>NC_000007.14:123756779-124381779 GCF_000001405.40 Homo sapiens
GGTTTCATGGAATTATTGATCTAATATTTGCCATTTATATTCAAAACTGGATTGCATGGTACTTGATAGTTGTTACATCAGTCATGATTCTCAGTTCCCTGTGGCTGGAAGTTAGTAGTATTCATTGATTTTTTTGTTTTGTTTTTTAATAGAGAAGGAAACACATTGAACATGCAAACAACTTAGAGTCGATGGTCACATTAGAATAAGTTCCTCATTCCTAGTTTAGGGAGTCATTCCTCTCAATATCTTTACTTAGAATCAGTTTAAAAATTAAATTACATATTCGCTTTCTCACATTCAAATTTCCTTTTAGGAAGATAGAATATTGGCACTTTTCTTTCATCTTGATCCTCTTCATACTGAAGCTATTGTGTGTTTATTATATGTTCTGTTGGACTGGAGCTTTGAACTGATGAAAGAGGAAAGCTATAACAAGCATCAGGGCTGACTTGGTATGTTGACTCAGTTCCCACATAATGATGGTATCTATATGCATGCACATTATAATGTTCTGACACACAGAAGGAAAACGTGTTCCCCTGTCTCAATTTCCTGTTTTAATGCAAGTCCATACAACACCCCAATCTTCCTCAGGATCTCCAAGCACCCTTGGATTTATTGTGTCATAAGGGACAATTCACACACTACCTCACCTCAGCCTGAACTTACTAGAGAGTCTTCTTTTGCTCTCAGTTCCATTGAGAGATAGCAGCATTGTGATCATTGGACAGTGTGATTGAAACAAGGCACTCAACTGTGCCTTCTTGTCATTATCATCCAGAAAGGCCCACCAAGCCTTGTTCTTGCTGGAAAGGCACGAAAGGAATAGCAACATGTCCTTCATTTTGAAGCACATATTTCTGCATGCCTCAGAATAACGGACCCCCAGAAACACCCCTGAGGTATCAGGCTCCTATATTTCATGGCATTTCTATCCCCCAGCATTCATTTATGTGACCAAGGACATAGTGTACTTGCAACTTCCTGCTCTACCGGTCATTTCAGCATGATGTTATTTTGTACAATGAGCTAGTCTGATATCAAGTGGAATAGGAAGATGGTCTAGGATAATTGCCCTCTGCTTAAAAATGAGCTGACCTGTGAGGCACACAACATCCTTCCCATAAATTCCCTTTTGCTTTAGCTAGCCTGGGTCAGATTCTGTTATTTACAAAAACTCTAGGTGATTCTGAACTGGAAACCCTAGGTATTCTAAAATTTGTACCATGAAGGTGGTTACAAGCAACAGATCTTTCAGAAAACTGGGTCATTTGGCACTGTTTACCTGGCTATACTGGAGCAAGAGGTGGTGAAACTCTCATTTATATTCCAAGATGGGAAACTAGCATCAGACAATTACATTACTGCCTCTGGTTATTAGGATCTAGAAACTTCTGAGGTTCTAGAAAGCTTTATGGCCAGGATCAGCAAACTACACTCCACCTATCCTGTTGCCTGCTTTTGTAAATAGAGCTTTTTGGGGGGGACATAGCCATGACCATTCTTTCAGTATTGTCTATGACTGCTTTCATGCTACAACAGCAGAGTTGAGTAGTTGTACCAGAAACCTTATGACCTGCAAAGCCTCAAATGTTTATTATCTGGCCATTTACAGAAAAAGTTTGCCAACCCTTGCTTTAGGTAACTGCATAGTTTTTGCCATCGAATAATAGAAGGGTGAGGAATTCAAGAATTGTGAGATAGCATTAGATAAATTAACCAGTAAGAATGAATGAATGTTGCCTCTGAGGATAGCCTGCTACAGGGATATTTTATGATAATTCTGAAAAAAATATATCCCTGATAGTTACAGGACTGAGACAGCCAAAAGTGAAACTCATGATTTGATCCAGGGCTGCTAAACTAATAATTTATGAATTAAAGTATCTTAAATACTTCATAATGAGATAGGAGATGACCATGAAAATAATTAATAACAAAGACAGTCTATCTTTGTGTAAATTTCTTATAAGAATCATTAAACTTAGGATGTTACTTTTTTTAAAACAAAACAGACAACTGTTCAAGTGTGCTGATCTTTCCAGTGACAAGAAATCACTGTTAGTAGATACTTTTGAAAAAAGAAAAAGAAAGCACACATTTACTATGTGGCTTCAAGGTTTTTAACCATGAGTGAGAAAGTAACTACTTCTCAAAAGAAACTTACATTGTCAAAAGCATGTTTTGAAAACAGTCATTTGGAATCTTGTCCATCATTATGTGACTTTAAAGTTCAAAATGATAAAATATGTCACCTGTAAAAACATGTATTTCTAAACTTAAAAACAATCTTCAAACCTGTTTAAAATTTTTCCAAGTAAAAAAATTTTGGTGTTTTCTTATTTGCTGAAAATATGGAAATGAAATACTTCTCAGTTTGCAAGAAAATTACTATCAAAATTTTAACAAATTTATAACAGGTGAATACAATTGAAAAACATAAGTATTATGCTCAACTAAGCAAATTCATGTGTATTTCTCCCAGGCGGGTGTATATTCATGTGTTTTGTAAAGCGTCCTTTTCAGTTATGGCCACTAAAATATAGTATAGATAAAACTCACCTTATAGCAAAACCTTTGGATCCCATGTCAAAAAGTGTTAAGCCAAATTTTCAAAAATTACGGAGCATATTCAATCACATTGCATGCATTAAAAACTATTTTCTTAATATTTTAGGGCAAGCAAACAATTGTTTTGTTTTACTATTAATTTATTGGCCTTTTTACAGAAACTTCTTTTGGTATCATTGATGTTCTTTATGGTTTTCTGTTTTTTACTTATTTGATCTGTGATCATTAAATATGATGCTAGATGCCATTTATTAAATTGAGGAAGTTCTTTTCTATCCCATCTTCCTGTGAGGTTTTCCTCATAAATTTTGTCAAATGCTTTTTCTGTTTATGTTAAATAAGCTCATATTTTGTCTCCTGTTTAGTCTGTTGATACAGTGAATTATACTGATTTTTATTTTTATTTTTATTATACTTTAAGTTCTGGGATACACGTGCAGAAGTGCAGGTTTATTACATAGGTATACATGTCCCATGGTGGTTTGCTGCACCCATCAACCCGTCGTCTACATTAGGTATTTCTCCTAATGCTATCCCTCCCCTTGCCCCCCACCACCCCCCACAGGTCCCAGTGTGTGATGTTCCCCTCCCTGTGCCCATATGTTCTCATTGTTCAACTCCCACTTATGAGTGAGAACATGCGGTGTTTGATTTTCTGTTCCTGGAATTACACTGATTTTAAAATGTTGAAACAGGCTTGCATTCCTGGGATAAACCCCAGTTGATCATGATATATGATCCCTTTTTAAATATTGCTTAATTCCAATTGTTGATAATCTGTTAAGGGTTTTTGTGCCTATAAAATATTGGTCTAAGAGGATAGATCTCCTCTTCCAGCTCTAACAGCTGAAGGACTTTTCTGATGCTGATTTCCCAGATTTCCAAGTAATTCCAATTCCTCCACGCCCTGACTCTAAACACTGTCATTTCATGTTGAGCTCCCTTATAGTGACCACTGTTAAGATCATCATCTCCCCCAATGCAAAGATCTGCCTTCTGAACCAGAACTTTTCCACAGTGCCTGAAGCTGCACATGCCACCAGTTCCTGTTCATTCCCAGTGGTGAACTGATTTTCAGTTATTTCCCAGATGGTCATAGTGTTCTGTATCCTAATGTAGTTAGCACTCTCTCAACATGGAATTCAGTAATTCTTTGATAGCCTAGGAATTCTTCAAGTGGCAATAAAGGTAACTCAAGCACCCATTAGGTCTGGCATCTCTGTACTCACTGAGCGAAGCACTTTGCTCTTCCTAAGGCCTTCTGCTTTGCTGCGCTCTACATTTCCTTGTTTCCTTTTGCTCCATCAGTGATTCTGAGTCCCTTCTTGCCTATATACATCGTTTTGTTTTCTCCATTGGCTCTTTCTGGTCAATGTATAAATATGTTCAGATATCTCTCAAATTAAAAACTATTTTCATTAAAATAATCAATTTAAATAAGTAAATACCCTGACTGTTACTAATTCGTATCTTTCCTCTTCACAGACAACCTTCTAAAAACAGTAATCTATACTCATTGTCTACTTTCCTTTCTCTTTCACTCATCAAGCAATGTGAGCTTGTTTCCATCCCCAATATTTTAATATTGGGGGTGACATCTAATATTTAATGTGACATTTTTGTCACATAACTAAATGTGAATTGGACATTTTCTTCTTTGCAAGCTCTCTACCATCAATCAATATGGTGTCTATCGGTCCTATGTAGGGTGTCTCTATCCTGCTTATATGATCACTCATTTGCCATTCTCTATGGCTCTGCATCTTAAATATTAATTCCACCCAGAGTTCTATCATTTTGCCTCATTTATTTGGCCTTGAATAGAATAGGGGTCCCCAGAAGATTTAGTGAATAGGTGAATTTTAATTTTTTTTTTTTTTTTTTTTGAGACAGAGTCTCGCTCTGTTGCCCAGGCTTGAGTGCAGTGGCGCGATTTTGGCTCACTGCAAGCTCCGCCTCCCGGGTTTACCCCATTCTCCTGCCTCAGCCTCCCCAGTAGCTGTGGCTACAGGCACCCACCACCACACCCGGCTACTTTTTTGTATTTTTACTGGAGATGGGGTTTCACCATGTTAGCCAGGATGGTCTCAGTCTCCTGACCTCGTGATCTGCCTGCCTCGGCCTCCTGAAGTACTGGGATTACAGGTGTGAGCCACCGCACCCAGACAGGTGAATTTTAACTTTCTAATCCGATTCATCAGAATAATATAAGGTAGCATTACCGAGCACTTACGACATGCCTGACACCATGTTGAATGCTTTAGATACGTTTCCATTTAATTCTTTAGTGGTTTATAAGAGATATTATTAACAGCACGTTTCAGATTTAGAAAACTTGCACAAGGTCAATGAGAGAGGCAACTCCAATCTGAGTCTTTTGACAGCAGAGCCTGTGTTCTTAACAGTGACACTATTAATGTCGACAGCTTTTATTGCCCTCTTTGTGATTCCCAGGTATTTCTCCAAACCTCTCTTCTGAGGTCTGGACTATAGCTACAACTGATAAGTTCCTCAAAGTCATTGTGTACACATCTGTACTCACGATCTTTGTTTAAAATCTTTTCTGTGTTTCCTATCTCAGTGTTTAATACCACCACACTCTCTTTTCCAATTAGAAACCTCAAAAACCATCTTGTCCTCCTATTGCTCACATTGTTCCTGCCCTCTAATCTTCAGTCACCACCTCCCGTCAATTTTATCTCCTATTATCCCTCCACCACCACTTCCTTTTCATCTCTTCTGCCTGTGCCCTAAATCAAGCATCCTTCACTACCTCACTTCTCTCGCCAGTTTTATTCTCACAATTCACCCAGCACATCATTGCCAGCATGCAAGTGAGAATCTGATCATGTTACTTTCTCTCCTAAAAATTCTTCAGAGGCTCCTCATTGTTTGCAATATTGTGTCTGGAATTGGTGGGTTCTTGGTCTCACTGACTTCAAGAATGAAGCCACGGACCCTCGCGGTGAGTGTTACAGTTCTTAAAGGCAGCGTGTCTGGAGTTTGTTCCTTCTGACATTTGGATGTGTTCAGAGTTTCTTCCTTCTTTCTGGTGGGTTCGTCCTCTAGTTGGCTTCAGGAGCAAAGCTGCATACCTTCCCGGTGAGTATTACAGCTCATAAAGGAATTGAGGACCCAAAGAGTGAGCAGTAGCAAGATTTATTGCAAAGAGCAAAAGAACAAACCTTTCAGTGTCGAAAGGGACCTGAGCAGGTTGCCACTGCCAGCTCAGGCAGCCTGCTTTTATTCTCTTATCTGGCCCCACCCACATCCTGCTGATTGGCCCATTTTACAGAGAGCCGATTGGTCTGTTTTACAGAGAGCTGATTGGTCCGTTTTGACAGGGTGCTGATTGGTGTGTTTACAATCCCTGAGCTAGACACAAAAGTTCTCCACCTCCCCACTAGATTAGTTAGATACAGAGTATGGACACAAAGATTCTTCAAGTCGCCACCAGAGTAGCTAGATACAGAGTGTCGATTGGTGCATTCACAAACCGTGAGCTAGACACAGGGTGCTGATTGGTGTGTTTACAAACCTTGAGCTAGATACAGAGTGCCCATTGGTGTATTTACAATCCCTTAGCTAGACATAAACGTTCTCCAAGTCCCCACCAGAGTAGCTAGATACGGAGTGTCCATTGGTGCATTTACAAACCCTGAGCTAGACACAGGGTGCTGATTGGTGTGTTTACAAACCTTGAGCTAGATACAGAGTGCCGATTGGTGTATTTATAATCCCTTAGCTAGACAAAAAGGTTCTCCAAGTCCCCACCAGACTCAGGAGCCCAGCTGGCTTCACCCAGTGGATCCCGCACCAGGCGCAGGTGGAGCTGCCTGCCAGTCCCGCGCAGTGCGCCGCCACTCCTCAGCCCTTGGGTGGTCGATGGGATTGGACGCCGTGGAGCAGGGGGCGGCGCTCGTCAGGGAGGCTCGGGCTGCGCAGGAGCCCCAAGGCGGTGCGGAAGCTCAGGCATGGCGGGCTGCAGGTCCCGAGCCTTGTCCCGCGGGGAGGCAGCTAATGCCCTGCGAGAAGTCGAGCACAGCAGCTGCTGGTTCAGGTGCTAAGCCCCTCACTGCCCGGGGTGGCGGGGCCTGCCGGCCACTCAGATTGCGGGGCCCGCCGAGCCCACGCCCACCCGGAACTCGCGCTGGCCCGCAAGCACCGCGAGCAGCCCCGGTTCCCGCCCGCGCCTCTCCCTCCACACCTTCCCGCAAGCTGAGGGAGCCGGCTCTGGCCTTGGCCAGTCCAGAAAGGGGCTCCCACAGTGCAGCGGCGGGCTGATGGGCTCCTCAAGCGCGGCCAGAGTGGGCGCCAAGGCCGAGGAGGCGCCGAGAGCGAGCGAGGGCTGCGAGGACTGCCAGCATGCTGTCACCTCTCAATGTAAGATTTGAGTTCCTTACCATGACATGTAAGGCCCTTTAATATCTCTTCCTTCCAGCAGCTTCAGCCTCATCCTCTGGTAGCTGCTCCTCCCACCTCCAACCCCTCACTCAAACTTTACACTCTGTCAGTACTTGTAGTTCCCTGAACAGGCCACGCTTTTCTCACACTTTATTCCCTCTCCTTGGAATGTCTTCTCTCCTGTTTCCCCCAGTGTGTCTCTCAGGCAAGCTTTCCTTCAATAAATTAGTTTGTTGTTGTTTTTTGAGACAGTTTCACTCCAATGCCCAGGCTGGAATGCAATGGCAAGATCATGGCTCATGCAGCCTTGAACTCCTTGGGCTCAGGTGATGTTCCTACCTCAGGCTACTGAGTAGCTGGGACTACAGGAGCGCATCACCACGCCTGACTAATTATTTGTAGAGAGAGGACCTCACTGTGTTGCCCAGGCTGGTCTTGCACCCCCAGGCTCAAGCAATCCTCCCACTTGAGCCTCCCAGTGCTGGGATTTTAGGGGTGAGCCATCGTGCCCAGCCTCCTTCAATATTTATGTTGGGTGTTTACCACCTCAAGAAGCCTTCTCTGAATTTCCCGGGTGAGTTGTCCCTTGTTCCTCTGTGCCCACATTGCAACTTGCATCTAATCCCCTCACAGCTTAAAATGAATTGAACTTATTTGTACTTATCTGTCCCCTCATTTGACTCTAAGGAGATGGATCCTGACATTTACAATTACATGTCCCCGAATATGTATGTTTTTCATGAAGATGATCCTCCACTGCCTAGCACAGAGTCTAGGGATCTCAGTAAGAATTTGTTGACTAATGATTAAAGCATATAGTAGGGAGAAGGGAGGAAAGAAAGGAATGGAGTGAGTGACGAAGGGAAGATGCTTGGGAGTTTTAAGAAACTTTCCTTGTAGCTCTCTATCTCTTTTTCTGCTAAATAATCTTGGATCTCCCAATGCTAAATATTTTATTTTAATCATGGCTGAAACTTCTGTTCTCACCTGTTTGGATATAAATGCCAAAGTCATCCTCTGTAGCCAGGTAAGTGCCTTGAAAATTCTCCCACCTTCATTGGAAGATCTTTTGCCAGCTACCAGCTTCCACTCCAGTTTTAGTTCTTTTTTATGGACACTCTTGATCCATAACAATCTGATAAGAAAAGAAAACAAAATTTTCTTTTGAAAGTGACAGTGATGCTTAATGATAGAAATATATTCAACCAAAGTGTCAGATTGCCCAGCAATAACATATTATAATTAAATAGTCTGTCTAAAGATATTTCTATTACAAAAAAATGCAACATTAAGTACGTAACAGCTACTTATTTTGGACATTTTGTTCATCAGTCAGAATATGTGTTAATTTTTAATTAATAAAAATCAATTTCTCAAAGAAAAATATATTTCTGGAAGTTTTTGCATTTTAACTCTTTTGAGTTAACAAAGCTATCAGTGATAAATAAAAAAAATTGTCACTCTGAGGGTGAAGAAAGATGAAAAGATGATAACAGAGATGCTTTGTCTGTATAGAAAAATGTTGTTCTCTAAGCAAGTTTCTAAGAAGGGTTAGGGAAGAGTTTTTGTGTCAGTGTAGGTAAGGAGAAAAATAGCATACAATTAACTATACATTAGGGATTTTTGCAAGTCAAGAGTTTAAAATGTAATCTTTAATTAGGTAGAGAAATCCCCACTCTTCAGTGTATTAGGTATCTCAGTTCTATGGGAAATGTGGTATGAAAGGGAATTTAAGGTCTGTTACTCTAATAATCTGACCTTAATTCCCTTCTTAGTTTTCATAAACTTTTCAGAAGTAAAATCTGCTAATGAATAGTTTGTATTTTCAAAATTAATGCAATAGAAGGCAAATATTTATGCAATAAAAGAAAAAATAACTTTTAAATATTTATTTTATCAGAAATTAAAACTTAAAGGAACATCTGCTTTTGTAGTCTGCCTTTCTGTAATCAGCATTTCAACTAATCTACTACCAACACAGTGCATCTCTTTATCTTAGTCTTCATATTTATTAAACCAAGGCTATGACTGAAACTACTTTATACCCCAAAATAGCAAACAATATACTCTTCCTGCTTCCTTAGTAAGAGAAACCATTGCCCCAAGGACATTTATTCCCTGGATATGTTTATTCTCTGGATGTGTTCTATCACTCTCTCATGTGAGATTAGGTTTCATTTATTATTGTTTTACTCTTCCTTAAGCTATTTGAATTTCCTCTCCGAAATATGCTTTAGAAAGCCTAACTTCATATCTTTCTCTCGTTTATCTCTTGCTGTCGTTCCATTATGTTACTTGTTCTTTTCTTCAAAAACTATTCTTGATTTCCCACTTTCCCATTCCTATTCCTATAATTCCTAATAGAAAAGGCCTACTACACTTGGATTTCTAACAATGTACATTCTGTACTGAGGGACATTACGCTGGCATCTTACCTATTATGAAAGGTTCCTAATTGTAATTGCTACAGAATTCTTTGAATTACCAAAAGCCTTTTACTTTTTCTCATTAATAATAGTTGTCTTTTGTTCTCTTGATTTTCAAAGCATATGAATCCATTAGCAATATATAGCACCAATATTCTAAAGCCACCTCAGATAGCTAATTGTTTGCTATTCAGCTACTTTCAAAACCCAGTAAGAGATGTGGGGTTTACGAGTTTTCAATGTAAATGCTCATTGAAACCCCCGGGTAACCTAAGCTTATTTTTTTCTTTTCGTTAAATTAGATCCCTGAAAGGCTGCATGGTTGTGCCATATTAACTTAAATTTTATAGAACCAGTTGTACTAAAGTATATTTTTAAAACTGTTGACTTAATGGAAGATTTTATAAGAAAAAACATTAAAAATTTCCTTTTATATTGATGGTTTTATTTGATTATAAAACTATTGCTGAGGATATTCTTCTTAAGTAATAAAGGTTAACAGTCTTCATATAAGTACTAAATGAGAAATTTGTTTTGGAATTTGCCTGCAGAGAATAAATGGGTTTTCCAGAAATATTGACATAATTTTTGTTTTCTGATGATAGTTATAAAATAACATATTTCTCCCCATTTCCTGCCCCAACCCTGACTGCTAGGTTACTCAAAGCAAAACGTGATATACAATCACATTAACTATGTCAATGCTTTTAAAATTTTGGACCCTTGCATGATACCTTCATGATGTTTGCCATATCCTTATATTTCCAGAAGAATAATTTATAATCTAATTTTAATCAAATCATGTTTTTACTTTAGCAAATGTGTCTTATAAGAACATTTGGTTATGATGTGCAGCTATGTATTTAATTCACATTGAAATAGTATTAAACTATCAAATAAAAAATTATATATGTTTAAAATCATCTTACTATCAGTAGTACACATATATTAGAAAACATTAAATTATGTTAACTTTTAGGATTGGCTTATTTTGTCCTCATATATTTGGTTCTGATTTTTCTATTTAATAACTTTATCGTATATGCCTCTCATTGCCTCAAAATATCTTTGCTAAAAGAGACTTTTGGCTGCAGGTGGCAACAATTTAAGTGTAGTAGCTTATGTTTTATTATTGTTGTTGTTTGTTTTGTTTTGTTTGGTGAACTGGATCTATCTGTTCTAATAATGAAAAAGTCCAAGATAGACCTCTTCAGGCTTAGCTGGATCCAGGGCTCAATGACATCAGTAGGTCTCAGTCTTTTATTCTTCATCTTTCAGCTTTATCCTATGAAGCCACTTTTGGACAGACTCCATGTGCTGGCTCCCTGCAGCTCCAGGACATATCACCAACAAGCTTAGCAATAATTTCAGGAAAAACAAACAAGCAAAACAGGACAAAACAAATAAAAAAAACTCTTGTCTTTTCTACAAAGAGCAAAAAAGTCTTAGGTCTGGCTCTCATTGTCCTGACCAGAGTCATGTCCCCATTACTGAACCAATCACCGTGGCATGACATTGAGTTAGGTTGATACAGCTTGAATCATGCACCTATAAGAGATGGGTCAGTTCCACCCACACACATATATTAATAGTAGAGTGGATAGTCCTCTAAAGGAAAAGAGAGGTTTGTTTACCAGTGGTAGGGAAAATGAATGCCAGATACTAAAAAACATCAGGTATGCATCACAAAGTAGGGTTGCCAGATTTAGAGGGGAAATAAAAAGCAGGACACCTGAGGACATTTACAATTCAAATAAACAATGAATAACTTTCAGTATAATTATGTCCCATGCAACCTTTGGGACTGCTTACGCTAAAAAAGTATTTGTTATTTATCTGAAATTCAAATTTAAGTGGGTATTCTGTATTTTATCTGGCAACCCTACCACAAAGGTATGTGAATAAATTTAATTTTTAAAAAATGTAAGATTAAGATTAACTTTAAAAGAATAGGAAAATAAGTAATCTCATATTAGGCAGCCACTTCATCCATCCAGAATCATAGGTGCTATAAACATAACTACAGTACTACATAACCTCAGTAAAAATAAATAACATTTACAATCAAATTGCCATTATTAAAATAAAAACCAAACAATTCGATCTCAATAATGTAAGCAACCTGTTCTCACTTTATTTACATGGGTTTGGTTGATATAATTTAAGTATCTATATTTTGTACTTTCTGGTTTGTTTATCTGGTAAAGACCTATCTTATTAGGATATTTCCACTTGTTTAGCACTCCTGAAAAGTGAAACTATAGGGCATTTTGATTACATTTATTGGGCAATGGCTACTACAATATTGCCTCGATTCATCCTCAGACTCAGAGACTCGGGATGTTTTTTGCTTATGATCATCTGATAGACTTGTATAAGGTAGGCCGATTCATCAGTCAGTGTACACTGTACATCTGCACCAACCTTATGGCAGCACTTCAGCTACCATTTGAGGAGGTACATCTCCTGTTGCATGTAATCTTGGTAGTATTGTCAGTCCAGTGTCCTGCAATCTTTGACCAGGTGAACATGTGACACAACTCAGGCCAGGCAAACAATTTCTCCCTGAATTTTGAGTTTCAAGAGGAATTACTTTGGAGCCAAGAAAAGGAGCTGGTTCATTCTGATCAGCTAGCTGAGGAGATTGTCCATTGGTTACTTTTTTTTGCTATGATTCCAGGCAAATGATGTTGCCCCTGTTTCTGTCCTAAGATTTGTATGAGCCTTTTAATAATTTCCTTTTTGTATGCCACAGTCTGTTTCTGTTTTCAGAGACCCATGAGCATTTCTAAGTAAAGGTAACATTATTTTGACATTTTAAATTGTATTTCTCATGTCAGCTTATAAATTCAACGTAAGAATCTACCAATACTGAAGTAGAATTTTAATGATATCATCACAGGGAGAGAAACACAAGTGAGTTCATTACCTATGTATGTTTAGTCTTCTTTTTTTTCCTAAGTAGAATTATGGGTTCAAGCAAGAGGATCTATCTTAATTTACCTTTCTAATTGTGTCAAGTACATGTTCAAGACACAACGTAAGGCTCTTGGGAAGATGTAAAGATTAAAAAGCATAGTTTTGGATTTCAATGAGTTAATAAAGAAGGTTGGATTCCGTAGGAAGCCAACTTTGGGATGGAGTTTAGCAGTTAGGCTGTGTATAGGAGTGTTTATGGGACCTGTACCTGTTAGAGAGAGGGGAAGGAGGAAGCAGGAGTAGGCAGAAGGAAAAGTTAAATTTGGAGCAGACCCAGCAACAGTTTTGCTGATCCAAGGAAAACCTCTGGGGTTAGAATGGCCCTTCAGAGTATTCCTGACATTGTGTGAATTAGTCATTGTGTATGAGCTGCCAAGAAAGGGGCATGACCTTGACTGAGGTGGCTCTCTGCAATTGGAGCAATACCGAAAAGGCTGGCAGCTGATGGCTTCTGCCAACAGCCCTTCCAGCATGGGGGAAACAAGTCCTCCTGAAGGAGGATCTTGGTGATGCATCACAGTGTCCACTACAATTCACCGTCAAGTGTAAGAGACTACACAATGCAAACATCGGTCTGCTCTATAGTTTAAACAGTCCTTTTGTAAATAACCTCATAGAGTAATAATAGCTGCCTCAAATCTGTAAGTGAAAGAGACTTGAAAAAAAAAAAAAAACACCGTTAAACAAAAAGTTGACCACTTACTAATCCTGGGTAAAATGTGATATGAGGACTCGTGGATTTCACAGACCAGTGAAATTTCTCTCAGCAACTGAAATAACAAACGTGTGGTTATCAGCTTTTATTTTCGCCAAGTAAAGTTTTTTTTTTTAAACAATATTTAAAAAGAGAGGATATTTTAATAATAAAAGGCTGGGCATGATATCAGAATAAAGTTTAAACTAAATAAATATTCCTTTATAAAACGTTCACCTACATTGTTCATTTCATCATGGACAGGAGAAAAGTTTGTCACTGATGGTTTGTCTGTGAACTGACATTTGGAAATCATAACCATAAGTGGGCTATAAAAAAAAAATCCCCTTTGGGAGGCCGAGACAGGCGGATCACGAGGATAGAGACCATCCTGGCTAACACCGTGAAATCCCGTCTCTACTAAAAATACAAAAAGTTAGCTGGGTGTGGTGACGGGCGCCTGTAGTCCCAGCTGCTTGGGAGGCTGAGGCAGGAGAATGGCGTGAACCCGGGAGGCGGAGCTTGCAGTGAGCAGAGATCGCGCCACTGCACTCAAGCCTGGGCGGCAGAGCGAGACTCCATCTAAAAAAAAAAAAAAAAAATCCTGCCGTGGAAGTTCCAGGGAAGACCTGGGAGAAAAAGTAACATTAAAGTTGGAAAGATAGGTAACAAGATGAGTCAGGGTGGAGGTTTCTAGCTGAGTGGACAGTGTGAACAAAGGCTCAGAGATGGGGAAGAGCAGGGCGTAATCACACAATGAAGTGTAGTAATTCTGCTCAGGGGAGCATTAGTCATGGAGAGGAGTGTTGAGAAATGAAACTAGAGTACGTTGGGGTCAGATTATTCAGCAGACAATAGGAAGTAGTAGAGATTTTGGGGCAAAGAATTTACATGATCCGAGTTGTGCTTTAAGAAAAGTAATTTATCAAAAAAAAAAGGTTTTATATATGACATATGCTTAAAATGGATTACATGGCAGAGATTCTGTGTCTTATTATGAAGCAATTATAGTCCGTGAAAGGCAAAAAGAAGATATGAATTAGAGATGGGGTACTGAGAATAAGAAGGAGGAAATGAATGTAAATACGGTAGGAATAGAACCAGAGCTTGGTAATTTATTGGAGGGCTTCAGGAGACAGAAGAGAAAAAATAATGGTAGTTTCATTAACAGAAAAAGAGGGTGAGGAAGAGATAGGTTTTAGAAGAAGATAAAAAGTCCAGTTAGTTCTAAGCATCCTAACTTTAAATAATCTACCCTGGGAAGAGCAGGCTGAAGAGAAGATCTATTTCTAAAAATATGTTTCCTTTCCTGATATAATATCATGGATAGTTGAGCTTCAACTGACAAATAAATAAAGGCAGTCCTCATCTTGCTTGGTACGATGTTAACTGAATCTCATATTTATTGAAATTATTTCCTCACTATTCACTGATTCCAAATCTCAGTCAACATGGTATCATGCAAAATGAGGGATACAGATTTCAAAAACTACATGTACGTGTTGCTGTATCTTAGTACTAATGATATTTCAGACTGCATAATTCTTTGTTGTGGGGCTGTCTGTGCGTTGGATGTTTAGCAACCTCTCTAGCTTCTACCCACTAGATGCCAGTAGCATCTAGTATCTGATTTCAGTTACCCAGCTTGTTATTCTCTTCAGCTCATCATTCACATACATTGGCAACCTTATATATTTTTTCCATAGTGTTTCATCTCACTAATATCTTGTTGCAATTTAAAACCTTTTAGTTGTTATGATATTTTGGCATTTTTGTTATGGGTAGTTTGTACATAATACCAATTACTTGACTTATTGGTTAGTGTGTGAACTTCACTGGCCACAGGGTGCCTAGGTTAAACATTATTTCTGAGAGTGTCTGTGAGGGTGTTTCTGGATGAGATTAGCGTTTGTTTTCTTTGCTTGTTTTTTGTTTGTTTGGTTTGAGGTTTTTTTTTTTTTTTTTAACTTACCCATCCATGTAGAGATTAGCATTTGAACTAATGGACTCAGTAAAGTACATTGCCCAAGATGGAGGGCATCATATAAACTGTTGCGGGTCTGAGTAGAACAAAAGGGAAAGGGAAGAGAAATTAACCACTTTTGCTTCCTGCCTGTCTGTTTGAGCTGGGACACATCACCTTGTCTTCTCCAGCCCTCAGACTGGGATTTACACTATCAGCTCCCCTGGGTCTCAGGCCTTTGAACTCAGACTGACTGACATCGGCTTTCCTGAGTCTCCAGCTTGCAGATGGCAGATCATGGGACTTCTCAGCCTCCATAATCATGTGAGCCAATTCCTCATAATAAATCTCCTTTTTTATATATAAAAAGGTGGAGACCCAGGAAGTTCAAAGCTCCAATATGTTTATATATTTCCTACTGGTTTTGTTTCTCTGGAGAACCTTGACTTATATACTTGGATTTGGATAGAAGTCACTAAGGCTGGAAGCAGAGTGATTGGTGGATAGATTCCCTGGGCAACCGCAACATCCCGTCGTGGTTCAGGCAATAGTGGGCATCTCAATAGGTGGCAAGAGCATAATCATAATACCCATATACCTGAGACATGTGACACTCTGGCATCTAGACAAGTGACACATGGGACTTGTCATCTGAGAGGCTTGTGCACAAATAACAGGATTTCCAACCATTGAAAACAATGTTTCTGTTACAAAATTTCAAACGTGGAGACTAAAGTTAAAATAGACAAAAGGGTGCTTCATCTTAGTGGTAGCAATGAGTAAGTAGGCAAAAAACTGAGACCGAAACTAGGAATTAGGGACAAAGCAGCAATCCAATTATCTGATGCATGTGGTGTAGAAATTGTGACTTGTGGAACAGTAAATGAAACCTGTGGAAAGTGAAGCATCTTCGAAATGGAATTATAGAAAATTGTCTTAAAGCCAAGCTCTTCCTGATGAAAGCTGCTTCTGTGCCTTTTGCCTCAAGTCAGAAGGAAGTGGGGTGGGGCTGAAAGATCAAAAGCTGCAGAGGGCCATCCACCAAGTGAGGGACAAGGACACTGTTAGCAGATGTTACAGTTAAAAAACGAAATCTGATGTCAGACCAGACTACACCCATGAAAAAGAACTGATAGTGCCAGCTATTCATGGCACACCGCATTGTCTCTCCTAAGATTCAGTGGTGGTCTTGATTTGTTTTCTTTTTCTTTTTTTCTTATGTCATTGGAACTTGTATTCCATAAGAATATTTTTCTGATGGTTTAAGTCTAATCTTGCCCATGAAAGCTACTGGAAGTCTTTGCTTTTTCCTGATTCTTATTCGCACTTCGTTTTTGCTTCTTTATATTTTATAGTTAATTAAGGAGTTTTCGCTGTTAATGCAACAAATAGTCCAGGTGCTCTTCTTGTATGAGTTCCTGTTTGTGCTCTTATATGGGAAAAAACATATAAACTGTGGTTTATCAGATTTGACCTATTTCTACATTTTAAAAAAGTAAATATTTACTGTTTCATTTATTTAATACTTATCTATTTATGAATAATAAGTATTCTTTGTTATTTTCCTTAATTATTTCCTCTTTTCTATGGAAGAGTAAGATAAGAATAAATTAATTGCTACCTGAAATTACATTATTGGTTTTAAAATTTCATATTAATTTATACTAGCTCAATTTGTACTAGTTCAAACAGGAATAACTACCGGGTACTTACATACTTTAGGGATAGATTTTATCTCACAGAATGTTTTTACATAATGTATATTTTTTTACATGGTATTAGCTGTTAACAATTCAATTTTACCTTGGGGTGTGTGCATGTGTGCATGCGCATATACGTTTGTGTGCATTTTCTTTACAGGAACCAACTCATTGAGTCAGACCTTTACTGTTTGCTTAATTAAATTCCTCAAGCTCATGATTCAGAATTCAAACAATATCTCAATCTAGATGGGAATTTTTAATTTTTCAGATTGAACTTTCTTCTTCTTAGGCAATGCTCATTCTTTGTTTTCACCTCTCCCTCAAATTTCCTGCTTCTTAATGAATTTAATTAGTCAGTCAGTCAATAATTCCATATTCATCCATCCATTCATCAAACATTTGTTTTACACTCTGTTATGCATGGCAGTCTGCTAGGCAGTGGGGGGTCAAGGGTGAGTGAGACATGGTCTCGCATGTTTAATTTAATTGTATTTTATTTTTTATTTTTGTTTTTTCAGAGGTAGAATCTTGTTCTGTTGCCCATGCTGTAGTGCAGTGGCTTGATCATAAGCTCACTGCAGCTTCAAACTCCTAGGTTCAACTCCTGGGTTCAAGTGATCCTCCTACCCCAGCCTCCCAATTAGCTGAGACTATAGGTATATATGACCATGCCCAGTTAATTTTTTAAAAACTTTCTAGAGACATGGGGTTTTGCTATGTTGCCCAGGCTGGTCTTAAACTCCTGGCTTCAAGCAATCCTCCCACCTCGGCCTCCCAAAGTGCTGGGATTATAGGCGTGAGCCACCACCATGCCTGGTCACATGCTTAATTCTTGCTCCTATGTTTTGCTCACTGGGTGTGGTATGCTCCTTTGCCTTGATCTTCAATTTGTCACAAAATCTTGTCAATTTTCCTTTTTTTTTTTCCTGTGAAATCTGTCCTTTGCTGTTCTTTGCAGCCTCTGTTACCATCCTAGACCAGATATCTACTATAATTGGGATAGCGGCAACTGCTTATTAATGGATCTCTCTTTTTCCCCTAATTCATGGTCAGTGCTGCAGTCATAGGATCTCCTTGAAATGCAAAGCAGACTTTGTCTCAAGCCACTCAAAAACCCTTCAGTATTTTTTCATTTCCATTACGATAAAGTCCAGATTCCTAACATTCCTCAAGGCTTTTTCTGATCCGGCTCACATAGATCTCACCTGCCTATTCAGTTCCTTGAACATGTGTTCTCTCACCTCTGGGTCTTTGGAGGCACTTTCCCTTCTGACTCTTTATGTCGATATACTTTATCTCTCACCTTCTTTGCCATGCTTTTCCTAGCTAATTCCAACCAAATTTAAGTCTCAGTTTTGCACTCACTACTTCCAGGATGCTTTCTCTGGGTTAGGTATCTCTTCTATGTGTACCTTTACCACAGACAGTACTAAAATTGCTTATTTTCTTGTTCTATGTCCCTCTACAAGAAACTTAAGAGCAGGGAAAATATCGTTTCCACTCTGGATACCTGGAGTCTAGCTTAGTGCTTGTTGCATTGTAGGTGCTAAGTAAGCACTTGATTGAATGAGACAACTCATGAAATGTTTTAAGAGAATACTTGCACATCTTTTAAAAATGCCTTGAGAGGCCAGGCATGGTGGCTCACGCCTGTAATCCTGGCACTTTGGGTGGTCAAAGCAGGAGGATTGCTTGAGGCCAGAAGTTTGAGACCAGCCTGGGCAACATTGCAAGACCTCATCTCTACAAAAAGTTTAAAAATTAGGCATGGTGGCACATGCCTATAGTACTAGCTACTCAAGAGGCTGAGGCGAGAGGATTGCTTGAACCTAGGAGTTTGAGGCTGCAATGAGCTGTGATTACGCCATGGCACTCCATACTGGGAGACAGAGCCAGATCCTGTCTCTTTAAAAAAGAAAAAAAAATGAAAGAAAAAAAGTGCCATGAGAGTTCCTATTTTATATTCCATACTAAAGCTATATATATTGAATATCAGAAACAACTTGTTGTTAGTCTTCAACCACATCTGGAATAAGACAAAAACTACAGCAAAGTCACTCTGCTTTGTACCATGTATAAAATGCTGAGTGCAGTCCACTTGTGACAAGGACTTGATGGACTTGATGTAGCCTTCTTCATTCTAATCTCTGATTTTGGTTTTATCTTTATTTTTCCTCCATCTTTAGATGTCATCTTTAGATGTCTTTAGATGTCATCTTTCCTGTCATCTTTAGATGACAGACCAAAAGAGTTCCCTACTTTTTTTTGATCATTCTCCAGATGAATCTTTAAAATGACACACTACCCTAGGCAACTGGTGTAACAGGAAGCCCCCTAAACCAGAACTTGGAAGACCTGCAGCTATCTGGAAATATAGAGCAGACCACGTGTGTTTCAAGTTTGCAAGCTCAAACTGGCCTGGCCACTTTAGCCATCTGGAAAATCAGAGGAATTGGATTAGAGAAGATTTTTTCAGGCACACCCAACACTTGCCATCTATAATCCATTTTAAATAGGAATTAATTTAGACAGTTTCAATTTATATAAAAGTTTCAAGAAAATGTCTACTGCATAAAGTAAGATATCTTTCTGTATGTCTCTGCTTATACGGCAAAGATCTCAGCTTTAAAGAGGACTGTGCCTATTGCTGGGACTCAGCATGACTGGGTGGCATTTGGGAACTGGTAGGATAAGCCTAAGAAGAGCGTGATTTCCATGGATTGATTGGGATGAAGACTTTCTGGCTGCAGGAAGTCTGAGGAAGCTTTATGCATGGGAGCCTGGGAGCTAGAAATCAATGCAACGATGGGCGACATGCTGTCTCTTTCTTGATCTTGTATTAAATTATGGCCCTTTGGGGAGAGGCATGTTAGGTGAAAGCTGCAGGTGTGTGGGTTTTTTGTTGTTTTTTGAGATGGGGAATCACTCTGTTGCACAAACGAGTGCAGCAGTGTGATCATAGCTCACTGTAACCTCAAACTTCCGGGCTCAAGTGATCCTTCTGCCTCAGTTTCCCAAGTGGTTGGGACTACAGGTGGGCATCACCACGCCTGGCTAATTTTTATTTTTATATTTTGTAGAGATGTTGTTTCGCTATGTTGCAGTTGGCTGCTCCCGAACTCCTGGCCTCAAGCTGTCCTCCCACGTTGGCCTCCCAAAGTGCTGTGATTGTAGGTGTGAACCACTGTGCCTGGCTGAAGGCACCATTTTCATGAGGGAAGATGAGGTTTTGGAGAGGGACATGTCCTACATTTTGGGGCAGCACACACTACAGCACTGGCACAAAGAGTTGTGAGGTGCTCTTTCCATCTCTACACTGCAGATTTGGGATATATTAGGAAACATGTCTTTTGACAGTGATGATGCTTCCCTTCAAGTGGCTTCTCAGCCAAGGTTGGTGAAAGGATTGATTGATTGTGACTACAGGCAAAATACCCCTGAAAACTCTCAAAAAATAATTACGGTGAAGGGGAATTTTGCAACAGACCATTATCCTGGGAAATACGTAGGAGAATAAGAAGCTCACCAAATTCAAGTAATTACAGTTAATAAAAACTCCTTGGCACTCCCAGATAATGAGACCATTTTGAAGCCATACGCCACCACCATTGTGTAATTTTTATGAAAGAAATTCTCTTACCATTATTTATTCTTGCTCTGTGCTGAATGGTAGCCACTAGCCACATGTATCTGTTGTCTACTTGAAATGTGGCAGATTTGAATTGAAATGTGCTATAAGTGTAAAATACATACTAGATTTCTGAAACAGTATAAAAAAGAATGTAAAATATTCCTTTTTATATTGATAACATATTGAAATAATAATGTCTTGGATATATTGGGTTAAATAAAACATATAACTAAAATTATTCATATGATTCTTTTTACTTCATTTTAATGTGGCTAATAGAAAATTAAAAATTATACATGTGGCTTGCATTATACTTTTGTTAGACAGAGTTGACTGATATTTAACATTTAAGTGCTAAATCATATGCTGCTTATTTTACTTTTTAATTCACACGTGCAAAAAGTTTTGGCTTGATAAAATTATACACTCCTTGAGGATAGGTTCTGTGTTTCTATTTTTCATTATTCCAGATGCTTAAGCACTGTTAGCACCTGATTTCGCTATATACTTGTTGATTTGAATTAATTTAAAAATATTTTTTTTATTTCCATAAAACTGTGAACCACTTTTAGATGGTGTCCTAGATAAGTGCATTTTGATTATAAACAGAATTTTGTATTGTTATAAAAAGCATTCAATTCAGAAAATGTGCTAATGAATAACAGAATTATTTTAATTCCATCATGAGTTTATTTTTCCATCTCCTTGTTTTATACTTCTAAAATGAGAAATTTAAGAAAGAAATCAGGGCAAAATTCTTCGTTAGTTTTTTTTTTTTGCTTATTTCTATAAGGTTTTATTAATTTATAATTGAGAGAAATATTAACTGAAGTTCTAAAATTCTAAATTATTTTTATTTTAACTACTTATTTTGAAATAATTTTGTCATAGAAGGCTTGTAAGAACAGCACAAGACAACTCCTATATACCTTTCAAGCAGATTTATCAATTTTTTTTGCCACATTTGCTTTACCATTCCATACCCATCTTTCTATCTGTCTGTCTGTCTATCTATCTATCTATCTATCTATCTATCTATCTATCACCTATTCGTATTATTTCAGGAGTCATTTGAGAGATAGTTGCAGGCATTATACTTCTTTACTCCAAAATACATCAATGAGCATTTCCTAAGTGTATTCTTTTATAAAATCATAATAAAACGATCAATTTCATGACATTTAACACTAATTCAATGCAGGTATCCATTATACAATACATATCTAAATTTTGCCAATTGACGGGGGTTCAATTCAAGATCACGTCTTACATTTAATTGCCATGTCTTTTTTAGTTTCCTGTAATCAAGAACAGTTTCCAGCCTTTTTTTTCCTCTTTTATCTTTCATGACAGTATTATTTTTAAGAGCGTGGGCCTCTTAAATTTAAATAATTTTTCATTGTTTCGTACGATGTCTTTTGATGTGAGTTTCCTAGTGATGAGATGCAGGTTATGAATCTTTTGGCAGGAGCACAACAAAAGTGAAGTTGTGATCTCGGGCGCCACATCAAGAGCACATGATGATAGCTTCCCATTTTGGTGATGCCAGCTTGATTAAGATGGTGTCCACAGATTTTTGTACTGTAAAATTTCAGGTTTTACCTTTGTAATTCATAAATAGTAGAGAGACACTTTGACAATTGAAATATCTAAATATTCCTTTTCAAATTTTTACCTAAATTTTTAGCCCAGATTGATGAATCTTACATGAATTAATTACACTTCCTCATACTCTTTAGCCAAAGCAATATATTGCAACAGTTTAAATGCCAAGTAGATATGAGAATCCAAATGAATTCTATTAAGCAGACATTGAAGAGATTTGTAAAAATGTAAAACAATGCCACTCTTCTCACTAGCTTTTTTGTTTGTTTGTTTTGGAAAAATAAATATATTTACATACAAATATGTTACCCATGTTAATATGTAAGAGGCTTATATAAGATTCCAGATTCCACATTTCAACTAAACTTTATTGTTATTTTAAAATGAATTAATAAAGATTTTAAAAAATTTCTCAGTATTAATTTCTAATCTAGTAAACATCAATAGATATAGCCCACATAAACCAAAGCTCTCTAAAGTCCTCAACAAGTTTGAGAATAAAAAGGGGTCTTGAGAAGAAAAAGGTTAAGAACTATTGTCCAAGACCAAATGAAATGCTGATATGAGTGCTACAACCTAACATTTCTCGGGGCAGTGACAATGAAGGAGAATTGAAACTGAGATTTCCAGAGTGCTTGCCCTTTGGACAAAAGCATCTTTAGGAAAGGCCTGATATTTTCCATAGAACATCTTTAATAATGCACATAATGTAATATTTACAGGTGAAATAATATGATGTCTGAAATTTGTTTTAAAATAATATAATGAAAATAATGGTGATGGTGGTGGTAAGGGTATAGATGGAATAAGATTGTGCTGTTAATTATTGAAGCTGCATGATTGGTTCATGGGGATTCATTATAAAATTCTATTTTGAGTATGTTTGAACATTTTCAAAATAAAAAAAATTTTAAAATTTTCATCTCTAGGTAAACTTTTTAATAGTATAAATTTAGGAGAGAATCAAGCTTAATTTTCTCAGATGTTATAATTATTCAAAAATTCTGTTAATTATGGTTTCTTGGATTTACATAGTACCTTTCTTCTGTAGAGTTCAAACTGATTCATCTTGGCTGACTTTTAAAATATGAGTACTCATTATCTATTTATTTGGTCTTTTGAAACATCTTAGGGAAGTTTGCAAATTAAAAAAATAAACACATCAAATACACATAAAAAACTATCATACAATGACAAGTAAAATTATTGCATTTTTGGAATTAGCTGTAATACAGTATATGTTGCTTGCATGCAAATTGCATAATTCTCATTAAGACTGTAGGCTCTAAAATCAGTTAAATTTGAATTTGATTTCTGGCTCTCCTACTTTATAACACCTGTAATAACAGTAATAATAATAGAAATACTAACAAATCCAGTATTTGTAGATCTTGAAATGTGACAGGTTTTGTGCTAAGTCATACTATAGATTACTTTTGGTGAGTAAATAAGCTGCCTAAATATATATTCGCTAAGAATTTCATCAGGATTTCAAAACCAGGGTGCCAGATCATCGTCCTTGCTCTTACCCACTGCACTACATTGCTCTATCTTACCAGCTAAGTGCTTTGCCTAAGTTATTTAATCTTTATCAGCCTAGTTCCCTATTTAATAAAACAGGGATAAAAACGTATCCACTTCATAGGCACAAGGATTACCTCAGATAATGTACAGAAAAGACTGACACATGGCTGTCACATAAGAATATAAGGAATGACAGTTAAGATTATTTTTATTATTCATTTTTCCTCACCAAGTAGTATAGCTCCCTTAGAATCATCATCTAAGAATATATGAAATCATCTGCACAGCCAAATACAAAATATCTAAGAGTAGTTTTAGAACTCTCCCTCCAATATGGTTGCCACTGGTCACATATGTGGGGAAAAGCAAGAGAGATCAGATTGTTACTGTGTCTGTGTAGAAAGAAGTAGACATAGGAGACTCCATTTTGTTATGTACTAAGAAAAATTCTTCTGCCTTGAGATTCTGTTAATCTATAACCTTACCCCCAACCCCATGCTCTCTGAAACGTGTGCTGTGTCAACTCAGAGTTAAATGGATTAAGGGCGGTGCAAGATGTGCTTTGTTAAACAGATGCTTGAAGGCAGCACGCTCCTTAAGAGTCATCACCACTCCCTAATCTCAAGTACCCAGGGACACAAAAACTGCGGAAGGCCGCAGGGACCTCTGCCTAGGAAAGCCAGGTATTGTCCAAGGTTTCTCCCCATGTGATAGTCTGAAATATGGCCTCGTGGGAAGGGAAAGACCTGACCGTCCCCCAGCCCGACACCCGTAAAGGGTCTGTGCTGAGGAGGATTAGTAAAAGAGGAAGGAATGCCTCTTGCAGTTGAGACGAGAGGAAGGCATCTGTCTCCTGCCTGTCCCTGGGCAATGGAATGTCTCGGTATAAAACCCGATTGTATGCTCCATCTACTGAGATAGGGAAAAACCGCCTTAGGGCTGGAGGTGGGACCTGCGGGCAGCAATACTGCTTTGTAAAGCATTGAGATGTTTATGTGTATGCATATCTAAAAGCACAGCACTTAATCCTTTACATTGTCTGTGATGCAAAGACCTTTGTTCACGTGTTTGTCTGCTGACCCTCTCCCCACAATTGTCTTGTGACCCTGACACATCCCCCTCTTTGAGAAACACCCACAGATGATCAATAAATACTAAGGGAACTCAGAGGCTGGCGGGATCCTCCATATGCTGAACGCTGGTTCCCCGGTTCCCCTTATTTCTTTCTCTATACTTTGTCTCTGTGTCTTTTTCTTTTCCAAATCTCTCGTCCCACCTTACGAGAAACACCCACAGGTGTGTAGGGGCAACCCACCCCTACACACGTATGCACTTGAAATGTGGCTAGTCAGAATTATGATGGGCTATATGTATAAAATACACACCAGACTTCAAAGATTTAATATGAAAAACAAAAGTATCTCTTTAATATTTTTATATTGCATGTATATTGAAATAATAATACTATGAATATTTTGAGTTAAAATAGTATTAAAATTAATTCTACCTGTTATTAAACAAAGTTTAAGTGGCTCTTAGAACCTGTAAAATCAAATTGTGGCTTTCCTGTTTCTATGGACAGTGCTAGTCTAGAACCTGGGTTACTTCATAAATGGTAATTCCTTTATGAAGCTTTTTCTTCGAGGTAGGGTTTCACTTTATATCCCAGGCTGGAGTGCAGTGGCAAGTTCCTGGCTCACTGCAGCCTTGGACTCGTGAGGCTCAAGAAATCCTCCCACCTCAGCCTCCTGAGTAGTTAAGACTATAGGCACGCCATCACCATGGGCTAATATGCTTCCCCTGCCTCTGCCTTGCATTAAAGCCTGAGATACTGCTGCCTTTCCATAGTTGAAATCATTTACAATGTGGTTAATATCAATAATACAAAAGAAAAAAGAGGTTGTTGACATATATGATCCTAGTATTTTTGGTGGGGTAGACTCTAGGCAGGAAGCCAGCATTCTTCAATCATCTTCCTAACTGCTAAGTGAGAAATTCCATTGTGTATTATTCTTCCCCAACCATACAACCTTATCACTCAAATTATAGTTTCAGGAAAAGAGCTATAAGAATGGTGAGAATCCTTGAGCTAGAAAAATAAGAACATTACATTATGTTTAAAATGCAAGTAATCTTCCTCTTGATATTATCAACACATATACTAATAGCAGACGGGTATTGACATAAAATAGTTTTATCTCTTGGCCATATTGATTTAGTTTTTTTTCAAAGTGTATTTAAAAAAAAAACCCTATAAAAGTAGGGTGACCATACATCCTGATTTTCCTGGCAGGATCCCAGTTTACACCTGTTGTCCTGGCATAATTATTAACTAGCTCTCCCTTTCACTTTCAAAAGTGTTTCAGTATGGACAGTAAGTTTCATGGTTCACCTTTCATAAGATCCTCATTGATGGTAGGATTTCTTGATTCAATAAGCTTGGGAAATAAATCATATTCCATCTCCCTCTTAGAAATTTACAACATGTACTCGCTTCTGAGAAGTCATATAATAAATGTTTTTAACTTAGTGTAACTCATTTCCTAAATTTATTTCATTATTGAAACTCCCTTTTTTCCTGTGACACATATAACATCCCACAGAACACACTTAAAATTAGTTTAACCATATTCAGAATTTTTCAATGCCAGGTTTTTAACTAACAGGTTTCTACCATAGGAGGAATAACAATTTTTTATCATTATGTAAATAAATATATAATCTTTTGATTATATATTTATAAATCAAATATAAATATAAAGTCAAAAGCGTTTGACTTTTTCTAAAGTGTAGCATTGATATGAGCAGGTATCTGCTTAAAGAAATTTTTTCCTTTTATTCATGATCAGGAAATCTGAGTTTCAGCTAATTTCAGTTAATTTCAATAAATATTCATCCCATGCGTCCTACACATCAAGCCCTGGGCTAGTACTGATAATGCAAAGATGAATCAGACATGATCCTTTATGGATTAAGTTGTATAGAAAATGTGGATTAGTTTGCCTTCTCTATGTTGGGACTTTTTTCCCTAATTTTTATTGATTGGTTGTTTTCATAATTGCATTTCTACTTCTCATCATATTATCAACAGTCTATGAAGGTTAGTAGAATTAATCTAGTGGTGGAACACACATGATTGTATTAAGAATTAATAGTTAAGTGATATAACAAGACATAAATGAAGTGATATTAAAACATAGAGAAGGAATTACTCAGTTCTCCCCAGAATCATTGAAAAGGATTTCACTGACGAGGTCCTATGTGAGTAGAGCCTTGAAAAAAATTAAAATGCTGACAGACACACAGAGAGTATAAGTATTTTCAGGCCAAGAGAGTTGTTTGCACAATTCCAGTAGAGACCATGTAAGCCCATGTTCCATGCTGCTGGGAACAGGTTAGGGTGATGGGGGGCAAATATAAGTTTAAAAAAAAATTGGGAACCAAACATAAAATCTGTTTAAATATGATTTAAGGAGAATGAAGAAACGACCTATGATTTTAATGACTAGACTTTATGTCATTGGTGAGTACCCTTCAATATTGGACAGCCAACTCTTTAAAAGACTGATGAGAAAATTTCACTGGCGTGTTAAATGTCTACCAAAGAAATAAAAGTATGCTAAGTTACCACCACATAAAATAGCTTTTGGTCACTCCCTTTCAATAAAATAATTGTCATAAAATGTGTTTGTAATCTAATCTTACTATTTTAGCAAGAACTTCCTCCAGAAAGTACTTAGTCACTGTGTACATGCGTGTGTGTTCATGTAACAGCAACAGAGTATATGTGTAAAAGAGAGTTTAATTCTGTTGTTTGAATATCCTTCAGTTTCCCATCTGTATAGTAAATAATTTTCCTGGTATTTTAAAGTACGTCTAGTCTTGATTTAAAAAGAAACTCCTTAATTTCAGTATATTTGTTAAAATAAGGTGTTAGATAAGTGAGTTCAAACTATGTCTAACAAACATATTAGTCAGAAATTTAGCACAGACTTTGTATACTGCATAATAGCAATATCATAATTGTTTTTCAAAACTCTTGAGATATTGATAATCTAGAACTTTACATTTTTCACCAGTTGAGAAGTTGCTTAATACAACTAGAAAATGTGACATAAGCCTCACACTGACCTCACTTAATGACCAGCCAAAGGAAAACAGAAGTTTAGAGGCTTCACAGCTGCTGACACAGAGTCCTTGGAAAGAATTATTTTGGAATATTCTTACTGTTGCTAAAGAAAGGAATGAGAAGGTCAGAAATAGGAAACCAGGAAGAAAACAAGCTTGTCAGCATTCAAAACTGATTACCAGGGAATTACTTTCTGGTTAAAAATCCACAGTGTTGCAGTAACTTTATTTAGCAATGTTTTTCTCAAAGGACTTTCATTGTGTGTGTTTTGCTACAAATAAATTTGCTTACCTTAACTCTATAAAGAGCTAAACAAACCACATCTGCTTTTATTTGAATTTGCTAGTTTTCACCACCACTACCAATTCCACTGAAAACAAGGAGCCTTCCAGGATGTGGGAAGGACCTTGGTAGTCGCAGGTTGGATTATGTGGTTGTTGCTTTTGTTACTGTACATATCTTAGAGTAAGTCAGGTATCAAGCTGTGTGACCTCTAGAACTAGCAACTAGAATCCTGCTACTGTGTTAGGGAGTTGTATGTTGAGTGTAACAAAGAGAGAAGTGGTGTTTTTCTGATCAAAACCAGCTGGATAATTTATTTTCATTCTTCCATTTGCCTTGACACTTGTACCATAAACAATTATTGAAAAATTAAGTACATATATATTTTTTGAGACAGGGTCTCTCTCTGTCACCGGGCTAGAGTGCAGTGGCATGATCACGGTTCACTGCAGCCTCCACTTTCCAGGCTGCAGCCTCTGCATCCTGTGTTTAAATGATCCTCTGGCCTCAGCCTCCCAAGTAGCTGGGACTACAGGTGCACGCCACCACGCCTGGTTATTTTTTTTTATTATCTGTAGAGAAAATGTCTCCCTATGTTGCCCAGGTTGGCCTCAAACTTTGGGGCTCAAGTGGTTCTCCCACCTTGGCTTCCTAAAGTGCTGGGATTACAGGCGTAAGCCACTGTGCTGGACCTAAGTATTTGGATTTCTTTAAACAAATAAAACATGTCTCACTTGGCTAGCTAGCCACTCTACCTGTTATATGAGGCAGTGGGCAGTCCATGAGTTGAGATTCAGAAGGGCTGCACTCAATGTTCTACTTATTTACTACTTGATTAACCTTGTCTAAGGCAAGTTAACTTTCTTAGTCCCAGTTTCACCATCTTTAAGAATGGGGATGATGATACATATATTGTAAAGAAGTGATCAAAAGAGATTGTATATGCCACGTATTTCATGAAAATAATAATGTGCTGCACTCTGCTGTACTCCTTCATCTCCCATCCCTTCCACAAACACATTTTTACTTCCCTTTTGCTTCTTTAAGTTCTTTGAACTCAGAGCTGGATTAAGGCATGGGACACATGGACAGCCTCAGTTGAGTGCCAACCTATAAAAATGCTACCCAGCCCTGGATTACATTGAAAATATGTTGCCAGATAATGCAGGCTTTGATTTGCTATCCTAGGCAAAATGTAAATTTACATTTCCTTTCCTGGCAAAAGAAGCAAGCCCTTCAGTAGAAACAAGAAAACAAAACAAAACAAAACAAAACAAAACAAAACAAACAACTACAACTCCTTGCTAGAATCACCTCTCTTTTCTGAGCGTTCTTGCACACAAGCAGTTACAAATAGCCAAAATCCCAAGGTCCAAAATGCAGGCCATAATACTGCTTAATAGGGACATGATTCACCTTTTAATTTAAAATTTTAATCTCTGAATATGCTTCCAACTAAGTGGTCACATTTTTTGAAAATACAGACTGTGCTTTAAGCAGAAGTCAATCAGTAAAAAAATTTGTTTTTATGTACAACTTTTTATTAATATAATTTTTCACACTCTACATAAGTGCTCAAAAAGTAGTTTGGGGTGAAAGAGGTGTCAAATCACTTGGTTGCCAATGATGCTGAGGTTTGCTTGCACTCACTATGATTTTTCTACATATTTCCACCTCCACACATACTATCCTTACTCCACTTTGTTCACTACTTATCTTTTGACCCATTTGAAAAATCAATTCATCTATGATACCTTCTTTTCTCTGTTATTTCCCTACAGGGAATTACAATGACTCCTTGATTCTAGAACATCAGCTTTATTTTTTTTTTTTGAAAATCAGAGCCAAACAAATAGAATATTAAAAGTATGCATCAGTTTTAAGACATGTTCCAATGGGGAAACATTAAAGTAATCAAACAAGTTTTAAAATCTAGTAAATGGGGTAGTTGCTTTGTCTGCCACAATTGTGTTGCAACCTTAGCACATAATACATTCTCTATTTTGGTATGTATCACATGCTATCTATCTATCTATCTATCTATCTATCTATCTATCTATCTTTCATCTATCTAAACTGTAAAGGGTATGAATTTGGTTCATGAGACTTGGGTGAATAAAGTCTGCATTATTAACTGGGCGCGGTGGCTCATGCCTGTAATCCCAGCACTTTGAGAAGCTGAGGCGGGCAGATAACCTGAGATAAGGAGTTCAAGACCAGCCTGGCTTACGTGGCAAAAACCCGTCTCTACTAAAAATACAAAAATTAGCCGGGCATGGTGGAGGGCACCTGTAATCACCGCTACTTGGTAGGCTGAGGCAGGAGAATCGCTTGAACCAGGAGGCAGAGGTTGCAGTGAGCTGAGATTGCACCATTGCACTCCAGCCTGGGCAACAAGAGCAAAACTCTGTCTCAAAAAAAAAAAAAAAAAAAAGAAAAAGAAAAAAAAAGCTGCATTACTTTATTTTGAAAAATCAAAATGTATCTCACTCTGAACTTCCTTGTAAACATGACTATGATTTACTAGAGGGCCCTTCCTTAGCATTGCTCAAGATTCCCTGGGGCATTATATAGTTATCCCATGTTGTCATGAAAGAAAAGATTCTTTTACATTTTAAATTTTTTTTTTTTCTGTGACAGGTCAGCTGAGGAGAGGAAAGGATTCTTAGCTTGAGTTCACTCCAGTTGCCTAATGTCATGCCCATTGCTCAAGCCCATGTGGCCTGTTTGAAGGTAGGCTGCCCTGCTTCTTGTGAAGTGTCCTCCTCCATGCTCAACTCAGCCCTAGCAGCCTTCTCCAAAGCTTGCAAGGCCATGGCAGTATTGAGTCACCAGCCATTTATATGCATGTCTTATCAGCAGTCCTACCACCTATTGGGATTCTGACTGGGAATAAGACCCAAGTCCCTACCCGCCTTAGGAAATCCTCTCTATGGCCCAGTCAACCCCATCATCAATTTCAAACAATAACCTCACCTTCTGAGTAGTGGATTGAGGAAGCATAATCTTCCTTAATGCGTCTGAATCCCAAACAGTTTAATTTTGTCCCTAAGAGTTCAGTGTGTGTTTATTGAGAGGAGGAGGGGCAATTGCAGTGACAGCAAACTTCATCTCTTTGGATGAAAAACAGAAAAAGAGATAATTTTTTTAACCATGGTGAGTCAACAGCAGGGAAATCCAAAAATAGCATTAAGCAACAAACACAACTTACCAGTTGGTTTGTTGTGTGCCCATCCCCTCTCAATAGACATGGGTCTTGAGGATAAGAGCTTTGTTTCTTTATAAATGGGTCTTCGGCACTCAACATAGTACATGTTATCAGCCAATAAATATTGGCTCAGTGGCCAGGAGAGGTGGCTCATGTCTGTAATCCCAGCACTTTGTGCAGCCAAGGCAGGAGGATCACTTGAGCCCTGGAGTTCGAGACTAGCCTGGGCAACACAGTGAGACCTCATCTCTACTAAGATAAAATTTTAAAAATTAAGCTGGGCCTGGTGGCACACACCTATAGTCTGAGCTACTTGGGAAGCTGAGGTGGGAGGAATGCTTGAGCCCAGCCTGGACAACATAGTGAGATCTTGTCTCAGAAAAAAATGCTCAATGAACTGAATGTATTGTCAGTTACTATTTGTGTCTTCTAGAATAATTCTGGTCTTAGAAACTTTTAGATGCATTAAAATATGAAACTAGTTGAATAGAATTCAAGGACAAATCTCTGTTCTTCAACCATAACATCTTGATAAATTTGCTCCCAAATGAACAAGGAATATTGGTTATCAAATATGCTAAATTGAAATTTTAAAATTCTGAGATCTAAAATAGATCTCAGCTCTGCTTTTAACCCCTGAGAAGTCATTCTATCTCTTTGTACCACTGTGTCTCTTCACATATTGTGAAGTTACTAAAGTGTTCTGAATTTAGATGAAAAGTACACACTGTTCATGGAGGGTACAGGAATATTTTTGAAAGTAAAATATTTGATGGGTACACAGACACTTGTACTTTGCTTTTGTTACATATTTAGCAGTTAGTTTATATCACTGACAAATAGCAAGAACATTTCATGTGAGAACAAGGAAGTACCTTGGTTACTGTGCAGTTATCAGTGTACACTTCAAAACCTGTGCTATTTTACTACCTCTGTTCGTAAAATTCCTTCATTAAAAATGTAATTGTAAGCCAATTTTCAAGCCTGTTCTTTAGATAGCTAAAGCCCCATGCTGCTGCTTTTCATCCTTTCTCTATCTAATAAATATTCACCACGAGACCACCACCATGCATTAAAGATTACAGTCACTCTGATAGAAATTACTTATAGGACTTGTTATGGCACAAATTAGAGAGAAGAGATTGAATTCTGGAGACTGAAATGACCCATGAAGGTGTATTTATCCAGCACATATTTATGAAGACATCTTCACCAGGAGCCACAGTGGGCTCTGATAAAAGCTATGATTTATCAGTAAATGCTACTCTCAAGAAGATTGTTATTTCTAGAGGTGGAAACAACACAAACACACAAATAACTATAATTTAGGACGTGAAGTGATAAATAGTATAAGACGAATGGAGTTTAGGAGCGGTAGTGACCATTTTCAGCTAGAGGAATTGAGCATTTCAGCTTAGAAGGGTCAGCTTAGAAGGGTCATTGAACTATGCCTTAGAGAATGGACTATAATCCATTTGGACAAGGGCTGACTGGGGAGGGAGGTAACATGATGCAAGGAACACCTTGAACAATGACATACACTCTGACCAGGAGAGGCAAATCAACTGCTTCAAACAATAGTGAATAGTCATGTGTCATTGTATTTCCTGCTTGGGTATATAAAATGTGCATATTTCATTGAAATAATGAAAGGTATAATTATGAAACATATGCTCTGTTATTTGCTACTTCATAAATATTCAAAAATGACCAACAGAAAATATATTGAGAGTAAAATAGTACTTTCTGAAGTCCTTTTAATTGTTTTCCACATTTTTCTTGTCAAAGTAAGCTGTTAGCTCAGCTATTGGATTAGTCAGAGTTCTCCTGAGAAATAGAACCAATAGGACGTATACATGAATACATATATGTATGTATATATATCCATATACACATAAGTACAAACACAAATATGTATGTGTATGTGTGTGTGTGTATATATATCCTATTTGTTGGACAGAGAGATTGAGAGCCAGAGCGAGAGTGAGAATGAGTGAGCCAGAGAGAGAATGAGTGAGCCAGAGAGAGAGAGAGATTGTAAGGAATTGAATCACACAATTATGGGGGCTGGCAAGTCTGAAATTTGAAGGGCTGTTAGGTAGGGAAAATTCTGGCAGGTGTTTATCTCACAGTCTTGAGTCTGATGCAATTTGGAGGCAGAATTTCTTCTTTGAGGCGGGGGAAACCTCAGTCTTTTCTCTTAAGGCCTTCTACTGATTAGTTGCCCACCCACATTAGCCAATTCAAGTTGACACATGAAATTGACCGTCAGAGCTGTCATGAATCATGAAGACATGGCAGTAATGAAAACAGGGGAAACAGTAAAGTCTTTCCTTTGCTTACACAGCTCATTATGTTTTATAAATGTTTTTGCATATATAATCATTAAAAATCCTGTGAGAAAAGAAGGTAGCATATTATTATAAACAGTTTCTAAATGACAAATCTGAGGCACAGAGAGATTAATAATCTGGAAGTTTAGGGAACTAGAAGTGGCACAGCTGATGTTAGAGTTAGAACTGATGTCTTCAGATTCATTATCTAGTGTTCTTTCTGTTGTGCCATCTACTAGTGCCAACCCAAATTTCTATAGCATTCATTATCTGTAACGCTCTCTTGAAACTTAGTGCAAAGTACCTTTATGGATATATATTCTATCTATCCAACTAAATTCAAAGACATGCCTTTTTTTTTTTTTTTTTTTTAAATATGGAACGCTTCACGAATTTGCGTGTCATCCTTGCGCAGGGGCCATGCTAATCTTCTCTGTATCGTTCCAATTTTAGTATATGTGCTGCCGAAGCGAGCACCAAAGACATGCCTTTTTATGGCCAACCATATTATGTACTACATATAATTGAATATGAGTAATTTTTTTTTTAAGATGGAGTTTTGCTCTTTCACCCCGGCTGGAGTGAAGTGGCATGACCTTGGCTCACTGCAACCGCTGCCCCCCGAGTTCAAGCGATTCTCCTGCCTCAGCCTCCCAAGTAGCTGGGATTACAGGCACCCACCACCACACTCGGCTAATTTTTGTATTTTTAGTAGAGACAGGATTTTGCCATGTTAGCCAGGCTGGTCTTGAACTCCTGACCTCAGGTGATCCACCCGCCTCGGCCTCCCAAATTGCTGGGATTACAGTCAGGAGCCACTGTGCCTGGCCTGAATATCAGTAAGTATTTTTTTCGAAGAATAAATTCTGCTATATATTCTGTTTATGCTGGTAACGATTTGTTTATGCAGCTTGTGGTGACAGGCTCCTTGAATTAGTTTTCACAGCATGTAGAATGGTGCCACAGTGTTTTTCATAAAGCTGGGAAGTCCGAAAGGCCTGAATTCCTTATATTTAAAAGGGCTTATGAGTCATGTCAACATGGGCATGTTGTTCAACTTTAAGTTCTAATTTCTTTATCTGTAAAAAGAGAATGATAATAGAACTTCAGTAATTCATCATGTAAATAGAAAATGATTTATTGTCTGTGTAAAGTTATGAATAGCTTCTTTACACTCAAGATACAAGAGATGGTATGCTTCTTTATTTTCTAAATAAAGCCATCTCCAAATCATAACTTATCAGGGTCAATGATAAGCTCAATATCAGTGATTAATTGGGGTTATCCTCACTGGAATTTACAAAAACCCTGGGGCTTACATATTCCCAGGAAAAGGGGAAGGGCCTGGTTCTTGGTCCACAGGGATAGCCATTTACCCCTTGGCTCCACTTGGGTGCTGTGCACAGGGCCATTTTGTATACAACCTTCACAGACATGGATGGCAGCTCAGTCTTCCAAATGTTCAACAGTAGTTGAGCATGGTTTCTTTGCCATGCACTGGAGACGGCCTCCTTGGGTGAGCTGGCCCAAAACTTCCTCAAAATTCCTCTCTGCTGACTGCTTAGTCACAAATGTCTTAAAAAGATGCTCAAGACATAGCATTTAATGGCCAATTCTCATCTGTTCCAAACACCTGTTCCCATACAAGGACTTGTAACCTCCAGAATGCCAAGTCCAAGCACGTGAAGAAATTCACAATTCTCCCAATGTTTGCATCTGTGAAACCAACTGCAAGGTTGGGCCAATCTCCCAAAGCCTCTATTTTCATCTTCTTTGGGACAGTCCAGTTTAATTTCTTCATTGGCTGAGAGCTTTGAAATGAGCCCTATGAACTCTCACTCTGAGGACAAGGGAACTCTAGACCTCAAGGGCATAGAGCCCTGACCTCATTGTTTCACTGATGAGAAGAAAATAGGGGGAAAAAAATCAAGGTATCAATAAATTCTTCAGGAAGTCACACTGTTACACAGGCAGATCACATAGCACATAGAAACTGCTCACATTAGTTTGCTTTTTATCATTATTTAGAACACGGTACGTATTTATTGGTTATGCTCCACTGAATCTTCCACCTCTTGAGATGCCTTAAGTTGTGGAAGTAAGAGCCTGGCTTTTGGAGTCAGACAGCTCTGGTTCTGATTCCTGGCTTTGCCTCTTATCTCTTTGCACTTAGGTAAATTACCTTGCTGAGGTTCAGTTTTTCTTCTGTAAAATTAATTGTGAAGGTTAAATGCACTGAACACAGATAGCTGTAGCTTTATCTGCCAGGGCATACAAATAGTCACATATATAATAATAGTCCAAATCTCAAGGCTTGGAGCCCACACCTGCTTGACTGGGTCTTTTAGTAGAAGCCCCTCCTGTTAATTTATTCTGTCTGGGAGGTCCCATGGGTGAGGTTTGCCCACAATTTCCTTTATTCTCATGCCCTGTCTCATCCCCAGACTGCTGATCTCTTGCTTTTCTCCCTCTCTGACTGGTAGGAAAACTCCCTTAGAGTCTCATGATCAGAGACGTTTTTCACAGAAGAGTTAGGGCCCTAGAAACAGATGTAACTGACATCCTAGCCTTCTACTGTCATAACACATTGATGCTCAGGGGGAAGGGAGTAATATCAGGTAAGGTCAAGCTCCCTCCTACCATGGTCCACTGCTCCTCTGACATTCAGGCAGGCTACCAGTTCAGCCTGCTCTTCCAGACCTCCTCTCATAGGCTCTGAGGTCCCTTCGGGCCAGCCTTTTTCAGGGGATCCCAGTCCCCTAGACTGGTGTGTGGATGCCTTAACACAGTTGGTGGACCAGGATTGAGCTCTCTTCTACAGCTATCCTAAGACCATGCAAAACAAGGTATGTGTCTGAGCATCAGTTGTGGTGTTTCAAAACATTCTGTGATGGTCAAGAAGCTTTGGAACTTTGTATAACAGGAAGCTGTGCTATCCAGGATGTACAGAGGGTCTCATGCCATGCTCCAAACTTGATCTGGTCCAAAATATTCCTTAAAGCAACTAGTGCTTGCCACACAATAAGCTACTTATTTTGCCTTCTTTGCTTAAGAACAATTTGAAGTATTTGCTAGACAGTTGTCTCTAAATATTTTACCCTTATGCCTAACTGTTTTACAGTGATAAAATCTGAGACCCAAAGTTGTCTGGGTCATGTTATTATATAGAACATCTCAGGACTTGGGAGATTACTATCTGATATGGTTTTGCTGTGTCCCCACCCAAATCTTATCTTGAATTGTTGTTTCCATAATCCCTAGATATCATGGGAGGGACCTGGTGGAAAATAATTTAATCATGGGGGCCGTTAGCCTCATACTCTTTTCATGATAGTGAGTTCTCACGAGATCTGATAGCTTTATAAGCGACTTTCCCACTTTTGCTAGGCACTTCTTGTTGCTACCCTGTAAAGAAGGATGTGTTTGCTTCCCCTTCCCCCATGATTGTAAGTTTCCTGAAGCTTCCCCAGCCATGCTGAACTGTGAATCAATTAAATCTCTTTTCTTTATAAATTATCCAGTCTCAGGTATGACTTTATTAGCAACATGAGAATGGACTAATACAGTAAATTAGCACCACAGAGAGTGGGGTGCTGCTGTAAAGATACCCCAAAATGTGGAAGCGACTTTGGAACTGGGTAACAGGCAGAGGTTGGAACCATTTGGAGGGCTCAGAAGAAGACAGGAAAATTTGGAAAAGTTTGGAACTTCCTAGAGACTTGGAGGGCACAGAAGGCAGGAAGATGTGAGAAAGTTTGGAATTTCCTAGAAACTTGTTGAATAGTTTTGACCAAAGTGCTGATCATGATGTGGACAACAAAGTCCAGGCTGAGGTGGTCTCAGATGGAGATGGGGAACTTTTTGGGAACTGGAGCAAAGGTGACTGTTACACTTTAGCAAAAAGACTGATGGCACTTTGCCTCTGCCCTAGAGAACTGTGGAACTTTGAACTTGAGAGAGATGATTTAGGGTATCTGGTGGAAGAACCATCTAAGTGGCAAAGTGTTCAAGAGAAAGCAGAGCATAAAAGTTTGAAAAATTTGCAGACTGACAATCTGATAGAAAAGGAAAACCCATTTTCTGTAGAGAAATTCAAGCCAGCTGTAGAAATTGGCATAAGTAACAAGAGGTGAATGATAATCACCAAGACAATGGGGAAAATGTCTTCAGGGCATGTCGAGACCTTTGTGGCAGCCCCTCCCATCACAGGCCTGGAGGCCTAGGAGGGAAAAATTGTTTCCTGGGCCAGGCCCATCCCCTGACCCCCTCTGCTCTATGCGCCTTGAGACATGGTACCCTGAGTCCCAGCTGCTTCAGCTCCAGCCATGTCTAAGAGGGGCCAATGTACAGCTCAGGCTGTTGCTTCAGAGAACATAAGTCCCAAGCCTTGGCAGCTTACATGTGGTTTTGAGCCTGTGGGTGCGCAGAAGTCAAGAACTGAGATTTGGAAACCTCTGCCTAGATTTCAGAGGATGTACGGAAACACCTGGATGTCCAGGTAGAAGTTTGCTGCAGGGATGAAACCCTCATGCAGAACCTCTGCTAGGGCAATGCAAAAGGGAAATGTGGGGTCAGAGCTGTCACACATAGTCCCTAGTGTGGTTCTGCCTGGTGAAGCTGTGAGAAGAGGGCCACTGTCCTCCTGACCCCAGAATAGGTAGATCCACTGATAGCTTGCACTGTGTGCCTGGAAAGGCCACAGAGACTTAATGCCAGCCCCTGAAGGCACCCAAGAGTGGAGCTGTACCCTGCAAAGCCACAGGGGCTAAGCTGCCCAAGGCCATGGGAGCCCACCTGTTGCATCAGCATGCGCTGGATGTGAGACATGGAGTCAAAGGAGATAATTTTTTAACTTTAAGGTTTAATAACTGCCCTACTGGATATTGGACTTGCATGCAGCCTGTAACCCCTTAGTTTTCACCAATTTCTTCCATTTGGAATGGGTGTATTTACCCAATGCCTGTACCCCCATTGTATCTAGGAAGTAACTAACTTACTTTTGATTTTACAGGCTCTTAAGCAGAAGGGACTTGCTTGTCTCAGATGAGACTTTGGACTTGGACTTTTGAGTTATTGTTAGAATGAGTTAAGACTTTGGGAAACTGTTGGAAGGGCATGATTGTGTTTTAAAATGCAAAGACATGAGATTTGGGAGGGGCCAGGAGTGGAATAATATGGTTTGGCTGTGTCCTCATCCAAATCTCATGTTGAATTGTAGTTCCCATAATCCTCATGTGTCATGGGAGGGTTCCGATGGGAGGTAATTTAGTCATGGGGTGTTTTCTCAAGTTCTTCTCATGATAGTGAGTTCTCACAAGATCTGATGGTTTTATAAGGGGCTTTCCCCCCTTTTGATCAACACTTCTTGTTGCCACCCTGTGAAGAAGGATGTGTTTGCTTCCCCTTCTGCCATGATTGTAAGTTTCCTGAGGCCTCCCAAGCCATGCTGAACTTAAGTCAATTGAACCTCTTTCCTTTATAAATTACCCAGTCTTGGGTATGTCTTTACTAGCAGCATGAGAACAGACTAATATACTATCAATGAAACATATGAAGTTGTAAGTATGACTGGGTTGATAAGAAATGCTACTAGTTTAGTTACCAAGGAAGAGGAAGAGTCACAGTACTGCATCATGGTTGGATCCATATAGCTTGGACCCAACATGTGAAAGATTCTTACCCCAATGGAGCAGAATAAAACTGGTTCCTTGAGTACTGTTTGACAGAGACACATAGGATAAGATGCTTCGTTTAAGAGTATAGGGTGAACCAAATAAACAAAAACCTTCCTCAGGGTTTATGAGAAGGCAGGAATCCAATTGTTTGCAAACTATATTGCAGGGAAATGAAGCCTCTGTAAAGCTTGTATTTAGGTGAACTTTGAACTTTTGCCAATGCAAAGAATAAGCACTATTTGCAAATCCCCAGAAGGCACTGAAGGCACCAAGCAACAATTCAAACACAGAACAGCATGGATTAGACATCATGGGAACAGACAACTGTGGAGCCTCATAGGAAGAGTCATCCAGACCTGGCCAAACCTGAGACAATTCCTTCTGTCACTTGGATTTAGGGATTCTCTCAAAATCTTTAAAGAAGAGAATCTGGAAAAAAAATGTTTTTAAAGAAACATTTACGTGGTGTTTATAAGTATACTATTAGCCTTTCAAGTTGTAATTATTTAATCTTTAAATCAACTATATGAGATGCTATCAGTTCTATTTATAGATTAAAAAACTGAGGCATAATTTGCCCAAGACAACAGAGCAAGCAACAACAGAACTAGGCCTAAAAATCAGGCAGTCTGTTGACACACAGAATTACCATATGACCTAGTAGTTCCACTTCTAGGTACATGTCCAAGATAAGTGAAAACGTGTCCACATAAAAACTTGTACACTAATGTTTATAGCAGCAGTATTCATAATAGCCAAAAGGTAGAAATAACCCAAATGTCCACCAACAGATGAATGGATCAACAGAATGTAGTATATATATACAATGGAATATTATTCAGCCATGAAAAAGAATGAAGTGCCAATACATATTACATACTACAGCATGGATAAACCTTGAAAATATTATATCAAGTGAAAGAAGCCAGTCAGAAAAGACCACATATTGTATGATTCCATTCATATACAATGTCCAAGATAGGCAAATCTATGAAGATAGAAAATAGATTGGTGGTTTCTTGTAAGTAGGGAGGTGATAGCTAAGGGGGAAACAAGATCTCAAAAAAAAAGTCAGGATCTGGATCAAGAGTCTGTGCTCTCAATTTCTGGGCTATGCCCATCTTTCTTGATCACAGAAGCCTACTGACTAGGACTTCTTGCTGTATATATTCACATACTATAAAATACATGTGGTTTTGGTATTCATATGGGGGCAAAGTCAGGTAAAAAGTATCCTTAAGGTAAAAGGTTAAAAAGAAGCCTGGCTTAATGAGACTCAATCGTAAATGGATGAGTAACAGGTTCTATGAAGTTTTAGCATCTATTTGCTATGACTATTCATGTACCCTTCTCTTTTTATAGAAAAGGTCTTCTATTCTCTCATTGCTACTGAACATCACAGAAAAAGCTATAATAAAGTGTCAGGGTAAAATTCCAGAACAGGTCCATCACATTGCTGCTCTGTTGAACTAAGTAACCTTTTAGTCAAATAAAACTCCAAACTTAATTGCTCAAGGAAGCAACGTTAAAATTCTGAGAAAAATGTCAGCTAAGTAAATGGGACCCAGATACTTGAAAGCTGAAAAGCCAAAAACTTATTTTTCTTGCCTTTGCAAAAACAAAACAAAAATAAAAACTATTATTTCTGAAATTGGCTAACAAATAAATCAAGTAGATATGAAAAAGGGCCCCTGTTGGCCTCTGCTGATAAGTACTAAGTAAATTGGAGATTGGAGGCCCACACTAAGGCCTGGGCCTAGCATATGTAAACTTTTTTAAATTACTAAGGCACATGGCTCTTTGAAGATAATAGTCTCAGGTTATAAGTAACCTTCTCATCATTACTAGACTCTGCTTTAACTCGCCTGGAATTCATACAAGTAGCTATCAATCAAAAATGGCAATTTGCAAAGTCATGCACTTTCTCTTTATCAATGTTTTCTAAGAAAAGCATTTTGTTCCCCAGGACTCAATTCCAAATTCTCAAAAAGCTTATATTTGAAAACTTAATTACACCTATGGCAATAATAATAATTTTAAAAAGTGCCCACAATTATAGATTCCTCAATAAGCAAGTCCACAAATTTTCCTTTTATTTTACCCACCAGAGGGTGCTACTTCCTTACATTTCCTAAAGATGTGGCCTGGCTTCTGAAGGAAATTTTTATATTGTTTTAAGTACCCTGTGTTGATATTCAAATTGGCAACTTTCTGTTATTCAAGACTCTGTAATGCAATAGGAATTTTGTAATTGGACACCTGTCAGCGGTAGTTACAGAGCTAGTTGCAACACACTCAGATGTTTAAAGTCACTCTTGTGTATTTAAGCCAGAAGTAAGGTCAAGTGATTACAGGTCAGTTGTGGTTATAGAAACTATGCAATTATCAGAGCCTCCACCCTTCTACTTGCTCAGTGCTTTATTCTTAATAAGGGAAAGAGTAGGTGTGTTCCTTCATCCCATAAACACTGCTTCATTTAAAGAGAGAGAGAGAGAGATTACCTACAATGATCTTAGAACCATAATTTAGCCCTAAATAAAGACTTATAAAGATCTTGCACTATCCTTTTCAAACCACAAAATGTAAAGCCATCTCTAAAAATGGATAATCATATTATCATGAGCTTAAAAGCAACCTTAGGAAAGACGAAGCTGAAACTAGGAGTGGGACAGGTGGTTGGGTGTGTCAATCACGTTCACGGGGCTGACAGAAACAGATCAAACATGCCATTTACTCCCTTCGTGGCATTCTTGCAATTAAATGAGTGGATAGGACAAGTTCTGACTAATAGAATGTTTGTGGATATAAGTGTGTCCTTTCCAGACTGAGGTAGTGAAAAGTCCATGCAGATTTCTCGTTTCTCTTTCCCTTTAATAGAATACCCAAGGAAGTGGCATATTTAGGATGAAGCAGCTACAAGATGGTGGCAGCTGAGTGACTGTGTGGAACATAAAATTCTGTTACTCTAGAGTATGGTCTAGGGGAGGGAAATAGGAAAGGAAGTAAGAGAAGTAACTGTGATCAGATTAGATAGAGCCTTGAAGGAAATGGGGAGCCATTGAAGAGCTTTGAGCAGAGGAGTGCCATGATCTGACTTAAGATTTTAAGAGAACACTACGCTTGCAACTAGACTGAAGGGGGCAATCATACAAGCAGGGAAACTTGTAAGAGGCTATTAAATAATTCAGGGCATCCACATTTATCAGAGTTCACTGTATATATCAGTAGACTCATTACAAACTCTTTTAGTATTGATAAAGTAATGTCATTTCTCTCTGACGGATTCACATTTAATGTATTTTCCTCTCTTTCTTCTCCTTATGTAAAGACATTATTTCTTTATTGTAGATTTCCCTTTAATTTTCTGGTTAAAATACAATCAGAAAAAAATTAATTTCATAGCTCCTTTTAAGCCAATATTTTCAGTTCCCTACTCTTTTATCAGCAGGCTCATTTTTCTAATCTTTTTGAAAATATAATACTATGGAAGGTATTTTATAAAGGTAATTTATAAATTTATAAAATTATAAAATAAAATTAAATTATAAATTATAAATTTATAATTTCAAAATAAAATTTATTTTGAAATTACACTGAGGCTGGGCACAGTGGCACATGCCTGTAATCCCAGCACTTTGGGAGGCCAAGGGGTGTGAATCTCCTGAGGTCAGGAGTTCAAGACCAGCCTGGGCAACATGGTAAAACCCTGTCTCTACTAAAAATACAAAAAATATATATAAATTTAAATGTTAGCAACATTTTGCTAACATTTTTGTTAATAATTTTTCATTTACTCATTTTGGTTCCATGTTTCTTGTTCTTTTTGTTCTTTTTATCAGATATGTTTTTCTACCAAGGAATGACTGCACTTTAAACAAGGTCTCTTATTTACTTCAATTCTAATATGAATTTTTGTTTGAATACATTATTTGGTACATGAAATCACTATTAACTAAAAATAGAAGTCTTGCCTGGACTTGGTAGCTCACGCCTGTAATCCCAGCCCTTTTGGAGGCTGAGGTGAGCTGATTGCTTGAGCGCAGGAGTTCGAGACCCACCTGGGCAACATGGTGAAACCCCGCCTCTACTAAAAATACAAAGCATCAGCTAGGCATGGTGGTGCGCCTGTAGTTTCAGCTATTGGAGGTGGGGCTGAGGTGGAAGGATCGCTTTAACTGGGTAAGTGGAGGTTGCAGTGAGCCGAGATCGCGCCACTGTACTCCAGCTTGGGCAACAAAGAAAGACTCTGTGTCAATTTTTTTTACTTTATTTATTTTTTTGAGACAGTCTTGCTCTGTCACCCAGGCCGGAGTGCAGTGGCGCGATCTCGGCTCACTGCAAGCTCCACCTCCCGGGTTCACGCCATTCTCCTGCCTCAGCCTCCTGAGTAGCTGGGACTACGGGCACCCGCCACCATGCCCGGCTAATTTTTTGTATTTTTAGTAGAGACGGGGTTTCACCGTGTTAGCCAGGATGGTCTCGATCTCCTGACTTCGTGATCCGCCCACCTCGGCCTCCCAAAATGCTGGGATTACAGGCGTGAGCCACCGTGCCCGGCCTGAAAATTAAAAAAAAAAAAAAAAAAATTAAAAAAAAAGAAGTTTTTCTTTTGATAGCTAAAATATCAAATAAGCATATCATCTTCTATGGTCTAATTAGAATGCAATCACTTCATTTTCTTGCATCTTTAACAATTCCATCTAGTGTAATACCGATTTAAAATCTCAATGTAATTTTTTTCTCTCTTTTTTTTTTGTTTTGTTTTTAGACGCAGTCTAGCTCTGTCACCTAGGCTGGAGTGCAGTGGTCTGATCTCGGCTCAGTGCAACCTCTGCCTCTCGGGTTCAAACGATTCTCGTGCCTCAGCCTCCTGAGTAGCTGGGATTACAGGCACGCGTCACCACGCTGGCTAATTTTTTTTTTGTATTTTTAGCAGAGACGGGGTTTTACCATGTTGCCCAGGCTGGTCTTGAGCTCCTGACCTCAGGAGAGCCACCTGCCTTGGCCTCCCAAAGTGCTGGGATTACAGGCGTGAACCACTGTGCCCAGCCTCAGTGTAATTTCAAAATAAAATTTATTTTATTTGGTACATGAAATCACTATTAATTAAAAATAGAAGTTTTTCCCAGGCTTGGTGGCTCACTTCTGTAATCCCAGCAATTTTGGAGGCCAAGGTGGGCTGATTGCTTGAGCGCAGGAGTTCGACACCCACCTGGGCAACATGGTGAAACCCTGTCTCTACTAAAAATACAAAGAATCAGCCAATGAGAATATGGTCAATTTAGGCATTATTCATATTATTTCTCATTCACTTTTGGTTTTCTTATTGAGGCAGTTAAATAAATCTTGTTAAATCTACTAAAACTTTTTAAAAATGATTGTCTTTTAAATTTATGTAGAATTGAGTGGGAGTGGGAATAGCATTGAGTTATTAATTCAGAAAAGGAATACTGATCTGTTTTCCATCCATGTACTTTAATATTCAATCAAAAATAGGTAAACTATTTTAAGGTACTCATTAGCTTGAACCATAAATTACCTGAGGCCTTTTCTCTCATGAAAGGCCTTTTCTCTCATGAAAGGATGAAAAAGTAAAAATTGACTTATTGAAGACAACTTAAATCCTAAAGTTAAATTACAAAATACGAAAACCTATTCTTATTTCTAAGCAGTTTAAACGTTCTCTATAAAAAATAAGGTAAGTAAATGTATCTTATTTATTTGATTTCATCAATTTTATTTCATGTTTGATTTTATAATCTTTTTTCAGTGTCCTAGTCCTCAATTTTGCAGGCTAAGTAGAAGTTATTACAAAACTTCTATTTTCAGTATTATACATCTCTTGAGTCTACAATTGCTACATATTTAGGCTGTTCATATAATTTATTGTCTAAATTGGGACAGTTTGGGGTATTAAAATGTGCACTACTAATTATCACACGAGGGCAACAGGTGTAAATTGTGATTCTCCCCAGCAAACCAGACTGCCTGGTCACCTATAGACAGGTGTGAGGGCAGTGCATTTTTTTCCCCCATGGTTTTTGTTCCTAGAGGGTAGAGGGTTTCTAGAATAGTATGGAAAACACTTTTATCTTTTCTTGTCTTTTCTCTTATTCCTCTCCAGGGGAGGAGGAGTGACTTTTCTGATTGATGAGTGTGTGAGAAGAAACTGAGCATATGATCTCCAAGTATGACTGTTGCCAAAGAAACCAATGTAATGCCTGATGCTTCCAAAAAGAAACATTTCCCCAGATACTTGTTGCAGAAGTTTCTGATATTATATAAAAAGGTTATTTTTTTGCTTCATATTCTAACTTAAATGTCCACTTGGACTTTTTTAAACTTAAATTAAATTTATTTAAACATACCCCTTTCCTCACCATAGTCCCCTCTACTGTAAATCTTTTAATAATCTTCAGATAGAATGCTCTTTTTAAAGGAGAGCTTTCATCTCATTTTTCCATATCAAGGATGACTTCTCTGTTCCTGACAATCCTCTGTTCAACTTTTAATAAATCAAGATAATTTGACTTAAATGGAACTTATGCCTTTTGGCACACATCAACAGTGCTTGTATTAGACAACAAATCAAGTTCCATTTACTTTGTCTTGTGTATTCTTTGGCTACATTTATTATTAATATAAATTTAAATATCTAACCCACATTGTAAATCCCAAGTTGGGAATTTTTTTTTTTCTTTTGAAGACGTCCCTACAAAAGAATACAGCCTGGGCATACGTTACTCTTCAACGCCCTATAGATCTTTTTATGGCACTGAATCTTTAATTTTAAAGACAGAAACAAAAGATACTAAAGGAAAAGCCAAGTATTAACTAATACTTTCATCTGCTTATAAAAATAAGATGGCTTAATAATTTTAAAAAGATGTAGTACCATTTCAAATAGGATACATATTTTAAGATTATGAAACATATGCAATTGTATACTACTATATTACACTACTGTGTAAGGTCAACCTTATGTCTTAAAATCTGTCATGACTGACCTTGCTGGTGTCTCGGGACTGAAAGACACTAGGCTCCATACACCTGATTATTTACTACAACTCTAAATCTGGTGTCATTCTGTTCCCTTAGCCTTTCAGGAGTAAATTCAGTTGAGTACCACAAAGTTGAGAGGCTGTACCATCCAAGCATTCCCTTCTTGAGAAATAATCCTCTCTCTACTCTAGCTGAAGTATCTCTAGGGAGAGATAAAGAGGCCACAGACTCCATGGGCAAGGTGGCATGCACCTCTAGTCCTAGCTACTTGGAGGGCTGAGATAGGAGGATTGATTGCTTTAGTCCAGGAGTTTGAGGCCTGCCTGGGCAATGTCTCTAAAAAATAAAATAAATTTTTTAAAAATTTTAAATTTAAATTGAATTTAAAAGAATTTTTAAAAAGGGGGCCACAGCGACATCATTTGCATGTAAAAAAGAATGCCGCCTTCACTAGACTGATTTACTCATAAACCCCTTCAATGTTTTAATACTTGTATACTGATATCTTTAATCAGCATCTAATGGCTTCAGCAAAGTTGCCTTTTCTTGGTTTTCATCTTCCACAGCTTGCCTTCCTTAAATGTTTGTGTTCCTTATCTTTAGGTACACTATACCGTCCTCCCAATTCTCTCAAGACTATTTTTCCTTTTATTATTGGACATTTTCCTTTTCGATATAAATGTAGGTGATTCTCAAAATTCTATCTTCAGATCTCATCTCTGTTCTGTAGATATTTTCCTCCTTTGCATCAACCATCACTTCAACACAGAAGATGCCCAATTTTATACTTCTAGAAAAATTCCTAACTGCCTGCAGCAGATCTCCATGTGAAGATATGTACACCCCCAAATCAGTGTCTGTTACCATTTGTACATGCCCTTTGTCTTTCTTCTTCTGCATCTTTCCTCTTGCCATTTCCTCCATCTGGAGTCCCTTTGCAATTTCAGCTTGTTGAAATTCTGCTTATGTTTCAAGCCTTAAATACCACCTCCAGCTTGAAGTTTATCCAGATCTTTTAAACCACATTTGATAGCTCCACGTTTTGAACTCACATGGCATTCTGGGTATGTCTAGCTTATGGAACTGATTTTACTCCACATAATATGTAGGTTATTTATATAATTGTCTTATCCTTATACTAGAGTTCACAATTTACTCCCACAATACTATATATGCTAAGAAAATGTAGCTTTCTCCCCTCTCTAACAAAGCTGATTATTCTCACAAGCTGCCACCCAACCTATGTGAATAAACACAGTAGCAAATGGCATATATAGTGTGACACTGTTTTTGTAACGAAGTATATGGTGAGTGTGGTTATGCACATATGTTTCTTGACTTTACCCACCATTGGGGATTACTGATTCACAGGTGTAATAATACTACAAATCCCAGTGCTCTGAGACCCCTCATATGGAAGTCTGGCCTTTTGCCCTGATTGTCCTCTTCAGTGTTTATCTTGAAGAGTCCTAGAGGAAGGGAGGGAAAAGATTCTCATTTAATCAGCACTTCAGGGTGCACAGGAAAAATATTACTTTTTGAGTAATAAGAATAAAATTAACCTTAATTTTGTCTATCTTTTTCTGTATTTTTTGCAATGATCATTAATTTTGTAACAGCTAATTTAAAAAAAGAAAAAGTTAGCACTCGTGCTATTCTCCTTGGTATTTTAAATAGGACGTATATGTTTCCTTCCTTCCAGTTCCCATCACATATATTCCCACACATACATTCCATGTGTGCACACACACATGGCCGCCCACACATTAGACCTTGAACTTCTTGGGCGGGATTTTGTGTCCATCTTTAGCATCTAACCATGAATGTGGTGGTGAACTCTGCTGATACTGAATTGAATCTGAATGTTAGAATCTTTACAAACTTTGGCTATAGATTATAGACATTATTCCACAGTTATTTCACAGGAAGTCCTTCAATAGATCTTTATATCAGTGAATTCTTATTGAGTATTTAAAATTTTTTATCTTAAGCACAATGATTTCACAGGTTATAAATGTAACCTATTCTCACTTCCAGATGTGGAGGTGGGGTCTCCTAAGCAGGATCTCAGAGATGAGCCCTTCCTTAACCTCTAGCCTTTCTTCCCCAGGTGGTTTGGAAAGGTGAAATCAGTGTAAATCAAGAGATTGTGCTATGTAGTGAATGGTAAGGGTGAAAAAGTTGTAAGTCCATTTATTTAGGTTTCCTATAATATAATCTCAATAAAGATGAATAACTTTCCCCTGTAAAGGCCTTGCGGAAGTTTTGAATCTTCTTTTGTCTTCTCTTCAATTATGCTAGTGAGTAGAAATACATCTGACTTTCATATATTAATCTTGTATCCAACAATCTGTTCAACCCTCCTATTATTTCACATAATTTGTAGATTCTTTTGAATATCTGCATAAGCAATAATGTTGTTGGATATGAATTTTATTCTTTTCCTTTCCAATTCTTATGTCTTTAAATGAAGGAAGGTATAAATGGAATTATATTATTGTAAAGTTATTACATTTTTGAAATGTGGAGTGTAAAATGTGAAGGGGGAAGTGAGAATTGAAAAGTGGGAAGTGGAAAGTGATAGGTATGAAATGTAAAGTGTGAATAACAGTAATACTGAAGCTAGGTAGACATTGATAATTTAAGTTATATTATCAGTCCCAGAACAACTACTAACAACATAATAAAAAAGAAATAGAATGATGGAGGCAGTAGATAAAGTGAAAGAGCAAGAAAGGCATGATATTTAATAAAAAAGAGAAGATACAAAATGAAAATAAGAAGTAAGATCATAGACTCAAAATCCACTGTACTAATTGTTACATTATGTAATATATTTATTATATTACATAAACACACCAGTTAAAAGGCAGAAATTGCAGTAAAAGAATCAGCAGGCTTTTTTGGTAGAAATGACTGGTCTATTTTAAAATATAGGCCGGGCGTAGTGGCAGGCACCTGTAATCCCAGCTACTTGGAGGCTGAAGCGGGAGAATCACTTGAACCCGGGAGGTAGAGATTGCAGTGAGGCGAGATTGAGCCACTGTACTCCAGCTTGGGTGACAACAGGGAGACTCCGTCCGAAAAAATAAATAAATGAGTAAATAAAATAAAATATATATGGAAATGCAAAGGATCTAGAGTATCCAAAACAATTTTGCAAAAGAAACATAAAGTTGAAGGAGTTATACCATCTGATTTCAAGACTCATCAACAAAACTGAAATAATCAAGACAAGATGAGGCTGGCATAATAGTACATACAGAGATCAATCAAATTATTGATGAGGTGAGAGTGTTGCACTGGGAGCAGCTGGCCTTGGAACATGGAGGGGAAAGGAGGATGCTGAAACCAAAGTAAGTTCCATAGGTGGGCTTTAGGTAGGCAGAAAGGAGGCCCCAACCTTGCCAAAGTAATGAAGGTTTTCCTTTCGTGTGGAGGCTTTAGTGTATTTAGTGTAGCTCATTCTTGGGAAATACTGCCAATTTCTCCATTACTCCTTAGTGTGGCAGTCTGATGTAGCCATAATCTTGCTTTCCTTTTTTTTTTGGGACGGAGTTTCACTCTTGTTGTCCAGCCTGGAGTGCAATGGTGGGATCTTGGCTCACCGCAACCTCTGCCTCACAGGTTCAAGCGATTCTCCTGCCTCAGCCTCCTAAGTAGCTGGGATTACAAGCATGCGCCACCACGCCCAAGTAATTTTGTATTTTTTTTTTTTTCAGTAGAGATGGGATTTCTCCATGTTGGTCAGGCTGGTCTCAAACTCCCAACCTCAGGTGATCCATCCAACCCAGCCTCCCAAAGTGCTGAGATTACAGGCATGAGCCACCACGCCCGGCCCTTGCTTTCCATTTCTCTCGTACTCCTTCTGTCTCTCTCTCTTCCTTTCACCTCAGTGGCCAGGCTAGTAGCTGTCTCCAGATGGTCACACCACTTTTTAGAAAGCAGTGCTCAAGGCTTCAGGCTAGTGAAAAAGCTTCACTCAGTCAGGTACTCCTAGTACTTAGGGAATGGGAAGGGACAGGATTGGCCTAGTTATTCCACAGGAAGTCCTTCAGTTGATCCTTATAGATGTCCTACAGTTACCCCAGCTCCTGGACCTTTTGGGGGAAAATTACATTACTGCATACAATTTCTTTTCCCCAGATTTAAAGCTTATGTGATATATAGCAATTTCCCTGCTTATTTCTGAAGGAGTTATAAACCTCATAGACTTTTTAGAGAATCATTTATTTCTTCGAAAAGAATCTAATCTGAACTGACCTGGCTTTAAATTTCTCATCAGAAATTTAAAATACAGGCAAACTTGAGCAAAATGCTTTTTTGTATCAAGTCTGCTTTAATCAATATTTCTCTTCTTTTTCTTTTCATAAAAGCTACTACTATTATCTCTTTGAGAAAACTAAAACCATAAATAATGTGCAGGTTTGAAAAAAATTGATCAATGCTGGATGTCATCATTAGAGTTCAAACTTCCTTTTAAAAAATTTTTTGACTTAATTTTACTTTTACTTTTTATGGTTTTTTTTTTTTTTTTTTTTGAGACAGAGTCTCGCTCTGTCACCCAGGCTGGAGGGCAGTGGTGCAACCTCTGCCTCAGCTCACTGCAACCTCTGCCTTTCAGGTTCAAGCAATTTTCCTGCCTCAGCCTCCTGAGTAGCTGGGATTACAGGTGTGTGCTGCCACGCCTGGCTAATTTTTGTATTTTTAGTAGAGATAGGTTTTCACCATGTTGGTTAGGCTGGTCTCGAACTCCTGAACTTAGGTGATCCACCTGCCTTGGCCTCTCAAGGTGCTCAGCCTCTCAAGGTGCCTGGCCTATTTTTTATGTATTTTTGAAGACAGGGTCTCATTCTGTCACCCAGGCTGGAGTGCAGTGGCATGATCATAGTTCGCGGTAGCCTCAACCTCCCAGACTCAAGTGATCCTCCTGCCTTAGCCTTCTGAGTAGCTAAGACTTCAAGTGCATGCCACCACATCCAGCTAATATTTTTAGCTGGATAATTATTATTATTATTATTATTATTATTATTATTATTATTTTGTAGAGACAGACTCCCACTGTGTTTCCCAGGATGGTCTCAACTTCTTGGGCTCAAACAATACTCCCACCTCGGCCCCCCAAAGTGGTGTGATTACAGGCATGAGGTACTATAGTTGCCCAGCCAGGGCTCAAGCTTTCGTGCAAACAAGACCCTCCATAAAAGAAAATCTCATCTTTGCTTGGAATGCCTGATAATACATTACAAAAGGCTTTATGGTATATATGTAAACCTTTGTTGATTAAAAGTTCTTGCAAATTCCAATGTGATTTTTTTTACTGGGTCCTAGGTTTAACAATGCTTTATCATAATGAACTTAGTGATTGATGATTTCATAGTACATAAGAATGTGTTTCCCTGATAAGACTTGCTATCCTTGAGTGGAAAGAATGAAATTCCCGGTTGCATAGAAATGTGTACACACACACACACACGCATGCACACATATTTTATATGTATCATCACGTGTGTGTGTGTGTGTGTGTGTGTGTGTGTGTGTGTGTGTGTGTGTATTTTCTGGTTTAGACCATCTCAGTAGGTTCACATTTCAGTGGCAGAAAATGTATGAAAAAAAGCATGGTAAAGCCTCATGCTCATTTTGGACGCTGTCCTTGGCAGAACTGAAAAGAGACCTCATAGAACTCTGACAGATCTAGACAGAAAGCTGATGCCCTTTCTCTCTAGATCTTCCCACTACAGAATGTCTAAGATACCAATGGTCTTAGTCTGTTCAGGCTGCTATAACAAAAATATCTTAAACTGGATGGCTTATAAACAACAGAAATTTATTTCTCACAGTTCTGGAGGCTGAGAAGTCCACAATCAAGGTCCCAATAGATTTGGTGTCTGGTGAGGGCCTGCTCCTTAGTTGGAGCACCTTTTCACTGTTTCCTCACATGGTGGAAGGGGTAAAGGCCATTCTCTGGGGCCTTTGTAATAAAGGCACTAATCACATTCATGAGGGCGGAGCCTTCCAAATCATCTCCCAAAGGCCCAATTGTTAATATAATCACATTAGAGATTAGGTTTCAACATATGAATTTTGAGGGGACACAAATATTCAGACCATAGTACCACTGACAAGAAGGAGGATATAATTGGAACTGATTATTCATCTCCCTTGAAGAATCCATCAGAACTCATTCCATCATGCCTTTAACACATGAAGTCCAAATTCCCAAATTATTATTTGTCTTTTGTGTGTTCTTCTTTACACTCTCTAATGGAGCCAAGATCATGCCACTCCCTGACCCTGAAAACCTGTCCATTATGTTCTTTGTAACTTAAAATCTCCAATCAAGAGAATCCCCTAGATCAAATACATCTTCTCTGAGTTTCTCTGTATTTTCTTGCTGTAATAGAAAACTGGCTGTCCTCCAAGTGCACTGCGTGCACTGCTTCCCTTGCAGCAGTATTCTTTCTTTCTTTTTTTTCTTCTTCTTTTTTTTTTTTTTTTTTTTGAGACAGAGTCTGACTCCGTTGCCCAGGCTGGAGTGCTGTGGCGTGATCTCGGCTCACTGCAACCTCCACCTCCCAGGCTCAAGTGATCCTCCTACCTCAGCCTCCCGAGTAGCTGGGACTATAGGCATGCACCATCATGCCTGGCTAATTTTTGTATTCTTTTTTGTAGAGACAGGGTTTCGCCTTGTTGCCCAGACTGGTTCAGAATTCCTGGCCTCCAGTGTTCTGCCCCCTTCAGCCTCCTAAAGTGCTGGTATTACTTGTGTGAGCCACTGCCCCCAGCATTTGCAACATTCTTTCTTGCATTAAGTACATTCATATCATTGTAGCCATCACCACCATCCATCTCTAGGACCTTTTCTTCTGCATCTCTCTTACCTGCTAGTTGTGTTCTCTCTCACCTGTCACATCCCACTGGACAGGGAGGGAGCAAGTGTCCCTTCCATTAACAATTTATTGAACAGCCCCAGTTGATTGAAGCATATGCCATCAGATCAAACTGAAGAGCAGACTAAACCCCTCAAAGTTATAGTCACCTACAGATCCTTAGTCTCAACAACCAGATTTTAGCACTTCAGTCACTAATTAGGTTTATAAAATTAAATTCAAAGTTTAGTAAAAGTTAACTCTTTTTTCGTTCTTCTGGATTAAATCTGATGGAAGAAAATCTGCCAGGAGAAAAGACAAGGAGTGTTTCACTTCTTCTCTATCCCTTGCCAAGTGCTTTTCCCCAAATACTAGGTTGCTTCTGGTTCCTGCATGGTTGAAGTGTGGGTATCAGTGGCTGCAAGAGAAGCAGCAAATGTTTACTTGACAGGTGTCAATCTGAAATTGGCTCTTTAAAGCTGACTTTCTTCTTGTGAGGGGTTTCATGGCAAAATGAATGAAAAAGTTGAAAGACAACAAGAAACTGGAAAAAAAAAACCCGTGTTACTTCATACTATAATATTTGGTGTAATTACCATAATATAGTTCACAATATATTTAAGAAACTCCTTGTTGGTCACATAGATGTTGTTTCTAGGATTTTCTATTACAAACATAGTAGCAGTGAATGCAATTGCATCTATAACTTTCTTCATTCAAGTAGACTTTACTTTTCAGAGCACTTTTAGGTTCCTAGCAAAATTGAGCAGAAAGTAGAGAGACTTGTTGTATACTCCCTTCTCCCTGACATCACAACCTTCCCTGCTATTGACATGTCCCACCAGAGTGGTACATTTATTATAACTGATGAACCTACATGGACATGTTCTTATTATCCAATGCCTATAGTTTACATTAGGGTTCACTCTTCGTGTTGTGCATTCTATGGCTTTTGACAAATGTATAACGGCATGTATCCACCATTAAAGTATTACACAGAATAGTTCCACTGCTCTCCAAATCCACTGTGTTCCACCTATTCATCTGTCCCTCTCCCCAACCCTTGGCAACCACTAAATTTTTTTATTGTCTCCATATTTTTTCTTTTCCAGAATGTCATGTATAGTTGGAATTGTACAATTTGTAAGCTTTACAGATAGTTTATTTCACTTAGTAAGATGCTTACTTAATTCTCTTAGTAATATTAAGTTTACTCCACATCATTTCAGTGCTTGATGGCTCATTTCTTCTTAGCACTGAATAATATTCCATTATCTGGATGTACCACAGTTCATTTATCTACTCACCTACTGAAGGACATTTTGGTTGCTTACAGATTTTGGCAATTATGAATAAAGCTTCTATAAACATTCTTGTGCAGATTTTTGTGTGGGTGTAAGTTTCCAAGTTGGTTGGGTAAATGCCAAGGAGCATAATGATTGGATTGTATGGTAAGAGTATATGTAATTTTGTGAGAAATTGCCAAACTGTCTTGCAAAATAGCTGTAGCATTTTGCATTCCAATTGGCAATGTATGAGAGTTTCCTGTTGCTACACATCCTCACCAACATTTGGAGTTGGAATTGTTCTGGATTTGGGCCATTCATTAATAGGCATGTAGTGGTGTCTCATTGCTGTTTTAATTTGCAATTCTCTAAGGACATATAATGTTGAGCATCTTTTCATATCTGTATATCTTCTTTGATGAGATGTCTGTTCAAGCCTTTTGCTCATTTTTAAATCTGTTGTTCATTTTCTTGTTGTTGAAATTTAAGAGATTTTGTATATTTTAGATAACACTTCTTTGTTAGATATGTCTTTTGCAAATATTTTCTCTTAGTCTGTGGCTTGTCTTCTCATTTTCTTAACAGTGTCTTTCACAGATGAGATGTTTTTAATGAAATCCAGTTTGTCAACTATTTCTTTCATGGATTGTGCCTTTAGTATTGTATCTAAAAAGTCATCTGCTTGTCTAAGGTAATCTAAATTTTCTCCTATATTATTTTCTAGGAGTTTTATAGTTTTATATTTTACATCTAAGTATTTATACCTTTTTTGTTGTTGTTGTTGTTGTTGTCGGAGAGGGAGTCTCACTCTGTCACCCAGGCTGGAGTGCGGTGGCACAATCTCAGCTCACTGCAACCTCCATCTACCAGGTTCAAGTGATTCTCCTGCCTCAGCCTCCTGAGTAGCTGTGATTACAGGTGCACACCACCACACGTGGCTAATTTTTGTATTTTTAGTAGAGATGGGGTTTCACCATGTTGGCCAGGCTGGTCTCAAACTCCTGACCTCGTGATCTGCCTGCCTCGGCCTCCCAAAGTGCTGGGAATACAGGTGTGAGCCACTGCGTCTGGCTGGTATCTATACCTTTTTACAATGTGTGGAATTATGTTGCTTTCCCCACTGCTTCACTAGACCTGGCTACTTGCCTGAAACATATCAGATTTGTTGAACAAAAATTCAAGTGTATGTGTGTATATATGTATGCATGTATTAGTATATATATTTTATAAGTGGAAAAATGTAGATCTAGTTTTATATTTTGAATAATAAAAATAGCTAGAAAAAATAAAATCTCAGCAGCATGTAGAAAGAATTCATTATATTTAAAAATGCATACCATTATAATGCATATTTTTGTTACTGTAGTAGAAGTCTGTTATAAAATGTAGACTAGGGACCAAAATAATGCCAAAATAATTTTTCCATAGGCTAGCTAGAAAAATAGATGATTGTGTATCATTTATATACATGGAAAACATAATGAAAATCTCCTAGAAGAGGAAATTTGTAACAGTATTTTACTAAAGTACAATATTTTGTATTTTTAGGCCCTTTGGCTCTAAAAAATTTATTGTGATATGACATTTTAAAAAGGTGTTTTTTGTTCCCAAGGGTGTCAGTTTATTAGGCATATATATACGCAATGTGCAGTCATGACCAGAGGGAGGTAAAGAATAATATTTATGGAGAGTAGATATTCTTTCATTTTCCCTGAACAACAAATAAAGAATGAAGAAGATTTGCCTTTATATTTTTGTGGGGGAGTGGGAGTCAAATTAAGATCCCATGATTAGAGAAGAGTGATGGGAGAAAAACCATCTCTGATAGCTTAGAGATTCATCTGGTGCTATAATACACACTCCACATGAAGGCAATTGTCTCAATAATATCCAATTTATTTAAAAGAGTAAATTATCGTTCACATTTGTTAATTTAAAAATTCAGTGTACAGAGAGCATACGACTTGAACTCAAGTTTCTTTACAAACTTGGGGTGCTATGTTGTGAGAGTTAGCGTACAATTTTGGTTGGTGTCTTTCCTGAATTTAGTACGTTAAATAAAGACACCAAGAACTACATGAGAAACAATGTATGATTCTTAAAAAGAAACTGAGTTTAATTATATCAGAGAAAAATCTGTTTAAAATAAATTCCTTTATTTAAAAAAATCCATACGATAAGATAATTTTGATATGTAACTGAAACCATATTGCTTTCAGGATGAGATCTTGTTGGCTGGAATGCATCAACTATTAGATAGTCCTTATATTCTGGGAAGATTCTTTGGCAGTTTTCGTCCCAACAGACTAGTTAAAGGGGCCTAAAGAGACAAGTTTTATTTAGGGTTTAACTGCTGAATATACAATCCAGTTTCTTTATAGGAAAACCACTGGAGTTAAAGAACTAATAGGATTTTAGGCTTGTTTATATGCCTAAGAAGATGATAGCACCAAAATCCATAATCAACACAGGGTAATTAACATTTCTACTTGTTTTTTATTTCAGCCTATGCTAGTTCCAAGGGTAACTGCTCTCTGTTTTAAAAATAAACATTTGAAGCCAGTGCATTTCAAATTGCATGTAAAGTATTACTTACTGTTAGTACAGTTAGTTATTTCTTTTTGTTCTATTTAATATTAGTTAAAATCCCAATATTTGTTAATTTTCAAGTGGGCATGTTCTTGGAGTCACTTTGTAAGTAATCAATAAGGAGATATGACAATCCATTCAGACTTCTTTTCTAGTTCCTCTTAGAGCCAGTGAAGGCTTGTCAGTACAAGAAGGTTTGGGTTAGCGTATTCAGAATCATAGGAAATTAAAACCAGAATGGCTAGCAGCTAGAGTTTGCATAGCTGACAAATGTGTGAAACTTTTTATAGTTTTTATTGAGTATATATTTTTTTCACATTTCACTATAAATTGGCATAGATATTAATAAGCCTCAAAGATATTTTAAAATATTTGGTCTATTCATTGTATACCACAAAACTTAAGAGACATTTGACTCCATTATGTATGATATTTTGCTTATTATTTTCAAGGAGACTGCTGTAATGCTGAAAACCTCAAGCCATGTGTAACCCATGGGTGGCGTGGTTAGGAGTGCTACCACTCTTTATCCTATTAACTCAGGCAGCCCTCAAACCAGCAATGCCTCCGGTGATCAAGAGCCAGCCTTTCAACATTTTCTGGGCAGCCCCAACAATGTATTGTATGCCTTCCTTCAACGTGGATATAAATCTTCAAGTATTTAACATTATATCAAATCCTTTAGAGACTCAGAGTGGGTCAAAAATTGCCATATTTTATCCAAATGAATTAGGGTATTACCCTTACTTATCTCAAGATGGAAAATCCTTTAATGGAGGAATACCGCAGAATGTGAGCCTTTCTGAACACCTTAGGAAAACTGCTGATGACATTGGAGAAGGTGTCCCTTGGTGGAGATCAGAAGAACTTGTTGTTATTGACTGGGAAAGTTGGAAACCCCAATGGGATAGAAATCAGGGCAGCAGAATAATATATAAAAACCACTCTTTAGCCTTCACTAGAAACCATCATCCTTATTGGTCAGAAATGAAAGTGGAAACAGTTGCCCGAGAGGAATTTGAAAATGCTGGAAAAAATTTCATGAACATTACTCTCACATTGGCTTTAGAAATGAGACCAAAATGTTTATGGGGCTTTTATCTCTATCCAGACTGCTACAATTATGATTACAGAATAAATCCAGAGACGTACACAGGTAATTGTCCAAATTGTGGCTGTGGGAAAAAAGCGCAGCACTTTATCCTTCAATACATTTGGATAAAATACTGAAGTCAAGCTTAAATGCTTTGAAATTTGTTCACTATCGAGTTAGAGAAGCCATGAGGGTTGCTGAAATGGCTAGACATGACTATGTTTTGCCAGTTTTTATTTTTTCCAGACCATTTTATTTGCATAGTACTGAAGCTCTGTCACAGGTAAGGAAAAGCACAGTCACTCACATTTAAAAAAAATGGAAATTTGGTAGAATAACTATATAAAGCCTATACATAAATGTTTTAGGATATTTATTTTCCCTTAGCAATACAATGCTGTTCTCTTATTAAACATGTATATTTCTTCAAATGTCAACTCAATTCTGAAAAATGTCACTGACAATTAGATGTACACTTAACACTTTTGGATAATGATTCTTACCAGCTTAGCATTCACAGGAGTTTCCTACAGAACAGAGGTTAAACTTGATTTAAATAATGTAACAGACAGATTAATTTTAACCAGAGAGAAATTTTAGAACTAACTTCTTAATATGAAAAGGTAACAGCAATTTTCCAAATCAAAAACGTGCAACATAGAGCTTAGGGTAAATTATTAACCAACTACATTTCTCATTATATTGCATTTGTATGTTTTAATTAGCTAGGCTAACTAAAAAAATTACATAGGTTCTCTTGATTTTGTCTTTAACAGTCAACAATGCAATCTAGTGGTTATTGTCAAGGCATTAAAACTGGTTTATATAAGGAGACAGATATTGTCTTTAGACTGAACACAAAGCTGGAAGCCTACAGATGTGGAGATGAGCTTGTTTAGAAGATAATAAGTTTGAAGACATGGCAAGTGTCCAAACTTTAACTAGATTGTCACATAGGACATTCTTGTAAGGATTCAATCATTGGATAGGTGGCTAGATAAGAAAATCCTCAAATCTCCATCTATACCTGAGAGCCAACAATACTTTATGCCAGTACCCAACACAGAAGCAGAGCTGTTGTATGGACAATACACAGCTCACTTAGACCACTTAGGTTTGAGATAAGGCCATTTAAAAGCAGTAGCAATTCTTCCTAAATATTTCAGAATAAAATCCAATTATTAATTAGACTTGACATATTCATCTTTGCAGGATTACTCAGTATTATTCAGAATGGGCTATTCATTCAATAAGTTTAGAAGGAAAAGAATCATAGCATTATGACAAAAATTTGGAAGAATCTCATGGGCACTAACCCATCTCCTACCCAAATAAAAACCCTTTCTTATACTTTAACACTTTTTGATGGGGGCACTTCTTATATTAGAAGGGAAACTGCCATTTGGGGGAAATATTAATTCCTAGAAAGTTTTTAAGTATATTTAATCTACTTTGCCTCTTAATAACTTCATACCACTAGTTCTAATTCTACCTTCTGGTGCAACATAGAATACAGCAAATCCTTCTTTCAAAAGCCAGTTGTCCAGGTATTTTAGGATATCAGGCCTGCCTACCAAAGTCTTCTTGCTAAGGTATTCCTCAAGTGATGCCAGCTTTCTCAAATCATTTTACTATCTTAAATCCTTTTCAGAAAAATAACCTGGGTTATATTTATTCATTGAGAAATTCTTGAGTGCCTACCTTGTGTCAGGAATTACATGTTATTAGTAATAACAGTAGAAAATAATAATAATTCATGCAGTCAAAGAGTTCACCTTGAGAGAAAATGGGAGAATGAGATGAGCCACATTTTCATAAAAGCCTTGTTCATTGCTTTCCTATTTTTTGTACTATTGGACTTTTTAATCTTTTTTATTTTTAATTTTTGTGGGTACATTAGACTTTTAAAGTAAATTATATGCTAAGTATCACCTCTGAGCTCTACTTGAGAAATCAATAGACTGCATTCTCTACTCACCAAAATATATAGAATCACCTGAGCATTATATTGAATTGTTTTAATTGCCTTCCATGTATCATATATCAAAAAACAGTATGGGTTTTTCTCACCTTTGGTCTAAGTAACATAACTTTCCAACGCATTTTTTTTTAAACCAGTCCTGTTTGGTATTTGCTTTCAGGAGTGTCTCAATTAAAATAAGCGACTACATTTAGGTTTAAGGAATGTGATATTAGTCAGTATAATGGAAGAATGATTTCCTTTCTTGTTGTATTACTTAGACAAATTGCAGAACATAAATGCCAGTATTGCTGAAACCTTCCTATAACGCAGGAAAGCTTACAGTGGCGTGACAATTTACTCATTGCAGTCTGTGAGCACTCCACCTTTGCACTGGATCTCTGACTCTCCATACCTTGTAGGGGAGAAAAGAATGCAGATTGCACCATTGGTCATCCCCTTTATCTCCCATCTCTCCCTATTTCCTACTTCTTTGCTCTTGGCCTATATACATTAGCATAACATCCTCGGTTTCTTATCTTTATGAACTGTAATCTATATAGTCACCCAATTTGAAAGTCACTTGGCTGCCTCCCTTTTCCTCTTTCCATTATCGGATGGGTAACTAAAACTTATCCATCTTTATTTCCAAATAACTCTTCAATCTATTCCCTCTGCTTTACAAGGATTTACATTGCCTTTGTTGAGGCATCATCATTTCTCACCGAACAATTTCTATCACCTCCTAATTGGTGTTCCTGCCTGTACTATCTTGACCTTCCCCTCCAATGCATTCTTCTTCTTTTTTTTTTTTTTTTTTGAGATGGAGTCTCGTTCTGTCACCCAGGCTGGAGTGCAGTGGTATGATCTTGGCTCACTGCAACCTCCGTCTCCTGGGTTCAAGTGATTCTCCCACCTCAGCCTCCTGAGTAGTTGGGATTACAGGCGTGTGCCACCACGCCGGCTAATTTTTGTATTTTTAGTAGAGACAGGGTTTCACCATTTTGGTCAGGCTGGTCTCGAACTCCTGACCTCAGGTGATCCACCCGCCTCAGCCTCCCAAAGTGCTGGGATTACCCATCTTCCAATGCATTCTTTATATGCAAAAAGAAAAAAAAAATCAAAGTTGCAAATTTGTGTCTTTCCAGCACTAAATATTTAACATTTATTTATGTATTTATTTATTTGAGATGGAGTCTCGCCCTGTCACCCAAGCTGGAGTTTAGTGACAGGATCTCGGCTCACTGCAACCTCCGCCTCCTGAATTCAAGAGACTCTCCTGCCTCAGCCTCCCGAGTAGCTGGGATTACAGGCAGGCACCACCATGCCTGGCTATTTTTGTATTTTTAGTAGAGATAGGGTTTCACCATGTTGGCCAGGCTGGTCTCGAACTACTCACCTTGAGTGATCTGTCTGCCTCGGGCTCCCAAATTGCTGAGATTACAGGCGTGAGCCACTGCACCTGACCAGTTGTCTTAACACTTTAAAACAGCATTTTTCTCTTTGTATTTGGATTCTGTTTATACATAGAAATTCATATGTTTTTACTTTCCAAATTCTGTGTGCTTTACCACAAGGAAGTACTGGGAGTTCTCTGGATGGACTGTGATTTTGCCTGGATCTAAGTCTCTGCTCTTATTCTTCCTGTGGATATAAAACTCTGCTCTCTCTAGACTGTCTTGTGAATTCATACTCATTCTCAAGAGTCTACTGATTCTCATTCCCAAGAGTCATATGAAATTTAACGTGTTAAGGAAGCCTTCCCAGACTCTTCCATGAAGTATTAAGCACTTCTAATTTATATATGTTTTGTGAGTGCTACTAATATAAAAATTATTATGTTATAGTCACTTGTTTATATGTCTGTCTCAACCATTAGACTAAAAAGCATTCCTTCAAGAAAAGGAATTGAAATCTATTTCATTTTTATATTCTCAGTGTTTAGAATATTGCCTGGAACATTGTAAATATTTCTCAAATAAATCTAAGAATCCAAGGCAGTATCACCTTTTCCAATTCTGGTATGGTCTTTTGTTTTATTTTTTGTATGATAGCTTTATTTAAAAGAAATGCCTTTTTTTCTGTGTATTAAAATTTATATTTTAATTGACATATACAATTGTATGTATTTATCATATACAACATAATGTTTTGAGGTACATATACATTGCAGAATGGTTAAATCTAGCTAATTAACAAATTCATGACCTCACAGTTATTTTTATTTTAAGAACATTTAATATCCACTCTCTCAGCATTTTTCAAGAATACAATATGTTGTCATTACCTATAGACACCATGCTATACAATAGATCTCTTGAACTTATTCCTCCTATCTAATTGTAATTATGTATTCTTTAACCAACATCTCCTCAATCCCCTCTCCCTCCTAACCACCTCAGCCTCGGGTAATCACCATTCTACTATCTACTTCCATGAGATTAACTTTTTCAGATTCTATCTGAGTGAGATCACGCAGTATTTACCTTGTGGTACAGTCCTTTGTTTTGGAAACAAAGATATCATTATTAACGTGTTCCTTACCACAGTTGAGGGATTGAGTCTTATTATTGCATTATCACTGACAAAATTTGACTTGGTGGAAACTACTCCTGATACCTCTCTTTTCTAGGAGGACTTAGTGCATGCAATTGGCGAAAGTGCAGCATTGGGGGCAGCAGGAGTAATATTGTGGGGAGGATATGAATATTCTGCTTCAAAGGTAAGCAATGATTTCTCTGTCAGCAACTTGAATATACTTTTGAGATTGGTTTAAAAACATTTTTTTTTTCGCATCAGAGTCAAATGGTTGCTGATTATCTGCTTACTTGACCTTAGTGAAATTCAAAAAGTACAGGGTCTAACATTGAGCACCTACTCCATACCAGCCATTGTGGTTAGTAGAAGGGTAGAAAGAGCACAATCATTCTAATCAGACAGCTAAGTGAGAAACTGATGTTTATGTCCTAGGGGTGTAATTTTGAGCATGTTAGTTAACATTTCTGAGTCTCAGCTTCTCCATCTAAAAAATTAGACTAAAATAAAACCTCCTCTGCAGGATTTTGGTAGATTAAATGGCATAATATATATGTGACAAACAAAAAGTAATAAATTTTAAAAATGAATAATTATTTCATTTGCACTGAGGGCAGATTCTCCAAAAATGATAAATAATTCTTTTTTTTTCTTTTTTTTTTTTTTGTGAGGCAGTCTCACTCTGTCACCAGACTGGAGTGCAGTGGCGCAATCTTGGCACACTGCAACCTCTGCCTCCCAGGTACAAGTGATTCTCGTGACTCAGCCTCCTGACTAGCTGAGACTACAGGCATGTGCCACCATGTCTGACTTATTTTTTTGTATTTTTAGTAGAGACAGGGTTTCGTTATGTTGGCCAGGCTGGTCTCAAACTCCTGGCCTTAAGCTATCTGCCCGCCTCAGCCTCCTAAAGTGCTGGGATTACAGGCATGAGCCACTGTACCTGGCCCAAAAATGATTCTTTACTTTGCTGATTACCTATTATAGAAATGCATGTGGGAGAAAAATCTATTTGTATATAAAGGTTTATTAACAATCTACTCTGTTCTGGCTGGGCACGGTGGCTCACGCCTGTAATCCCTGTAATCCCAGCACTTTGGGAGGCCGAGGCAGGTGGATCACTTGTGGTCAGGAGTTCGAGACCAGCCTGACCAACATGGAGAAACCCCGTCTCTACTAAAAATACAAAATTAGCTGGATGTGGTGGTGCACACCTGTAATCCCAGCTACTCAGGAGGCTGAGGCAGGAGAGTCGCTTGAACCTGGGATGCAGAGTTGGCGGTGAGTCAAGATTGTGCCATTGTGCCCCAGCTTGGGCAACAAGAGTGAAACTCCATCTCAAAAAAAAAAAAAAAATTACCAATCCCCCTTTTATTATAAGAACACTTAATATGAAATCTACCCTCTTAAATTTTGGAGTGCTTAATATATTGTTAACCATAGACACTATGTTGTACAGGAGATCTCTCGAACTTGTTTATCTAGCGTAACTAAACTAGCATATCTCGGACTTATTTATCTAGCATAACTGAAACGTTACAACCTTTAAATAACAATTTCTCATTTCTCCCACCCTCAGCCCCTTACAACTATTACTGTGTTCTTTGCTTCTACGAGTTTGGCTATTTTAGATACCTCGTAAGTAGAATCATGTAGCATTTGTCCTTCTGTGACTGCCTTAGTTCACACAGAATAATGTCCCCCAGGTTCATCTGGTTGTCATAAATGACATTATTTCCTTCTTTTAAAAGGCTGACTAATATTTCATTGTATGTATATACCGAATTATCCTTATTCATTTATCTGTCAACAGACACTTGGATTGTTTCCATTTCTTGGCTATTGTGAATAGTGCTGCAATATACATGGGAATGCAGACACCTCTTTGAGATTGCAATTTCACTTCTTTTATATATCCAGAAGTATATATGCATTTATACTGAATCATATAGTAGTTATTATAGTTAGAATTTTTTGAGGAATCTTCCATACTGTTTTCCATAGCTCTTGTACCATTTAACATTCCCATCAACAGGGTATGGGGGTTCCCATTTCTCTACAACTTCAACACTTGTTATCTTTTATTTTTTAAATAATACCCATCCTAACAGGTGTGAGGTGATAGCTCATTGTTTTGATTTACATTTCCCCAATAATTATGATTTTGAGCGTCTTTTCATATACCTGTTAGCTCTTTGTATGTCTTCTTTGGAGAAATGTTTGTTCAAGTCCTTTGCTTAATCTTTGATTGGGTTATATATATTTTTTGCTGAGTCATAGAAGTTCATTATATATTTTGGATATTGACCTCTATCAGACATATGGTTTGGAAATATTTCTACTATTCTGTAGGTTATCTCTTCATACTGCTGTTTCTTTTGCTGTGCAACAGCTTTTCAGTTTGATGCATCCCATTTGTCCATGTTTCTTTTTGTTGCCTGTCCTTTTGGTGTCATGTCTAAGGAATAATTTCCAAGACCAGTGTCAAGAAGCATTCTCCCTATGTTTTCTTCTAGGAGTTTTACAGTATTCGGTCTAATGTTAAATAAGTCTTTAGTCCAGTTTGAATTGACTTTTGTGTGTGGTATAAGATAGGGATCCAATTTCATTTCTGGGCCTACAGATATCTAGTTTTCCCAACTCCATCTCTTGAAGAGACTATCCTTTCTCTGTTGTGTTCTTGGCACTCTTGTCAAACATCAGTTGATCATATATGTGTAGGTTTACTTCTGGACTCTCTATTCTGTTCCTGTGACTTGTATATCTTCCTTTATACCAGAAACATAGTGTTTTAATTATTGTAGAATTGTAATATATATTTAAATGAGGAAATATGAAGCCTCCAGTTTTGTTCTTCTTTCTCAAGGTTACTTTGGCTGTTCTGGGCCTTTTGTGGTTCCATATAAAGTTTAGTTTTTTGTTTTCTATTTCTGTAAAAAATGCCATTGGGATTTTGATGGGGATAGCATCAAGCCTGCAGATCACTTTGGATAGTATGGACATTTTAACAATATTAAGTTTTTCTATCCATAAACATAGGTTATCTTTTATTTATGTCTCTTTTAACACCTTTTATCAATATTATGTAGTTTTTGATGTACAAGTCTTTCACTTTTTTGGTTAAGTTTATTCCTAAGTATTTTATTATTTTTAATGGTATTGTAAATGGAATTGTTTTCTTAGTTTCCTTTTCAGATGGCTCACTATTAATAGATGGAAATTCAACTAATTTTTGTATGTTGATTTTGTATCCTGCAACCTTACTGAATTTCATTATTACTTATGACATTTTTTGTAGTTTTTAGGGTTTTCTATATATAGAACTATATCATCTGCAGCAAGAATAATTTTAAATTCAGATTCATTTTTATTTCTTGCCTAATTGCTCTAGCTAGGACTTCTAGTACTACGTTGAATAGAAGTGGTCAGAGTTGGCTGGATGAGATGGCTCATGCCTATAATCCCAGTACTTTGAGAAGCTGAGGGATGAAGGTTGCTTGAGGCCAGGAGTTCAAACCCAGCCTTGGCAACATAATGTGACCCCATCTCTACAAAAGGTAAAAAAGAAAAAACTAGCCAGGTGTGTTGGTGTGTGCTTGTAGTCCTAGCTTCTCAGGAGGCTACAGCAGGAGGATGACTTGAACCCAGGAGTTCAAAGCTGTAGTGAGCTATGACTGTGCTACTGCACTTCAGCCTGGGTGACAGACTCCATCTGTTAAAGAAAAATAATTAAATTAAAATGAATAAAAGAGAAGTGATTAGAGTGAGTATCCTTGTGTTATTTCTGATGTTAGAGAAAAAGCTTTCAACTTTTCATCATTGACTATGATGTTAGCTATGGGCTTGTCATATGTGGCCTTTGTATGTTATGGCACATTCTTTCTACACCTATTGTTTTAAGAGTTTTTACTGTGAAGGGGTGTTAAATTTTTAAAAAGTGCTTTTTCTGCTTCTAGTAAGATGATCATAGGATTTTTATTTTTCATTCTGTTTATGTGGTATATCACATTTATTGATTTGTGTGTGTTGAATCATCCTTGCATCCCAGGAATAAATCCTACTTGATCATGGTGTATGATACTTTTAATGTGCTATTGAATTTGGGTTGCTATTATTTTGTTGAGGATTTTTGCATCCAGTTTCATCAGGGATATTGGCTGATAATTTTCTTTTCTTACAGCATCTTTGCCTTGCTTTGGTATCAGGGTAATGCTGGCATCATAAAGTGAGTTTGAAAGTGTTTCCTTTGCTTCAATATTTTTGAAGAGTTAGAGAGAGATTAGCATTATTGTTTTAATGTTTGGCACAATTCACTGGTGAAGTTTTCAGGTCCAGGGCTCTTCTTTGTTGGGAATTTTTGGATTAATGATTCAGTCTCCATGTTCGTTATTGGTCTATTCAGATATTCTATTTGTTTTTTCATTTTTAGTTCTAGAAGTTATATATACACACACATATATATTTATATATATACACATATATATTTTATATATATATATATACACACACACACACACATATATTTATATATATATGAATTTATTCATTTCTTCTAGGTTATCCCGAGTTACCTAGATAGTACATACAAAATAACTCTATTAATTTTCACAAAATAACTACTACTTTTCTAAAGCTGCCTTTGAGTATGGTCATCCATCCCACTGCTTAAGTGAAAATTCTGAGACCACAGCTCTTCCTCACTTCCAGGCATTAACAAACAGTCTCAGTTTCAGGAATTAAAATGTCTAGTCTTATAAAATATAAAAATAGCAATCTCTTTTCATTCAGTGTGACACAAGTTAGGATGTCAGCATTGTTAAGAACAGGAGTCCTGTGATGAGACTGCTTGAGTTTCAATGCTCACTTTTTGTCACCTACTAGCTGTGTGACCTTGATCAAGTAATTGACTTTTCAATTTCTTTATCTATACAATGAAAGAAATAATAGTATCTCTCCTATAGGACTTTTATGAGAATTACACTATTGATATATATAAAGCACTTAAAACTGTACATGGCAGATGGCAAGTGCCATGTAAGTGTTGATTATTACTTCTTACCTCTCTTCCCCACACACCAGGCTTGGATCTGAGGTGTGGAGAAGAGGGGTATGGTGAGTTCTTTTGTTCAGCTAATTCAAAGATGGGTTTAGAAGATGGGGATGAGGATGAGAAAAGGTGGCAATATAATTTTTTTAAGTTTAATGACATTAGTAATTATCTTTCCTGCTGAAAGCCTTTTGATACGGCTGCCATTTAGTGGCTGACTTTTTCTTACATGAAGCGCTGCTGCAATTTGGTTACAGGAAACCCCCTTCTCCCCACAACTCTCACCACCACCTCCTTCACCCCCGCACATGACACCATTCTCTGCTTTGAACAATGCAGGCTTTAGCTACCACCTTGAAACTTCCCCTTTACTTCTTCCCCAGAAGTACCTCCTACATTCCCTTTGCCCTTGGACTTTTCAGGAAGATGCATGCCTGGCTACCTGTGTAAAATCCACTTGGATCATGAAAATACTCCTGTACCCTTGTTCTGTTAAATTACATGAAGGCAGGCCACTCCCACTGCTGTCATCTCTCCTCAGTGTCTTTATTCCAAGAACCTGTAGCAGAGCTTTGCACATAATAATGTGTGCTGAATAAATATTTGCAGAGTGAATAAATAAACATGTCAGCCTCCAAGCTCCCAGTAGTTCCCGTGTGGTTCTAGGACAGTGCTCTCTACTTCAAATTCCTTTCACAGAACATTCCTTCTGCCCTGATAATTTCTAGCCATTTATATATGCTGGAGATGGGTAAATGTCTCTAACTCCTTAGTTGTCAACCCCACTGTCTTCAGCTTTGGGTTTCAGGTGAAATCTCTCTTTCTCTCTCTCTCTCTATATATATATCTATGATAAATCTATATATATAAAATGTATTTAGATTTTTATAAATTATATGTAAAGTTCCTGTCTTTTTTTTAACCACGTTACATATAAATGGTGTAACAGGTTTCCCCTAATTGAAGCATGTATTTGGGATGGTCTGATTAAATCCAAACTGTCACATAGACAAAATTCTCTTTTAGATTCCTGATGTAAATCTTTAAATACAGATCATCTTTCCTTAGAGCAGCTGAAATAGCCATGTAATCACATCCAAGAGGCTGACAAATCCAACTCTAGAAGCAATAATTAAGGTTGATATAATCAAAACTTTCATAGTAAAATAGAAGAGGAGGTAGTGAGATGGAGAGACAATGGGTTATAAAGAATCTGGCTTTTCCCAAAGAGAGATCTGGCCTTTGTCCTTGGCTTCTGGGTGGTAATCTGGGGATATCTTTGTTTAGGGTGGATATAGTCACACCTAATAGTTTTATGATAAGGGCTGACTATGCCCCAAGAATCAACCATGTCACAAAGGGTGAAACAATGGGTAGATGCTTCAAGCTATGCATTATCAATGAGTTGGAGCTTGAGTTGAACCACTTAGTCAATCAATCAATCATGTCTCTTCCTTTTTTGATTAGTTAGGCTTGTCAGATATAAATGTTTGATGGTTTTCTTTTTTTGAAGACCTATTCTTTATCAATTCAATTTTCTAATTCATAAATTTATACTTTTAACTTTATTATTTCTTTTCATGAGATTGCTTTCTAAAAAATTATTTTTCTAATTTCTTGAATGCTTGTTAAATTTATTATTTTATTCCTCTATGTTAAATAATCAAAACTATTGCAATAAAAAGTGTTACTTTTGCATCTAGTATTAGCATGCTTTAAAATGTTAGGACATTTTTTCCAGATCCAAAGACAGAGTAGAAGATAAACTTCCACAAAAAGGTGCACATTTCTTTGGATAAAGATTTAAAATTAGAAGCTAATTTTATATATTTAGCTAATGCTCCAGATACACAGAATGTCAAGAAAGTTTGCCATAATGGGTAGAATGTCACTTGCTGGGTTCTGGGAAATTGGTGACCAGCTTCTGATAATGAGATAGAGATAGGAAATGCACTGATTCAATGCAGCAGGTAGCAACTAAGGTGGAGCTTCTAAGAGTGGAAAAATGACTGAGAAGATGCAGAGAGTTGGGGGAACAGGAAGCATGGAAAAAAGCGTAAATGGAAAGCAAGCCACTCAGTACCCCATCAGCTACCAGTACACAGTGCTGTATAGCTGAATGGGAGTCCAGGTGAAAGCCAATGCCAAAATGCCTTGTTTCTGGTTTGATAATTGGATTGCCCGGTAAACAAAAGCACTTATGACTAGGCATTGACATTGAAAATTACTTTGGATGTATTAACACATTTTAACATGTAGTATTCCAGTTGCTTTTATTTTTCTAATTAATTTGAAATTGTAATTTTAAAAATTTCCTTTTAGACCAAATTGCTACTTGGGAGGATATTTTTAATCTGTAAAAAACTAGGATTTTTGTGTCTACTTCTTTTATTATTGATTCCTATTTTACTTAATTATAGAGAGAAATATATGTATGCTCACTGTATTTAGAACAGATTGTGGAGACTAGTTGGGAGGCAATCATCCAGGCGAGAGCTAGTAGTGATCTGAAACAGAATGGTAGCAAGGGTTGAATTCTGGATATATTTCAAAGGTAGACTGAAAAGGACTTGCTGATGGATTAACTGTAAGGGGAAAAAGGAGTGATGAATAACTCCAAGATTTTGCTCCTGAGGCACTGGAAAGAGGGAGTTGGCTTATGCTGAGATGGGGAAGTCTGGGAAGAGGGTCAGATTATGTTGGAGTATGTTAAGTTTGAAATGCTTGTACAACATCCAGGTAGAGATGTCAAGTAAATAGGTGGGTATATAATCAATTCAGGGATAAGGTCTGGGTGGTACACATTTGGGGGTTGTATTTAAACTAATGAGATGGGGTGAGCTTATCCAGTGAAATAGTACAGCTATAGAAGAGAAGAGGTCTAAGATTTAAGCCAGGGGCACTTCAGTGTTAAATGTAGGAAAGATGAACAGGAGCCAGTAAAGAAGACTGAGAAGGAACATCTAGTGAGGTTGGGGATAAAACAGGGATGTGATGTTCTGGAAGCTAAGTGAAGAAGGTATTTCAAGGAGGGCGGCTGCAACAGAACAGGGAATGCCCAAGTTGAAGTTGATTATATTTGCCAGTGTTCTGTGTTGTCTTCATTTGACTCCTGCCGACCTTTGTCTTTCTTGGTTGCTTTTTCGTCCTTCCTCTTTTTCCTTCCCAACTGCCCTTTTCCCCTTCCTTCTTTCCTTTGCTTCAATTGTTTGCCTGTTTTATTTTATTGTGTCTTTCTTAGAAACCTCCTCAGATGCCTCAGACAAGGAGTCCTGTCCTGACTAAAAACAGCATGTGTTTCTAAACATAGTATGAGACTGCCTCCGATTGAATGTGCCTGTAACAAATAATATTGCTTACATGATCTTCAGAATTTGCTATTGCCAAAGTGCTGGCCTCGTTCAACTACCTGTCAATTAAGAGCTTTATTCTGCCTTATGACTTTCAATTTGAATCTCCCAAATCTTTACCAGATGGAGTCACAGTTCTGGGGCCTCCTCTTACTGAGAAAATATCCCACTGTTCTAAGCTTAATTGGTTTTTAATTATGAATTAGTTTTAATATTGATAAAATAAATAATTAAATGCTAATAGAAAACTCAATTTATGTTATTAATTAATCTACTAGAATTTTTCCATGGTCCTACCTGTATGGATCAAGGCAGACATTTATCAAGATTCCTGCCAGGCTCTTCTGGATTAGCTGATAATATCATTTCAATTAGGTTTGCCCATCCTAGCTGCACAATGTGATCATTAATCTGTAGAAATGTGTCCTAGAGTTAAAGCCCAATGCTATGGACACACCAATGAAATACCCAATGGTAGACTTGTGGGAAGACATTCTTACCTACTATCATTGGACCCTATATACAATGTACAAGTAACACTAGCATTTGGTGTAAATAATGATCTTTTATATTCTACCTCCTAAAAACTGACTGATGGACAAGTAAAGTATGTTATATTTATATTATGAAATACTGACCAGCAATTAAAGTGGAAAAATGCTACATGTATCAACATAAAAAATGGAAAATGTTAAGTTCAAAAAGCAAATTGCAGAAATATCCTACATGATTATATATACGTAAATGTTTAAAAAGCACAAAATAATACTCCCTCTTGTTCATAATTACACACACACACACACACACACACACACACACACACCTCTAAAAACTTGGATGAGAACTCATCAACTTTAGGAGAATTGTTATCTCTTCAGAGGTAGGGAGAAGAATAGGATGACTTGGTAGTTTTTGAAAAATCTGACCTAATGTTAAAATATATTGAGTATCAACATTGAAAATGTTTCACAATTAAAGTTCAATTTTAACAAACCATCCCCATATTAATGATATCTTTTAAAAGTATCACTACAAATATATCTTTACATTAAGGAACAGTCTTTACTGGGACACTGTGAGATCATCTTCACCTGGAAATGATACGAATTTGGTTGGGTCATAGTCTTCCCAATTAAAGGCATGGCTCATTACTCACATGACCCTATAAAGGCTTAGTCCCTCCTTTAAATAGCTAATCCACACAAATGCTCCTCCTCCTCAGCCTTACCAAATACAAAACTTTAGGCATTAATACTGCCTGGATTATGGAATCACACTTTGAAAGTGCTTTAAGTAGATTTCTGTTTTTCCTACAGGAGAACTGCTTATCTGTGCAGCAATCTATCCGAGGGCCTTTGGGCCATTATGCTGTGAATGTGACATCTGCAGCCAAGCTCTGCAGTCAGAGTCTATGTAACAATCATGGAAGAGTATTCGAAAAACACCTGAGTCCTCCTTCTATCTGCATATGCCTGAAAGCAGTGGTAAGAAATATGTTCTAAACAAGAGTTTCAGATTCATCATTTCTGAAAATAATAAACAGAAGACAATAACAGACATGAAGAATGGATTTGTGTGTCACTGCTATTACGGCTGGCATGGACCGTCTTGTCACGATCACTCTTCAGATCTCCTAAGAGTGATGAATAAGGCTCCTACTATTAACTTCAATTTATTAGTTTTTCTCATTATGGCTTCTTCTGTGATTCTGCTAAAAAAAATTTTAGCCCTTACTACAATGCCAATTTTTTCTTGAAATACCAAACAGTAGCAAGTGTTGATTTTTTTCAACCTCAAGCCTCTCCCAAAATATGTATTGACTTTAAAGTAAAAAATAAAAATAAAAAAGTTAGTCATTGATGCCACTCATTGATACAGCAATTATTTACTGGGTGTTTACCTCATGCAAGGCAATAGGGAAAAGAAAGTGAATATACCTGCTCTCAGGGAGCTTAAATACTTGTGGGAAAATGAACAATGATAAATAAGCAATAAACAAGCCTGGACAACATAGCAAGATCCCATCTCTACAAAAAATGTAAAAAATAGCTGAGTGTGGTGGTGTGGACTGTAGTCCCAGCAACTTCAGCCTGAGGTGGGAGGATCATTGAGCCCAGGAGTTCAAAGCTGTGGTAAGCTATGATTGTGTGACTGCACTGCAGTCTGAGTGACAAAGTGAGACCCCGTCTCAAAAAAATTTTTTTAAAGACCCAATAAACTAACAAGCACACATATATTTGGTGGCTGCAAGTGCTCTGGAGAATAACAATGAGGGGTAAAATGATTAGGGAGTGTGAGAGAACACTGGAAATGTAAGAGAGTCAAAGCCTCTCTGATGAGATGTCTTGAAGGCAGGAGCAGGTCACAAATAGATCCGAGGAAATGCATTCTTGGAATAGGGAATAGCAAATGCAGAAGCAAATCGCTGTTTGCACTCCAGTAATTGGGGATCCCTAAATATTACAAGTGACCATTTTCTCAAGTTAAAAACAGATCATGAAAAGCATTCAGGTTTTGTCGTAGTTTATTTTAACTTGAATAATTTTGGACTTCCAGACTGTAATACTTTGTCAACTGTCTCATAAAAATGAGTATCATCAATTATGTCTTATGCTGAGATGAACATTTTTTTCTAAAATAAAAAATCAAAATTTAAACTCTTCCTATGCTTATGATAATTTTCCAAGAGAAATTAGTAACAGGTACACCTGTAAGCAAAATATCTTATAAATACCACAAATCACTTTAGCAAATAAAACCTATCTTCTAAGATGAGAGGTAATATCTGTTAGAAACCCAAAGAGGGCTTATTTCTGTCCTGAATAACCTGAAAAATGACACTTTTGTCTACTCTTTAGGGCAGTATTGTTTCTTACCTCGCATTATTGTTAGAAAACAACAACAACACAGCACTCTTTATCTGGACATAAACTTTTTCATGGGACACCTGTTTTTCCCAGTCTCTTACTATTCCATACAACCCACAATTTTCTGAATCAGAAGGAATTTATGTATTCATTTCACAAGCAGTATGTTATAATCAGTCTTTCTGGTCTTTAGTAGATTCATGTCATGGCTATTTTTATATTGGAGACATTCTTTACAAAGTCTTTTGACTTTATCTTCTAATTTAGACTCTCATCTTTGTCTCAAGATAATTTGCTTTCAATTTTTTTTTCAAATAGTTAGCTAATTTTCACTGTTCAGTTATAAAATTACTATTAGATAGATCTTGGCTTTTCTACATCTGAACCCTGTGTTGCTTTCCTCTCACATTTCTAAGTCTTTGTCTTTTTTGCCTCATATTATGGATTTGCTAACCTCTTTTTCTAGAATACTAGTTTGTTCTGCACTTTCAATGGTTTGGCAATGGTTTATTAGTCCCCACCAAAACTCACATTGAAATTTGATCCCAAATGTGGTGGTATTAGGAGGTGAGACCTAATGGGAGGTGTTTGGATCATGGAAATGGATCCCTCACAAAGGGCTTAGTGGCATTGTTGTGGTACTGAGTTCTTGCTCTGGCAAGACTGGATTAGTTCTCATGGGAATGAGTGAGTTCCCTTGTCTATGGGTTGTTATAAAGCCAGGCTACCCCTTGATCTGCTTCCCCTTTGACCTTCTCTGCCATGCTGTGATGCAGCATGAAAGCCCTCACCAGAAGCCAGGGCCATGATCTTGAACTTCCCAGCCTGCATCTTTTCTTTATAAACTACCCAGCCTCAGGTATTTGACTATAGCAATGCTAAATGAACTGAGACACCACCATATTTTGATATTTGTTTTAATTTCGGAGAACTCTTTTTTGTGTGTAATATGATTGCTCCTTTGTTATAGTACTCTTATTTTGGTTTGGTTCAACAACTTCTTAAATCTCTCTGAGGCTGTTAATTAGATTATTGAAAATTGTTTCTATTGTTATACATTTTATTCTATTCCATTTCCTTTGAGAATAGAATGTTCCCTTTGTTAATTTCCTTTATACTTTTGGTCTGTATCAAATGTTTTGTGATCTTTGGTCATCTGTTTATATTTACAAAGGACCAGAGTAATTGAAAAATCTGTCATAGGGATTTCTGCCCCCCTCCCCATGCGTTTGTTGGGCATATTTACTCAACAGGATTATTTCATTGAATGAAAGGATGGACTGTAGATTCTGAAAGTGGTTGGGACATATTGACAAGTGAGAGTGCATCTGTAGCAGATGAGTAGAAACCAGGCAGGTTAGTAGAACCCCTCATAATTATCAAAATAGGTAGAAAATTATCATGGAAAAGGAGTGTAATTCTTTCCTGGGATGAGCAGCCTTTCCTTTTTTTTTCCCTTCCATGCCCACTGGAAAGATCCAGATATATTCATTTTAGGTCTGCTTTTATATTTGGTTCAACATATAAACTCTGAACCTGTGTAGGAAGAGCTTTCTCTTTACTTAAATGTCTTGGGGTCAAATGTCTCTACTGCTTGCCATTCTATGCATTCTGGTAAGTTAAATAGTGGAACTGGTTCTGCTGTGTTGAAATAAATATTTTCCTTGATGTGATAATTTGTCCTCCACCCATTTCCATTTTTTGAATATTAGAATTTCTCTTTCTAATGGAAGGAACAGCTCATATATCTAAAGTAACTCTGTTTTTCTTTCTTAAAATTTTTTTTATTTCCATAGGTTTTGGGGGAACAGGTGGTATTTGGTTACATGAGTTAAGTTCTTTAGTGGTGATTTGTGAGATTTTGGTGCTGCCATCACCCGAGCAGTAATCACTGAACCCGATTTGTAGTCTTTTATCCCTGATCCCCTTTTCACCCTTTCCCCCTGAGTCCCCAAAGTCTATTGTGTCATACTTTTTTTTTTTTTTTTTTTTTTTTTTTTTTTTTTTTTTGAGACAGAGTCTCGCTCTGTCGCTCAGGCTGGAGTGCAGCGGTGCCATCTCGGTTCACAGCAAGCTCCACCTCCCGGGTTCACATCATTCTTCTGCCTCAGCCTCCCGAATAACTGGGACTACAGGTGCCCACCACCATGCCTGGCTAATTTTTTTTGTATTTTTAGTAGAGACGGGGTTTCACTGTGTTAGCCAGGATGGTCTCGATCTCCAGACCTCATGATCTGCTTGCTTCGGCCCCCCAGGCGTGAGCCACCGCGCCCAGCCTTTTGTGTCATTCTTATACCTTTGCATACTCATAGCTCAGTTCCCACTTATGAGTGACAACATACATGTTTGGCTTTCCATTCCTGAGTTATTTCACTTAGAATAATAGTCTCTAATCCCATCCAGGTTGTTGCGAATGCCATTAGTTCATTCCTTTTTAAGGCTGAATATTCCTTCATATATAAATACCACAATTTCTTTATCCACTTGTTGATTGATGGGCTTTTGGGTTGGTTCCACATATTTGCAATTGTGAATTGTGCTCCTCTAAACATGCATGTGCAATGACTTCTTTTCCTCTGGGTAGATCCCCAGTGTTGGGGTTGCTGGAACAAATGGTAGTTCTACTTTTATTCTTTAAGGAATCTCCACACTGCTTTCCATAGTGATTGTACTAGGTTACATTCCCACCAGCAGTGTGGAAGTGTTCCCGTTCACTACACCCACATGGACATCTATTATTTTTTGATTTTTTGATGACGGCCATTCTTGCAGGAGTAAGGTGGTATCACATAGTGGTTTTGATTTGCATTTCCCTCATCATTAGTGATATTGAACATTTTTTCATATGTTTGATGGCCCGTGTATATCTTCTTTTGATAGTTTTCTATTCATGTCCTAGCCCACTTTTTGATGAGATTGTTTGTTTTTTTCTTGCTAATTTTTTTGAGTTTGTTGTAGATTCTGGATATTAGTCCTTTGTCTGATGTATAGATTTTTAAGATTTTCTCCCACTCTGTGGGTTGTCTGTTTACTCTGCTGACTGTTCCTTTTGCCATGCAAAATCTCTTTAGTTTAATTAAGTTCCACCTATTTATCTTTGTTTTTTTCATGCATTTGCTTTTGAGTTCTTGGTCATGAAATCCTTGCCTAAGTCAATGTCTAGGAGGATTTTTCCAATGTTATCTTCTGGAATTTTTATAGTTTCACATCTTAGATTTAAGTTCTTGATTCTTCATCTTGAGTTGATTTTTGTATAATGTGAGGGATGAGGGTACAGTTTTATTTTCCTACTTGTGACTTGCCAATTATCCCAGCATCATTTGTTGAAAAGGGTGTCCTTTCCCCACTTCATGTTTTTGTTTGCTTTGTTGAAGATCAGCTGACTGTAAGTATTTGGGTTTATTTCTGAGTTCTCTATTCTGTTTGATTGGTCTATGTGCCTATTTTTATATCAGTATTATGCTGTTTTGGTGACGATGGTCTTATAGTATAGTTTGAAATCAGGTAGTGTGATGCTCCAGGTTTGTTCTTTTTGCTTAGTCTTGCTTTGGCTGTGTGGGCTCTTTTTTGGTTCCGTAGGAATTTTAGGATTGTTTTTTCTAGTTCTATGAAGAATCATGGTGGTATTTTGATAGGGATTGCATTGAATTTGTAGATTGCTTTTGGCAGTGTGGTCATTTTCACAGTATTGATTATACCCATCCATGAGCATGGGATGTGTTTCTTTTTGTTTGTGGCATCTATGATTTCTTTCAGCAGTGTTTTGTAATTTTCCTTGTAGAGGTCTTTCACCTCCTTAGTTAGATATATTTCTAAGTATTTTAGTTTTTTTTGCGGTTATTGTAAAAGGGGTTGAGTTCTTGATTGGATTCTCAGCTTGGTTGCTGTTGGTTTATAGAAGAGCTACTGATTTGTGTACATTAATTTTGTATCCAGAAACTTTGCTGAATTCTTTTAACAGCTCTAGGAGCTTTTCGGAGGATTCTTTAGGGTTTTCTAGGCATGCAGTCATATCATCAGAAAACAGTGACATTGACTTCCTCTTTACCGATTTGGATGTTATTTCTTTCTCTTGTCTGATTGCTCTGGCTAAGACTTCCAGTACTATGTTGAAGAGAAATGGTGAGAGTGGGCATCCTTGTCTTGTTCCAGTTCTCAGAGGGAATGCTTTCAGCTTTTCCCCATTCAGTATTATGTTGGCTGTGGGTTTGTCATAGATAGCTTTTATTGCATTGAGGTATGTCCCTTATATGCTGATTTTGCTGAGAGTTTTAATCATAAAGGGACAATGGATTTTGTCAAATGCTTTTTCTGCATCTATTGAGATGATCATGTGATTTTTGTTTTTAATTCTGTTTGTGTGGTGTATCACATTTATTGACTTGCATATGTTAAACCATCCCTGCATCCCTGCTATGAAACCCACTTGATCATGGTGGATTGTCTTTTTGGTATGTTGTTGGGTTCAGTTAACTAGTATTTTGTTAAGGATTTTTGTATCTATGCTCATCAGTAATATTGGTCTGTAGTTTGTTTTTTTTTGGTTATGTCCTTTCATGGTTTTGGGATTAGGGTGATACTGGCTTCATAGAATGATTTAGGGAGGAATCTCTCTTTCTCTATCTTGTGGAATAGTGTCAATAAGTTTGGTACCACTTCTTTGACTATCTTGTAGAATTCAGCTGTGAATCTGTCTGGTCCTGGACTTTTTCATTGGTAATTTTTTTTTGTTACCATTTCAATCTCTCTGTTTGTTATTGGTCTGTTCAGGGTATCTAATTCTTCCTGATTTAAGCTAGGAGGGTGGTTATTTTTCCAGGAATTTATCCATCTCCTTTAGGTTTTATAGTTTATGCATGTAAAGGTGTTCATAGTAGCCTTGAAATGATCTTTTATATTTCAGTGGTGTCAGTTGTAGTATCTCCTGTTTTGTTTCTAATTGAGCTTATTTGGATTTTCTGTATTCTTTTCTCGATAATCTTGCTAATGGTCTATCAATTTTACTTATCTTTTCAAAGAAGCAGGTTTTATTTCATTTATCTTTTGTATTTTTTTGTTTCAATTTTATTTAGTTCTGCTCTGATCTTGGTTATTTCCTTTATTCTACTGGGTGTGGGTCTGATTTGTTCTTATTTCTCTAGTTCCTTGCAGTGTGACCTTAGATTGTCTATTTATGCTTTTTCAGACTTTTTGATATAGACATTTAGGGCTACGAACTTTCCTCTTAGCACTGCCTTTGCTGTATCCCAGAGGTTTTAATAGGTTGTGTCACTATTGCCATTCGGTTCAAAAATTTTTTAAATTTCCTTCTTTATTTCACTGTTGACCCAATGATCATTCAGGAGCAGGTTTAATTTCCATGTATTTGCATGGTTTTAAAGCTTCCTTTTTGGAGTTGATTTCCAGTTTTATTCCACTGTGCTCTGAGACACTACTTGATATGATTTCAATTTTCTTAAATTTATTGAGACTTGTTTCATGGCCTATCATATGGTCTATATTGGAGAACATTCCATGTGCTGATAAATAGACAATATATTCTGTGGTTGTTGGGTAGAATATTCAGTAAATATCTTTTAAGTCCATTTGTTCCAAGGTATAGTTTATATCCACTGTTTCTTTGTTGACTTTCTTCTTGATGACCTGTCTAGTGCTGTCAGTGTAGTATTGAAGTCCCCCACTATTATTATTGTGTTGCTGTCTATCTAATTTCTTAGGTCTAGTAGTAATTGTTTTATAAATTTGGGAGCTCCAGTGTTAGGTGCATATATATTCAGGATTGTGATATTTTCCTGTTGTAGAAGGCCTTTTATTACTACATCATGTCCTTCTTTGTCTTTTTTAACTGCTGTTGCTTTAAAGTTTGTTTTGTCTGATATAAGGATAGCTACTCCTGCTCACTTTTAGTGTCCATTTGCATGGAATATCTTTTTCCACCCCTCTACCTTAAGTTTATATGAGTCCTTATGTGTTAGGTGAGTCCTGAAGGCAGCATTGATAGTTGGTTGGTAAAATCTTATCCATTCTGCAATTCTATATCTTTTAAGTGGAGCATTTAGGCCATTTACATTCAACGTTAGTACAGAGATGTAAGGTACTAGTCCATACATTGTGTTATTTGTTGCCTGTATATCTTTTTTTTTTCAATGTCTTTTTGTTTTATAGGTCCTGTGAGATTTATGCTTTAAAGAGGTTCTGTTTTGATATGTTTCCAGGATTTGTTTCAAGATTTGGAGCTCTTGGCCAGGTGGTGGCTCATGCCTGTAATCCCAGCACCCTGGGAGGCCAAGGCAGGTGGATCACTTGAGGTCAGCAGTCTGAAACCAGCCTGGCTGACGTGGCAAAACCCTGTCTCTACTAATAAGCAAAAATTAGCTGGGCGCAGTGGTGGGTGCCTGTAATCCCAGTTACTCAGGGGACTGAGACAGGAGAATCGCTTGAATCCTGGAGGCCAAGGCTGCAGTGAGCCAAGGTTGCACTACAGCCTGGGCAACAAAGCGAGACTACATCTCAAAAACAAAAACAGAAACAAAAAAAAAAGAAAGAAAAAAAAGATTTGGGCTCCTTTTAACAGTTCTTGTAGTTCTGCCTTGGTAGTGGTGAATTCTCTCAGCATTTGTTTGTCTGAAAAAGACTATCTTTCCTTCATTTGTGAAGATTAGTTTTGCTGGATACAAAACTCTTGACTTAAAATTGTTTTGTTTAAGAGGGCTGAAGATAGGACCCCAATCCCTTATAACTTGTAAGGTTTCTGCTGGGAAATCTGCTGTTAATCTGTAGGTTTTCCTTTACAGGTTACCTGATGCTTTTGTCTCACAGCTCTTAAGATTCTTTCCTGCATCAAAAAGGAAGTGTTTAAGTAGATTTTTGTCAACTAGCAAATGCCATTTTAGTCTGAGCATTTCACCACCTCATTCTACACCATCTGTCTCTCAGGGAGCAATTAATCTGAAACTCCAACATGCAGCATTAAAATTCTATTAACACTGAACAGAATATTAACGTGTCTGGCATTGCCATTTTTTTTTTAAATTATACTTTAAGTTTTAGGGTACATGTGCACAACGTGCAAATTAGTTACATATGTATACATGCGCCATGTTGGTGTGCTGCACCCATTAACTCGTCATTTAACATTAGGTATATCTTCTAATGCTATCCCTCCCCCCTCCCCCCACCCCACAACAGGCCCCGGTGTGTGATGTTCCCCTTCCTGTGTTCTCATTGTTCAATTCCCACCTATGAGTGAGAACGCACGGTGTTTGGTTTTTTGTCCTTGCGATAGTTTGCTGAGAATGATGGTTTCCAGCTTCATCCATGTCCCTACAAAGGACATGAACTCATCATTTTTTATGGCTGCATAGTATTCTATGGTGTATATGTGTCACATTTTCTTAATCCAGTCTATCGTTGTTGGACATTTGGCTTGGTTCCAAGTCATTGCTATTGTGAATAGTGCCGCAATAAACATACATGTGCATGTGTCTTTATAGCAGCATGATTTATAATCCTTTGGGTATACACCCAGTAATGGGATTGCTGGGTCAAATGGTATTTCTAGTTCTAGATCCCTGAGGAATTGCCACACTGACTTCCACAATGGTTGAACTAGTTTACAGTCCCGCCAACAGTGTAAAAGCATTCCTATTTCTCCACATCCTCTCCAGCATGAATCCTGACTCCAGACTGTAGTCTCTGTTGTTTACCTCTACCATAGAATTCTTTACAGAGCCTTTTTTTTTTTTTTTTTGGAAATCAACAGAATTATATACAAAGAAACTCTGTGGAATTGCTAATATTTAAATAGATTCAGGCATGAAACAGGCCATGTCATGCCTGCTGAAATATTGCAATGAAAAACTACTATTACATAATTAATCATGCTACGTATGGGCTTATGTCAAGATCTAATATGACGGACAACCCCAACAAATAATATCAACATTACAAAATGGTTCTACCATTATACTGCCCATTTTAAATGTGTTTTGTATAGTTTTTGTATGGCTTTTGCATTGGCTTTTTATAATAAATGATGTCATAAACAGAAAAAAAAAAGATTCTTTCCTTCATCGTAACTTTAGATAACCTGATGACAATGTGCCTACGTGATAGTCTTTTTATGATGAATTTCCTGGTTGTTCCTTGAGCTTGTTATATTTGGATGTTCAGGTCTCTAGCAAGGCTGGGGAAGTTTTCCTCAATTATTCCCCCGAATATGTTTTTTTAAACTTTTAGATTTCTCTTTGTCCTCAGGAATACTGATTATTTTTAGGTTTGGTCGTTTAACATAGTCTCAAACTTCTTGGAGACTTTGTTCATTTTTTCTTTGTCTTTGTTGAATTGGGTTAATTTGAAAACCTTGTCTTAGAGCTGTGAAGTTATTTCTTCTGCTTGTTTGATTCTATTGCTGAGACTTTCCAGAGCATTTTGCATTTCCATAAGTGCATCCATTATTTCTTGAAGTTTCAATAGTTTTTTTTTTAAATTATTATTATACTTTAAGTTCTGGGTACCTGTGCACAACGTGCAGGTTTGGTATATAGGTATACATGTGCCATGTTGGTTTGCCACACCCATCAACTTATCATTTACATTAGGTATTTCTCCTAATGCTATCCCTCCCCCAGCTCTCCCACCTCTGACAGGCCACGGTGTGTGATGCTCCCCACTCTTTGTCCAAATGATCTCATTGTTCAATTCCCACCTATGAGTGAGAACATGTGGTGTTTGGTTTTCCATCCCTGTGATAGTTTGCTGAGATTGATGGTTTCTGGCTTCATCCATGTCCCTGCAAAGGACATGAACTCATCCTTTTTTATGGCTGCATAGTATTCCATGGTGTATATGTGCCACATTTTCTTTATCCAGTCTATCATTGCTGGACATTTGGGTTAGTTCCAAGTCTTTGCTATTGTGAATAGTGCCGCAATAAACATGTATGCATGTGTCTTTATAATAGCATGATTTATAATCCTTTGGGTATATACCCAGTAATGGGATTGCTGGGTCAAATGGTAATTCTGGTTCTAGATCCTTGAGGAATCGCCACACTGTCTTCCACAATGGTTGAACTAATTTACACTTCCACCAACAGTGTAAAAGCATTCCTATTTGTCCACATCCTCTCCAGCATCTGTTGTTTCCTGACTTTTTAATGATTGCCATTCTAACTGGTGTGAGATGGTATCTCATTGTAGTTGTGATTTGCATTTCTCTGATGACCAGTGATGATGAGAACTTTTTCATGTGTCTGATGGCTGCATAGATATCTTCTTTTGTGAAGTGTCTGTTCATATCCTTTGCCCACTTTTTAATGGGATTGTTTGTTTTTTTTTCTTGTAAATCTGTTTGAGTTCTTTGTAGATTCTGGATCTTAGCCCTTTGTCAGATGGATAGATTGCAAAAATTTTCTGCCATGCTGTAGGTTGCCTGTTCACTCTGATGGTAGTTTATTTTGCCATGCAGAAGCTCTTTAGTTTAATTAGATCCCATTTGTCTATTTTGGCTTTTGTTGCCATTGCTTTTGGTGTTTTAGTCATGTAGTCTTTGCCCATGCCTATGGCTTGAATGGTATTGCCTAGGTTTTCTTCTAGGGTTTTTATGGCTTTAGGTCTAACATTTAACCTTTAATCCATCTTGATTTAATTTTTGTATAAGGTATAAGGAAGGGATCCAGTTTCAGCTTTCTACATATGGCTAGCCAGTTTTCCCAGCACCATTTATTAAATAGGGAATCCTTTCCCCATTGCTTGTTTTTGTCAGGTTTGTCAAAGATCAGATGGGTATAGATGTGTGGTGTTATTTCTAGGGCCTCTGTTCTGTTCCATTGGTCTATATATCTGTTTTGGTACCAGTACCATGCTGTTTTGGTTACTGTAGCCTTGTAGTATAGTTTGAAGTCAGGTAGTGTGATACCTCCAGCTTTGTTCTTTTTGCTTAGGATTGTCTTGGCAATGTGGGCTCTTTTTTGGTTCCATATGAACTTTAAAGTAGTTTTTTCCAATTCTTTGAAGAAAGTCATTGGTAGCTTGATGGGGATGGCATTGAATCTATAAATTACTTTGGGCAGTACGGCCATTTTCACGGTATTGATTCTTCCTATGCATGAGCATGGAATATTCTTCCATTTGTTTGTGTCCTCTTTTATTTCATTGAGCAGTGGTTTGTAGTTCTCCTTGAAGAGGTCCTTCACATCCCTTGTAAATTGGATTCCTAGGTATTTTATTCTCTTTGTAGCAATTGTGAATGGGAGTTCACTCATGATTTGGCTCTCTGTTTGTCTGTTAATGGTGTACAGGAATGCTTGTGATTTTTGCACATTGATTTTGTGTCCTGAGACCTTGCTGAAGTTGCTTATCAGCTTAAGGAGATTTTGGGCTGAGACGATGGGGTTTTCTAAATATACAATCATGTCATCTACAAACAGGGACAACTTGACTTCCTCATTTCCTAATTGAATATCCTTTATTTCTTTCTCTTTCCTGGTTGTCCTGGCCAGAACTTCCAACACTATGTTGAATAGGAGTGGTGAGAGAGGGCATCCTTGTCTTGTGCTGGTTTTCAACAGGAATGCTTCCAGCTTTTGCCCATTCAGTATGATATTGGCTGTGGGTTTGTCATAAATAGCTCTTATTATTTTGAGATATGTTCCCTCAATACCTAATTTATTGAGAGTTTTTAGCATGAAGGGCTGTTGAATTTTGTCGAAGGCCTTTTCTACATATATTGAGATAATCATATGGTTTTTGTCATTGGTTCTGTTTATGTGATGGTTATGTTTATTGATTTGTGTATGTTGAACAAGCCTTGCGTCCCAGGGATGAAGCCAACTTGATCCGTGATGGATAAGCTTTTTGATGTGCTGCTGGATTCGGTTTGCCAGTATTTTATTGAGGATTTTTGCATCAATTTTCATCAGGGATATTGGTTTCTAAAATTCTCTTTTCTGTGTGTGTATCTCTGCCAGTCTTTGGTATCAGGATGATGTTGGCCTCATAGAATGAGTTAGAGAGGATTCCCTCTTTTTCTATTGTTTGGAATAGTTTCAGAAGGAATGGTACCAGCTCATCTTAGTACCTTTGGTAGAATTCGGCTGTGAATCTGTCTGGTCCTGGACTTTTTTTTGGTTGGTAGGCTATTAATTACTGCCTCAATTTCAGAGCCTGTTATTGGTCTATTCAGAGATTCAACTTCTTCCTGGTTTAGTCTTGGGAGGGTGTATATGTCCAGGAATTTATCCATTTCTTCTAGATTTTTTAGTTTATTTGCATAGAGGTGTTTATGGTATTCACTGATGGTAGTTTGTATTTTGTAGGACCAGTGGTGATATCCCGTTTATCATTTTTTATTGCATCTGTGTGATTCTTCTCTCTTTTCTTCTTTATTAATCTTGCTAGCAGTCTATCGATTTTGTTGATCTTTTCAAAAAACCAGCTCCTGGATTCATTGATTTTTTTGAAGGATTTTTTTGTGTGTCTGTATCTCTTTCAGTTCTGCTCTGATCTTAGTTATTTCTGGCCTTCTGCTAGCTTTTGAATGTGTTTGCTCTTGCTTCTCTAGTTCTTTTAATTGTGATGTTAGGGTGATGATTTTAGATCTTTCCTGCTTTCTGTTGTGGGCATTTAGTGCTATAAATTTCCCTCTACACACTGCTTTAAATGTGTCCCAGAGATTCTGATACATGTTGTCTTTATTCTCATTGGTTTAAAAGAACATCTTTATTCCTGCCTTCATTTTGTTATTCACCCAGTAGTCATTTAGGAGAAAGTTGTTCAGTTTCCATGTAGTAGTGCGGTTTGGAGTGAGTTTCTTAATCCTGAGTTCTAATTTGATTGCACTGTGGTCTGAGAGACAGTTTGTTGTGATTTCTGTTCTTTTACATTTGCTGAGGAGTGCTTTACTTCCAATTATGTGGTCAATTTTAGAATAAGTGCGATGTGGTGCTGAGAAGAATGTATATTCTGTTGATTTCGGGTGGAGAGTTCTGTAGATGTCTATTAGGTCTGCTTGTTGCAGAGCTGAGTTCAGGTCCTGGATATCCTTGTTAACCTTCTGTCATGTTGATCTGTCTAATATTGACAGTGTGGTGTTAAAGTCTCCCATTATTATTGTGTGGGAGTCTAAGTCTCTTTGTAGGTCTCTAAGGACTTGCTTTATGAATCTGGGTGCTCCTGTATTGGATGCATATATATTTAGGATAGTTAGCTCTTCTTGTGGAATTGATCCCTTTACCATTATGTAATGGCGTTCTTTGTCTCTTTTGATCTTTGTTGGTTTAAAGTCTGTTTTTGCAGAGACTAGGATTGCAACTCCTGCCTTTTTTTTGTTTTCCTTTTGCTTGGTAGATCCTCCTCTATCCCTTTATTTTGAGCCTATGTGTGTCTTTGCACGTGAGATGGGTCTCCTGAATACAGCATACTGATGGGTCTTGACTATTTATCCAATTTGCCAGTCTGTGTCTTTTAATTGGGGCATTTAGTCTATTTACATTTAAGGTTAATATTGTTATGAGTGAATTTGAGCCTGTCATTATGATGTTAGCTTGTTATTTTGCCCGTTGATTGATGCAGTTTCTTCATAGCATCGATGGTCTTTACAATTTGGCATGTTTTTGCAGTGGCTGGTGCCGGTTGTTTCTTTCCATGTTTAGTGCTTCCTTCAGGAGTTCTTGTAAGGCAGGCCTGGTCCTGACAAAATCTCCCAGCATTTGCTTGTCTGTAAAGTATTTTATTTCTCCTTCACTTATGAAGCTTAGTTTGGCTGGATATGAAATTCTGGGTTGAAAATTCTTTTCTTTAAGAATGTTGAATATTGGCCTCCACTCTCTTCTGGCTTGTAGCATTTCTGCTGAAAGATCTGCTGTTAGTCTAATGGGCTTCCCTTTGTTGGTAACTCGACCTTTCTCTCTGGCTGCTCTTAACACTTTTTCCTTCATTTCAACCTTGGTGAATCTGACAATTATGTGTCTTGGGGTTGCTCTTCTCGAGGAGTATCTGTGCTGTTCTCTGTATTTCCTGAATTTGAATGTTGGCCTGCCTTGCTGTGTTGGGGAAGTTCTCCTGGATAATATCCCGAAGACTGTTTTCCAACTTGGTTCCATTCTCCCCATCACTTTCAGGTATACCAATCAAACATACATTTGGTCTTTTCACATAGTCCCATATTTCTTGGAGGCTTTTTCATTTCTTTTTATTCTTTTTCTGTAACCTTGTCTCCTTGCTTTATTTCACTAATTTGATCTTCAATCACTGATACCCTTTCTTCCGCTTGATCGAATTGGCTATTGAATCTTGTGCATCCGTCATGAAGTTCTTGTGCCATGGTTTTCAGCTCCATCAGGTCATTTAAGGTCTTCTCCACACTGTTTATTCTAGTTAGCCATTCATCTAATCTTTTTTCAAGGTTTTTAGCTTCCTTGCAATGGATTCAAACACCCTTCTTTAGCTCAGAGAAGTTTGTTATTACTGACCTTCTGAAACCTACTTCTGTCAACTCATCAAAGTTATTCTCCATCCAGCTTTGTTCCATTGCTGGTGAGGAGCTGCGATCCTTTGGAGGAGAAAAGGCATTCTGATTTTTAGAATTTTCAGCTTTTCTGCTCTGGTTTCTCCCCATCTTTGTGGTTATATCTACCTTTGGTCTTTGATGTTGGTGACCTACAGATGGGGTTTTGGTGTAGATGACCTTTTTGTTGATGTTGATGCTATTCCTTTCTTTTTGTTTTCCTTCTAACAGTCAGGTCCCTCAGCTGCAGGTCTGTTGGAGTTTGCTGGAGGTCCATTCCAGACCTTGTTTACCTGGGTATCACCAGCGGAGGCTGCAGAACCGCAAGTATTGCAGAAGAGCAAATATTGCTGAACAACAAATATTGCTGCCTGATCCTTTCTCTGGAAGCTTCGTCCCAGAGGGCAGCCGCCTATATGAGTTGTCTGTCCACCTCTACTGGGAGGTGTCTCCCAGATAGGCTACACGGGCATCAGGGACTCACTTGAGGAGGCAATCTGTCCTTTCTCAGAGCTCAAACGCGGTGCTGGGAGAACCACTGCTCTCTTCAGAGCTGTCAGACAGAGACGTTTAAGTCTGCAGAAGTTGTCTGCTGCCTTTTTTTGAGCTATGTCCTGCCCACAGAGATGGAGTCTAGAGGCAGTAGGCCTTGTTGAGCTGTGGTGGGCTCCACCCAGTTCGAGTTTCCTAGCTGCTTTGTTTACCTACTCAAGCCTCAGCAATGGCGGACACCCCTCCCTCAGCCAGGCTGCTGCCTCACAGTTCAATCTCAGACTGCTGTGCTAGGAGTGAGCAAGGCTCTGTGGGCGTGGGACCCACCGAGCCAGGCACGGGAATCACCTTGTCTACTGGTTGCTAAGTCCTTGGGAAAAGCACTATTTTGGTGGGAGTGTCCTGTTTTTCCAGGTAGTCTGTCACGGCTTACCTTAGCTAGGAAAGGGAAATCCCCCAATCTCTTACACTTCCTGGGTGAGGCGATGCCCCCGCCTGCTTCAGCTCGCCCTCCTTGGACTGCACCCACTGTCCAACCAGTCCCAGTGAGATGAACCAGGTACCTCAGTTGGAAATGCAGAAATCACCCGTCTTCTGCGTCGATCATGCTGGGAGTTGCAGACTGGAGCTGTTCCTATTTGGCCATCTTCCAGTTTCAATAGTTCTTTATTTTATTTATGCTATCTATTTCTTTTCCTTTTTTTTTTTTTTTTTTTTTTTTGAGATGAAGTCTTACTCTGTTGCCCAGGCTAGAGTGTAGTGGTGTGATCTCGGCTCACTGCAACCACTGCCTCCTGGGTTCAAGTGATTCTCCTGACTTAACCTCCTGAGTAGCTGGGACTACAAGAGCATGCCATCATGCCCAGCTAATTTTTGTATTTTTAGTAGAGATGGGGTTTCACCATATTGGCCAGAATGGTTTTGCATTCCTGACCTCAAGTGATCTGCCTGCCTCAGCCTCCCAAAATGTTGGGTTACAGGGGTGAGCCACCGTGCCTTGCTATTTATGCCATCTATTTCACTGAAGATTCCGCCTCTCATTTCTTGAGTCATTTTTTTTAAATTTCCTTAAATTGGACTTCACATTTTTCTGATGCCTCCTTGTTTAGCTTAATAACTGACCTTCTGAATTCTTTTTTAGGAAAATCAGGAATTTCTTCTTGGTTTGGAGCCATTGCTGGTGAGCTAGTGTAATTTTTTGGGGGGGATGTTAAAGAAAGTTGTTTTGTCATATTACCAGAATTGTTTTTCTGGTTCCTTCTCACTTGGGTAGGCTATGTCAGAGGGATGGTATAGGGCTCAAGGCTGCTATTCAGATTTTTTGACCCACGGGGTGTTCTCTTGCTGTAGTATTCTCCCCCTTTTCCTATGGATGTGGTTTCCAGAGAGCTGAGTGGTAGTGATTGTTATCTCTCTTCTGTATCTAGCCACCTAGCTGGTCTGCCAGGCTTCAGGCTGGCACTGAGGGTTGTCTGCACAGAGTCCTGTGATGTAAACCATCTGCAGGTCTCTCAGCCATGGATACCAGCACCTGCTCTGGTGGAGGTGGCAGCAGGGTGGAATGGACTCTGTGAAGGTCCTTAGTTTTGGTTGCTTAATGCACTATTTTTGTATTGGCCTCCTGCCAGGAGGTGGCACTTTGAAGAGAGCATCAGCTGTAGTAGCATAGGGGCATCAGGCAGTGGGCAGGGCCCTAGAATTCCCAAAAGTATATGCCCTTTGTCTTCAGCTGCCAGGGTGGGTAGGGAAGGACCATCAGGGGGGCAGGGCTAGGCATGTGTGAGTTCAGACTCTCCTTGGGTTGGTCTTGGTGGCAGCTGCTGTGGTGGATGGGGGTGTTGTTCCCAGGCCAATGGTGTTATATTCCCAGGAGGATTAGGGTTGCCTCTGCTGTGTCATGCAGGTTGTCAGGGGAGTGAGGGAAAGCTGGCAGTCACAGGCCTCACCCAGCTCTCATACAACCCAAAAGGCCAGTCTCACTCCCACCTTGCCCTCTCAAACAGCACCGAGTCTGTTTCCAAGCAGTGGGCAAGCAAGACTGAGAACTTGCCCCAGACTACCAGCCTCCTAGCTGTGAAAGCAAACGGGGCTTTCCTGCCTCCCTGCCTGTGGAGTCTGCATACCAGATTCACACCCTCCCCTGAGGTCTGGACAGGAAACTTCAGGTTCTGTTGGAATTGTTACAAAGTTCAGCTGGAGGTTTCCTTTTCCCTGTGGTCTTTTCCAAATACCTCTGGCAGCCCTCCCCAAGGACTCCTATGAGACAAGGCAGAAATAGCTTCCCAGGGGACTCAGAGAGTCCACAGGGCTTTTCTTGCTGCTTCCTCTATCCCTGTATTTCACTCAGCTCTCTGAATCGACCCAGCTTAAGGTAAGGTCAGAATCTTCTCCCATGATCTAGACCTTCAGGTTCCCCATTGAGGGTGTGTGTTTGGGGCAGACAATCTCCATTTCCCACTTCCACAGCTTGGGCTCTATTTGGGGTGTCTCCTGGGTCCTCTAGGAGCATTCCGCTTCCTTCAGATGGTCTGTGAGTGCTCTCAGCTTTCCTGGTTAATTTCTGCAGTAGTTCTGGAGCAAAAGTTCACAACGTGAGTCTCCATACATTGCTCTGTCTGTCCACGTGAGAGCTGCAGTCTAGTCCTGCCTCTTGTCTGCCATGATTTCCTAGAATAACTTTCTACTATGGTTTTTGTTTGTTTTTGTCTTTCTACTTTTAAAAAATTTCTGAGATATACTTTTAGTTGTTTTCAGTCTTTGAGTCATGTTATCCCTTTTCATTTTCAGCTTTATAGTGTATTTTTTCTAATCCTAGGTGCTGAAAATGACACAGTAAATAAATACACATGTTCAGCTCACCATCTTGAGCCATTAGTTCTAGTAAATTCATGTTGTATTTACTCAGGATGATACCTAATACTCTATTCAACGATTCCATTATCATTAAGAATAGCACATTAGGATCTATTTTTTTAATAATACATGCTTTAGGCCTGGAGCGGTGGTTTACGCCTGTAATCCCAGCACTTTGGGAGGCCCAGTCAGGTGGATCACAAGATCAGGAGATCAAGACCATCCTGGCTAACACGGTGAAACCCCGTCTCTACTGAAAATACAAAAAAATTAGCTGGGTATGGTGGCATACGCCTGTAGTCCCAGCTACTTGGGAGGCTGAGACAGGAGAATCACTTGAACCTGGCAGGTGGAGGTTGCCGTGAGCTGAGATTGTTCCACTCCACTCTAGCCTAGATAACGAAGTGAGACTCCGTCTAAAATAATAATAATAATAATACATGCTTTAGTACACAAAGCACTTGACCCCCTTTTTTCTCTTTATTCTGGAAGTCTTACATATACAGTTTTCTTTTCTTCCTTATTTTCCAGCTAAAGAGTCAAAGTTTTCTTTCTTCCATCTTAAGTTAGTGAATTTAAACTGGGTATTTTCAGAAAGCAATGGTCATGTATACTAAGATGCTTTTAAGAGAACTGACTTTGGTTATAAAGAGATTTAATGCAAGCCTCCAGTTTAACTTGGAGGACTGAGTCACCCCTGTAATAACATGTTTGTCTGAACCACGCACAGGACATCCTTTGCCATTCAACCTCTGATTTGCACAAGGTGACTAAAGGACCAGCAGCAAACAAAAGCAAAGGTAAAATAGACTTTTTTTTCCTGTTTGTAAAAATTTTAAAAATTGTTTTTAGAAATTTGAGGAGTTAGAAAAAAGCCAATATTAATTTCTTGGAATACTCAATTTCTTTTGCAGCCTAACTTTACTTAATTTTCAAATGCATTACCTTTTGAAATATGAGTTTGTTTTTATGAACCAAGCAGCCTAAAATACACATTTGTCACTGATAGTTACGAGCTAAATTTCAGTTAACTTTTTATTTATTATAAATCTACATTTGAAAATAATTCCCACTTTAATGACTACTCAAGGCTTTCTTCATTTTTCTTGTGCACATAGTTTCTGTGATTGCATTACTAACCTTAACTTGTGATAGCATCAAAATGTATTCCATGAAGCAGGTTAGTAAATTAACTACAAACAAGCCATAGGAACACATGACTTCATGAGACAGCCACAACTTTAATATTCTTTTGAATCAATAGATGTAAAGCACTCCTCAAGCTAACTTTATAAACATAAATGTTTTCCATTAGAGTATTAGTGCGTATTTTGACAAAGATTTTACTTTTGCACCATCTTTAATGAAACATGTTTTTCATACCTAATTTTATAGTTATACTTACCATGATGGTCAATACAAGAGGACTGTTTGTTGGAATAAGTATTGCAGATTTTAGGAAGCATGCAACATTTAAAAGGGCTCAGAAAGTGGATGATTTTTGGTTGTAAAACTGGGTCGTACATTTTCTTTCCAAATATTGTTAAAGTGACTGAATATTTAGAGATAACAGTCATCTGACATTTCAAAAAAGAAAAATCTTAGTAATTGGGGAGAGGATAAATAAATAAACATATACATATATGTACATATGGATAGATTTAGATTTTCCAGAAAAGAAGGAACAAGTACCAAAACAGTATAAGGAAGGTAAATCTTAAATCATTCAACCTGTTAAAGAGAAATCTTAAAGTTGAGAAATTTAATAATGATGGGGAAAATGCTGTTTACTTTAGTGACTATGTATGTGACTGTATGTATGTATATAAAGTGAAAATTTGAAAAATTATGAGATAATAAAACTTGTTATCTCTAGATCCTGGAGTACCTGAATAACTAATGTACAGTCTCTCTCTCTCTCTCTCTCCCTCTCTCTCTCTCTTTCTCTTTCTCTCTCTCTTTGAGACAGGGTCTCTCTGTCACCCAAGCTGGAGTGCATCGGCGCGATCTTGGCTCACTGCAACTTCTGCCTCCTGGGTTCAAGTGATTCTTCTGCCTCAGCCTCCTAAGTAGCTGGGATTACAGGCACCCACCACCACGTCTGGCTAATTTTTGTATTTTTTGGTACAGACAGGGTTTCATCATATTGGCCAGGCTGGTCTTGAACTCCTGGCCTCAAGTGATTGGACCATTTTGGCCTCCCAAAGTGCTAGGATTACAGGTGTGAGCCACTGCAACTGGCCCAGGCTTTCTTTTTTAAAACAATATACATAAACAAACAAAAGAGAAACCTTTTAAGACAAAATTTTTGTTCCTTCATAGACATGCTGACTTGAATCATCTTCATAATACTTGGTTCTCTGCAGGGTATGGTGGAGCGTGCCTGTAGTCCCAGCTACTCAGGAGGCTGAGGCAGGAGAATTGCTTGAACACAGGAGGCGGAGATTGCAGTGGACCGAGATCGCATCACTGCATTCCAGCCTGAACGATGGAGCCAGACTCTCTCACAAATAACAAAAAACTTGATTCTCTATTTCACCTGTTTATACAAAACTTTCTATATTTCTATGTAGAAACATGTTTCTATATTTCTCATATGTTTTATCTTACATAGTAGCATGCAACCCTCTTACATACCAATCAGGTAGAATTAGAGTGACACTGGATTTACCTGTTTGTTTCAAAGCTTTGGGAATTCTTCCAATAAGTGTGACACATGTTAGAATCATTGTTACTTGAGATACTTATTGTACTGATAAATGCAATACAATTGTAGCAATAGCTAAGAAAGCTTAGTCACACGATTTATTTCAGCCTTGCTTGTAAATTAGAATTCAGTTTGAGGATGGAAAGAAGAGCTCTTGTTGAAATATGAATACTTAGATTTTTGTTGCTGTTGTTGAGACAGGGTCTCACTCTGTCACTCAGGATGGAGTGCAGTGGCATGATCACTGCTCACTGCAGCCTTGAACTCCTGGGCTCAGATGATCCTCCCACTTCAGCCTCCTGAGTATCTGGAACCACAGGAACGCACCACCAGCCGGCTAATTTTTTGTATTTTTTGTAAAGACAGGGTTTTGCCATGTTGCTCAAGCTGGTCTCTAACTCTTGGGCTCAAGCGGTCCTCCTCCTCGGCCTCCCAAAGTACTGGGATTACAGTCTTGAGCCACCGTGCGACTCTACTTATAATAGAATTACAGATACTGTGAATTTCTAACAAGAACAACCTGTAGTTGTTTTGTTCACAGACCGAAGTCTCTTTACCTAAGTACTAAGCATGGGCCTAATGTTCATAATAGGCCCAAATGCATGAATCCTGTGCTCTGTCTTATCATGAATATGTGAAAAATCTAAATCTCATTCTTCGAGGAGCAATATTTCTTTGATACACTATATTGGGTGGTTGAAGAACTGGCTACAATCCTAGGCTGGAGTTCCTCCTGCCTTTGTCAAGAGAATTCCAGAACGACCTTATTGCATCCTTAGTCTAACCCAAAATCTATGATTGGAACATTTCCAAATTTCCTTATTGTATTAGGAAATTCTCTCAAGATTACATCTGGAAATCAAAATCTATTGTGAAACATTTTGAAGTTATAAGGTTTGTGTAATTAGACTGCATGCAATTAGCAGTCTTGGACAAATAAACTTATTTTTAAAGAATTAAAAAATATTTGTATGAAAAAGTATTTCTTCACATTTATGGTTAATGTATGTTGCTATGAATTAATGTAGGAACGCAACTTACTTTACTAAGATCCAAGTGCAACACAGTTCTCACACCATGTGAATGGGAAACCAAAGTAGACAACAAATTATTTAATGATCTTTTAAAAAATACATGCAAATTAATGATTAGTTAAATATTACATTTGATGTTTCAACAAAGTTTTTTTAAATTATACTTTAAGTTCTGGGATACATCTGCAGAATGTGTGGGTTTGTTACGTAGCTATACATGTGTCATGGTGGTCTGCTGCACCAATCCACCTGTCATCTACATTAGGTATTTCTCCCAATGCTGTCCCTCCCCTAGCCCTCTGCCCCCTGACAGCCCGTGTGTGTGATGTTCCCCTCCCTGTGTCCATGTGTTCTCATTGTTCGACTCCCACTTACGAGTGAGAACATGCGGTGTTTGGTTTTCTCTTCCTGTGTTAGTGTGCTGAGAATGATGGTTTCTAGCTTCATTCATGTCCCCGCAAAGGACATGAACTCATTCTTTTTTATGGCTGCATAGTATTCCATGGTGTATATGTGCCACATTTTCTTGATCCAGTCTATCATTGATGGGCATTTGGGTTGTTTCCAAGTCTCTGCTGTTGTGAATAGTGCTGCAGTGAACACTTGTGGATGTGTCTTTATAGTAGAATGATTTATAATCCTTTAGGTATACACCCAGTAATGGGATTGCTGGGTCAAGTGGTATTTCTGGTTCTAGATCCTTGAGGAATTGCCACACTGTCTTCCACAGTGGTTCAACTAATTTACATTCCCACCAACAGTGTAAAAGCGTTCCTATTTCTCCACATTCTCTGAAGCATCTGTTGTTTCCTGACTTTTTAATGATTGCCATCCTAACTGGTGTGAGATGGTATCTCATTGTAGTTTTGATTTGCATTTCTCTAATGACCAGTGATGATGAGCTTTTTTTCATCTTTGTTGGCCACATAAATGTCACCTTTTGAGAAGTTTCTGATTATATCAGTTGCCCACTTTTTGATGGGGTTGTTTGTTTTTATCTTATAAATTTGTTAAGTTCCTTGTAGATTCTGGATATTAACCTTTTGTCAGATGGGTAGATTGCAAAAATTTTCTCTCATTCTGTAGGTTGCCTGTTCACTCTGATGATAGTTTCTTTTGCTGTGCAGAAGGTCTTTAGTTTAATTAGATCCCATTTGTCAATTTTGGCTTTTGTTGCCATTGCTTTTGGTGTTTCAGCCATGAAGTCTTTTCCCATGCCTATGTCCTGAATGGTAATGCCTAGGTTTTCTTCTAGGGTTTTTATGGTTTTAGGTCTTAGGTTTAAGTCTTTAATCCATCTTGAGTTATTTTTTGTATAAGGTGTAAGGAAGGGGTCTAGTTTCAGTTTTCTGCATATGGCTAGCCAGTTTTCCCAGCACCATTTATTAAATAGGGAATCCTTTTCCCCTTGCTTGTTTTTGTCAGGTTTGTCAAAAATTAGATGGTTGTACATGTGGTGTTATTTCTGAGGCCTCTGTTCTCTTCCATTGGTCTATATATTTGTTTTGGTACCAGTACCATGCTGTTTTGGTTACTGTAGCCTTATAGTATAGTTTGAAGTCAGGTAGTGTGATGCCTCCAGCTTTGTTCTTTTTGCTTAGGATTGTCTTGGCTATACAGGCTCTTTTTTGGTTCCATATGAAATTTAAAGTAGTTTTTTCTACTTCTGTGAAGAAAGTCAATAGTAACTTGATGGGAATAGCATTGAATCTATAAATTACCTTGGGCAGTATGGCCATTTTCATGATATTGATTCTTCTTTTCCACAAGCATGGAATATTTTTCCATTTGTTTGTGTCCTCCCTTATTTCCTTGACAGTGGTTTGTAGTTCTCCTTGAAGAGGTCCTTCACATCCTTTGTAAATTGGATTCCTAGGTATTTTATTCTCTTTGTAGCAATTGTGAATAGGAGTTCATTCATGATTTGGCTCTCCGTTGGTCTATCATTGGTGTATAGGAATGCTTGTGGTTTTTGCACATTGATTTTGTATCCTGAGACTTTGCTTAAGTTGCTTATCAGCTTAAGGAGATTTTGGACTGAGATGATGGGGTTTTCTATACAGTCATGTCACCTGCAAACAGAGACAATTTGACTTCCTCTCTTCCTATGTGAATGCTCTTTATTTCTTTCTCTTGCCTGATTGCCCTAGCCAGAACTTCCAATACTGTGTTGAATAGGAGTGGTAAGAGAGGGCATCCTAGTCTTGTGCTGCTTTTCAAAGGGAATGCTTCCAGCTTTTGCCCATTCAGTATGATATTGGCTGTGGGTTTGTCATAAATAGCTCTTATTGTATTGAGATACATTCCATTAATACCAGTTTATTGTTTTTAGCATGAAGAGGTGTTGAATTTTATTGAAGGCCTTTTCGGCATCTATTGAGATAATCATGTGGTTTTTGTCATTGGTTCTGTTGATGTATGGATTACGTTTATTGATTTGCATATGTTGAACCACTCTTGCATCTCAGGGATGAAGCCAACTTGATTGTGGTAGATAGGCTTTTTGATGTGCTGCTGGATTCAGTTTGCCAGTATTTTATTGAGAGTTTTTGCATCTATGTTCATCAGGGATATTGGCCTGAAATTTGTTGTTGTTGTTGTGTCTCTGGCAGGTTTTGATATCAGGATGATGCTGGCCTCATAAAATGAGTTAGGGAGGATTCCCTGTTTTTCTATGGTTTGGAATAATTTCTGAAGGAATGGTACCAGCTCCTCTTTGTACCTCTGGTAGAATTCGGATGTGAATCCTTCTGGTCCTGGGCTTTTTTTGGTTGGTAGGCTAGTAATTTCTGCCTCAATTTCAGAACTTGTTATTAGTCTATTCAGGGATTTGACTTCTTCCTGGTTTAGTCTTGGGAGGGTGTATGTTTCCAGGAATGTATCTGTTTCTTCTAGATTTCTACTTTATTTGCATAGAGGTGTTTATAGTATTTTCTGATGGTAGTTTGTATTTCTGTGGGATCAGTGGTGATACTCCCTTTATCATTTTTTATTGTGTCTATTTGATTCTTCTCTCTTTTCTTCTTTATTAGTCTGGCTAGCAGTCTATTTTGCTAACCTTTTCAAAGAACCAGCTCTTGGATTCATTGTGTTTTTGAAAGGTTTTTCATGTCTCTATTTCCTTCAGTTCTGTTCTGGTCTTAATTATTTCTTGTCTTCTTCTAGCTTTTGAATTTGTTTGTTCTTGTTTCTCTAGTTCTTTTAATTGTGATGTTAGGGTGTCGGTTTTAGATCCTTACTGTTTCTGATGTGGGCATTTAGTGCTATAAATTTCCCTCTAAACACTGCTTTCACTGTGTCCCAGAGATCTGGTACATTGTGTCTTTGTTCTCATTGGTTTCAAAGAACTTATTTATTTCTGCCTTCATTTCATTATTTACCCAGAATTCATTCAGGAGGAGGTTGTTCAGTTCCCACGTAGTTGTGTGGTTTTGAATGAGTTTCTTAATCCTGAGTTCTAATTTGATTGGACTGTGGTCTGAGAGACTGTTTCTTATGATTTATGTTCTTTTGCATTTGCTGAGGAATGTTTTACTTCCAATTATGTGGTCAATTTAAGAATAAGTGCTATGTGGTACTGAGAAGAATGTATATTCTGTTGATTTTGGGTGGAGAGTTTTGTAGATGTCTATTAGGTCTACTTGGTCCAGAGCTGAGTTTAAGTCCAGAATATCCTTGTTAATTTTCTGTCTCGTTGATCTGTCTAATATTGACAGAGGGGTGTTAAAGTATCCCACTATTATTGTGTGGGAGTCTATGTCTCTTTGTAAGTCTCTAAGAATTTGCTTTATGAATCTGGGTGCTCCTGTATTGGGTGCATATATATTTAGGACAGTTAGCTCTTCTTGTTGAATTGATCCCTTTACCATTATGTAATGGCCTTCCTTGTCTCTTTTGATCTTTGTTGGTTTAAAGTCTGTTTTATCAGAGACTAGGAATGCAACCCCTGCCTTTTTTGCTTATTCCTCCATTCCTTTATTTTGAACTTATATGTGTCTTTACACGTGTGATGGTTCTCCTGAATACAGCACACCAATGGGACTTGACTCTTCATCCAATTTGCCAGGCTGTGTTTTTTAATTGGGGAATTTAGCTTGTTTACATTTAAGGTTAATATTTTTATGTGTGAATTTGATCCTGTTATTATGATGCTAGCTGGTTATTTTGCCCACTGGTCAATGCATTTTCTTCACAGTGTTGATGGTCTTTACATTTTGGTATGTTTTTGCAGTGGCGGGTACCATTTTTCCTTTCCATACGTTTTGCTTCCTTCAGGAGCTCTTGTAAGGCAGGCCTGATGGTAACAAAATCCCTCAGCGTTTGCTTGTTTTAAAGGATTTTATTTCTCCTTCTCTTTGAAGCTTAGTTGGGCTGGATATAAAATTCTGGGTTGAAAATTCTTTTCTTAAGAATGTTGATATTGGCCCCCACTTTCTTCTGGCTTGTAGGGTTTCTGCCAAGAGATCTACTGTTAGTCTGATGGACTTCCCTTTGTGGGTAACCTGACCTTTCTCTCTGGCTGCCCTTAACATTTTTTCCTTCATTTTAACCTTGGGTAATCTGACAATTATGTGTCTTGGGGTTGCTCTTCTCGAGGAGTATCTTTGTGGTGGTTTCTGTATTTCCTGAATTTGAATGTTGGCCTGCCTTGCTTGGTTGGGGAAGTTCTCCTGGATAATATCCTGAAGTGTGTTTTCCAGCTTGGTTCCCTTCTCCCCATCACTTTCAGGTAAACCAATCAAACATAGGTTTGGTCTTTTCACATAGTCCCATATTTGTTGGAGGCTTTGTTTGTTCCTTTTCATTCTTTTTTCTCTAATCTTGTCTTCACACTTTATTTCATTCAGTTGATCTTCAATCTCTGATATCCTTTCTTCTGCTTGATTGATTTGGCTATTGATACTTGTGTATGCTTCATGAAGTTCTTGTGCTGTGTTTTTCAGCTCCATCAAGTCATTTATGTTCTTCTCTAAACTTGTTATCCTACTTAGCAGTTCCTGTAACCTTTTATCAAGGTTCTTAGGTTCCTTGCATTAGATTAGAACATGCTCTTTTAGCTCAGAGGAGTTTGTTATTACCCACCTTCTGAAGCCTACTTCTGTCAGTTCATCAGCCTTACTCTCCATCCAGTTTTGTTCCCTTGCTGGTGAGAAGTTGTTATACTTTGGAGGCATTTTGGTTTTTGTAATTTTCAGCATTTTTGCACTGGTTTTTCCTCATCTTCATGGATTTATCTACCTGTGATCTTTGATGTTGGTGACCTTTGGATGGGGTTTTTGCATGGGTGTCCTTTTTGTTGATGTTGATGTTATTGCTTTCTGTGTTTTAGTTTTCCTTCTAACAGTCAGGTCCCTCTTCTGCAGGTCTGCTGGAGTTTCCTGGAGGTCCACTCCAGACCCTGTTTGCCTGGTATCACTAGGAGGCTGCAGAACAGCAAAGATTGCTGCCTGCTCCTTCCTCTGGAAGCTTTATCCCAAAGGGCACCTGCCAGATGCCAGCCAGAGCTCTCCTGTATGTCTGCTGACCCCTGCTGGGAGCTGTCCCTGTTAGGAGGCATGGGGGTGAGGGACCCATTCGAGGAGGCAGTCTGTCCCTTAGCAGAGCTTGATCACTGTGCTGGGAGATCCACTGCTCTCTTCAGAGCCAGCAGGCAGGAACATTTAAGTCTGCTGAAGCTGTGCCCACAGCCACCCCTTCCCCTAGTTGCTCTGTCCTAGGGCAATGGGAGTTTTATCTATAAGCCCCTGACTGGGGCTGCTGCCTTTCTTTCAGTGATGCCCTGCCCAGAGAGGAGGAATCTAGAGAGGCAGTTTGGCTACAGTGGCTTTGCCGAGCTGTGGTGGATTCCACCCATTTCGAACTTCCCAGTGGCTTTGTTTACACTTTGAGGGGAAAACCGCCTACTCAAGCCTGGGTAATGGTGGACGCCCCTCCCTCACCAAGCTCGAGCATCCCAGGTTGACTTCAGATTGCTGTGCTGGCAGCAAGAATTTCAAGCCAATGGATCTTAGCTTGCTGGGCTCCGTGGAGGTGGGATCCGTTGAGTTAGACCACTTGGCTCCCTGTCTTCACCCCCTTTCCAGGGGAGTGAATGGTTCTGTCTCATTGGTGTTCCAGGTGCCACTGGGGTACAAAAAAACCTCCTGGAGCTAGCTTGGTGTCTGCTGAAATGGCTGCCAGTTTTGTGCTTGAAACCCAGGACCCTGATAGTGTAGGCACCTGAGGGAATCTCCTGGTCTGCAGGTTGCGAAGACCATGGGAAAAGCATAGCAGCTGGGCTGGATAGCACTGTCTCTCACCACACAGTCCCTCATGGCTTCCCTTGGGTAGGGGAGGGAATTCTCCAACCCCTTGTGCTTCCTAAGTGAGGTGATGCCCCACCCTGCTTCTGCTTGCCCTCCATGGGTTGAACCCACTGTCTAACCAGTCCCAATGAGATGAGCCAGGTACTTCAGTTGGAAATGCAGAAATCACCCTCATTCTGCATTGATCTCACTGGGAGCTGCAGACCAGAGCTGTTGCTATTGGGCCATCTTGCCAGCTGCCTTTCTTTGTTTCTTTCTTTGTTTGTTTCTTTCTTTCTTTCTTTCTTTCTTTCTTTCTTTCTTTCTTTCTTTCTTTCTTTCTTTCTTTCAATAGAAACAAAACATAATTCAGTTGGTCACATAACATGTACTATTTGTTATTTAAACCTGGTAATGATCAGGCTGATTGGCACAATTCAGTTGCAACATCAAGAACATCATCATTTATCCAGAAGGTGTACTTGAAGTGGAAAACTAGGCTCTTAAATGGAGATATGGAATGTCTATGTAGATCAAGTGTGGTGGCTCACTCCTGTAATCCCAGCACTTTGGGAGGCTGAGGCAAGTGGATCACTTGAGCTCAGGAGTTCGAGACCAGCCTGGGCAACATGGTAAAACCCTGTCTCTGCCAAAATATAAAAATTAACTTTGGCATGGTGGCACACACTTGTAGTCCCAGCTACTCAGGAGGCTGAGGTGGGAGAATTGCTTGAGCCCAGGAGGTCGAGGTTGTAGTGAGCTGATATTGTGCCACTACACTTCAGCCTATCTCTATCTCAAAAACAAACAAACAAAAGAAATGTATGTGTAGCAACCATGTAAGATGTAAACCAAAAAGTGAAGAAAATTATATACAGACATAATCCAACCAGCTCTTTATAAGCCAAAATCTACTCAGATTGCTTAATTTGATGGGCTTGAAATCTCATAGTCAAGTTTAACGAAGATTGACAGAGATATTTTAGGTAGAAAACATTAGGTGCAATGCCAAAAGGCGTTACAAACTCAGGCATGACTTAATCAAATATGTGGTAGTCAGCACATAGTGGACATAAGACGTCCATTGAGCCATATGGTAGGATTGCTGTCTAGGTTAGAAGATCTGTCTTATGTGAAAATGTCAAACAGAGAAAGGCAAGAGTGCAGAGAGGAATGGGGAAAGGGTAGTGTGCAAGATCCTCTCCCATATTTATAAATTAGAATTTAAGTTCTAGTTCATAAATATAATTTTCAAAAGTTGAGACTTTAGTTGATAAGAACAGAATAGACATCAATACTATGTTTAGATATACAACATGCCATTACTATTATCATTGCACTCCTCTGCCCCTAAAGACAGTATTGTGATATTCTGGGAAGGCAAGTTAAAACAATAGAAATAAAAATTGAATAGGAAAAATAATGAAACTTCTTCTAGTGTGCTGTTTATGGTAACTGGCTCCAGAGTGTAAGATTTTAACCTGCACTCTTACTGACTTCTGTTATATTGCACTGAGGTATTTTGTGTTGTAAACACACCAGGGTAGTTGGACGTAATTCAAAGAAAGCAATCAGATTTGAGAAGGATTTAGAAAAGTGTGGGGAAGAATAAAAAGAAATAAAAACAATGCCATAGACATTGAAGAATAAAAAATAAGGTCAGAAGTTAGTCTTCATCAAAAAGGTATGGGTGATGAAATAAAATGGAATTGAAGAAAATCCAAGGAAAAAAGTTATCTGATGCTGAAGAAGTTAACAAGCAATCTAGCTTCCTGAGTTATTTAAAATTAGGCTGAATAAATCACCAAAACTAATATATAGTCAAAGATAAAAAAGAAAGAACAATCATTTTTTCATATCCAATTTCTCCACATACTTTTATCTGTTGTAACTAGAGTTTTGCCTTGTTTACAATCAGAGAAGGCCTATTACTGTAAAGTATATTTTTCCACTAGTATTAAATAATTCACCGGTATTGTGCATTACATTTTGTGGAGAATAATAATACTAATCAGTTTCTTCAAGCTTATCATCAGTGTTCCTACCGAACACCTCCTAAACCATTAACCACTGTTAATTTTCTTTTACCATAGATAGTAACCAATCAATAATTAGCTTTTAATAATCAAATGTCAGAATAGAGCCTTAACTTAAAGCTCTGGCTGATAGTGTTCATTTCCATTAAAAAAAATCATTCTTATTTCCTGAAAAGGGATGTTCTTGTCAGATTGCAGATGAGCATACAATTTCTCAAATAAAATTATAAAAATGATCTTCATAACAAAATGCAAGTGAGATGTAACTTTCTTTAGGAAAACTTGATTCCTTATACTGTAGTCAGAATCGATTTGCATCTTCTCTTATATATCCAAAGAACTTTGAGTTTTTAAAATCAGATTGATGGTTTTGAGTTAGCTGTTACAGCAACATATTACAAAATTCCAACAGAACTTCCTTCTCAAATAAATCTCACCCATGCTCACTTCTCTCACTTAGCCACCCTGTTCTCTTCCCTGGAAGCAAGCAATATAACCTTTTTTGAGTATCCCTCCTGATATGGTTTGGCTCTGTATCCCCACCCAAATCTCATCTCAAATTATCATCCCATATGTTGTGGGAGGGACCTGTAATCCCCATGTGTGGAGGGAGGGAAGTGATCAGATTATGCAAGCAGTTTCCCCCATGCTGTTCTCCTGATAATGCATGAGTTCTCACAAGATCTGATGGTTTTATAAGTGTTTGGAAGTTCCTCCTTCATAACACTTCTCTTTCCTGCCACCTTGTGAAGAAGGCACTTAATTTCCCTTTGCCTTCTGCCATGATTGTAAGTTTCCTGAGGCTTCCCCTGCCATAGGGAACTGTGAGTAAATTAAACCTCTTTCCTTTATAAATTACCCAGTCTCAGGTATTTCCTTATAGCAGTGTGAGAACAGACTAATATAGCTCCAGAGATATTCCTCAGTACACAAATTATTATACTGTGTACATATGTAATTTGTGTGTGTATGTGTATGTGTGTGTGTATATATATGTATGCATATATTCCTTTCTTTGAAAAATGGCAACAATCTATACACACTTTATTAAAATTTGTAGCTTGTGTACAGACACACATGTAAAACAAATACATATTTTAAAGACTATTTTAATATCTGGTCAATGTCCTTATCAATATGTAGAAGAAACCTCATTCTTTGTTATAGGTGCATAGCATTCCACTGTATACGAGGCCATGTCTTATGTGGCCTTTGCCTTATAGTAGACATTTATTTTGTTGTCCTAATTATAAGAATTAGGAAGACATTAATTTTGTCTTCCTAATTATAAGAAGTGCTACAATGAATTACATAGAAGCAGAATTTCTTGGTGAAAGGTTTTATTCATTGATAATTCAGATAGAAATTTCCAGTCTTCTGTTTCCACTAGGAATGTACTCTTTCTTCATTCAGGTTGGAGTCAACCCCTGCACATTTCACCTTGCTCAAATTTCTTATCCTGCTAAAATATATATGCTTGTACAGAGAGATAGATGATAGGTTGCCATTTGTAAAGCCAGGGGAACCCTAGTTTTTAAGCCACTCCATTCAGGACTGAGGCAAAATTTGAAATTAAGCCATGTTTACCAGAGACAAGACAATGTGATCTGGCTACAGCTTTTGACCTCTCAAATGTTTGCCTTTCCTCTCCACTCTTGTACTCTTAACATTGAGAGCTAGGATCTAGGGAACTGGGATCCAACTCTCTCCTGCTTAAATATTGTTCTGGTCCTCAGGCCTGAGGTTGGGGACTCAGCTCCCCATCTCTAGTTTCTGTCTGATAACCCCAACTAGTATCCCAACACTCCTAATCAATGGCTTGGGTCATTTTTATGGGGAGGGAAGTATTTTAAGTTGTAATCTTGACTATGGACATTGGAAAGACTTAAATAACATTTCGCAGACCACTGGATGGCTTTTTAGTTCAACAACTTTAATTAAAAACCTGAAGACATAAATCAACTTAATGTTATCTTAAGGAACTTAGTTAAAAACAGGTTGACAGAGGGAACATTCTATTAAAAATGTGATCCTAAGACTTAGTGTGCTTTTCCAAGAAATCTGTTGATCTTGGCTGTAAGAAATTTCAAGTCCTAAAAGAGGAGTAATACTTAGACAAAGACCAAGTGTATACTTTAATACAGAGATAATTTAAACCTCTTTCAGATTGTATTTCTTAAAACTGCAAAATTTGCTTGCTTCATTAAAAACGAGGCCTTTCAGACTGAATAATATAGTGAATTTACCATTAGCAAAAGTGACACTGAAATAGTCATTTTCACATATTTACAAAACTTAAGCCTATATTTAAGAAGACTGGAAAGGAAACAATTTTATACAATCAAGATAGTATAGGAGTTCTAAAATTAGTTCAGATGGAGGGACACTGTGTTCTTTGATAATAACATAAAATAGTTATCATAAAATTCAGTATCTAATGATGAATTATGGGCCTTAATGAAATACTGTTATAGAGTAGATTATATTATAAACCCATAGGCAACAAGTTTTTAAGAAAAATGTATGAAAAATACTTAATTGAGAAACCTCTAACATTAAAATATTTTGCTTTTTCTGCTGGAATACTAAAGAGCCAGCTTGCAGAGCATTGATGTTTCAAAAGAGAAAAAGTTCATCAGAGAAAAAAATAGATGCCTATTATTGGCTGTTGCTCTAATAAGCTTTTATTAGAAAATAGGTTGGCAATTAGTTCTGCGAAATTGAGCACATAGCTTTGAACTTGATGGTTCTGCTCTGTCTCTCAGTCTGATAAATATATATGAGTATATATATTTTTCATCATTGGCAACAAAATATCACTTTGGTCAGTACTTTCCTTAAGGGCTTGGAAATAAAACAGTGCATTTATTAAATTCCTTAGGGACCATGACCTTCAGGATATCTCTTCAAACTCTCACGGTTTTAGGAGCAGACACTTGGCATCTTAAAGGTTTTTAAAACAGAACCCCAATATCATGAAAAAAGAAATAGAAGACATGTAGATTTGGAAAATCAACTCGTTTCACTAATACCTGAATATTAAGAAGGGAGTATATGCTTTGAAAAACTTTTCCAGAGCATTCACTCTAATCGTAAAGATCAGTGTGGATCACCATGCTGTGTAAAGTTAAAAAACATCGCACTGGGTGTTTGAGAACAGGCACTTAGAGTTGCAATCAAAATGAAAACAAATTAGTGCAATTAATTTATTGATTTATAATATCCTTTTCCTTTGTGGTGATTATTTAAAATATTATGGTCTCATAAATAACTGGTTTGAACTGCTCTCATTTCTGTCTTAGATTATTGCAAGAGCTTTTTATAGTCTTCCTGCTTCTCTCTTGTGTCTTTTCCCTTAAAGGCTTGCCTCAACACAGCAGCCAGAGGAATCCAGTTAAGCCCATGGCAGACAATGTCATTCTTCTTTCAAAGCCCACCACATCTTTCCCATCTCATTTACAGTGAAAGCCTGAGTACCTATAAGCCCCAACAAGACCCTCACTCTTTCTTCTCTGGCTCCTTTTACCTAGTCACTGACCTCTTCAAAGGTCTTTAGAGACAGCAGACATGCTCTGCCACAGGGCCTTTGCACCTGCTTTCCCTCATACTTCCCCAGACATCCTCCAGGCTGACTCCTCTTATCCTTGGGATCAGTGAGGCTTGTTACCATCTAGGAACAAATCCTGCCTTATTTATTTTTCTTTGTTATCATAATTTGCAACATACTGAATATTTATTTACTGTTCTTATTTATTATCTCCCTCCCCTACAAGAATTTAAACTCAGTGAGGGCAGAGGCTCTTGTTTGTTTTGCTCACTATTGTATTGTTAATACTTAGAAGGGAGCCTGGTACATAGAAGATGCTCAATAAACATTTTCTGAATTCTTATAAGAATGAACACTAAGTGCCTCTGCCTTCATCATACAATGTCAGTGTTCCAAAGACCACCAGGAGCACACCTGCAGTTAAATTAGTTTACTTTATCAGTTATTGTGGGAAGGGAGGGTGCACACCATGGGAAGCCATGGGGTGTCTCAGTAAGAGGGTATTAGGAGGAAACTATCATATGATTTAGGTTTTGGCTGAGTGACTTGGTGAAGAGTCTAAGAAGGCAGGGATTTTCTCTAGATTAGATGTTGTCAGAAAGCAGAGGCGTTCCTGTGATTGGGTAAAGAATAGCAGTCATTCATTCAGCAAGAGAGAGGGATGTTTGGTATTTTGTGGGTTGCACAGTGACCTTCTTTTCTGATCTTAGACAATATTTAAAAGTGGCCTGGCTTTGTCTCATTTTATTATGGTCTGAGAGTAAACTTGTCCAGACTGGTATTCTGTGACATTGTTTAAGAGAAGCATTATGCAGCCTAGCTGTGAGTGTAGTACTCACAGTTTCTGAATGCCAAGGGTTGCTCTTTTTTTTCTTTTAATTTATCACAAGCAAGTAAGCTTCTTTGGGGAAGGAGTGAGAAGGGAGATAGGAATAAGTAGGGGATAGGAGATAGAGGCTTTTTTGCAGACTCTTGTAGCTGTACATGGTGGTCCTGTCTCCCTCAAAAGAACATCCCTCCTGCCACCTTCTTCACTGTCTCCTTCACTGTCAGGAGGAAGGGGCAGTGATGAGGTGAGGTGCTTGAGCCGACCTGAAATAGGCCCTGTCTGTTTGCTGCTTTTGCCACATTTGTCTCTGGTCAGGGTAAGAAGATTAGAACTATGAAACCAAGGTCAACATAGTAGCAGCTAAACCTTCCTCACTTCCTTCTACTAGAGGAGGGGTCAGGAGAAAGCTACTTCCCTTTACCTATGGCTTTAATGAGTATGTCATTTCATTGAAAATCATTTGTTCAGGGGCCTTTAAAATGTCTTCACAGAAGTTTCCTTGTTGAAGGAAAGGAACTAGTCCTTCCTATATATTCCCAGAACAGACCTTACTTCTAAGGAGAGAAACCTGGGCATTAAAATTTAAGGGACAAGTCCAGGTTAAATTCCTCATTCACTTCTACCTCCAATATCTTGCTAACTCTTTCTAAACATTGTCATTTAGAGGTTTGTTTACAGGAGCACATTTGCCTAGGCGGATTATGGAAGGGGGAAGGGAGAAAGAAAAGGAAGGTTGCTATTGCTGGTGATATGGTTAACTGTGGATAATTGCACAGGTTGCTATGCTACAAGAACTAGTCAAGATAAGGCAGAGCTCAGCGGTGGGGATTTTAATGGCATAGGTGGGGTGAGGGAAAGAGGTCTAGGGAAGCTCTGAAGCAAAGGGCACTTTTGGAAGGGCAGGCTTGGGGAGGTTCCTTGGTGAAGGAAGGACAAGAGAAACAGAGATTGCATGGTGGGACAGGGAAGGGAAAACAGTGTCTGAGAGGGGTCACGTGAGGGGATCTCCTCCCAACAAGCCATATTTAACTAGGAGGGCACACCAGTGCCCTGACCTGGCTGTATAGGAAGCAGAAACCTGACATACAGCAAGCAGAAGACACGGGCACAGGATTTTACTTATTTATTTTGTCTTTTTTGGTCGTGCACCCACACATTTTATCAGGAGCTATGTCTACCATCTGCCATGTAAGGTGCACCTCCAGTTCACCAGAACAAACAGTTCACCAGTTCTCTTTCAACTACAGTGTCTTCCCTGAGACACTGAGAACAATAATAACATTCCAAGATAGGAGAAGAGAATCACTTGGTAACTTTGTAATAAATGAACCAGGATGTTCTATGGTGGTGATGAGGGAGCCGACCAAAGGGGAAACAATAGTCAGTGGAAAACTATGTTTTGAATGAGACCAAAGCAGGAAGTATCTGGCAGGGTAGATTTTTCTTTTTTTGGTACACAAATATAGTCTTTTCTAATGTAACTCAATTTTAAATTTAAAGAAAAGCTTCTTCCCCCTTCTATTAATGAATGCATATGTAAATCTATTTTTCTTACCTGGAGGCAAAATATAATAAAAAATCAAAGAGAAGGGGAAGTTTTGAGTACCACAATTTTTCTTACTCATAAAATTAGATTCCCTTGAAAATACTATTCTCTTCAAATCATAATTTAGAGCTACAGTATGATATATTTCATGCTACTAAGTGGGGTAATCTTATTCAGCTTTGTGCATGGAGGAGTATATTCAATAAATGAAAATATCTACCTCTATAGCTCCTAAATACTGGTGTTTTGTGTTTATCCATTTACTTAGGCCTTCTTAAATGTCTTTGGAGGAAGTTTTGTGAATTACTTAAAATTTTTTTACAGCAGTGTCCAAGGCCTGAGAAATACCATGAGGTTTGGCTGGTGACACCTGGTGGTTAGACGTGATAATTACACACAACATGTAGCACAGGCTTTACTACAAGCCACAAAAGCACCTTGTATTGGTCCATTCTCACACTGCTAATGAAAACATTCCTGAGACTGGGTAATTTATAAAGAAAAAGAGAGTTAATGGACTCACAGATCCACATGGTTGGGGACCCCTCACAATCATGGCAGAAGGTGAAGGAGGAGCAAAATCACATCTTACATGGTGGCTGGCAAGAGAGCATGCTCAGGGGAACCACCCTTTATAAAACCATCAGATGGCATGAGACTTATTCATTATCACAAGAACAGCATGGGAAATCTCGCCCTTGTGATACAATTACCTGCCACCACGTCCCTCCTATGACAGGGAGAATAGGGGAGCTACAATTCAAGATGAGATTTGGCTGGAGACACAGCCAAACCATATCACTTCTCTATAAATCAGAGTTCCTGGTTGTAAGCAACCAAAACAAACCTTGCTTACTTGAGCAGAAAGGCGGTGTCCCTTGAGGACAATATCTCCACTTAACAGTAACATTATGGGCATCAGGTTCAGAATCTGGATGCCCCAGCTTGCTGCTCCTTGACACTGGAATTTACGTCACCACTGGCAATGTCACCTCAGCCTCCTTGAATCTCAATATCCAAATTCAAAGCCTAGATTAGGATGCATCTAATTGGACTGACGACAGTCATAGACCAATACCAAACCTGCAAGGAAGGCTGGGACATTTTGGCTTATTTAATGAAATATGGGCTTTGCCTTCCAAGATACTTATGGTGCAGAATTGACTACTGAGGAAAGGGGTCTGTATCCGGAGCACACAGCCAAAGGACAAATGTCTACTGGACACCTTAATCTCACTAGGCATCAGGCATAACCACAATGCATTTTCATCTTAATGACACACAAGACTGCAAACGTTTTATGCCATCAAACCCTTTGATGAGCTTTTACAAAAATAATTTCATAGTAGTTTTACAAAGAGATGACTAAAAAATAACTTGACAAAGTAGCCACTATCGTCTTCCCTCTTCTACTATCCAAACACCTACCTATCTTCTCTTTCTCTCTCTTTTTTTTTTTTTTTTTTTTGAGACTGAGTCTCGCTCTGTTGCCAGGCTGGAGGGCAGTGGTGTGATCTTGGTTCACTGCAACCGCCACCTCCCAGGTTGAAGCGATTCTCCTGCCTCAGCCTCCTCAGTAGCTGGGACTACAGGCATGTGCCACCACGCCAAGCTAATTTTTGTATTTTTGGTAGAGATGGGGTTTCCCCATGTTGGCCAGGATGGTCTTGATCTCTTGACCTTGTGACCATCTCGGCCTCACCAAAGTGCTGGGATTATAGGCGTGAGCCACCCTGCCTGGCTCTATCTTCTCTTTTAACTCCAGTGTCTTCCCTGAGACATTCTGTTACACCAGGGGTTTGGTCTAGGTCCTGTTGCTTGCTGCAGAGAAAGCCAATCACTGAGTCAAGGAGTATTGCTGGGGAAGAAGGCCTTATTTGGGTGCTGCAGCCAAGGAGAATAAAGGATCAGTCTGGAATCCATCTCCCCAAGCAACTAAAATTTGGGGTCTATAAAGTAGGGAAGAAAAGTAACTATGTGTGGGAAAACAGGAATTAAGGAAGGGTAAGAAAGAGGACTTGGTCAACAGGCAAGTGGTCAGTTAGGCAATCATGATGAGTGAGGCATCTGGTGTCTCATTGTTTAGATGTGATAATCTGGTAAGTTTCAGTTCCTTGAAACATTCTGGGAGGCTTGATGGTTGGTTTACCGAGAAAGGAACCCAGATAAGACAAATATAACTTTCTTAAGTTTTACCCTGGGAGGGTCAATTTCTAAGTTTATTCAGAAGAAACCCAAAACATCTATTCTTTGGGATAGTTGGGCTGGTTTTAATTTCTTGCCACTCAAATCACTTTCCTTTCCATTCCTACCTACTGCTTACTCCAAGAAGTAATTGCTCCAATAAATTATCATGTAGTACTTGTTATGCATTTTTATTATTTAAATTTTACATCACCTTGCCTTCCATATAAAGTGACATCAGGCAAGCCTTTTCATCTCTCTAAGCCTCAGTTTCCCCATTTGTAAAATGGAAATGTAATTATAAGCCTTATGTAGTTATTACAAGTTTAAAAAAAATATTTACAAAGCAGTTAAGCACAATGCCTGGGATTTGATGAGTTTTGCAAAATGATGGTAAATATTATTTCACATCTTTATCTGATCATGAACTCCTTAAAGGCAAGGACTACATCTTATTCATTTTGTTTTCTGGACATGGGGTCTGGTGCTCCATGAATGTTTGTTGAATTGCATTTCCTGCCCCTGAATAGAAGCTAGGTCTCTACATATGCTTCTATATCTCAATTTATTTATAGGCCTCTTTGAGACCTTTAAGTGATACACTTTACAAATAGTCATATATAATAATAATATCTATTTATTATTTGAGTCTTTTTCCTCAAAACTATGACTAACAGAAAATTAAATCTCTCCACAGGTCTTCTAGAGTGCACTAAAGCAGAAGATAACGTAACATTTTTATCTTACCATGAAAGTATTATCTGAAGGACAGTTAAAGCTTTGTGTTGTTCAACCAGTACATCTCACTTCATGGCTCCTTATATTTTTTATTCTAAAGTCTATCTCTTGTCTAAAACCTGCTCGACTTCCAATTTATCAAAGGAAACCTTTTATAGCTGCTTGGAATGCTCCAACAGATCAGTGTTTGATAAAATATAATTTAAGACTAAATTTGAAAATGTTTCCTGTGATTGGAAGCCCACTGGCCAAGGCCAGGGGGCAAAATGTCACTATATTTTATGTCAACAGATTGGGATACTATCCGTGGTATACATCACAAGGGGTCCCCATTAATGGAGGTCTCCCACAGAACATAAGTTTACAAGTACATCTGGAAAAAGCTGACCAAGATATTAATTATTACATCCCTGCTGAAGATTTCAGTGGACTTGCTGTTATAGATTGGGAATATTGGCGACCACAGTGGGCCCGGAACTGGAACTCAAAAGATGTTTACAGACAGAAGTCAAGAAAGCTTATTTCCGATATGGGAAAGAATGTATCAGCTACCGATATTGAATATTTAGCCAAAGTGACCTTTGAAGAAAGTGCAAAAGCTTTCATGAAGGAAACCATCAAATTGGGAATTAAGAGCCGACCCAAAGGCCTTTGGGGTTATTATTTATATCCTGATTGCCACAATTATAACGTTTATGCCCCAAACTACTCTGGGTCATGCCCAGAAGACGAAGTCTTGAGGAACAATGAGCTCTCTTGGCTCTGGAACAGCAGTGCTGCTTTATATCCTTCTATCGGTGTCTGGAAATCCCTTGGAGACAGTGAAAACATTTTGCGCTTCTCCAAATTTCGGGTGCATGAATCCATGAGGATCTCCACCATGACATCTCATGATTATGCTCTGCCTGTATTTGTCTACACAAGGCTAGGGTACAGAGATGAACCTTTATTTTTCCTTTCTAAGGTAAGAAGCTTCTTGTCCAATGGTGGGGGATTTCCTCCTTATCTCTAAAAGGACATTTCTTTGTTAATTATGTTCTTTGAAGAATTGATTTCAATTAATGGTTTGTTATATGGGAGCATAATTCTTCCTTGACTAGTCATGCATTTAGACTCTTCATTTATGGAAACTGAATTTTGATTATCTTACTCATTATTATTCTCTTAAGGAACAAAGTAAGGTGAGAAAGGGTTAAAGTAGATACCAGCAACGACTACATTTCCTGCACACCAACTTTAACTGTACTCACTTACAATCGGGCATTTTGGAAGGTTATTGAAATGATCGGCAGTGAGCAGGTTAGACAATCAAAAAGGATGTTTTGAAATGGAGTGTTTGCTCATACATGTGGAAGCAGAATTGTCTAGCCACTTAAACAAAAAAATTCTAGGGAAAGTAGTGGGTATTTTAATCTTTGTTTTGTTTTTTTTTTTTCTTCAAGATGGAGTTTTTTGTTCTTGTCACCTAGGCTGGAGTGTAATGATGCAATCTCGGCTCACTGCACCCCCCACCTCCTGGGTTCAAGCGATTCTCCTGCCTCAGCCTCCCAAGTAGCTGGGTTTACAGGTGCTCACCCCCCCCCACCCAGCTAATTTTTGTACTTTTAGTAAAGACGGGGTTTCACCATGTTGGACAGGCTGGCCTTGAACTCCTGACCTCAGGTGATCCACCCTCCTCGGCCTCCCAAAGTGCTGAGATTACAGGCATGAGCCACCGTGCCCAGCCTAATCTTTGGATTTGGATAATTTTGTGTAACCTTTCTACATTGAGAAGACTCAGGACTTGTGGAGGGCTTCACATGTGTGATGCAGTGATGTTTTAAGGTATTGCTGGATACCAGTGGTTTAATATATTTTAACAGAGGCATTTTTCCTTTCTCCACCATTACAAATTTCAACTCACCAATATCTGTTAAAGACGTTCTGAGTTCTAGGCATCCTAAGGAGGAGGCATAGAAAACACCCAGGTGAGGGCTCTACAGTGACCAGGTATCTTTGGAACATAAATGGAATGTATTCATCAGAGGGAGAAATGATGCATGTGTATGAAATATGGTAAATACCATACCTCCAACATCACTCATGAGGTGAAGGAGGAAGGAAAAAAAGTCTCTGTTGTGAACTTCTATTCATACCACCCAGAAAAATCAGTGAAAAATAATTGAATGAAGAATAATAGGAAGTCAGTACCGTCTGAAAGGTTTTAAAAAGTTATCTAGGCCGGGTGCAGTGGCTCACACCTGTAATCCCAGCTCTTTGGGAGGTTGAGGCAGGTGGATCACAAGGTCAGGAGTTTAAGACCAGCCTGACCAAGATAGTGAAACCTCATCTCTACTAAAAATACAAAAATTAGCTAGGTGTGGTGGTGGGTACCTGTAATCCCAGCTACTCAGGAGTCTGAGAAGAGAATTGCTTGAACTCGGGAGGCAGAGGTTGCAGTGAGCCGAGATTGTGCCACTGCACTCCAGCCTGGGCGACAGAGCGAAACTCCATCTCAAAAAAAAAAAAAAAGAAAGAAAGTTACGTAAATCTTTATAAAATAATCTTGACTCTGGAATGGAATCAAAATTTAAATACCAGTTTCTTTTGTAAGACGTCTTTTCTATATTTGACTCAACCAAGTTCCTTTCTTTAGTGATAATAAATTGACTTTTGGAAGAAACAATAAACTCTGAGGGACAAAACGTTCATTTCAAAAGATGAATTTAGACTACTGGGACATTCTGCACATTCTGTGAACCTGGTATAAGCTTCTTTTTCTATAGCTACAGCCACGGAAATGCTTTCTTTCCTCAGGAAAAAAGGAGCAACAGTTTGGGTTTCATCTCATTCTGCACTCTTTTTTTCCGAGTGGCAAGCTATTTCCAAGTGTTTTAAACTATAAGTGTACCCACCATTGTACCCTATTGACTTTAAAAATCTGCCCATGATTTTTTTTTTTTTTTTTAGATGGAGTTTCCCTCTGTCTCCCAGGCTGGAGTGCAGTGGCGCGATTTCGGCTCACTGTGACCTCTGCCTCCCGGGTTCAAGTGATTCTCCTGCCTCAGCCTCCAAGTAGCTGAGGTTACACTGCATGCGCCGCCATGCCCAGCTAATTTTTGTGTTTTTAGTAGAGACGGGGTTTTGCCGTGTTGGCCAGGCTGGTTTCGAACTCCTGACCTCAAGAGATCCACCCGCCTTGGCCTCCCAAAGCGCTGGGATTTTAGGTGTGAGCCACTGCGCCCGGCCCCGCCCATAATTTTTTAAAAGCCTGATATTCATTTGTACCAAACTCTTAATGACCATTAATGGCTTCCATTTCTGATTTTCCCAACAATGTCTGAATTTTAGAATGCACACACACATACAGTTAAGATTACAAAAAAGATTCACTAGTAAGTAGCAAATCTCTTAACCTCCCTGGACTTAGTGTCTTAGTGTCTTCATGTACAAAATGGGACAATATTACCTGCCCCACTGACCTAGCAAAAGTATGATGTAAATCAAATGAGAACATGCATATGAAAACTTGAAGCTCTACAGAAACCTATGTGATATGGCTATTACTTTTTTAACAGCCATCAAAGCCTTAAACTTAAACATGGGATATTTAAGAGTGGTATCTCAGGCAATAGCTATAGCGTGGGGATATAGAGGCAGTCAAACCTCATTTCAGACAGAAGATTGCCTGCATTATTTACATATAAATGCAACCTAGACATAACCTGATGCTGTGCTTTTAAAACATTTATTATTTATTATTAGTTTTTCATTTTTATACATTTACAGGGTGCAAGTGCAGTTTTGTTACATGGACATATTGAGTAGTGGTGAATTCTGGGCTTCTAGTGTACCCATCACCCGAAAAATGTATATTTTACCCAACAGGTCATTTCTTATCCCTCACTCTCCTCCCACCCTTGCACCTTTTGGAGTCTCCAATGTCTATTATTGCACTCTGTATGGCCATATTTACCCATCGTTTAGCTCCTACTTATCAGTAAAAACGTGATATTTTACTTTCTGTTTCTGAGTTATTTCACTTAAGGTAATGGCCTCCTGTTCCATCTGTGAGATGTGCTTTTAAAAATTAACAACAGGAGTTTCCTTGCCTATAGATTTAAAGATATTTATCCTTGTTATTAATTCATGCTGTCTCCGGTAAGGCACAAAGGCAGCTCATTAGTAATGCTCCAGCTCCCCACAGTGGGCACGTTGCTTACATGCACTTTGATAAGCGTCAGGGACTGACACCGAAGTGTTGAGTGAATCCCCTGAGTAGCCCTACCCTCTACTTCTGAAACCTTGATTCAGGTCCAAGGATCATGTGTAGGTGCAAAGCACCCTGTGCCACACTGGGACCTGGGAGGCTCATTTTCAGTACATCTACTTTGTTCCTTCTTTTTTCTGTAATGTGACAACACCACTGTGGCTCAAGCTTTCAGGTGGTCCCAATCTGCTCCCAGAGGCACTTTATCTGTGACTTTCCTAGCTGGGTAGTGCCCTTGATTTTCTGATCCCCAAAACATAGCTGCTTTGTGATTCATTCAGCACCCTACTGTCTGTGAGGTGACAGTGAACTAATTTGGTGAGAAACTGATTTGAAAACTAATTTGGAAGAAACTGACAGCAACCTCAGAAGGTGTGGCTTTCACCAGAAACATCTGACGCTTACATACTTACTATAGACCAATAATCTATAAATATAAAATGTAAATGTTATGTCCTTATTCTCCTTTGATGACAATGCCTTCATCAAAAGGAGAGCTGTTAGGGATTTCTGCCCTGATCATACCATGTGACTATATGACACCATTTTCAGGGAAGTTTCAAAGTGAGCGGAGTGAGGAGTTCTGCTCCCTTATGTCTTTGCCCAAAGAGGGAGTGGACGCAGACTCAGCAGAGTCTGCAGTCTTGGTACTGCAGGGATGGCTCCTCCTCTGTCCCTGTTCATCGTGCCATTGACAATTTTCAAAATCCTTTCATTTATACTATCTCATTTGAGCCTCTCAAAACCTCCTCTCCTTCCTTTCATGTCAGCTATGACCTGTTCAACAGATATTATAATCATAGGGAATGAAAATGGATGTTAACCTGAAAGGGAAATTAGTTTAAACCAAAATCTCTTTCCTTGTTGAAAGTCACAAGACAATTGCCCAGAAAAAAAAAAAAAAAACTTTAAAAACTGATATTGTAAAACCTTTTTTTGAGTGTTAGACAATAAAAGTGTCAGATAAAGAGACTTATCTCTCAAGTATTAATATTAAGTGCCCAATGGCAAAATAGCATTTACAGTTCTGCTTTTATTTTCCACCAAATCACCTAATAACATTTTCTAGCGTTTAATTGGTAGAAATTCACCCTTGGAGTAAAAGGTGAATGCTTAGTATCCTAAAGAGTGGGGTGAGGGAATGTGTTGTAATTTAATAAACTAGGAAACCAACTACATACATTCAAATCTTAATTTGCTCCAGAAAACGGCCTAGATCCCTGTTAATCTTTAAACATTAAAACAATAACCCTTTAAGATTATAAAATCAAAATTCTCTCTGCTAAAACCTTACCTTTGTCTGTCTTAACCATATTGCAGAAAATTCCAGCGACTTTACCATGACTGGATGAGTCATAAATAAAACCCATTAGGTCAGGTACTTAGAAATTAAACACACATAATTTCAGGGACAAATATAAAAGCTGGACCAAATCAGAGCCTGCAAGCCCTTAACGTTGCTTCTTTGCCTGGCCTTGGAATTGAAATGACTATGGGGATGAAGTGTCACTGGGGCATGTTGCAAAATGGAAAAGGAACCTGGTTAACAGGATCGCATTTGGAGAAGGAAAACTTTTGGATTCTGTTTCCAGGGCACATACATATGACCTGGTATGTGGGTATGTGCCCCCGATTTATTTCAATTAAATAATTTCTGATAACTATTTACAGCCTCATTGCCTTCAATATAATATCCTGCATGGCAAAATATGTTTTTCTTTAAAAATATTTATGTTTTTGCATATGATTACAGAGTGTGATTTTTGAGCATTGGTTTATTCAGCATTTGTGTCACTCTAAGAAAATAGAAAATAGTATCTAAGGAGTATATGAGCTCAGTACCAGCCCTGTTATACTGAACTCAGACTCTAATCCTAATCCCTGGTGGGTTTTTTTGTTTTTTGCTTTTGAGGCGGAGTCTCACCCTGTCATCTAGGCTGGAGTGCAATGGTGCGATCTCGGCTCACTGCAACCTCCGTCTCCTGGGTTCAAATGATTCTCCTGTCTCAGCCTCCGAGTAGCTGGGATTATAGGCGCCCACCACCACGCCTGGCTAATTTTTTTTTGTATTTTCAGTAGAGACGGGGTTTCACTGTGTTGACCAGGCTGGTCTCAAACTCTTGACCTCGTGATCTGCCCGCCTGGGCCTCCCAAAGTGCTGGGATTACAGGCGTGAGCCACCGCGCCCAGCCCCTGGTGGATTGTTTTACATTCAAATTAATAATGAACTCTACTGTCTTCAATCTAGCAAGATCTAGTCAGCACCATAGGAGAAAGTGCTGCCTTGGGAGCTGCAGGCATTGTTATTTGGGGAGACATGAATTTAACTGCATCCAAGGTAAGTCAGTATCTTGAAGGTATATTTAATGTTTTCTATTAAAAGTATTTCTCTGCTTTCTTGGAGAGCTTAATGACCTCCATAGCAAACCAGCTTTAGAATAAATATTCCAAATCAGTGCCTGATACATAGCAAAGGCTAAAAAATATTGTGAACTTTTATAAAGATAGTAATCATAACACTGACATTTGATGAATATTTATGATGCGCTAAGGTTGTGCTAAGAGATTTTTTGAGTCGGATTTGCTCACTTACTGGTCATATGAGGTAGTGACTATCATCCTCATTTACAGATGGTGAAACTAGAGAGGAAACCAACTAGGTTAATAACTATTTAGGATAGTTAGTGGTAGAGTTGGCATTAGCCACAGTTTGATGATGGACACCTTGCATTTAATGACTATAGAAAATGTGTTATATACTATTTTGAGAGGTAGAAACAGGTGGTAACTTTTTAATTCTCCACAATGAAGTTACTTTTTCCTCTACAGAGAAATCAGCTGAAAATTATCAGCATTTAAAATAAGATTTATGGCGGGGCACGGTGGCTCATGCCTGTAATTCCTGCATTTTGGGAGGTGGGATCACTTCAGGCCAGGAGTTCGAGACCAGCCTGACTGACATGAAGAAAGCCAGTCTCTACTAGAAATATAAAAATTAGGCGAGTGTGATGACACATGCCTGTAATCCCAGCTGCTCGGGAGGCTGAGGCAGGAGAATCACTTGAAGCTGGGAGGCAGAGGTTGCAGTGAGCCAAGATGACACCACTGCACTCGAGCCTGGTTCAAAGAGTGAGACTCCATCTCAAAAAAAAAAAAAAAAGAAAAAAAAAAGATTTATATGGCTCTTCAAATTTCTCTCAGCTGAGATTTTTTTTTACTCCAGGAAAGATTCCTAGTTTTCCCCAATCCACATTAATCACAATCTCTTCCATATTTCCAGATGCGGTTTGTTTATATTTCTATAATGTAATGCATTTTACCTTGAATACTGGCACCCTTGACACTTTTTGCTAAATTGAATTTTTTTGCAAGTCCATGATGATCTGATATTATTCTCAGAATTTCACAGTCTCAATTTGTTGCTACTGAGATAGTGTTCATGAAACTGTTTATGCCTATGCCCACATATGAGAATTAGGTAGAAACTGAGAGGATTAATTCCTGACTTTCCAGGTGTGATATTTCCACCCCAGTCCCTTGGTGGCTCGTCAGAAGAGCTTCATCAGGAAGGTGGGTGCACACAGGTGGCCTCTGTTTAGAACACGTAATAGGAACCATATACACAAAAGTTACTTAGCCATATAGGTTTTCATGTGTTTGAATTGTATTAGAAGTACAGGACCCAGGACAGTTGATGGAAATTAACAGGAAAATCCAGAAGGCTATAATACTTGGTAGAATGGTGGCATAAGATGATTTGACAATAAATGATGGACTATGATTCAGGCTCTAACACAACCAAGGAAGGCCCCACATACCTGAATGGTAGCTGAGGGCAGCAGTTCTGGTACATTCCTAATTTGGGTTTGTTCCTTTTCCTTTTATACCCATTAACTTGGGAGCTAGAAGGAAGAAAAAAAGAATGTAAATTGCAGAAAGGCAAGGTCTCATGTGCTGATTCTGGGGGCTATTTGCAAGTTCAGTTGCTTAGCCTGATTATAACATAGTATCCATCTCCTGCCCCTCAGACCTCTCCCCTTTCTGATTTGGGACCCTTGTTATAGTGCCCAGGAGCCTACAAGTTCAACAACTGAACCAAGCCATTATGTTTTAATCAAGACCAAAGAACTGTGCTAGAAGCTCTAATTCTATCAGTACCAGCGAGAAACACTAAAATCGATTTCTTTGTACATTTCTACCAGGGAGAACACACTAAAATTGATTTCTTCCTACATTTCTAGGCCAACTGTACAAAGGTGAAGCAGTTTGTGAGTTCTGATTTAGGGAGCTACATAGCCAATGTGACCAGAGCTGCTGAGGTATGCAGCCTTCACCTCTGCAGGAACAATGGCAGGTGCATAAGGAAGATGTGGAACGCGCCCAGTTACCTTCACTTGAACCCTGCAAGTTACCACATAGAGGCCTCTGAGGACGGGGAGTTTACTGTGAAAGGAAAAGCATCTGATACAGACCTGGCAGTGATGGCAGATACATTTTCCTGTCATTGTTATCAGGGATATGAAGGAGCTGATTGCAGAGAAATAAAGACGGCTGATGGCTGCTCTGGGGTTTCCCCTTCTCCTGGTTCACTAATGACACTTTGTCTACTGCTTTTAGCAAGTTATCGAAGCATTCAGTTGTGAGATAATTGAGTTTAAAGGGAATTGTGTGGCCTCTAGCCTAGTCATTTAAAGAAGGATGTAACTTATAACATTTTTTTTCTCTTATGAATTCTATTGAGAGATATTATAAGTAGACATTATGTATGTCACTTAACATAAACAGAAACATTATTTTATTTGCCTCCAGTCTGGCTAGGAAACCAGATCTGGGGTAAAGTCAATGTACACTTCCTCCTTATTGGAATATTTAAGTTGCATTTAAACTAAAACTAGTATAATTTAGTCTTTTCATGAATGTACATACATAAAATTATACATAAAAATATTAAATTATTCATTTCAAAGACTGTTTTTTCAAGTTGGCAATTTATTTAAGGACACATTACTAAGTAATCATCTGATTTAACAGAAGGGGTCACCTGGTCAACTGGTCCACTGAAGAGGACTAAATCCAGTTTCTATTCTAGCCTCGGGTTCACACTAGGTTTCTGTTTCCCACTTGGACTCATTAAATGCAGAACCATTCCTGGCATAGCTTCTCATGAGGGGCCGGAGACTGAGGTAAGGGGGAGCCATTACCAACTTGCAAAGCACCAATTCTAAGATGGCACTTGGAGTCCTTCCTTCGTAGACCCTGGCAGTCTGAACACTGTCAAGGCTTTGGGATAATATTCATGCTTACCTACCCTGACACTGCTGTAGATCTGGGAGCTGGAGCCATATTAGTAAAGATGCAGTTGGTGACTTTTGCAAGCAAAAATCATTATGTAGAAAACATGACATTTAAGGGGTCCAGAAGTGCTGTGGAAAAGGAGGCCTATGAGAAATGTTAGATATTTTTGCTTTCCCCTTCCCATGTATGACTTTTTATAGTGAATTTAGAGTCATTTTGAATCAATTTGAATCATGGTTTCACTACGTATCTAGTTGTGTGACCTTGGGAAATTTACCTACAGTCCCCATTTTGTTATCTGAAATTTAGTAATATAACTCCGACTTCAATTAATTATTCTGAGGAGTAAATGGAATAACATAGCCATTGCATACTTGGACTCCGCTGTTGATCCTCAACTGACTTTTTTTTTTTTTTTTTTTTTTGTAGTGATGGGGTCTTGTTTTGTTATCCAGCCCGGTCTCGGACTTCCAGGCTCAAGAGATCCTCTTGCCTTAGCCTCCCAAAGTTCTGGGATTATAGGTGTGAACCACGGCACCCAGCCTCAACCAACTGTTGATTACCAAAGTAATGGGAAAGTGCAGGATAAAACAGGGTCTTGGGCAATTTCTACTTCTTGATGCTATATTCTGTTTAAAATCACTTATACGCATTGTGTTTTTCTCTTGAGAGTCATGTTTAATTGATAGGACTTCCTTCTTCTGGAGACAATCTACTTGAAAGGTAAACTCAAAGTAAGTAATGATGCTGTTGTAGAAGAAATTATAGTTGATTCAACCTCCTTCTTCACCTCTGTTTTTCTGTGAAACATTTGAAATCCAGGTGTGTTCTTTTCAACTGCGAGTCTATGCTTGTTGGAGGTTATTGACATTGTTAAGGTCTAATTTCTAAATGTAAAAAACATAACAAAACAAAATGCTGTGAATGGTAGGTAGTATTGCATTGATTAGCTTTTTAAAAAATTAAACTTATTTCTATATCAAAGATGATACAATGAAATTATAGAAAATTTGTGAAAATAGAAAAAATGATAAAGGAAATCACCAATAATCACTATAACATAAACGGGTAACTTTTGGTATATTACTTTCTAATATTTCTTCTAAAGACCTTTTAATATGTTTGTAATAGTAATATATGCATATGCATTTTCACTTACCCATCCATTATAAGTAGTATCCGTGTTATTTCATAAACTTTATAGCTATTACTTAAAATCATTTTTAAGGCCACATAATGGTCTATCAACTAGATGTAACACAATTTAATTAACAATTTTCTGTATGCTGTGATTTTTTTTAAATGCCAAGCTTTTACTATTTAGTCACTTCATCAGAGAAAACTTTCCAGATCATCCTTCTAATTCATTCATTCACTCATTGATCAGTTTGTTTGTTAATCAATTTATTGAGCATTACACGTTAGTAGGTACTGCCTAAGCTTTGGAATACATCCTTGAACAAAACAGACAAAGAGTCCTGGCATCTTGGAATTTACGTTATAGCTCAGAGAAACATATTAAACACACAAATAAGCAATTTATATCATATGTTAGAAGGGGATAAGATTTATAGGAAAAAATATAGAGAGCAGAGTGGGGGAGGGAGGGATATTCTGTGTTTAGGCCTCATCAAGCAGGTGCCCATTTGAACGAAAACTTGAAAAAGGAGAGAGAGTTAGCCATGAGAATACTTGGGGGAAGGGTATGCCAGGCGCACAAATCAGCTGTTGCAAATTTGGTAGTGGGCCTGGTGTATTCCATTTTCTGTCGTTCCTTACTAGAATGTAAACTAGGAAAATGAGGACTTCACTTTGTTCACTGCTAGAACACTACTTGCTACAGTGTCTGACACTTAGTAGGTCTTCAACAAGTATCGTTAAATGAAGGAATTAATGAGTGATTCAGAAACCTGAATCGGTAGAACCTATAAATACGTTGTAATTTTTTTTTAACTCTGCACATCAGTAGTGAGTTATTACAAAGTTCTTCTCAAGCATTACTGTTCTATTTTTATCCTAGAAGATTAGCTTGTGAAATCACATATCCTCATTCCCCTGTGAAGAATTGAGACCTGGAGAGAATAAATCTCTTGACAAACTCAAATGGCGAGTTTGTAAAAGAGCCCAGTCTGTAATCCCAGTTGCTGAGCTTTCTTTCTATCATAACTTTGTCTTCCTCTTCTTGTAAATGAATCCAAATATACTTGTTCTAATTTTGAGCATAAATTTAATGCATTTTAACATTTTTCTTAATTTGGGCTGCTACTACTGGTTATGTTCAATCATTTCTCACATTTTGCAGCTGTAGATTACCTGTGCATTTAATTTGGCTCACTGCTCCTGGATAGGAAATCTACCTCCTACTCCGCTTGATGACCTCAGCTTCTTAGGATCATGGTAATTTTCCTTTACAGAAACAGCAAGATACCAGTCACTCTAATCTTTGGTGCTCTCCCTTATAAAAGGGAGATAATAATAATAATAATTTTTGTTCTTTTATACAGATTTAATGATATAAACTAGGTAACATAGCACAAAAGCTGACATATAAAACATTCTAGGAAATGTTAGCTGTTATTATGATGTACTTTCAATACTGGTTCTCATAAAAGTTGTGATAGGTAATATTATCTCTATTTTGAAGTACAAGAAATTATGTATAACTCAGAATAGTGAAATGACTTACTTAATATCACACAGCAGTTCCCAGGCTTTAAACCTTTACTTTTGAAACTTCAACTAATTTTCTTTCCATCAGATCTCCAGCAGAAACTATAGAAGACTTATTTGTACTTTTTAAAAACCAATTTACAAAGATATATAATTCACAAGTATAGTGATTCTGGTATCAGGCAGTCAGTGCTTTCTTTGACCCCTTGGAAGAAAAACTGTTAAATTAACTGGTCTACTAGCAATGTACCCATCTGACATACTCTAAGTATCTAAATTTTGTTTATTCATAAAGAAACCAGGACTCCTTAGGAAAATGTCTGATTCCAGGCCTATCTAAGACAGGAATTGCTCTAGATGAGTCTGGAATCTCTTCTTATAACATAAAGCAAGGAAGCTATCAAGGATTACTAGAATTGTATCAAAAGCACCCTTGAGTCAACTTAAAAGAGCCTCCCACTGTCAAACATGTGAAATTTGAAAATCACTGAAGAAATACTAACTGCAATGGGTTGAAATACATCAGATATATTTAAATCCATGAAGTCAAAATGATACTAAAACAAACCCAAAAATCTTTCATTGGCCACTTTTGAACAATATTAAGGAATCAACTCATTACTCTGAAAACTGATAATCAATCATTTATTCTGCATTTCCTACATAATCTGTACTTGAGGGTAACCAAATAGTGAAGGAGAGTAATTTCTTTTTATTCAAGCCAATAAACGGGGAAAGTATGATGTAATTAGAATAGAACAATTTTGTAACTTCTAATTAATGGATAGAGGCATTGACCCTCAATAGCTGCTAAAATCACAAAAAAGAGTCAACCAGACAATTATATACCACCTAGTTGAAGTATGAAACATCAACTAAGAATAATCCTTCCAGAAATCAAGCTGAAATTTGATCAGGCCTTTAAAATTTAGCTACTTCCGATGTTTTCAGCATGGTTTGGGAAAAAAAAATCTATCTACTAACTCAAGAAACATAAAGAATAAGGGAAAATGCTAAACAAGAAGTTAGAGATGACATCATCAAAATTTAGATCCTAGGGAATTCTACAGGACAAATAACTTGAATTTATCAACAAATAAGAAAAAAATGGCGAAGGAATCCATATGTATATCAACATGGAGCTTGCTAAATTATAGTACATCTGCATATTGGGGAAGTATTCAATTTTACAAAGAAATGAGGAATAACATCTCTATGCTAATCTCAAAAGATATCTAAAAATTATTTTGTTTAGACTTTATTTTGACTGCCATCTAATCATATTGAGAAAAACTCATGATCTCAGATATTAGAAATATATTTTTGGTCACATTCTAGAAAGACTTCCTGGAGACAGCTAAACTAAAGTTTCTTAAGCATGTACTGGGCCTGAAATTCTAAGGGTCTTAAGAATGTACTGGGTTTGAAATTCTATTACAGATAAAAAGCCATAAATGATTCAAGGAAATGATAATTTCATCAATAAAAGGAAACCAGGAGAAGCCATTTGAAGCCACACACAACAAATATAAAATCATATATGGTGCTGTTATTGTTTTTGAGATTTTGCTTATTCTAAACCTTGAACAGCAGGTCTGTTACAATATTATAATTATAAACTTATATGATAAAGATTTAATAATTGGAAAAATTAATTTTGTGCCAAAATGAATGTTAGTATTATGGTTTTCATTCCTACCAGAGAACTAAGTACATACAGACACTCTTACTTTTGTATTTAATGCTGATCTTAAGAACTTGGAAAAATCTGAATGTTACTGAAAATTCATATATGAACTGGACACTTTGTTCCCTCCTAAGGGCCCAGGAGCTATCAATTTTTTATTTCTAGTATCACTTCAATTGTACAAACTTAAAATGGGAGACTTTGTTCTCTGTTTCTGGAAAATGAAAGTTCTTGGGTTATCACTGGGACTACTTATTGCATTCGGCATTCTCTTCCACTAAGATACCTAGCATAGTGGTTAATTGTATGTGTCAACTTGACTGAGCCATAGACTGTGTTTATTCTGAGCGTGTCTGTGAGGGCGTTTTGGAATGAGGTTAACATTTACACGAGAAGACTGAGTAAAGCAGATTGTCCTCCCCAGTGTGGTGGGCCTCATCCAATCTGTTGAAGGCCTGAACAAAGGCAGTGTAAGGGAGACTTAAGCTCTGTGTTTGAGCTGAGACATTGGTCTTTTCCTGTCTTCAGACTCAGACACAGACTGAAGTTATGCCATCAGCCCACCTAATCCTCAGTCCTGTATCATTGAGTCTCCTGAACCTCCAGCTTTCCAACTACAGATCTTGGAACTTCTCAGCCTCCATAACTGTGAACCCATTTATTAGAGTAAATCTCTCTCTCTCTTTCTCTCTGATAAACACACACACACACACACACACACACACACACACACACACACACACTATTGGTTCTGTTTCTCGGGAGAATGCAGACTAATACACCAAGAAAAGTAATTTTCTGCTGTCAAATTTATTGCTATCCACAAAAGACAACAAGTGTTGCCAAGAATGTGGAGAAATTGGGGCCCTTGCTTATTGTTGGTGAGAATGAAAAATGAGGCAGCCACTAGGGTAAACAGTATGGAAGTTCCTAAAAAAAATTAAAAATAGAACTACCATATGATCTAGCAATCCCTCTTCCGAGTATTTTCCTAAAAGAATTGAAATCAGGATCTCAAAGAGATATAAGCCTCCCTGTGTTAACTGAAGTACTATTTACAATAGACAATATGTAGAGATAACCTAAAACTGTATCAACTTCTCATTACTCAGAATATGTACTTTCCAAAATGATTTATAAATATGACATTCATTATTGAAATATGTGCAGGAGTTAGAAAAACTGGATAATTGAGTTGAGCACATTATCAAGCATTTACTTTGTTTCTTGATGTAAGAGATACTTCTGATAGTTCTGATCAACAACATGTGTGTTTTTTTTAAGATATAAAACTTTGTCTAATGGCACCACATCAGCAGAGACTTTCTGCTTCTATTTTTTCCTAATGTTATGATTGTTAACTAGCATTTACCATCTAATAAGCTATTAATGTGTCACTGATTCGCACAGAAAAACCAGACTCATTTATTACTAAAACGATTGTAATCAGTATACCAAAATAACTGACTTCATTGCTTTCTATATTCAAGATCAAAGTGTTGTCTTATTTTTGAGTTTTCTTTGTGGAACCAAAATGCTAATTTATTCCTTATAAAGGCTTCAGTGTCAAAGGAGATTGCGTGTTTGAATGAAAATAGACGTATACTTCCTTTTAAGGAACTAAATAATGAAAAAGTTGAATAAGACCACTCTAGAGAAATTAATACTATAAATTTTGCTATACCCTCATAGGCCAAAGTCCTCAAAAATAGTTAATCTATCAGAAAGATATAACAATTCTAAGCATATGTACACTTAATATCAGATAACCAGAATATATGAAGCAATACTGACAGAAATGAAGGGAGATATATACAATTCAACAATCAAACAATCATAGATGGAGACTTAAATAATGAATAGAATGGCTAGGCAGAAGATAACTAGAAAACAAAATACTTCAACATTATAAACAAACTTGATGTAACAGCCATCTATAGAAAATTCCACCCAAATAAAAAAAGAATATGCGTTCTTCTCAAGTACACATAGAACATTCTCAAAAACAAACCGAATACTAGACCATAAAACAAATCTCAATAAATGTAAAAGTATAGAAGTAATTAAAGTATGTTCTCCAGTCACAATGGAATGATGTTAGAAATAAGTAGCATAAATTAATTTGGGAAACTCACAAATATGTGAAAATTGAACAACACACTCCTAAATAATCAGTGGGTTAAAGACATATCCCAAGAGAAATTGGAAAATACTTCAAGACAAATAAAAATCAAGACACAACATATGAAAACTTGTGTAATGCTGCTTAAGTAGTGCTGAGAGGAAAATTTGTAACTATAAATATCCATATTTTATAAACAAGATCTCAAATGAATAACCTAACCTTCCACTATAAGACAATGGAAAAAGGAGAGTAAGCAAAACTTAAAGCAAGTATTAATAAAAGGAAAAAAAATAAAGATCAGAGTGGAACTTAATGAAATAGAGAATAAAAAACCAGTAGAGAAAATCAAGGAAAACAAAAGCTAGTTCTTTGAAAAGCTAAAACAGAGAAACCTTTAACCAGATTGACATGGGAAAAAGAAGACTCAAATTATAAGAATTAGAAATGAAAGAAGGGCCAGCACAGTGGCTTATGCCTGTAATTCCAGAATTTTGGAAGGCTGAGGTGTGAGGATCACTTGAGCTCAGGAGTTCAAGATGAACCTGGGTAACATAGGGAGATCCCGTCTCTACAAAAAATAAAAAAATTAACCAGGCATGGTATGCACATCTGTGGTCTCAGCTACTTAGGAGGTAGAGGTGGGAGGATTGATTGCTTGAGCCTGGGAGGTTAGGCTGCAGTGAACCATGATCACACCACTGCACTCCAGTCTGGGTGAAAGAGTGAGACCCTGTTTCAGAAAAAAAAAAAAAGAAAGAAAAGAAAAAGAAAATAAATGAAGGAGAAGATATTACCACTTCTCTTACAGAAAAATAAAGAATTATAAAGGAATATTATGAATATTTGTATGCCAATAAGTTAGATAACTTAGACGAAATGGACAAATACCTAGAAAGACACAAGCTATTATTATAAAACTCACTTAATAAGACAATCTCCATAGACATGGAATAAGTAAGAGATTGAATATGTAAAAGCAAAATAAAGCAAAACAAACAAGCAAAACTATACACAAAGAAAAGCTCATGCCCAGATGGTTTCACTGGTGAATTCTATCAAACATTTAAAGAAAAATTAATACCATTTAAAAAGAAAATCTTTCAAAGTATATGAGGGAGGACCACTTTTCAACTTACTCTGTAAAACCAGTATCACACTCATACAAAAACCAGACACAAGCATTACAAAAAATTATAGACCAATATATTTTATGAATATAAATGGAATACTCCTCAACAAAATACTAGCCAACTACATCTAGCAACATTTAAAAAGAATTACACGGCATGATCAAGTAGAGTTTATCACAGGAATGCAAGTGGTTTGTCAGTTAAAAATCAATTGTCAATATAGTACACCATATCAATAGAACAAAGAACAAAAACGATATGATAGTTTCAATAGATGCAGAAAAGACATTTAACAAAATTCAACTCCCTTTCCTGATAAGAATACTCAAAAAAAAAAAAAGAAAGAAAAAGGATAGAACTCCCTCAATCTGATAAAAGGCACCAACAAAAACCCATAGCTAGCATCATATTTAGTGGTGAAAGACTGGTTGCTATCCCACTAAGAGTAGGAAAAAAACCCACCAAGATATAAGGGGCTTTTGCCCCTTGTATTTAACATGATACTGGAAGTTCTAACCAGGTCAATTGGGCAAGAAAAATAAGTAAAAGTCATTCAGATTGAAAAGGAAGAAGTAAAACGATCTCTATTTGCAGATGACATGATTTTATATACAGAAAATCCTAAGGAATTTAGAAGCTATTAGAATTAATAAACAATTATAGCCGGGTTGCAGGATAAAGGTCAATATGTAAAGATAAATTGTGAGCCATCTGAAATAATATTAAAAAGTCAATTTTATTTATAATAGCATCAAAATAAAATATTTAGAAATAAATTTAACAAAATATCAAAATTATATTGTGAAAACTACAAAACGTTGTTGAAAAAGTTAAAGAAGATAAATAAATGGAAAAACATCTGTTCATGGATCTAAAAGTTTAGTATTGCTAAGATCACAATACTTTTCAAATTGACCTAGAGATTCAACAGAATCCCTATTCAGAATCATCCCTGGATTATCTGTAGAAATTGACAAACTGACTCTAAGATTCAGATGGAATTTCAAGGAATACAGAACAGCTGAAACAATCTTGACAAAAAAGAATAAAGTTTGAGGTCTCAAACTTCTGAATTTCAAAATTTACTACCAAGAAACTTCAATCAAGTGAGTGAAGCCTAAGGATAAATATATGAATCAATGGAATAGAATTATGAAGATTCTATGGAGAGTTCAGAAGTAAACCCATGTGTCTATGGTTAACTGATTTTGGTTGAGTATCAAGACCATTAGGTGAAGAAAAGGATAGTCTTTTCTAGAAATGGTCTTGGAAGAACTGGATAGCCACATGCAGAAGAAGGAATTTGAACTCCTACCTCACACCATATGTAAAAATTTACTCAAAACATATCAAAGACCTAAAAGTAAGAGCAAAAACTATAAAACTCTTAGAATAAAACATTGGGATAAATCTCCATGACCTTGTATCTGGCAATGGATTCATAAACATGACACCAAAACCATGAAGAACAACAACTACAAATAGGTAAATTGAACTTCATTGATTAAAACATTTGTGCTTCAAAGGACACTATGAAGAAAGTGAAGACAACCCACAGAATGGGAGAAAATTTTTGCAAATCTTAAATCTAGCAAGAGAGTTGTGTTTAGAATATAAAGAATACTTAAATCTCAATAATCAAAACAAATAACCCAATTAAAAAATGGGCCAAGGAGTTGAATCAACATTTTTTCCAAAGAAAATAAACAAATTACCAATAAATACATAAAAAATGCTAAATATCATTAATTCTTAGGGAATTAAAAAGAAAGACTTTAGTTAACAATAACCTATTGTATATTTCAAAGTAGCTAGAAGGAAGAATTTGAATGTTTCCAGCATAAAGAAAAGATAAATGTTTAAAATGATGGATACCCCAATTACCTTGATTTGATTTTTACACATTATATGTAGCAAAATATCACATGTACTCTAAAAATATGTACCTCTATTTTGTGTCAATTTAAAAAACCTTCTATTATACAATGACACACCATTTCATATCCACTAGATTGGCTATAATTCGAAAGTCAGATAAAAAATGTCGACAAAGATACGGAGAAATGAGACTTTTCATACACTGCTAGTTGAATGTAAAATGGCACAGCTGCTTTGTTGAACTTCCTGGTAGTTCCTTTAATAGTTAAACATAGAGTTGCCATATAAGCTAGTGATAGATGCAAGAGGCAGTTAAAGGAACCTACACAGGGTCTTACCTGGGCATGCCCGCAACAGACTGGGGGCCTGCATGCACCCTGAAAAAATGGGGTGGAGCCACCAAGGATTTTCACCTTATGCAGCGGGAGAAGCCTAGCCTCTTCACCTTTGTGTGTGGTGGCCTGGTATTCACTCTATGAGTTGGGAGCCTGTTGGCAGGACCCCTTCTTTCTTTGCTGTGGGCTTTCTTTTTGCTTAATATATCTGCCCTCCTCATCCTTCAATGTGTCTGTGTGTCTAATTTTCCCTGGTCATGAGTCAAGAGCCTGGATTTTAGCTGAACTAAGGAGCAAAAAATCCTGCATCACTAGCATTTCCACCCTTAGGTATATACCCAAGGTAAATGAAAATACATGTCCATACAGAAACTTGTACATAAATGTTTATAGAAGTAGTATTCATAATAATGAAAAGGTGAGAACAACCCAAATGCTCATCAACTGATGAATGGATAAAATGTAATATCTTCATACAATGGAATATTGTTTGCCACAAAAAGGAATGACACATAAATACATGCTACCATTGGGGTGCAGAAAACAGTTCCTCAAAATATAGTGCTTGGGCATATTGAATGCTTTTGCAAATTAAAAGGCCTCAGAAATAAGCCTCAGAATTAAGATCCTTCTAACATTGTCTTGTTCCTCCCCCAACCCCAAGTACAGGGAACAATTTTTGACTGGAACTTCCTTATCTGACCAAGAAAGCTTATTACCAAAAGAAACACAATTACCTTCTATCCTCTCCCTGAAATCTCATTATCTATTGCAGAAAAGAAGACTGAGGAATGCAACCACAACTGAATGGACTTTTCCACAAGATAATTTCTGCCTCTTGGACCCATTCAAATTCCAAAGAGAATCATTTAGAAATTAATTTGTCTCCCTAGTTCATTCATTCTCCCTAATTATCATGTACTACCACTCAAAAGAATTGTCTACATTTCCCACTTCCTTTCTCCCCTATGAAAAGGGTAAATAAACTTTTGTACCCCATTTGGAGGTTAGGCATGTTAATAAAATGTGTATGCCTTTTCTCCTCCTGCCTTTTGTCAGGTAATTTTCGGTAAACTTTCAGAGGGCAAAGGGGAAGTTTGCCTTTCATCCTTACAGTCTGGTACTGTACACTTAGTAACAAATCACTCTGTTCATTCTGAGGGCTATGAATGGGATCTTGGGACAGTTGACAAAAAGCCAGAAAAGAAAGGTAAGAATTTGTTTTTGTTTTTTTTTAACCAGGTAAGTTCTCCCAGATAGCTGCCTGTGGTGCCAGATCAAATAAAGGTAGTAAGAGTATTTGTCTTTTTCCCTCCCCAAATTGGGTTAACAGGTGGGGTTTGGGGAAGGGAGTATGAGAACTAGCTCACTTATGAAATAAGTTAATTGTCTATATTTAACTTTTTAGAGAATTCTGTCTTAAACCCTTATCCTATCGGTATCTATGAAAAGATACAAAAAGAATATGGCCTAAAAAGTTCCCTTGGCAAGGTTAATAAAAAAGAGAAACAAAGCAGAAATCGGATTTAAAACAAAGTTAAAATATTTTGTACACTCAAACTGGCTTCCTTGAATTCCCTGAAAAGTTTGCAATGAAGGACATTCCATTTTGTAATCTTGTAGTTAAAATGCCATGTTTTTACCACAATGTCCTGGGTTTGATTGCCAGTCAGGGAATCTGTCGCTTGGAAACGTAAGTCCTTTAACTTGGGAGAAGAAACGTTTATTTAAAAATTGATTTGATGTTTGTGTTACTCTTGACTTTTGGGGTACCCATTTGTTATTAATCCTTTTCCCTTTCGTTTATAGTTTTTGATTTCCTGTCTTCTGTCTCTATGAGGCACATAAGGCTTTCAGGCCTTTTTGTGTAGATCAGATGAAAAGCTGGGACCCTAGAGAATATGGCTGGACAAAAATGTGGCTTGTACCCACTTTGTGACTAGCAAAACATTTCTTTATTTGAGCTGTCTTTGGAGGTGGTTCTGGATCTTTTGAGAATGGCATTGCACCTCCTTGGACACACCTCACACATCCTTGGTTGTTTAGCTGTCTTTGGGGTGGTTCTGCATCTTGTGAGGATCATTTTGCACCTCTTTGGAGATATCTTGTGGTTACTTGGTTAAGTCAAAACCTTGGTTAAGACTTACTGGTTTTGGTGAGTCACTTGGAAAGTTATCTATGGTTTAAAAGAAAAAGGTTCAAAAGCTAGTAATATTGGCTGTTTTTCCTGGCTAAAATCTGATAAGATATTTGAAAAGATGTTTTTAAGAGCTGTGTGGTCAAAGTCAGCTTAATTAAAAGCTGATATTTGGCCGGGCGTGGTGGCTCACATCTGTAATCCCAGCACTTGGGAGGCCGAAGCGGGCGGATCCCCTGAGGTCAGGAGTTCGAGATGAGCCTGGACAACATGGTGAAACCCAGTCTCTACTAAAAATATAAAAAAATTAGCTGGCATGATAGCGCATGCCTGTAATCCCAGCTACTCAGGAGGCTGAGGTAGGGGAACTGCTTGAACCCGGGAGGTGGAGGTTGCAGTGAGCCGGGACCGCACCATTGCACTCCAGCCTGGGCAACAAGAATGAAACTCCGTCTCAGAAAAAACAAACAAATAAAGGCTGATATTCAGGAGATAGCCAGCTAGCTAGATATGCCTTTCTACTCTTTCTCTTTTGGATTATGTTTCTCTCCTGGGAACTTTTTTTTTTTCAGTCAACTAAACCCCTTTTCAATTATGTTTGATCCTTGTTTATCTCTTTTCTTATTGATGTAATTTTTACTGAGAAAAAATGTAAAGTTTCATTGGCCTTCTGGAAAGCTTAACATCGTCTCAAATTGGGTCCTCTAAGACTTGTTCTCTCATTTATTTCTACTCCTTCTTTTTTTTTGCTACCATTTATATTACATAAATCTATGTTACATTTAGTGACCCTGAGATCCTTGAGGAACACAGTAAAAGCCACCACATATCCCCTTTTCAGGGTCTTTTATTTTCCTCATGGAGTTCCAAGCATTATGGGCAGGTCTCTCTCAGGTCTAAAAGCTGTGCTGTCTCTCACATTAAGCATCTCTTTGGTTTTTGAGCGTAGCAGGGGCTAATATGTATTGTAAGAGCACTTGAATTTTGGGTATGTGATGGCTGGCAAGTCCCTGGCAAAGCTGCAGTTTTGAAGGTGGGCTGATAGTGGTTGCAGTGAGTGGTTATTACTGTAGATGGCTACTCATTTCTTTGTGCATTTAGATGAGAAAAGTGAGGGTTGTACACTTGAAGACTGTAGAAACACTTGCCATCAAGCTATAAGGCTCCCATGAGGGATGAGCTGATTAGAGTGTGTTGATTGGCATGAAGTTGTCCTTGCAGTGAGGTGCACTGTGGAAGCATTACACAGTCCAGTCCTGTGGTGTTTTCTCTTTGTGGGGACCCAGGATTCAGTGTAAACGTGAGATTCTTGATTTCTGGAGATCTGGATGTTCTGCCTTCCAGCTGCTCCTGCTTTTCACATATGTAAGTGTTAGGTCCTAAAAACTGCAAATGCTTTGTTGGCCTTACTTGTTAATGCACTTCTTGAGCTCAGTGATTCAGTTAATAAATGGAAGCTAAACCTAAAATCCACCTATATAACTAGATTGGTCTCCAAAATATGACTTTCCTGCCACTCAGCTGGTTATTTGGAAAGGTTTCTAAACTTTCTCTAGGTTAATCTATGTTTCTTTGTAAAATCCTGTAGTAAATTCCTATGATTTTGTTACCTTGATATCCACTTTTAATCGTCTCTAACACAGCCAAATTCTCTCTTAAAAACAACTTAAATTCTCTCTGTGTGCTTTGAGATATAAATTTACCACTCTTTTTTCTCCAGTACTAGGTAAGGATTTCATTCCTGTAGGACAGATCAACTTTAACTGGTTCCATTTATAAAGGTACAGTTTAAATCCATTGTCCTTTTAACCTACTCTGTTTTACTTGTTTCATGGATAAAAAATTAAAATTAAAGCTCTTGCATTTTTACATTTGTCTGTCTTTATTTCTGTGTATACATGTTTACATGTCTATCTTTATATATTTGTCTTTATATGGTACCAAATTGATAGACATAAATCAGTACTCATAAATTAAGTAAATAAGCCCAAATGCTTTGCAAGTTCATGTAACTTTAGTAATCTTTCATATATAAAGCTAGTTTTTAAATTATTTAGATTAAAATGTTTATAAAAATTTAGACACTTTTGCCTGAGCCTACTGGTCAGACTAATTTATTCTGTCTCTGCTAGATTTTTAACATCATAAAACTATTGTTTATGAGATATTTTTGATAGTTGCCTAATTTGTCTATAAGCTTATGTCTTTGGTTTTAAGTCTTTAGGTTCTGGGGTATAGACAGGAGACCACAGTTAGACCTGGAAATATATGTGTGTCTACAGTGCCTGGGTCATTAGCTGCAGTGCATGGCCAACTCCAATATGGCCCCGTATTTCCTGGTCCAGCTGTGTCTTCTGACCATTTTCAGAGGGATTGGATCCTACAGGCATTGTCTTTAGAGCTCTGTCCTCTGTCCTAAGTTCTGCACTTGATACTTAAAAATTAAAATTACTGGCCAGGCGCAGTTGTTCACACCTGTAATCCCAGCACTTTGGGAGGCCAAGGCAGGTGCATCATCTGAGGTTGGAAGTTTGAGACCAGCCTGACTAACATGCAGAAACCCTGACTCTACTAGAAATACAAAATAGCTGGGTGTGGTGGCACATGGCTGCAATCCCAGCTGCTCAGGAGGCTGAGGCAGGAAAATTGTTTGAACCAAGGAGGCAGAGGTTGCAGTGAGCTGAGATCGCACCATTGCACTCCAGCCTGGGCAACAAGAGCAAAACTCTGTCTCAAAAAATAAATAAATAAATAAATAAATAATTAAAATTACTTACTTCTTTGGTTTTTCAATAAAAATTAGCCTTACTGAGAGTTAACATTGAAGTTAATATATGTAATTAAAATTACTAGATATAGAGAAAACAATTCTGTATATGAAATATACAAAAATGTAAGATGTTTTTGATAAGTTATAAAAGGATATAAAAATGTGATTTTTCTTTAAAAAGTGATTTTCTTTCATTTAGAGGTTGTTTAAAGGTTGTTTTAAATCAAAGAAATAAAAAGTGATAGATAAAACTGAATATATTTAAATTGATAAAAGAAAAAGAATTAAAATTTGTAAAAGATTATAAAAGGTGTATAAAATCATGTATGTTCAAAGATGATTCAGATGGGATACATTTGTTTATAAGGTTTTGTTAAAATTAGCTTTAGTATTAATAATGTGCTAGTGAAAAGGTAAAATTTGGCTTTCTCTTTTAAATAAGATTGTCATGTAATAGTAATAAAAATAGTAAAATACTTTTGGAAGCCTTTTGATTATAAAGACAAAAACAGCAATAAGTGGGGAGAGTTTGCTTCATGTTGTCTTTATTCTTTTGATTGGTTGGTTGGAAAACTGAGTCTCCTGATATGGTTTGGCTTTGTCCCCACCCAAATCTCATCTTGACTTGTAGTTCTCATAATCTCCACATGTCGTGGGAGGGACCTGGTGGTAAGTAATTGAATCATGAGGTGGGTTACCCCCATGCTATTCTAGTGATAGCAAGTGAGTTCTCATGACAGCTGATGGTTTTATAAGGGTTTTTTCTCTCCTTTGTTCAGCACTTCTCCTTCCTGCAGCCATGTGAAAAAGGACGTTTGCTTCCCTTTCCACCATGATTTTAAGTTTCCAGAAGCCTCCCCAGCCATGCTGAACTGTGAGTCAATTAAACCTTTTTCCTTTATAAATTAGCCAGTATTGAGTTATATAACTTGTAAAGTATGTAAATTATACTTGGCTAATTAATAAATTAGCCAAATTAGCTAATATGTCTTTATTAGTAGCATGAGAATGGACTAATATACCTCCCTATCAATGAGTAAAGTTTTTTTGTTTGTTTTATTTTGTCTTTTTGTTTTTTGAAAATGTTTAATTATCACTTTAGCTAAATAAATGACTTATTTTACAGTGACCTGCAATCCTATTTTTCATCAAGTTTATTAAACTTTTTATATTTGACAAGCTTCTCAAACTCATATTTCAAATTCTAAATTAAGTCTTTTTGACCTTGAGCCAACTTTTGAACATTTCAAAAAGAGACCCCATGATATGGTTTGGCTCTGTGTCTCCACCTAAATCTCACCTTGAATTGTAATCCTCATAATCCCCATGTTTCAAGGTCAAGACAAGGTGGAGGTAATTCGATCATGGGGGCAGCTTCCCGAATGCTGTTGTTGTGAGAATGAGTAAGTCTCATGAGATCTGATGGTTTTATAAGGATCTGGCATTTCCTCTGCTTGCACTCACTCCATCCTGCCACACTGTGAAGAAGATGCCTGCTTCTCCTTTCCCTTCTGCCATGATTATAAATTTCCTGAGGCCTGCCCAGCAATGTGGAACTGTAAGTCAATTAAACCTCTTTCCTTTATAAATTACCCAGTCTCTAGTATTTCTTTGTAGCAGTGTGAGAATGGAGTAATATACCCTGGAAGTCCAAGAGAGACATATTAGGTTTACTTGTTGCATATGAGAGACATTGTCAAATAAGAAAAGACATTTAACCTTTTCTTGAGTGGATGTTATTAATATGTGCTCTAAATTATAAGATATCTAAAAAGTCTGATATGTCTTGGTATGTATTATCAGTCATAATTATGATTACTATGTTAAATTACTGTAGATCACAGAAAAAGTAACCAAATTTATTTGCCAATTGTATCTTTAACCATGGCTATACTAGGTCTTTTGTAATCCACAGGAAATTACTATCTTACTTTGATTCTTCTAAGAAAAGTGGTTGGGGGGAGGAGCCAAGATGGCGGAATAGGAACAGCTCCGGTCTACAGCACCCAGCATGAGGGATGCAGAAGACGGGTGATTTCTGCATTTCCATCTGAGGTACCCGGTTCATCTCACTAGGGAGTGCCAGACAGTGGGTGCAGGTCAGTGGGTGCAGCGCACCGTGTGTGAGCCGAAGCAGGGCGAGGCATTGCCTCACTCAGGAAGTGCAAAAGGTCAGGGAGTTCCCTTTCCTAGTCAAAGAAAGGGGTGACAGACAGCACCTGGAAAATCGGATCACTCCCACCCGAATACTGCGCTTTTCCGACAGGCTTAAAAAACGGCGCACCAGGAGATTATATCCTGCACCTGGCTCGGAGGGTCCTACACCCATGGAGTCTCACTGATTGCTAGCACAGCAATCTGAGATCAAACTGCAAGGCGGCAGTGAGGCTGGGGGAGGGGTGCCCGCCATTGCCTAGCCTTGCTTAGGTAAACAAAGCAGCTGGGAAGCTCCAACTGGGTGGAGCCCACCACAGCTCAAGAAGGCCTGCCTGCCTTTATAGGCTCCACCTCTGGGGGCAGGGCACAGACAAACAAAAAGACAGCAGTAACCGCTGCAGACTTAAATGTCCCTGTCTGACAGCTTTGAAGAGAGCAGTGGTGCTCCCAGCACTCAGCTGGAGATCTGAGAATGGGCAGACTGCCTCCTCAAGTGGGTCCCTGACCCCTGACCCCTGAGCAGCCTAACTGGGAGGCACCCCCCAGTAGGGGCAGACTGATACCTCACACGGGCGGGTACTCCTCTGAGACAAAACTTCCAGAGGAACGATCAGACAGCAGCATTCGCAGTTCACGAAAAAACCACTGTTCTGCAGACACCGCCGCTGATACCCAGGCAAACAGGGTCCGGAGTGGACCTCTAGCAAACTCCAACAGACCTGCAGCTGAGGGTCCCGTCTGTTAAAAGGAAAACTAACAAACAGAAAGGACATCCACACCAAAAACCCATCTGTACATCACCATCATCAAAGATCAAAAGTAGATAAAACCACAAAGATGGGGAAAAAACAGAGCAGAAAAACTGGAAACTCTAAAAAGCAGAGCACCTCTCCTCCTCCAAAGGATTGCAGTTCCTCACCAGCAATGGAACAAAGCTGGACAGAGAATGACTTTGACGAATTGAGAGAAGAAGGCTTCAGATGATCAAACTACGAGCTACCAGAGGAAATTCAAACCAAAGGCAAAGAAGTTAAAAACTTTGAAAAAAATTTAGACGAATGTATAACTAGAATAACCAATACAGAGAAGTGCTTAAAGGAGCTGATGGAGCTGAAAGCCAAGGCTCGAGAACTACATGAAGAATGCAGAAGCCTCAGGAGCCGATGTGATCAACTGGAAGAAAGGGTATCAGCGATGGAAGGTGAAATGAATGAAATGAAGCGAGAAGGGAAGTTTAGAGAAAAAAGAATAAAAAGAAATGAACAAAGCCTCCAAGAAATATGGGACTATGTGAAAAGACCAAATCTACATCTGATTGGTGTACCTGAAAGTGACGGGGAGAATGGAACCAAGTTGGAAAACACTCTGCAGGATATTACCCAGAACTTCCCCAATCTAGCAAGGCAGGCCAACATTCAGATTCAGGAAATAGAGAGAACGCCACAAAGATACTCCTTGAGAAGAGCAACTCCAAGACACATAATTGTCAGATTCACCAAAGTTGAAACGAAGGAAAAAATGTTAAGGGCAGCCAGAGAGAAAGGTCAGGTTACCCTCAAAGGGAAGCCCATCAGACTAACAGCTGATGTCTCAGCAGAAACTCTACAAGCCAGAAGAGAGTGGGGGCCAATATTCAACATTCTTAAAGAAAAGAATTTGCAACCCAGAATTTCATATCCAGCCAAACTAAGCTTCATAAGTGAAGGAGAAATAAAATCCTTTACAGACAAGCAAATGCTGAGAGATTTTGTCACCACCAGGCCTGCCCTAAAAGAGCTCCTGAAGGAAGCGTTAAACATGGAAAGGAACAACCGGTACCAGCCGCTGCAAAATCATGCCAAAATGTAAAGACCATCGAGACTAGGAAGAAACTGCATCAACTAACGAGCAAAATATCCAGCTAACATCATAATGACAGGTTCAAATTCACACATAACAATATTAACCTTAAATGTAAATGGACTAAATTCTCCAATTAAAAGACACAGACTGGCAAACTGTATAAAGAGTCAAGACCCATCAGTGTGTTGTATTCAGGAAACCCATCTCACATGCAGAGACACACATAGGCTCAAAATAAAAGGATGGAGGAAGATCTACCAAGCAAATGGAAAACAAAAAAAGGCAGGGGTTGCAATCCTAGTCTCTGATAAAACAGACTTTAAACCAACAAAGATCAAAAGAGACAAAGAAGGCCATTACATAATGGTAAAGGGATCAATTCAACAAGAAGAGCTAACTATCCTAAATATATATGCAACCAATACAGGAGCACCGAGATTCATAAAGCAAGTCCTGAGTGACTTACAAAGAGACTTAGATTCCCACACATTAATAATGGGAAACTTTCACACCGCACTGTCAGCATTAGACAGATCAATGAGACAGAAAGTCAACAAGGATACCCAGGAATTGAACTCAGCTCTGCACCAAGTGGACCTAATAGACATCTAAAGAACTCTCCCAAATCAGCAGAATATACATTTTTTTCAGCAACACACCACACCTATTCCAAAATTGACCCCGTAGTTGGAAGTAAAGCTCTCCTCAGCAAATGTAAAAGAACAGAAATTATAACAAACTATCTCTCAGACCACAGTGCAATCAAACTAGAACTCAGGATTAAGAAACTCACTCAAAACCGCTCAACTACATGGAAACTGAACAACCTGCTCCTGAATGACTACTGGATACATAATGAAATGAAGGCAGAAATAAAGATGTTCTTTGAAACCACCGAGAACAAAGACACAACATACCAGAATCTCTGGGACACATTCAAAGCAGTGTGTAGAGGGAAATTTATAGCACTAAATGCCCACAAGAGAAAGCAGGGAAGATCCAAAATTGACACCCTAACATCACAATTAAAAGAACTAGAAAAGCAAGAGCAAACACATTCAAAAGCTAGCAGAAGGCAAGAAATAACTAAAATCAGAGCAGAACTGAAGGAAATAGAGACACGAAAAACCCTTCAAAAAATTAGTGAATCCAGGAGCTGGTTTTTTGAAAGGATCAACAAAATTGATAGACCACTAAGAAGACTAATAAAGAAAAATAGAGAGAAGAATCAAATAGACGCAATAAAAAATGATAAAGGGGATATCACCACCGATCCCACAGAAATACAAACTACCATGAGAGAATACTACAAACACCTCTACGCAAATAAACTAGAAAATCTAGAAGAAATGGATAAATTCCTCAACACATACACTCTCCCAAGACTAAACCAGGAAGAAGTTGAATCTCTGAATAGACCAATAACAGGAGCTGAAATTGTGGCAATAATCAATAGCTTACCAACCAAAAAGAGTCCAGGACCAGATGGATTCACAGCCGAATTCTACCAGAGGTACAAGGAGGAACTGGTACCATTCCTTCTGAAACTATTCCAATCAATAGAAAAAGAGGGAATCCTCCCTAACTCATTTTATGAGGCCAGCATCATCCTGATACCAAAGCCGGGCAGAGACACGACCAAAAAAGAGAATTTTAGACCAATATCCTTGATGAACATAGATGCAAAAATCCTCAATAAAATACTGGCAGACCGAATCCAGCAGCACATCAAAAAGCTTATCCACCATGATCGAGTGGGCTTCATCCCTGGGATGCAAGGCTGGTTCAATATATGCAAATCAATAAATGTAATCCAGCATATAAACAGAACCAAAGACAAAAACCACATGGTTATCGCAATAGATGCAGAAAAGGCCTTTGACAAAATTCAATAACCCTTCATGCTAAAAACTCTTAATAAATTAGGTATTGATGGGACGTATCTCAAAATAATAAGAGCTATCTATGACAAACCCACAGCCAATATCATACTGAATGGGCCAAAACTGGAAGCATTCCCTTTGAAAACTGGCACAAGACAGGGATGCCCTCTGTCACCACTCCTATTCAACGTAGTGTTGGAAGTTCTGGCCAGGGCAATTAGGCAGGAGAAGGAAATAAAGAGTATTCAATTAGGAAAAGAGGAAGTCAAACTGTCCCTGTTTGCAGACCACATGATTGTATATCTAGAAAACCCCATTGTCTCAGCCCAAAATCTCCTTAAGCTGATAAGCAACTTCAGCAAAGTCTCAGGATACAAAATCAATGTACAAAAATCACAAGCATTCTTATACACCAATAACAGACAAACAGAGAGCCAAATCATGAGTGATCTCCCATTCACAATTGCTTCAAAGAGAATAAAATACCTAGGAATCTACCTTACAAGGGACATGAAGGACCTCTTCAAGGAGAACTACAAACCACTGCTCAATGAAATAAAAGAGGATACAAAGAAATGGAAGAACATTCCATGCTCATGGGTAGGAAGAATGAATATCGTGAAAATGGCCATACTGCTCAAGGTAATTTATAGATTCAATGCCATCCCCATCAAGCTACCAATGACTTTCTTCACAGAATTGGAAAAAACTACTTTAAAGTTCATATGGAACCAAAAAAGAGCCCGCATCGCCAAGTAAATCCTAAGCCAAAAGAACAAAGCTGGAGGCATCATGCTACCTGACTTCAAACTATACTACAAGGCTACAGTAACCAAAACAGCATGGTACTGGTACCAAAACAGAGATATAGACCAGTGGAACAGAACAGAGCCCTCAGAAATAATGCCACATATCTACAACTATCTGATCTTTGACAAACCTGAGAAAAACAAGCAATGGGGAAAGGATTCCCTATTTAATAAATGGTGTTGGGAAAACTGGCTAGCCATATGTAGAAAGTTGAAACTGGATCCCTTACTTACACCTTATACAAAAATCAACTCAAGATGGATTAAATACTTAAACATTAGACCTAAAACCATAAAAACCCTACAAGAAAACCTAGGCATTACCATTCAGGACATAGGCACGGGCAAGGACTTCATGTCTAAAACACCAAAAGCAATGGCAACAAAAGCCAAAATTGACAAATGGGATCTAATTAAACTAAAGAGCTTCTGCACAGCAAAAGAAACTACCATCAGAGTGAACAGGCAACCCACAAAATGGGAGAAAATTTTTGCAACCTACTCATCTGACAAAGGGCTAATATGCAGAATCTACAATGAACTCAAACAAATTTACAAGAAAAAAACAAATAACCCCATCAAAAAGTGGGCGAAGGACGTGAACAGACCCTTCCCAAAAGAAGACATTTATGCAGCCAAAAAACACATGAAAAAATGCTCACCATCTCTGGCCATCAGAGAAATGCAAATCAAAACCACAATGAGATACCATCTCATATCAGTTAGAATGGCAATCCTTAAAAAGTCAGGAAACAACAGGTGCTGGAGAGGATGTGGAGAAATAGGAACACTTTTACACTGTTGGTGGGACTGTAAACTAGTTCAACCCTTGTGGAAGTCAGTGTGGCGATTCCTCAGGGATCTAGAACTAGAAATACCATTTGACCCAGCCATCCCATTACTGGGTATATACCCAAAGGACTATAAATCATGCTGCTATAAAGACACATGCACACGTATGTTTATTGTGGCACTACTCACAATAGCAAAGACTTGGAACCAACCCAAATGTCCAACAATGATAGACTGGATTAAGAAAATGTGGCACATATACACCATGGAATACTATGCAGCCATAAAAAATGATGAGTTCATGTCCTTTGTAGGGACATGGATGAAATTGGAAATCATCATTCTCAGTAAACTGTCGCAAGAACAAAAAACCAAACACTGCATATTCTCACTCATAGGTGGGAATTGAACAATGAGAACACATGGACACAGGAAGGGGAGCATCACACTCTGGGGACTGTTGTGGGGTGGGGGGAGCAGGGAGGGATAGCACTGGGGGATACACCTAATGCTAGATGATGAGTTAGTGGGTGCAGCATACCAGCATGTCACATGTATACATATGTAACTAACCTGCGCATTGTCACATGTACCCTAAAACTTAAAGTATAATAATAAAAAAAAAAGAAAAGTGGTTTATAATTGGATACAGTTTAATACTTGCTTTTTCTTCAAGGAAATTTATGGAAAGAGCCCTGACAAGTATTTTTGGTTACAGGTTTCTGATAACATTGGAAATTATACCATTGGACTACTTAAAAACTTCCAAAACTTGACTTTAAAAAATACTGATTGATGGGTTCATGAAGATTGCTAACTCAACATCGAGCAGAACAATAATTAAGTACATGAAAATGAACTGATGATAGACTAATATAATTTTGATGACTTCCTTTTATTTAAAACATGCTGATTCTTTTTGTTTTGTTTTCTAGGGTCAAGAAAACTTTTTTTCTCTTAAGCTATTTATAGCTTACAGCAACTGGGTAAATAAAATATACTTTTATGAGAAAGGTTAAAATATTTAACTTTCTATCTGATTTTTCTAGAATTCAGAGACTATTCATGAGTACTCTTATTTGTGGAAATATAGTTATTGGCAAAAATTCAATAAGAATCTCTTTTATTTTGTAACAAGACTATTTATTTTACTGAGGCTTTGATTGGAATGTCATATTTTTAGATATGATCAGAATGTTTTCAGGGATTGAGGTTGACTTTATAAAACCAATATACTTAGAAAAATACTGGGCGGGTACCTTGTGTACACAGTTTCTTTATAGGGTTCTTGACCTGTGCTGAGTAAAGAATGTTTTCTGACAGGCCCAGAAAACCCAAGCTACTTTGGAGACCTAAAGAAGAGAGATAAATTAATTCAACTGATACAGGTATTATATGCATAGTCTGATGGTAAATTCTTGGCTTAGCTTCATAACCTTGAGAGGCTTTTAAAAGTCTAATCTGAGATTCTTTGTGAAAGTTTCAGTAAACCCAATGTACAAAGAGCCAATTTGGCCAAATATTATTCTTACTACACTTTATGCAAATAATCAAGGCAAGTATAATAAGACTAAAATTTACTTTACAAATAAATTGGTTCTACTATGATTTATCTTTTGTAGAAATGGGAAACTAGAGTGAGAAAAATTATGTTTCAAAATAAAACTATAAGGCCAAGGTGAGTGGACCACCTGAGGTCAGGAGTTTGAGACCAGCCTGGCCAACATGGTGAAACCCCGCCTCTACTAATAATGCAAAAATTAGCTGGGCGTGGTGGTGGGTGCCTGTAATTCCAGCTACTGGAGAGGCTGAGGCAGGAGAATCACTTGAACCATGGAGACAGAGGTTGCAGTGAGCCGAGATCGTGCCATTGTACTCCAGCCTGGGTGACAAGAGCAAAACTCCATCTCAAAATAAATAAATAAATAAAAGAAACTATCATACACCTGTTATTAGCTTCTATCCCCATCTGTAATTTGTAAGTTTTTATTATTTACCTACAGTCTGGTCTAAATTTTAGATTTTTACTTCTTTCGTATATTTGGTTTTGACTCTCCAGACCTACATTTCCAATTTTTCTTCCACATTTCTGACCTAAAATCACTAGAAATTTAAAAATGTGTTTTTGTTATAGCCCTACAAACTAAAGCTGCACAACTTGATATGAACTTTGGGAGAAATCACTCTAGTAACCTATATAGACAGATGTCCTTCATGCCTATAAAATAGGGACTCCTAAAGAATTTCACTGACACACCTGATCCAAACTACAATTTAAATAACTCTGCCAGATTGCAACTTTAACTAAAAATGCTTCTGATTAAAAAAAAAAACTAGCTCATAAACCACTCCAGACAACTATCTTTATCTTTTGCATCCATAAAAATGTCTCTGAACTTAATACTTGTTTGCCTACACAATATAGAGGCCTTACTTTAATAGAAACCTACCTATAACATCATCATCTAAAATGAGACACAGCTGTTTAAGAAAATTATTCTCAGAACTAAGAGACTGATTCAAGATCTCAGATCATGTAGTTCAATTTGTTCTTTCAACTGGTTCTATATTGTCTCCCGTGTGCTAGGGTGCTTTTGCATTGCTTTAAAGGAATATCTGAGATTGGGTAATTTATAAAGAAAAGAGGTTTATTTGGCCAACAGTGTTGCAGGCTGTACATGGCACTGGCATCTCCTTGGCTTCTGGGGAGGCCTTAGGGAGTTTTTACTTATGGCAGAAGGTGAAGCAGGAGCAGGCACATCACAGGGCAAGAGAAGGAGCAAGAGAGTAAGGGGGAAGATGCCACACTCTTTTAAACATCCAGATCTCATGAGAACTCACTCAGTAGTGCAAGGACAGAACCAAGAGGATGGTGCCAAGCTAATAATGAGAAATCTGCCCCAGTGATCCAATCACTTCCCAAAAGGCCCCACCTCCAACATTGGTGATTATAATTCAATATGAGATTTAGAAAGGATAACATCCAAACTATATCATTCTGCCCTAGGCCCTCAAATCTCAAGTCTTTATGACATTTCAAAATACAATCATTCCTTCTCAATAGCCCTCCAAAGTCTTAACTCATCCCCGCATTAACTCAAAAGTCTGAAGTCCAAAATCTCATCTGAGACTCAAGGCATGTTCCTTCCACCTATGCATCTGTAAATAAAACAAACAAACAAACAAAAAACGAGTATTTTACTTTCAAGATACAATGGCGATATGGGCATTGGGTAAACATTACCATTCTAAAAGGAAGAAATTGGCCAAAAGAAAGGAGCTACAGGCTTCACAGAAGTCTGAAACCCAGCAGAGCAATCATTAAATCTTAAAGCTCCAAAATAGCCTTCTATGACTCCATGTCTCACATCCAGTGCACAGTGGTGCAAGAGGTGGGCTCCCAATGCCTTGGGCAGCTCTACTTCTTGGCTTTTCTAGGCTCAGGATGCAAGCTGCTGTTGGATCTATTATTCTAGGGTCTGGAAGGTGACAGCCCACCTCCCATAGTTCCACTAGCCAGTGCCCCATTGGGGACTCTGTGTGGGGGCTGCAACCCTATCTTTCCCCTTGGCACCACCCTTGTAGAGTATTTCTATGAAGGCTATGCCCCTGCAACAGGTTTCTTCCTGGAAACCCAGGTTTGTTTTTTTTTTTACATCCTCTGAAATCTATGTGGAGGCTGCCAATGCTCCTTCACTCTTGTATTCTGAGTTCCTATTAACATCATATGAAAACTGCCAAGGCTGACAGCTTGCACCTTCCAGAGCTGTGGTCCATGCTATACCTGGGGCCTTTTGACCCAAGGCTTCAGGATGCAAGAAGCAGCCTGCTGTGGTGGTGCAGGGTGGTAGTACCCCAGGGCCAGCCCACAAAACCATTCAGTCCTCCTAAGCCTCTGAGACAGTGATGGGAGGGGCTGCCTAGAAAATCTCTGAAATACTTTCAAGGCCTTTTCCCATTGTCTTGTCTGTTAACACTTGGCTTCTTTTAGTCACGCAAATCTCTAGCAACTGGTTGCTCCAAAGCTTGCCTGATTTCCTCTCCTGTTAATGCTTTTTGTTTTACTCTGCCACATGGCCAGCCAGCAAATTTTCCAAACTTTTACACTCTGCTTCCCCTTTAAATATAAATTCAAACTTTTAGGCATTTCTTTGCTCCTGCATCTGAGCATATGTTGTTAGAAGTAGGTCATATCTTGAATGCTTTTCTGTTTAGAAATTTCTTCCACCAGATACCCTAAGTCATCATTCTTAAGTTCAAACTTCTACAGATCCCTAGGCATGAGTAGAATGCAGCAAAGCTTTTTGCTAAGACATACCATAGCTGACCTTTGCTCCATTTCCCAGTAAGTTCCTTATTTTCATCTGAGACCTTGTCAGCCTGGACTTCACTGTCCATATCAGCATCAGCATTTTGGTCAAAACCATTTAACCAGTCTCTAAGAAGTTCCAAACTTTCCATCATGTTCCTGTCTTCTCTGAGCTCTCCAAACTCTGCCAACCACTGTTTATTACCCAGTTCTAAAGATGCTTCCATATTTTTAGGTATGTTTGTAGCAGTTCCCCACTCCTCAGTACCAAATTTCTGTGATAGGCTGTATTAGTCCATTCTCCCATTGCTATAAAGAAATACCTGAGACTAGGTAATTTATAAAGAAAAATAGGTTTAATCAGCTCACAGTTCCACAGGCTGTACAGGAAACATAATGCTGGCATCTGTTTGGCTTCTGAGGAAGCTTCAGGAAACTTACAATAATGATGAAAGGTGAAAAGGAGCCCACACTTCACATGGCCAGAGCAGGAGGAAGAGAAAGGTAGGGAGATGCCACACACTTTTAAACAACCAGATTTCATGAGAACTCCATCATGAGAATAGCACCAAAGGGATGGTGCTAAACCACTCATGAAGGATGCACCCCCATGATCTAATCAACTCCCACCAGGTTCCACCTCCAACATTGGGGATTACAATTTCACATGAGATTTGGGTGGAGACACAGATCCAAACCATATCATTCCACCTTGGTTGCTGCCAAATCTCATGTCCTTTTCACTTCGTAAAATCCCAACATCCCCCAAAGTCATAACTCATTCCAGCATTAATTCAAAAGTCCAAAGTCCAAAGTCTCATCTGAGACAAAGCTAGTCCCTTCTGCTGATGAGCCAGTAAGATAAAAAACAAGTTAGTTACACCCAAGATACAATGGGGGTATAGGCATTGGGAAAATAATCTCATTCCAAAAGGGAGAAATTGGCCAAACAAAGGGGGCTGCAGATCTCATGCAAGTCCAAAATCCAGCAGGGCAGTCATTAAATCTTAAAGGTTCAAAGTAATTTCCTTTGACTGCACATCCCATATTCAGGACACACAGATGCAAGGGGTGGGCTCCCAAGGTCTTGGGCAGCTCTGCCCCTGTGGCTTTGTAGGGTTTAGCTCCCATGGTTGCTCTCAAAGGCTAGTGTTGAGTGCCTGTGGCTTTTCTGGGCACATGGTGCAAGCTGCCAGTGGATCTACCATTCTGGGGTCTGGAGGCTGTGGTGGCCCTCTTCTCACAGCTCCAACCGCTCATTTCCCCTCCACACAACCTAGTAGAGGTTCTTCCTAAGGGCTCCATCCCTGCAGCAGGCTTCTGTCTTAACACCCAGGCTTTTTTATACATCCTCTGAAATGTAGGCAGTAGCTCCCAAGCCTCAACTTTTGCACTCTGTGTACCCACAGGCTTAACACCATGTGGAAGCTGCCAAAGTTTATGGCTTTCACCCTCTGAAGAAGTGGCCCAACTGTACCTGAACCTCTTTGAGCCATGGCTGGAACTGGAGCAGCCAGGATGCAGAGTGGTCTCCTGAGCCTGCACAGGGTAGGTAGTGGGGCCTTAGGCTTGGCCCACAAAACCATTCTTCCCTCCTAGGCCTCTGGGCCTGTGATAGCAGTGGCTACCTCAAAATTCTCTGAGATGCCTTCCAGGTCTTCTCCCCATTGTCTTGGCAATTAGCACTTGCCTTCCTTTTAGTTATGCAAATTTCTACAGCCTGCTTGACTTCCTTCCCTTAAAATGGGCTTTTCTTTTCTACCACCTGGCCAGGCTGCAAATTTTCCAAACTTTTACACTCTGTTTCTATTTTAAATATAACTTCCAGTTTCAGGTTATTTCTTTGCTCACACATATGAGCATATGTTGTTAGAAGCAGCATCTTGAATGCTTTGCTACTTAAAAATTTTTTCTGTCAGATTCCCTAAATCATCACTGTCAAGTTCAAAGTTTCACAGATCCCTACAGCAGGGGCACAATGCCACCATGTTCTTTGCTAACACATAGCAAAAATAATCTTTGCTCCAGTTCCCAATAAGTTTCTCATTTCCATCTGAGACTTCCTCAGCCTGGACTTTACTGTTCATATCACTATCAGCATTTTGGTCAAAACCATTCAACAAATCTCTAGGAAGTTCCACGCTTCCCCTCATCTTCCTGTCTTCTTCCAAGCCCTCCGCACTGTTCCAACCTCTGCCTGTTACCCAGTTCTAAAGTCACCTCCATATTTTCAGGTATCTTTACAGTTATGTCCCACTCCTTGGTATTAATTTTCTGTATTAGTCAGTTCTCACACTGCTATAAATAAATACCTGAGATATAAAGAAGTTTAATTGGCTCACAGTTCTGTAGGCTGTGCAGAAAGCATGATGTTGCTTTCTGGGGAAGCCTGAGGAAACTTACAATCATCTTGAAAGGTAAAAGGGAGCCCATACCTCACATGGCCAGAGCAGCAGGAAGAGATAGATGAGGAGGTGCCACACACTTTTAAACAACCAGATATGAGAACTCCATCATGAGAACCATACTCAGGGGATGGTGCTAAACCATTCATGAAGAATGCACCCCCATGACCCAATCATCTACCACCAGGCTCCACCTCCAACACTGGGATTACAATTCAACATGAGATTTTGGTAGGGACACAGATCCAAACCATATCATAAGCCGTTCTTGCATTGCCATAAAGGAATACCTGAGAGTTGGTAATTTACAAAGAAAAGAAGTTTAACTGGCTCACAGTTTTGCAGGTTATACAAGCATGGCACAGGCATCTGCATTAGGATTACAATTCAACATGAGATTTAGAGAAGCAAACATCCAAGTTCTGTTATCCTCCTTTGCCAATCTCTTATCTGACAACCTCTAACCAAAATCTCACCAAAGCTATCAACTTGACTTTTAATACGTGAAACTTTACGGAAGTAAAATTTCAAAGGGTGGACTAAAGGAAACCAAAAGGTTTCACTCCAAAATATACTTCTTTTGAAATATTTTGAGATGGCTGTTCAGAGGACCTACTGGCAAAAGTAGTCCTGCAAAGTTATCTTTAGTGGGGGGAGATTTACATCTGTAGAGGAGCTAGAGTGAAGTAAACAACAGATACAAACAAAGCTTTTTCTGAAACTTCCTTTGTCCAGACCTAGGAAAATTTAACTGATAATCTGACTCCTTTAAAAGTCTGATGGAGCCAGATGTGGTGGCCTGTGCATGTAGTCCCAGATATTCAGGAGGCTGAGGCAGGAGAATCAGTAGAGCCCAGGGGTTTGTGACCACTGTGAGAAATATAGTGAGATCCCATCTCAATTTTTTTTAAAACGTCTGGCAGAAACATTTACTACTGGCTACCCGCTATTTTCTCTGAGGGCTCCTACATATGAGGCTTCATCTAAATAACAAGGCAACCTTTTCTAGCCAGGTCTTTCTGTTTCCTTTCCTCCCAAACCTATTTTGCCATGCTCCTGAGCCCCTATTCTTTCCACAACCTCAAGGTGGTATGAAAGTGTCAACCATTTGACTTTCTTTGAGTTTTTATATTTTGTATGACTCCAGTGCATGCATGTGCACATAATATATTTGTATGCTTTTCCACTGTCTATTAATCAGTATGTGCTGTAGATTCAAATTAACAAACCATCAGGAGAAAAATTTAAACTTCCCTTCACAACATGAAAGGAATGTGAAAACATTATGCTAAGTGAAAGAAACCAGTCATGAAAGACCACACAGTGTACAATTCTCTTTTTAGGGGATATCTAAAATAGGCAAATCTCTAGAGACAGATTAGTGATTGTTTAGGGCTGAGGGTTATGTGGGGTAGGAAGGTGATAGTTAAAAGATACAGAATTTATTTTTGAGGTCATCAAAATGCTCTAAAATCTATTGTAATGATTGTTGCAAAAATTTATGAATGTACTGAAAAGTATTGAGTTGTACAATTCAATGACTGAATTGTATGATATGCAAATTATATCTTAATATAGCTGTTCAAAAAAAAAAAGAAACTCTAAACATCACTTCAAGAAATACTTGATTTACTGGATGTGATGTGAGGCCAGGGCACTGGTATATTTTTGTTTGTGTTATGTTTCTCAAGTGATTATAGGGTTAAGAAATAGTCTGTGCTCTTATTTTCCTGGACAGTCTCAGTTACTGGCTACACTGCAGCACAATCCATATGGCTTTAAACAGATTACAAGAGAGTATAGAACAACAGCAAAGAAGAGTTTAATGCATCCTGAAAGTTTAATCTAGAATCTTGTTACTTAGAGTGTGGTCTTGGGACAACAGCTTCAGCATCATCTGGGAGCCTGTTAGAAATACAGACTCTTGGCCGGGCGCGATGGCTTACGCCTGTAATCCCAGCACTTTGGGAGGCTGAGGCAGGCGAATCACTTGAGACCAGGAGTTCGAGACCAGCCTGCCTAACATGGTGAAACCCTGTCTCTAATAATAATACAAAAATTAGCCAGGCATGGTGGCCCACGCCTGTAATTTCAGCTACCTGGGAGGCAGAGGTTGCAGTGAGTTGAGATCACTCCACTGCACTCTGGCCTGGGCAACAGAGTGAGACTGTTTAAAGAAAAGAAGAAGAAGAAGGAAGAAGGAGAAGAAATACAGACTCTTAGGCTCTAGTCCAGACTTCCTGAATCAGAATCTGCGTTTTGCAAAAGCTCAGGTAATCTGTAGACAGTTTAAAGTTTGAGAATTTCTGGTCTAAAGAATCTTCCCACAGACAGAGCAGCCATTTCTCCTCAAACTGGAAACATCTGTGCATCAGAGTACCAGGGCTGATCACAAAATACAACTTCCAATAGGAGAATTGAGATCTTTACATTTGTCACTGTTACCATCTGAGAAATAAATAGAGTGTTGGCTTTAAAAAATTTAAATTTGGGAATTGTTGTCCTGACTATGTCTCGCTAAAAGCAACATTGTATTAGCCTATCATTGAAAGAGTAGTTACAGAATGGCTGTAGTAGGAATTTGCAGTAAGGAAAATTGCAACAGGTTCACTGTGCATTCATACAATTTCAGTCAATATAACACATGCATGCATTTCTTTTAAACTTGATCTGGCTTCACTCCTGGGTTACCTGGGTTTTTGTTTGTTTGTTTGTTTTCTTTCTTTTTTTTTTTTTTTTTTTTTTTTTTTTTTTTTTTTTTTTTTGAGACGGAGTCTCGCTCTGTCGCCCAGGCTGGAGTGCAGTGGCGGAATCTCGGCTCACTGCAAGCTCCGCCTCCCGGGTTCACGCCATTCTCCTGCCTCAGCCTCCCAAGTAGCTGGGACTACAGGCGCCCGCCACTACGCCCGGCTAATTTTTTGTATTTTTAGTAGAGACGGGGTTTCACCGTTTTAGCCGGGATGGTCTCGATCTCCTGACCTCGTGATCCGCCCGCCTCGGCCTCCCAAAGTGCTGGGATTACAGGCGTGAGCCACCGCGCCCGGCCGTTTGTTTTCTTTTCTTTTGGCAGAATCTCCTCTGTCACCCAGGCTGGAGTAGAGTGGCACAATTACAGTTCACTACAGCTTCAACCTCCTGGATTCAAGCCATCCTCCCACCTCAGCCTCCCAAGTAGCTGGGACCACAGGTGCACACCACCATCCACAGCTAATTTTATTTACTTTTAGTAGACATGAGGTCTCGCCATGTTACCCAGGCTGGCCTCAAATTCCTGGGCTAAAGAAATCCTCCTGCCTCAACCTCAAAAAGTGCTGGGATTTATAGGCATGAACCACCATGCCCAGCCGAGCATATTTTATTTTTCAGAAAAACAAGTCTGTTCAGGAATGGAGTTCAAAATCAATGCAAGAATACAAGGGAAATCATTTTTTTCTAAAGTAATCTAACACTGGAGTTGGCTGTCAGATGTCTCTCTCTTCCAGCTTAATTCTACATCAAGAATTCTTAACTATTCTTCTGCCAGACATACCTAAAATATGACACACTCTTCCTAGGAAAATGCACATCTATGCATGTAATATAAGGGCATGAATAGACCCTCCTGAAGCCCATCCAAGTGGAAATGTAATGCCAGACTAAAGAAACCTTTTTGTGGGGGGTGGGCAGAGCACTAGAGGAGTTGTTAGACTGAGAGCCCAATTTGCCAAAAATAGGCTTTATTAATGCAGCCCAGAATCATGATAACAGTCAGATTGAGTTTAGGTATTTAGTTTGGTAAATTATCTCACAGCCTGCTCCTAGCTGGAATATCACCCATGGTTAACCACATCACAAAGATTATAATATGAAAAAATGCACTTAATGCAAAATGTTTTGACCTTTACAGAAAAAAAAAAAAACACAACACAACAGTAAGATCTAGTAGCTTCTTGGAGTCATTATAGATTACAACTTTTACTGTTTTGTAGATAGATCTTTTACTATTTGGCTGAGTCTCTTTTATATCATTTAGGATTTCTTGTCATTAGCATTTTATTCATGAAATTGGGATCCACCTTCTGAGAAGTACAATGTGGCTTCTTTTTATAAAAAGGTGAGGCAGGCTTTCTGTTTCTCCTTTCTGTTTCAGATCCCATTATTTCTTTGCTGCTTTCAATTTTTAGTCACTGTCTTTATCAGCATTTGATTTTTGTAATTCAAAGCTCTCCTTATGATTTTAGTCAGTAACAGTGAATGTCTCTTAATGTATGAAATAAAAATGAGTTTTTACCCTATTATCTGCCGTTGTCTTTTTTAAAAATCCTGTCACTTCCTCTTTGAGGGATAAGAACCCCAGGTGGTTGGAGTGGATTGTCTCTTGATTGTACCAAAGATACTACATACTGATATCAAATTAGTTTCCCTAAAGGTTAATTTCAATCAGTGCGATTTTTGGTTTATAATGCCACTTGCATGTCAGATAAAGGAAAAACTCCTTATCTTATTGTCCAAAGCCTCCACAATTTGATTCCAGCTATCTTTCCAGCCTTGTATTTCATTATTCAAATACTGCACTATTTTCCTGGACTCCAATAAAATGTTTCCCAGGACTACCCCTTCCTAATCCCCAACACCACTTCCATCTCTGTTGAAATCAAAATTGCTATTTTTTTTTCCTTGAAACCTTTATTTACTGTTTGATTTGTATGCCATCTCTCCAATCTGGGGATTTATTTATTTATTTATTTATTTTGTTTTGAGTAAAGATTTATTCCTCTGCATATTTCCAATACAATTTCACTTTCTATTTAATATTATAAAAACCTAAAACATATAACTTTATTGAAGTGTAATTTATGTACAATAAGCCATATTCATTCAAACTGTACAAGTCAATGAATTTTGATAAGTGATCATACTGTGAACTCACCACCACACTCAAGTTACAGAGCATCTCCATCGTCCCTAAGAGTTTCCTCACAACACTTTGCAGTCTGTCACTCCATCTACACCAGTCCCAGGGAACTAGCAGTCTGCTTTTTGCCACTAATGTTTGGTTTTCATGTTCTAATATTTTAATATAAATGGAATCTTATAGTATATACTCTTTTATGTCTGGCTTCTTTTAGCACAACAGTTTTGAAATTTATTCATGCTAATGTATATATAAGTAGTTCCTGACTTTTTATTGCTGAGCATTCCATCATAGAAATACATCTTATTTACTTTATTCTTTCGCTGGTAGAAATTTGGTTTTTATACCCCCCACCACATTACAATATATTAATATTGCTTTTATCAAGTGCATTCAATAGCAATTACAATGATCACACTATCCAGAAATTTTAAGTACTTAGAGCCTGAGGACACAGGAAATCTTAAAAGTTAAATCCAAATTTATATAGGTATTCTTGCTCCAGAAGAGTTATATGATAGGGTAATAAATAAAAGACATGCAAGCATGAAAATATATTAGTAGGATAAAATTCTGTGGAAAGTGTGGAATAGAAAGGTGGGGAATTTCGCAATGATAAGAAGTATGTTAACTATGGTATTTAGAACCTATTATACACATTTCAAAAGTGATGTGACTTTTATCTTTTTAAGTCAGTATTTACAATATGCTAGAATTTTAATCCTTTATCTCTTTAAACACAAAATTTTATATGCCCATTTTAAAATGTGAATTTGAAAATAAAAAAAATAGAAGTAAAAACATTTGAGGACCCCTTTTCTCAGGCCCCACCCTCTGGCTCCTTAATTGTCTGAGGTGGGCAAGAATATTATGTTTTTTTAAAGTTCCTTTGGTGAGGCGGGGCGCAGTGGCTCATGCTCGCAATCCCAGAACCTTGGGAAGCCAAGGTGGGAGGATTGCCTGAGCCCAGAAGCTTGAGACCAGCCTGGGCAACATAGCAAGACCCCATCTCCACAAAAAATGTAAAAAATTAGCTAGACGTGATGGCACGCACCCATGGTCCCAGCTACCTGGGAGGCTGAGGTGGGAGGATCCTTTGAGCCCAGGAAGTTGAGGCCTCCATGAGCCTTCTTTGTGCCACTGCACTCCAGCCTGAGCAACAGAGCAAGACCCTGTCTCAAAATAAATTAAGAAATAAACAAACTCCCCCAGACGACTCTAAAGTGCAGCAAGGTTGTGAGGAGCTGGCCTAAAGACAGTGGTCTTTCTCAATAGGACAATGTCGGACAAGAAGTAGAAAAAATGAGAGCCATATTGTTTACCATTTACCTGGGAGTGTTAGTCATCTGGCAAGGTTTAACTATTTGCAAGGTTTATAAAATACCAAATCAACAAGGCCTTATAGAACTTAAGCTTAAAAAAATGTCAGAGGGCCCATAACTATGGTGCCTTCCAATGATGAAACAATATTTGCAAGGCACTGTACCAATTATTGTAAGTAAGTGGAATTATTTCAACTGTAGACAGTTCCAGGCCTGGAGCACTAAGCCACTTGGAGGTGTGGTGACAAAGAAAAATTAATTGCCAATTGTCCTTGGGCTCACTTGTTGACATTTTCCACAGCAATATTTTTTTCTGCTTACTGTCCAGAATCTCAAGTCTGCAACTTAATTTTGTTTTTCACATCCTTATTTCTCCTCTATTCTCTTTTTGTGCCTTACCTGTTTTTTTTCTCATCTTTGTTTCCTGTTATGATACACCCTATAGTGATGAAAGATGAAACCAGGATTTGAGCTCAATGCTAAATTCCACAATTAATTAGCCACGTGACATAGTAAATAATCTATAAGATGGGTGTCTTTGTTGTTTTGTATAGTGGGGTGAATGGTAGGCCCAAGAAGGAAATGCTTGCACCCTAATTCCTGCAGCCCATTAGTATTATTGTATGGCAAAAGATGTGATTAAGTTTCTTGAGATGAAGGGTTTTTCCTGATTATCTGGGAGGACCCTGAATGAAATCACATGTATCCTTGGGAAAGAAAGTCAGAGGGAGTTTAGGGACACATAGATAAGAGGAGATATGAAAACAGAGCAGAGGAAGCTGCAGCCACCACAAGCCAGAGTGCTGATGGCACCAGAAACTGGAAGAAACAAAGAACAGATTCTCCCCTAGAGCCTCCGCAAGGATTGTGGTTCTGTTGACACCTTGATTTTTGATGTCTAGCCTTTTAAAATTACTGTTTTTTATTTTTTTTAAGACAAGGTCTAGCTCTGTTGTCCAGGCTGAAGTGCAATGGTGCAGTCTCGGCTTACTGCAGCCTCAAACTCCCTGGCACAAGCAAGCCTCCCTCCTCAGCCTCCCAAGTAGCTGGGAATACCGGTGTGCACCACCACCATGACTAGCTAATTTTTTACTAGAGTTGAGGTCTCACTATGTTGCCTAGGCTGGTCTCGAACCTGTGGCTCAAGTGATCCTCTTGCCTCAGCCCCCAATCTGGGGATTTATTTAGCATATTGCTTAATTTTAATTTATAGTTTTATTTAAAAATCAAATTTTGTCTTGTTCCATAGTTATTTTTTATATGTGTTCTAACAACCCAACAATACTCAAGCGTGAGAAGAATGTCATTCATCTTGTTTGTCTCCTGCCCAAAGAGTTGCACTTAACCAACGCTCTAATAAATATTTGTTTAATGAATAGAAGACCAATCAGTTTAATTCAACAAACATTGTGAAGAATTGACTGTGTATGTGGAATATATTTGGTACTGTGAAGGTTGCAATGATTAATAAGATTTCTTCTCTAAAGGATTCTATCATCATGTAAAAAGGCAGGTAATTCAAAGTAGAGTATTATGACAAGTTCTATAAAAGAAGTATGAGTGAAATACAATGTGAGCAGAGGTGAAAGGGTGATTAATTTTTTTAAATGTAAGTTTAGGAACTGATTTATAGGAAATGGAAGGGAATGGGCTGGGTGCAGTGGCTCACGCCTGTAATCCCAGCATTTTGGGAGGCTGAGGTGGGCGGATCACGAGGTCAGGAGTTCGAGACCAGCCTGACCAACATGGTGAAACCCCGTCTCTAATAAAAATACAAAAATTAGCCGGCGTGGTGGTGCATGCCTGTAATCCCAGCTACTCAGGAGGCTGAGGCAGGAGAATCACTTGAACCCTGGAGGCAGAGGTTGCAGTGAGCCTAGATTGTGCCACTGCACTCCAGCTTGGGTGACAGAGCGAGATTCTGTCTCAAAAAAAAAAAAAAAAAAAGAAAAAAAGAAAAGAAATGGAAGGGAAAATCCATGGTAGGTCATGTTGTTTTCATGTGAAGTTTTACATGATTGTATTTTTATTATTAAAGTTAGATAATCAGATATGATGTGATAGTTCATTTTGGTTTTTTAATATATTTGACATCCCTGAAAGAAAAGATAAAACAGTCCCATGACAATTACACATAGAAATATATAGTCTTAGAATATTACCTTCTGACAATTCAAATGTTAGAACATCAGTCTACCAATATCTGTTTCATAATAACATTTTTGCATATAATTATATAATCAGTTATGCCATTCTCCTGCCAATATGTTCCTATCTAGTGTTCTCTAAATATTTGTTGAATTCAAATGAAGTGATAAGCAGTGGTGAACTAGAACTAGTGACCACAAAATTTTTTTTGCTTTCTGGTGCCAGGCACAAGTATATTATTTACTAAGTTGTGATTTATCAGAAAGTAATATAGACTTGGCATGGACTTTTAAAAGTGTCTGACAAATATGATGTCAGGGAACATTTGGTGGTAATCTCCAACTGATGTGAATAGTTCAGCCATATGACTTACGTTTGACTTACGTTTTTCAAACCCAGGGGATAACAATTTCAATGTGACTACACTATCTTAGAAAGATACTGGCATTTACCAAGTCATTGCTTAAAACTTCTCCATGAGAAGGTCCAATGAAAGTCACATGAACATACATAAACTTCAGTTAAGAAAAACATCAACCCAAAAGTCACTGAGCTAAGCTACCTTTCATACTAAATGACCCTTCGTCATTGGACATTGGTAACCTGATGTGTTTATGCTGCTGATAGAAGCCACAGTGCCATAGCAATTACTGTTTCTAGTTGCCCTAGTACCAGACCGGATAAGCTCCATGTACCCTTCATGGAAGATTTTAGAAACCCACAGACTGTGCAAACTGTCTCTTCAAGTGTTAGAAAACATGTATTGAATTGATTTTTTCAGCTTGATATTTACCTTAGAAGATAAAAATTTTACTTCACAAGAAGATTAAGAAAGAAATAAAATTAAAAATGTATTTAGTGGAACCTATGTATTCTCCAAGAAGGTAATACTCTGAGATGCTAAAGAGTCAGTATCAGGGATTATTTTCTAGTTACACCAGAAATAGGGCAAGGATGTCCTTTATTATTAATAGTGCAAGACTAAATTCTGTGTTCCTTAACCAAAACCAAGTGTTCTCTTTTCAATCTGTTACCTCTTTTCATAGGCCCCCAAGATCTACATCTATAGTTACTGACTTGGCCTTCAACTTACTGAAAACTGACTTTCTCAATTACTTTGGTACCCTCAGACCTGACTATGAATATCCAGAAAGAGTTGAGGGAGAGAAGGAAACAATTATACTTGACTAATCATGAGTGACTAGGTTAGGGTGGACTAAATTTTCCTGACTGGGTGGATTCCTTCTGCTACGTAGTTTAATAATTAAGCACAAACAAGTAAGAAGAGATTTCCACATTAAAATCAAATGCTGAGTTTGAACTTCCCTATTCTTTCCTTTCATTGACCCTTGCCCCACCCCTTGTTAAGGGACACTTTAGTGCCCAGGCAGATCCCCGAAGTCCTCTTTTATTGTTTGTTGTAAATTCCTTTCCCCAGGTTCAGGGTGCTTCCCTTTCTCCCTCCCTCCCATTCAGTGTGGTTTTGCCTCTTGCAGTCCTTAATTGGATCCCCTGAATGATGAAGTTAAAGCTGCCCTCTAAAGGCCTTTACATAAAATTACACACTTTCTTGGCTTCATCTCCTTCTCTGTCCTACTTTTCTCATTCTCTTGAATTTTTTCCTGAGAAAACTTTCTTAATAAATCATTTGCACATGAAATCTCATCGAAGGATCTGCTCTTGGGGAAACTGACCTAAGTCCAATTTACTCTCCAAATATTTAGAAACAAATTGTATATAAAAAATAAAGGAGGTTACCTTTTGCGTGAAAATGGTATCATGGGCAAATCCAAATACAAACTAGAAAAACATATTTGGAACCTGTAACAAAGTATAATTTCTTCTGTTACATAAAGAGCTCTTAAGCAACCAATTCAAAATGACCGAAAATCAGCAAAGACAATATGAATGACTCAAATTTTCTGAAAATCAATTATGATTAAAATGACAATGAGATACCATTTTTACATTACTCTGGTTGACAAAGACTTTACAAAGTATTGCAATACAGTGTTTGCTTGAGTGTAAGAAAGTAAGTACTCAATTTTTGAAGGAAGTGCTAACTGGATGCAATCTCTTTAAGAGTCAGCATCATCTATTACACTATAAAATGGACCTTATATACCTTTTCAACCCTGATTGCTTTCTCTGTCATTAAAAAAAATTCTGCAATATCAGCTGTCGCCCTGAAATTGTTTATTACTTGTTTGTCTGTTTCCTCCCACTAGAACGCAGGCTCCATGAGAACAGGACTGGCTCCATGTGGCTTATTACAGTATCCTTTATGCCCAGGGTTTGGCATGGAATTAATTCTCCATTAACATTTGTTAAATTGCCACATCAATAAATTAAGTAGTTGGCACCTATGGCATAAGTTGAGATGCTCCATGACCCTAGAACATTTCCTCAATATCCTTCTGTAATATCTGACATTCTCACTTAGGCAATCAGTGAAAATATAGAGACAGTCTATTAAAATGCATTAACATGATTATGGTAATATATAATATAAATATATTTATATGCTTATGTAAGTATAAATATGTAATATAAGCTATTACAGCATGACAATCTGCATAGAAGTAAATTAGCTAAGGAACTGGAGCAAGAGAGAAGTACATTTTAACTGCGGTTTTGGGCCAGGAAAGATCGAATAATTTGGTAGAATGTAATTAATTGCTAACAAGTAATTTAATTAATTAACTTAATTTAATGGATGGATGCTAGACCTTGGCTATAGAGTGAGGAGTCTTACGTGGGTTGTAGAGATTATAGTCAAGAAGATTCCTAAAATTAAGATTCTTAAGTACAGAGGCGAAACCAGAATCAAAATCAAAGCAGGCCGAGTACTTGCAAGTGTACTACAGAGAAGCAAAAAAGCAGAGAAGTGAAAACACAGAGGAGAACTGAAGGCATCAGAACAGTCCGAGCACTGAGAAGCAGCAGGTTGCAGCAAACCCTGCGGCGCAGGCGCACGAGGGACGATGGGAAGTCCACGGCATTATTATTGCCGGATGAGGAAGGGAGGCAATGGAGGTACCAGCAGATTTAAATAGACATATGATAAAAATAATGGATATTCCCCAGTGTTGCCATTGGGAATATAGAAGGGGGCAGAGTTGAGGTGGGTAACAACCAACCTCCGTTCCTTCTGGTAACACCGTTTTCCATTGCTCAGGGGCGGCCAGGGCTGCCCTTGACTGTGGACGGCGACGCCACAGGAGACCGAGGGTCCTGGGCACAGATTGGTTTTAGCCAAACCTACGGTTTGAGTCCTTGGTTCCAGCCACACCCCTTGTGGCACTTTCTAGAATTTTCTCTCCCTCAGATTCTGAAACTTTATCTCTTTGAAGATGGCCAGAAACATCTCTCAAGCCAGCATTTCGATGGAACACATTTCTTGAACTGAAGAACTCACGTGGCCTCACCCCCACTGGTTTATTTTCCTCATCTGAACCGCTGAACTAACGCCCTCTAGGGCTTTGCCAATGGAGTAGATATGGCTCTGAAATCTGAATCCAAGGGATGAGACTGAAACTTGCTTGGTCTGGGGGTATAAAGTTGAGTGGTATCTGTTAAATGGGGATAATAGGTGTGCCTACCTGATGGAGTAGTATTAGAATTAAATGTGTTGATATATGTAGAGTGAGAGGGAGAAAAATAAGAGAGTGAAGGAAAGAAAGAAAAGTAAAAATGGTGGTGACTATTCAACTCTCTCTTTAGATTTAGGACTCCAACTAGATCAAAGCTAGTGCCCTTTGTCCTGGTTACTCATTTGTGCTTTTTTTTTTTTTTTTTTTTTGAGACGGAGTCTTGCTTTTTGAGATGGAGTCTTGCTCTGTCACCCAGGCTGGACAATGGTGTGATCTCCCCAACCTCTGCCTCCAGGGTACAAGCGATTCTCCTGCCTCAACCTCCTGAGTAGCTGGGACTACAGGCATGCACCACCACGCCCGGCTAATTTTTTGTATTTTCAGTAGAGACAGGGTTTCACCATGTTGGCCAGGCTGGTCTCAAACTCCTGACCTTGTGATCCACCCACCTTGGCCTCCCAAAGTGCTGGGATTACAGGTGTGAGCCACCTAGCCCGGCCCCCTCATTTGTGCTTTATATCACAATTTGTAGGCCAGTATGAGTGGAGGCAGACGTCACCCACTCTTCATTGTGTTTTTCTGAGGAAGTTTTATAACAAGTCTGGCCTTCAGTTAATCACTTGGCCAGGTTAGAAAGTACTATAACCAGGTGATAAAAGATCTCATAAATAATTCAAATTCAGCTTTAACTTAGGTAAAACGTTTGTTTCTTAGTTTAAAGGACTTCTAAGTTCTTCCATCCCATGATGTGAGAAGTTAGTAAATATGAATACAGCACTTACATTTTCCTGATCAAAATTGAGTAAATTAAGTCAAAACATGAAACATAATTGCCAGACTGACACCTCTAATTATTTGGAGTAAATGAACAAAAAACAATGGTTGAGTGAAAAAAATTAAGAAATGAGGCAACCATTTTGTTAAAGTTATCTCAATCACTGGTTTTGAGAAAACAGTACTACACTGGGATCTAACTGAATGTTTAACTTTGAAGATATTTAGACTGTGAGCTTTAATTCCTTTTTTGAAAAAGTGAGGTTGATTCTATCAGCAAAATATGATGGTTAATTATACAAGCAGAAAGATTTCCATTATCTGCGTACTGTATCAGACAATTAAAATATTTTCTCCCTTCTCTAGAAAATGTCTGTGTTTGCTTAATATTTTTATCTTTATAAGATGGTAATTTGTCCACTAGAGGACAGGGTAAAGAGCAACCTTAGAATTAGCTAGAACTGGGTTTTGTAGCTTTGGACTGGTGGGCAAGTTATCAAATTTTTTCTAATGCTTATTTTCTCATTTCACAAATGAGTATGATAATTCTTACCCCAGAGTGTTGCTGCAATGTTTAAATGCAATAATTAATTGCTTAATTCTATGGAAAATTGGTAGATCACTTCAAAATCAGTTGTTGATTGGCTGATTTTAGAGATTTGGTAGAAATTGCTTTAATGTTAACCTGTCTCAATGAAATTTTAATGAAAGTCTTGCTGTTTTGATTTTAACATTTAAAATTATAACAAATATCACATGTTTGGTTAAAACAGTTTAGGCCATCAATAAATATTACTTGCAGCTTAAGTTTTTGAAATTGTAGCTGTTGCATGTTAAGAGCAAATAAGCCACACACAAGTGAATAACAACAATATTTTTTGTCAGCCATAAACAGTCATTAAGTAGCTAAAGTACTAATTACATGCAACCTTGGGAGACTCACTGCTCTATAATTATCTTTACAACTGAGTATGTGCCTTTTGAAGTTTCTGTTTAACCCTCTAAAGTTATTTTGCTATTTGCTCTGGTTCTTTTGTTTTGTTTTTAAGCAAAAGGGTAGATTTTATAAAGAACTTGTCTCCATCTCCCAACCTCATGTTTGGTCCAAACTCTTCAAAAATTCTGAAGTGGAACAGCCCCCAATCCTAATAAATATTCTTAGGTTCTTTTCGTTTGTTCATTTGTTTTTTAAGACAGAGTCTTGCACTGTTGCCCAGGCTGGAGCACAGTGGTGAGATCTCACCTCACTGCAACCTCCACCTCCCTGGTTCAAGAGATTCTCCTGCCTCAGCTTCCTGAATAGCTGAGATTACAGGCATGTGCCACCATGACTGTCTAATTTTTGTATTTGTAAGAACTTCTAAGTTCTTACATGGGGTTTCACAATGTTGGCCAAGCTGGTCTCGAACTACTGACCTCAAGTGATCCTCCTGCCTCAGCCTCCCAAAGTGCTGGGATTACAGGTGTGAGCCACCACCATGCCTGGCCTTATTGGGTATCATTTATAGCTGATTTCCCTCAAAGTTCCTTCTTTTCCTGTGCCTTTTCCTAGTTGATGAGTCTCAGGGACACTCCTACCTTGTCATCAACTACCCAGATGCTCAGTCACCTGTTGCTTTAGCATTGAGTTCCTGTTTCTCTTGTCTCAGGTGAGAATCATAGAGCACTCCTATTTTCCTCTGTTCTTGGTGAGGAGGCAAACACAATTACCTGGTCTTCTCATTCATAAGTGTTAATATGCTTAGGTTATCATGGGATGGTGTAGGGGGGCAGAGAGAAGTACAAATATTAATACATCTTTATAATGTCATTAAAAAGCTGAAGTTGCAGTTAATTTTCTTTTTGGAGGACATGTGCCATACATTTATGATATGCGTTATATGCTAGATGTATTATTTAATAATAGCAATAAAAGCAATATTGGTTATTAATGTTGCTCGTAACTTGTTGACGTAACAAACATGTTAATAGCTAAAGTAAGTTGGTTTGAGTTTGGTACTGAGAAGTAATCTTGTTAATTATTGCTTGTTTGATTTTTGGTAACTGTTCTTCCTCCCCTTTTGTGCAATGAAAGTACAATCAGCCTGTTTGGTCAGACTAATGTATAACTACCAAAAACTGCAAAAATATCTGGATTCTATATTAATAATGTGTTTTGCCACTATTTGTTTTGAATGTCACTTATTTAAATGTTATGTACTTATTCCATTAATTCAATTTAAAAGACTGAAAACTTTCCAGGTAAGTCACACTTTATAAGTCAGAAAAATATTTCAACTGGGTTGAGGGAAGAAAGCTTGACGTCTGAGTTTGAATGGAGTGTATGTTTAGTTGACTCCTTCACAAAGTTGCAAAGAGGTAGTCAAAATAATGCAATGTACACTAAGGCTTGAGTCAGTCTGACATGCTGATAGAATCAAGATCCATGAAGACTTTCTTGAGTAGGTTCCTTCTCAGAAGCACATATGTAGTGATACTCACCATCACTGAGGCACAGCACCATCATCAGATCTGACTCCACTGCAGTATAAATTTGATGAGTGCTTCATTTCCACCAGAACAATTCCTTCATAGCTCGCATATTTTGGTTACTTTTTGTCTCTTAACTTCTTGGGAAAGTTTTAATGTTAGCAGTTCTGTGAATCATTAAATGGTCCTGGGCGTGGCCCTTCTTTTTTGATAATTTTTACTGCCTTTCATACGGGAGTGGATGGTCGCAAGGGACAATATTATTAATAATAATAACAGGAACAACTTACATTTATGGAATACCTTCTTTTTGCCAGGTATAAAGACAACAAATTACTCTCTAAGTTCTGGGGCTGGGGCCCATGAATTGAGCTGACAAAAGACAGATTAAGAAAATAAAAGCATATACATTATATTTAATATTTTTACTGCACATTGAAGCCTTTATAAGAAAAATGAAAAGCCAAAGAAGCAACTCAGGCCAAGGGCTTATATACGTTTTAAACAAAGAAAGCTAAATTGTGGGGAAATGATAAAACAAAGGAAAAGAGTTTAAGCTTCTAGAGGCAGTAATTTGTGGGAAAGTGACTAGAAAATACACAGGGAAATCTAATGGAAGATAAGGAAGATTTTAGTAGTTTTGTTTGTACCGATCCATTTCAGTATTGACCCCCAGTCTCCAGTGATAAGAATGTTCTCTTCCTAAAACAGGGAGAGCCTCTTTCACATGGAAAATTTTATGTCATACCTGAGGCAGAAAGAGGAAAGTCAGAGAGTCCTTCCTGCCTCTGCTGTTGCTCAATCACCTTCAGCCTAAAATAATCAACATGCTGGGCTGGGCACAGTGGCTCACGCCTGTAATCCCAGCACTTTGGGAGGCCTAGGCGGGTGGATCACCTGAGGTCAGGAGTTCAAGACAAGCCTGGCCAACATGGCGAAACCCCGTCTCTACTAAGAATACAAAATTTAGCTGGGTCCAGTGGTGCCTGCCTGTAATCCCAGCTACCTGGGAGCTTGAGGCAGGAGAATCGCTTGAATCCAGGACGTGGAGGTTGTGGTGAGCCAAGATTGCACCACTGCACTCCAGCCTGCGCAATAAAGTAAGACTCTGTCTCAAAAAATAAAGTAAAATAATAAAAATAATCAACATGCCAAAGTAGCATATTTTGGGGTAGCATATTTTGAATTCCTTCATTTCCCCCATCTGAAACTTTACCATAAGTTTCTCATAATAAAATCTGAATTAGTGGCTGTGGAGAGAAGAATCAGTTTAGCAGCTGAGTGATAGATCTTCAAAAGAAGAATATGTAGATCAGAATGAGAATAAATAAGCAGAAAAGTGCAAATCTAAGCACATTTCTCCATATCCCATTAAACCAATCTCCCAACTCTGGGAATAGGTCAGTCTAATCAAATGGTTGAGCCTCATTATCTTATGGAGAATATTAATCTTTTTTGTTCAAAGGTATAAATCAGATAACGTTTGTCCCAACTGATTCACAAAGAGGCAGCATTTTCATCAACCACACAAGATAGAATGACCAGTGTTGTTCATGAACAAAAAGTGGAACCTGTAATTCCCAAGATCTAGTGTGTTCCACAACTTTTGTTATTGGTCATATTGATGTCTCCACACCTTCATTTTCACGTGCCTCTGTCAGTTTGTAGAAGCAGAAAATGTTGTGAAACATTTGACATAGGAGAACTGCAATCTGGCTTTGGCAGCTAAAAGGCTTGATTTTGTCACCTGACCAAGTTAATCCAGATTTTTGATCTATTTATATACAATTTCTGGTGCTAAGGAGCCTAATCAGGAGAGCAGCCGAGCTATCCCACCCAGGTTGTGCAAGAGTGGCCTATGAACCAGCCAACACATTTGGTGATTTGGCAAAAGTTTGTGCTATAAAAGGTAGTTCTAGAATCACTTATTGTCACCGGATAGAAAGTCCTGACTGTGAGTTTTCCAGGTTCTTGGAGTGTTGAACAAAGAATTGAACAAAACGCACAAACAAAGCAACAAAAGAACGAAGCAACAAAAGCACAGATTTATTGAAGTGAAAGTAGCCTCCACAGAGTAGGAGCAAGCTTGAGCAAGTGGCTCAAGAGCCTGACTGCAATGTTCTTCAGGGTTTTAAATTAAACTAAAAGAATTTGGTTAACACCCCTAGGTACCCTTTAGAGACCTCCAATTGGTTACACCCTACGCAAATGAAGGATTGACCTGTGACCAATCAGACACTGAAGTGGAGGCTTGGTTTGAGACCAATCAGAGGCTGAAGTGGAGGCTTGGCCTGTGACCAATCAGAAGCTGAAGTGGAGGTTGGCCTGCAACCAATCAGAGGCTGAAGTGGAGGCTTGGGCCACAACCAGTCAGAGGCATTTCTCGTTCGTGAGGTAGGGGAGGAGGGTTTTGTAGAGGTCAGGAACTCTGGTCCCTTTTCACCTGGGCATGGAGAGGTGGGGTTTTCCTTTTGGTCCAATTCCAAGAAGTCAGCCAATTTGTCCTCAGGCTCCCTGTCTCCCAACCCTATTCTCCTGCCTCATTATGACCTCCATGATGGGTTTGAGGATGTGGTGTATGGAGTCAAACTACAGGGTTTGATTGCAATATTGTCTTGGATTGTTACTTGGGAAGAGATCAGTACCATATTTGTTTTTAATTGGAAAAGTCTTTTTCTTCCAATGTCTTTATTTGAGCAAGGGACAATTCTTGAGCTTACATAGAGGTTTTTCCTTGCCCAGTGAACTCACCAGAAGGAAAAGTAGAGTGACATTGTTTTTCTGACCATGGATACCATACTCTTTCATTCATTTATCTTCCATAGTTGGTCCACCTGGTACCCCATGGACAGGAATAAAAACTAATTCAGGTTTGTTCATGCTATCAGATGTTGACATAAGCAATAATTATATTGTTTAGCTGACATGACCAAGGTTTGGGAAACTGGTGCAAGGGTGGTGTCAGGTTTGTGTTTAACCTATGAAGAAAAGAGTGAGGTTAATATGAAAGAGGCAGCATTTGAAAGAAAGCCCACAGTGGAGGATCAGAGAGAGAATAGGATAGATTGAGACAAGTAATCTCCAGTCAGCTTCTCAATAAATGGGAGGTTTTGTTGAAAAAGATCCCCCCTCTACTCCCCTCCCCACACCAGGGAGGAAAGAAACTTAAAGGGGGAAAATAGATGAAAGCAAAGTTTTTTATCTGTGATCTTGAGGAAAGCTGTTTGCTTTGTGGTGTCATCTTGCTTCTAGAGCCTTGGCTCTGAAATCCTTACTATGAGGTCACCTGTAGGGATGGTCTTCCAGTTGTCCTGAGAGTGATGACTGGCTCCACCTTGATGTGGCTCACATAAATTCAGAAAGTATGATAGCAGTGTAGGTGGTTAGCAGCACCTCATAAGGTCCTTCCTAGCAAGGTAACAGTACAAGCTTTTTCTAAAAATCTTGATGTATACCTGATCTCCTGGTTGAAAGAGTTGGCTTGATGGATTTTTTCCTATAAGTTCTTTTTATGTCTAGATTTTTATGTTCCACTTGACCTGATGATTGAGGATGGTATGAAGTAAGAAGTTTTAATGAGTAATCCAGAGATTTTGTGAGTGAGTGGTTTATTTCTACTAAAAAATGAGTTCCTTGGTCTGATTCAATCTATAAAGAAATGCCAAAATGAGGAATAACCTCAGTCGTTAATTTCTTTACCACTATCATGGTGTTGCATGAACCTGGCAGATGGCGGTTTTAGTGAGCCGAGATCATGCCACTACACTCCATCCTGGGTGACAGAGTGAGACTCTGTCACAAAAAAAAAAAAAAAGGCATTACAATGGAGGGATTGGTTAATAAGACCTGTGTATAGGTGGTCTGCTACTGTGTTGCGAGGTGCTGTGTCTTATTAAGTCATAAGAGAATGGACACAGAATGGGAGAATGGGGAACGTGGAGGTAAAGGAGGGAACCTAATGTAAGAATACTGAATTTGCCAATTAAGGCACCAGCTGTGACTACTTCATACAGGAATGGGGACATGCCTGATGCCATAGGGTCTAATTGACTTGAGAATGTGAAAGGAAAATAAAAACTCAGAACCCCAATTCATCATGCCAAAAGGAAAAAAAAATTAAGCTGAAATGTGAGTTGTGCAAGAAACTGCCTTTTCTCTTGTTCCTAAGCAGATAGCTAGAGATAAAATGTTAACTCCACAGGTAGTTACTCTGTGTTCACCTTATCTTATGTAAAGTGCAGATTTACTGAGCACTGGATGAATACATAATTGACTATTCCCCTACCTACTTCTTTTCCCTTGCAACATGTGGATTATCATACCCTCCTTCTTTCCCCGCCGGCCTGCTTTTCCCCTTTAAATACCGAGGCCCTCAAATTCATTTTTAGAAAAAGGCACGGACCACAGACTGTTTCTGTGACTCCATGTTTATTTGTTCTGGGCTTATCCTTAACTTTGGCAAAATAAACTTCTAAATTGATTGAGACCTGTCTCTGATACTTTTTGGTTTACCAGAAATATAGTATAGGACATACCTGTTGATGAAAAGAGTCAAACTCTGTAAAATATTTGAAGAGAATTATTCTGAGCCAAATATGAGTGATTATGGCCCCGTGACACAGCCCTTAGGAGGTCCTGAGAACATGTGTCCAAGGTGGTCGGGGTACAGTTTGGTTTTATGTGTTTTAGGAAGGCATGAGACATTAGTCAAATACGTTTAAGAAATACATTGGTTTGGTTTAGAAAGGCGGGACAACTCAGAGTGGGGGCTTCTAGCTTATAGATAAGTTTAAAGATTTTCTGGCTGACAATTGGTTGAGGTTGTCTGAAGACCTGGGATCGATAGAAAGGAATGTTCAGGTTAAAGATAAAGGATTATGGAGACCAAGTTTTATTGTGCAGAGGAAGCTCTTAGATAGGAGATTTTAGAGAGACCAGGTTGTAAATAGTTTTTTTATAGGACTTAAAAGTGTGCCTGGCTCTTAGTTGATTATCTTCTGGATCTGGGAAGGAAGGAAAGAAAACAAAGGGGAAGGGGATTCTCTATAGGATGTGGATTCTTCCCATGAGACACTGCAGGGCAATTTTAAGGTATGGCAAGGAAATAGATCTTGGGGTTAAATATTTTTTTCCTTGTCTCATAATATTATGCCAGTCAGATTGAAAAGTAAGCCACAATATGTAGGGTCCAATAAAACCCATCTGATGAGAATTTATTGTTTGTAGGGCATGACTCCCTAGACCTCTTAGGTAGGAATTTGGGTAAGATAAAAAATCAGAGCTTAGTCCTCATATCCAAGAGGCAAGAGGTTGTTTTGAATACCCAAAACAATCCTATTCTTTTCATGGCAATATAGGTGAAAAGGTTTGCCAAAGTTGGGTAAGCCAAGAGCTGGCTATGTGAGAAGTGCTCATTTTAAGGCTTTGCAGGAGTTCAATGGCTCCAAGAGCTAGGAAATGAACTCTGAAGTAGCATCGGAAGGAGGGCATCTATAGCGATTTAGCATGGGCAGCAAAAGTAGGAACTCATTGATGACAATAGCTAGCTGTCCCTAGGAATTTATGCAGCTGCTTTTTGGTTTTGGGAGAAAGATGGGCAAGGCTGATTCAAAGCATTTTGTGCTGTTTTTAGTGCCCTGAGATATCTCATGTTCTTAGCAGGTAACAGTCGTTTGCATCCACTGATGTTTAGATATGAAGGATTTAAGGCCTCATTCAGCTAGTTCTTTTAGGAGAACGAGGGAGTCTATAAGAGCACCCTGTTTAGTTTGGTTATAAAGAAAGAGGTTATTAATGTATTGAACAAGAGTGAAGCCTTGAGTAAAAGCTACAGGGTCGAAATTGGTTTTACAGACTTAGAAAAATATTGAAGGGAACGCATAATATCTATGAGGTATGCATCTATGTTGATTGTCTTCCTCTAAACATAAATGCAAAGATAAATTTTGAGTCCCAGAGTAATGGAATTAAAAAGAAAGCTGACCAGAGGTTAATTACTATAAACCAGACTGCATCAGCAGGAATTGAGGTCAGAATAGTGGCTGGATTAGGAATTATGGGGTGACGGCGCATTGTAAGAGTTCATGGCTCTTAGACCTTGTACAGATCTATGGATTTGATTCCCATCTAAATCAAATTTTACTTTTATTATTGGCAAGATTAGGGTATTGCAGGGTAAGAAGGTATAAAAAAACCCTGCTATAAAATAGTTTATTGTAGGTTCAATTCCTTATTTTTCATCTTGAGAGTACTGCGCTACTTACAGGAAAGGCTAATTACTTTTCCAGGTAACGCCCATTGACTGTGCACTCAGTAGCTATCCAATCTCATTTATATGTGAGGCCCAGATACTAATTGGGATGTCTTTTAAGACTGCATCCTCTTCAGAAGATTTTAGATTGATATGGGTTTCCATTAGGGAAGGTAGGAAGCTTGAGGTTTGGTCTGAAGGTAGGAAAATAAAAAACATCTTTATAATTATACTCTATGGTGGCATTAAATTTACATAACAAACCTCTGCCTAAAAGGTTTGCCAGTAAGAAGTCAGAAACTAGAAAGGCATGATGGATGTTAAGAGGGCCCACAAATATTGGGGTGGCCTAAGATGTAGGCGACGAAACAGGCTTCCCTGGAATTCCAACAGCTGAATAGAATTAGAGATGATAGAGATGAATACTTTGAGCCAGAAGTAGAGAAAGTCACATCAGTGTCAACTGAAAAATCCAGTTCTTGATCTTCTATTTTAAGGATGGAGGATATACTTCCTCTCTCACAAAGAGGAAAATGGGTCCTCTGAGGAAGTTGGGGTCTGGAGAGATTGTTTAAGCTTTCCTTTCTTTCAAGTGCAGGACAATTGTTTTTTTCAATGTCTAGGTTTGTATATAGTGACTGCAAACATCTTGAAATGAATAGGGGAGGCTTTGTGGTTGGTAAGAGAAATGGGTGGGATTTGAATTAACCCTAGAGTCATAGGTGTGTTTTTATAAAGACTAAATTTGCAAAGCAAGGACAATTGATGTTAATTTTTCCCCCTCCTGTTTTCCTGCGAGCCTTTTTTCAAAGAATTGGGTAGAAGCTTCAATCATAATGTTGAAGAGACTGTCCTGCCCAGACAAAAAAGCTACTTTGGATTTGCTTCCGTATTCTAGACAGGATTTCCAATAAAGGTGGAAATAATAAGATTTTTATATTCTGGGGCTTTGAGGTTAATGCAGCATGCCTTTGGAAAGTCTGTATACAGCATTCCACAAAAACCTTGGCATCCCCTTCTTTCTGAGTGTACTTTTCAACCTTAGACCAATTCACCTTGGTAGGAAAGGTCTCTACTATCACTTTTATGAGGCCCTAAATATCAGCTGCCAGCTGAGTCATTTCCTGGTCATTTGCAGGAAGGCCTGGGAGAAGTTCTGGCTACCTGTTTTCTTTATGTGTGTTTGTTACCTGGGAGAGGTAGTTGTTCCTAGGGGGTTGTCTGGCTTGTCTGGTAACTACAGTATCACCCTGGGTAGGAAGAGCCAATCAAAATCACTATGAGGGGAGTTGTATATTGTCACTAACTTTTCTAACTTCTCTCTAAGTTTAATAGGATCTTCTGAAAGGTGTGTGTTTTGGGGGTGGGGTGGGGTGTAAAAGGGCTTTTTTATTTTAAAAGATCTGCTGTTGTCCAGAGGACATGAATTCTTTGTTGTGGGTATTAAGGATACATCCACAAAAGGAATTTCATGGGAAGACTTGCAGCTGATGGGGTCTGATTATATCGACCAAGAAAGTAGATGGAATTATAAGGGACATTGAAATGAGCCCTGCTGTGTATCCCTGGGGCCTCTGACAAAGTTATTTTCTGACTATCAGCATTTACATAAGTAACTTGTATTCCTTGGCCTGGAGATTAGGCCAGAGTGCTTTCTGCCATTCTTGCAGGGAAAAAGAATTTAAAGAAGGAAGCTGGGTGTTTAGGGATTTTTTTTTTTTTTTTTTTTGAGGAGTCAGAGGAGCTTCAGGGATTAAAGGAATTTGCTTAGGAGGCTGGGCTGGATTTCAGGGAGAGAAACGTAAGTCAGGGTCTGGAGATTCAAAATATCTTCTGGAAGGTCAGGGATAGTTTGGAATTGAGAGTAAAGGGGAAAGGGACATGTACAGTAGATGTGGATTTTTAACTTTTGTTATAAGTCTGATTTCTATTCTTAATCTTGAGGGAATCCCTAAGCCTAGCCAAAATGCTCTTTTTTTGTCCTACTTCCAATTTCATCTCCCCATAGGTACCAAAAAGCCATTTGTTCAGGATGAGAGTTCTCTAAAAATCTTTTCAAATATAAAAGTTTTTCCAAATCCATGGATTCATCATTTGGCCATTGTAAGTAGGATCTCCAAGCATATATCCATTCTAACAGTAACTCAATCCAATAAATCTTTTCATGAAAAAACCTGGAGGTAACTTTCCAGGCTTAGAATACATTTTTATCATGAGTTCAAGAGGTATCGCCAAAGAGGTGCAGAAGATGCAGCTCCCATGATCCAAAAAGCCACTCCCAAAAATATCCTAAGAAAGCAAAGACTCTCATTGTCACACATGAAAAGACTCTCATTTCACAAACATTGTAAGAATAATGATTGTGAAAATTAATGTCTCTGGTGTCATACACAAGTGAGATGCACCCAATTACAGACTCTCTAATCTGTGATATTGGACAGGTGAAACTGGATGGGACTTCCCAGCACTGGCAAAGCAACAAGGGTAGAGAAAACAAAGACTCCTTATAGACTGGGACCTTGAGAGCAAATGAGACATAGGATTTACTGGGGGAACTTACATACAAGGATGGTCTGGTCGTGGAGAACTGGACGGGAGAACTGCTCCCATTTGTAAAAAGCATGCAGATTAGATAACATTTTTACTTAGCACCCACCACCTAGCAAGCTCCATCTAACCCAAAACAAAGGGACTCGATCCCCTGTATGGCCTATATTCTAAGGGATGGGTCAGGGGTTCAGATGTCCTTCGTAGCTAAGGAGTGAAACTCTGGGTTGGCCACTCCTGGATTCTTACACCACAGGGTCATTGTCAGGGTGTTCTTAAGTCACTACTCTCAACTGCGTCTGCCATACTGACCCCTCATTAAAACAAACTCCCCTGAAAGCTGGCAAGGTTGGACAATGAGGATGCTGCTTGCACACTTCATGTTGTTGGGGCCTAGAAAGTAATACCCCATAATGAAGGCCTCAGAAGCAAAAGTTTTTATCTGACCTTCTTCTGCCCTCCTGCCTCTCAGTCCCATTTGCCTCCAAGGCTAGCCATAAAAACTAGAATTTCTTTTCCCCTGGGCAGGTCATAGATACCAGAACCCCTTTTTTCCAAAAGTCAGCCATAAAACCTAAAAATATTACTCTAACTTTCCCTCTGCCTTTCTATATAAAAACAGGCCATAAAGAAATTATGTGACCTACCTTGTTTGACTGTAGGTCGTAAGACCCCCATTCCAGAGAGGTTCCTGTCCCATACCTAGAAGGAAGGAATGCATGCACAGAGAGGCCAAGAAGAATTTAGACAGGTAGGCCTGACTGGATTTCTTTCCCTCAGGCTATTAGCATTAGATCCTACCCTTTTTGTCCAGTCATATTTCCATATGGCTCTTCATACTTTGCTGAACTGAAGCGTAAAAATAGACAATTTCCCCTCTGTCTTTGGGACTTCATTCTGAAGGCTCCTGTATATACACATTGAATAGACTTGCATGCCTTTTTTTCCAATTAGTCTGCTTTTTTCCAATTGATTTTTCAGCATACCCTCCAATGTCTAGTGTTCCTAGCCTTATGGTAGCCACTTGATGCATCCCTGACAACCTGTACCCCTCAGCTGACAGAAATCAAAGAACATATCCTCACTGGTTACAAGCCGAGATCTCAGAACATAAAAAGCGATGAAAGGAGAATCTCATCTTTTTTAAAAAATTGATGACCCACAGCAAAGTTTGTCCAAACTCCAGCCCAATGAGGACAGTAAACCCATCAGTCTATAAAGCCAGTTTTAACAACATGCCTATAGGACATATGCCTGTGTGCTACCCTGTGATTCCCTTCCATATGAAAAATGACACAAAAGACAGAGACATAGGAAAACAATGACCATCTCTGGGAGAGAAAGGACGAATTAAAACCAAGAGTACTTCAAATAAAAATCACAAGGAGTCCAGGTTGAAAATGGCAGTGGCAGCTGCATTCTGGGTTCCTCGGCTGTGGGGTCAGTCCAATCCCAAATTGGAGCAGCCACGTCAAGTGGTATCTATGGCTAGGAGGGCTCAGCTAGTATGTGGAAGACCCTCACCTATTTTGTTGTGCTTCCTCGGGTGGGAGTGAGCATGATAATTGTTTTCTTGAAGTTGCATCGTGGAGAGCACAGGAGACCTGAGTTGATTCCTTACCCCCATCTCTGCATTAGATCCAAATCTTTTCCTTGAGGAGATGGTAACCATACTGTATTTCATAACCTTCATGTGAATCTGTTTCTAACTGCCTATGAAGATGAATAAAGAGAACGTGAACCATTACAAATCTACTGGGAACCACAGAGCTGGTTGAACCATTACTCTGCACATGGACCAGAAAAAGTGTACAAGACCCTAATCTCACCTTCTTTACTTGTATAAAATGATGAACAGTAAACTGATTTGCCATCTCTTTGCTTGTGGCAAAATGTAGCTTAAAGAAATTAAACTCTGATTGGTCATATGCAAAAAATAATGAGTATCTATACCCAAAGAACTCGTTCACACAAATGGTTTCTCCTGCTAATCTGAATTTGAAAAGGGAAAGACAAGGATAGTCTCTTGCCATTTTCATTTGACCAGATGCTACAGGCAGAGATTAGGAGGTTGATGTGGTAAAAATGTTTACCTTTGGCTAACTTTGCTGGGTGCTCCCAAGATCTCAATGGTAACCTCTGGAGTGCGCAGGGTGTCCCAGCCAATGATATCCCAATCTCATTGCCAGAACTGTAGGGAAAGAAAAGTAACCTTCCTCTACTTCCTGAAGTTCTGTGGCTGAGGCTCATGAATTGAAGTGACAAAAACATAGATTAACAGGAGAATAGCAAACAATTTTTAAAATATTATTTATTTTATTTTTTTTTTTTTAAATTTACTTTAAGTTCCAGGATACATGTGCAGAATGTGTAGGTTTGTTACATAGGTATACATGTGCCATGGCGGTTTGCTTCACCTATCAACCTGTTATCTAGGTTTTAAGCCTCGCGTGCATTAGGTATTTGTCCTATTGCTCTCCCCCTCCTTGCCCCCGACCCCTGACAGGCCCTGGTGTGTGATGTTCCCCTCCCTGTGACCATGTGTTCTCATTGTTCAACTCCCACTTATAAGCGAGAACATGGGGTGTTTTGTTTTCTGTTCCTGTGTTATTGAGACTAGCAAACAATTTTTATTTATTATTTTTACATGCACATTGAAGCCTTCATAGACAAAAATGAAAACCCAAAGAAACAATTAGGATAGCAAGCTTACATACTTTTAAAACAAAAATGTTAAATTGTGGAGAAGTGACAAAATGGGAAAGGGGTTTAACCTTCTAGGAGTAGTAATTTGTGGAAAATGACTAGGAAATGTATTGGGGAACTAATGGAAGATAAGAATTATTTAATAGGATTGTTTGTACAGATCCATTTGAGCACTGACTCCCAGTCTTCATAAGAATGTTCTCTTCTTATGAGAAAGGGTTTGCAAACTATTCACCCAACAAGGGATTAACATCTGGAATATACAAGGAACTCAAACAACTCATCAATGAAAAATAAATACATACATCATTTGATTAAAAAGTGGGCAAAGAATCTGAATAGACATTTCTCAAAAGAAGACATACAAATGGCCAAGAAGTACAGTCATACTCTGTATAATAATGTTTTGGTCAATGATAGACCATATATATATATACCATGGTGGTCCCATACGATTATAGTGGAGCTGCAAAATTCCTATCATCTAATGATGTTATAGTCATTGTACTGTCATAGTGCAACACATTACTTCTTTTCTATGTTTAGGTATGTTTGTTTAGACACATGAATACCTACCATTGTGTTACAATTCCCTACAGTATTCAGTACAATAACATGTTGTACAGATGTATAATCTAGGAACAATAAGTTATACCACATAGTTTAGGTGTGTAATAGGCTATATCATCTAGGTTTGTATAAGTACACTCTATGATGTTCCCACAATGATGAAATAACCTACAAATGCATTTTAAATAACATATCCTTGTTATTAAGGGATGCATAACTGTATATAAAAAATGCTCAACATTGCTAATCATCAGGAAAGTGCAAATCAAAATCATAATTAGATATCATCTCACTCCAGTTAGAATGGCCATTATCAAAAAGACACAAAATAACAAATGCTGGTGAGGATATGGAGAAAAGAGAACTCACACCTTGTTGATGGGAATATAAATTAGTATAGCCATTATGGAAAACAGTAGGAGTTTCCTCGAAAAACTAAAAAATGGAACTATCATATTACCCAGAACTCCCACTACTGGTTATATATCCAAAGGAAAGGAAATCAGTGTGTTAAAGAGATATCTGCACTCTCATGTTTATTGTGACACTACTCACAACAGCTAAGATATGGAATTAAGCTAAGCATCCATCAGTGGATGAATGGATAAAGAAAATATGGTATATAAACCTAATGGAATACAATTCAGCCATAAAAAGGATAAAATCCTGTCATTTGCTACAACATGGATGAGCCTGGAGGACATTAAGTGAAATAAGCTAAGCACAGAAAGATAAATACTACATGTTCTCACTTATATGTGGAAGCTGGAAACGTTGATCTTATAGAGGCAGAGAGTAGAATAGTGATTACTAGAAGCTGGGAAGAGGAGGGAGGGGGAATAGGCAGAGGTTGGTAAATGGATACAAAATTACAGCATGACAGGAGGAATAAGTTCCAGTGTTTTATAGCATTATAATTAACAATTTATTGTGACTATAGTTAACAATAATTTATTGTATGCTTTCAAATAGCTAGAAGATTTTGATTGTTCATAATATGAATGATGAATTAGATGACAGATATGCTAATTACCCTTATTTGGTTATTATGCATTGTATACGTGTATTGAAACACACACCGTACCCTATAAATAGGTAAAATTATTATTTGTCAATTAAAGATTTAAAAAGAGAATGTTGTCTTCTTCCTAATACAGGGAGGGTGCCTGTACATGGGAAATTTTATGTCTTGTTTTCGGCAGGAAGGAAGAAAGCAGAGTGCCCTTCTTGCATCTTCAATCACTCTCAACTCAAAATAACTAATATGCCAAAGTGGCATATTTTGGGGTAGCATGTCCTGAATCCTTTCATAAGCATTGTGCTAAGTGTTTTATATACATTATTTCATCAAAATTTCACAAGGGACCTATGAGATAGTTGCTTTATTGCCCATATTTTACAGTTTAAAATACAAACAAAACTAAAGCACAGTGAAGTGAAATAGTTTGGGCAAGATCACATTGCTACTACATTGAGAAACCAGATTCTAGGCCTGTTGATCCTAATCTAGAAAACTAAATTACTTAGTCCAGTAGTTTAGGTATTTACAGACATTGCTTAAGGAATTCTCAGACAGATAAGAATTCTATTCTTGTTGCTGAAGAGATTAAAGAGATTAAGTAACTTACTAAGGCTAGTTAATTAGAAAGTGGCTGCCCTTAGGATTTAAAACCCAAGTGTGTCAGCCTCCAAAGTTTTTGGGTATTCAAGTGATTTAATCCATTCCACAGTTAAAAAATACATTTTATGCTGTTACTCAGTAGACATACACATACAAATATATAACTGATAGAAAAGGTTCATAAAACAATACTCACCCTTATTCATGCAATGACACTCTGGTACTTCTTATTCTATCCTAACCTATTTTATCCTATCCTATTCTACACTATTATAGTCTATTTTATGGGTTTTTTTTAAAGGCTTATTACAAGCAATTAAATTTACTTTATGACTCACTATAGGTTGTGACCTTCAGTCTGGAAAAAAATGCTAGGTATAGGCTTACTTAATATCATTTTCTTGTATTACTGTGTTCTCAACTACTCTCTGTTGTGCTTAAAATGAATTGGACTACTTAAGTGAAATTTAGTTGTGGCTTTGTTGTAAGACTAACAAGTTCATATGCCTGCTGCACAGTAACAGTGCAATGCACTGAGACAGCAGTGTTTGCAGCAGAGAAAGAGTTTATTGATTGCAGGGCAGCCAGGTTAGGGGATGGGAGGAGACTCTCAAATCCATCTCTTCAAGGATTCCTGGGATGAGGTTTTTAAGGGGATTGTGGAGGACAACGGGCTGGAAGATTAGGGTTATTGATTGGTTGGGGTAAGAGGGATGAAGTCATTAGGATGTGGAAATTTTATTCTTTGGTAAAAGGAGACGAGTTAGCTCCTCATGGGGTCCCTCAGACCAGCTGGTATCAGTAGTTTCACTGGTACACAGGACTTAAAAAACATCTCAAAGGGAAAACTTACATTTAGTAATGTTCAAGTTGTCATGTAGAGCAGTTAGGGGGAATTGCAATCTTATAGCAGTCTACGTGATTCTGCAGCAACAGGGAAACAGTATAAGGAAGTGGGTCAGAGAGCAAGCTAACCTAATGTTTAATGCTGAGTGTGCTGCAGGCTTGGTTTATCTTAGTTCTCCCCCTCCCTTCTTCCCTGATAAATTCTATAAAGTTTATGGGAATGGTTTCACTCTGTAATGCTCTTTCTAAATAGATTTTAGCTAGAGATGGTCTCAGAGTGGAGGGGCTGACTGAATTCTGCTGCAGAAGTGTTGTTTTAGCTCTCCAATTTCCCTTTTAATGAGAAGCATGTGATCTCTATGGAGGCAAAACACCAGCAGTGTCTCAGTTTATTGGTGGAGATAAAGGGACAATTGTAAATACAACTTGCTCTGAGTTTCTACAATTTGAAATGAATTTTGCTATGTATAACTCTTCCTCCTCCCACCTCACCTTTCTTATTAACCACATTCTTTACAGAAGACTTAGATTATTGTTATTACCCCCAAGCATCTCTGTATTGTCTAAATCAGTATCCATGGCAAATATTTCTTTAATGTTCTTAGGCTAGGGGTTTACAATCTCTAAATTTTTATAGAGATACCCCTAATCTAATTGCATACATTGGCTTTTATGGCTCCCAAAATGTCAAAAGGAATCCTCTCCACACCTATTACAGTTACCTTTCTCATAGTTCGGAATAAATTCAAATGAGCCATAATAAGCAATATTTAATAATGTTGGTAGTCCAGGGGAAATAACTCTACACTTTAGAGTCACATAGCTTCTTAAAAAAACACTTCAGGCCGGGCGCGGTGGCTCACGCCTGTAATCCCAGCATTTTGGGAGGCCAAGGCGGGCGGATCACAAAGTCAGGAGATCGAGACCATCCTGGATAACATGGTGAAATCCCGTCTCTACTAAAAATACAAAAAATTAGCCGGGCATGGTGGCGGGCGCCTGTAGTCCCAGCTACTCGGGAGGCTGAGGCAGGAGAATGGATTGAACCCGGGAGGCGGAGCTTGCAGTGAGCCGAGATCGCGCCACTGCACTCCAGCCTGGGCAACAGAGACTCCATCTCAAAAAAAAAAAAAAAAAAAAAGACGCTTCATAGGTATCATTTTACTCATTATCCCAGCATTCGTGGAATTTAGATAGATTTAGGAATTACTGATGTATTTTTAAAGAGTTAAGTGATGCTTAAAGATTGAATAATTTGGATCTTCCAGCTTTGGTATAATAGAACTACAAATGGAAATAAAGCCTCAATTCTTTTCTGGATCTGAGTTCCTTAGTCTTTTTAGACATGTGTTTCATCAGCTTCCACCTCCCATGGGCAGATGGAAGACAGTAAGGATAGAAAGTAAAAGGTAAAAAGTGAATGTGAGAAGACAGAAAAAAAGTCATTGTCAAGAAAGACATTAATAAATGTTTCTAGTGTTGTTTTGTGGCACAAGTATATTCAAATCTTGTACCATATCACATTAGTTAGAAAGAATGGTGGCAGTTGGTGCTGGGAAGATGTTTGATTGCCTAAGACTTTAGTTATAGTTTTGCTGTCACAAAATGTGCTTTTTTTTTTTTTTTCCTTAAAGAGATGGAGTCTCACTGTGTTGCCCAGGCTAGAGTACAGTGGCTGTTCACAGGCATGATATGGGCACAGTGCAGTCTCAAACTCCTGGCCTCAAGTGATTCTCTGGCTTCAGCTTTCCAAGCAACTGGGACTACAGACACATACCACCATGCCTGGCTGTAGAAAATGTGTATTCTTAAGGTAGACTTCAAGACATAGCTTTTTAGGAAGATAAATAATAAGCCACTTACCACTCTGATAAGATTTTTAAACAAGTCACCTATCCTAAGGAAAAATTCAGTCTGCATCCTAAGTGCTCCATTTAGAGGCTTGATATCTCTATAGGCATCAGATGCCTTAAATAGATAAGAGGAAACATACTTGTTGCATTATCTTTTGAAGGTGAGCTAATATATATTTATTGGCATTTATCTTCAGCATTGGTTAATGTGCTTAGTTACAATTGATGTGATTGGGTCCCTATTGCCTTTGGACAAAGGTGTTTTCTGTTTGTGTTTGACTGTAGTGGCTATTTGGATCTTTAATACAATCCCATATGTAGAAGATTTAGTAACTATGACTTTGGCAAATCATAGAAATAAAACCCAAAAGTCATCTGACTGGTCGAGAGAAGAGAAACACTGGTTATTGCTAATAGACGGTTAATTGCAAACCCATAGCCCTCATTATGGTTATTATACTTTTGTGAACTTCATTACGTAATGCACCAGTAATAATAAAGGTGTTTGTCATTCTTCTTAAACTTCAGCCTAACTTGGTACTGAGCCCTTTGCCTTAGTGCTAGGCAGCTGAACCACTGTAATCGCAGAACCGGGATTGGTCCTAGGTTTTTTTTTATAGTGGGATGTTGGATTGACTGAAAATCAATTATCACTGATCTCAGCCTGGGGTTTAAAAAGAGACATTTGAAGAGAGCATCCTCAGCAAAGCTATTATGTTTTTAATTAGCATCTCGCATTTAGATGATCTTCAAGTCTTTTTTTTTTTTTTTTTTGAGACAGGGTCTTGCTCTGTCGCCCAGGCTGGAGTGCAGTGGTGCGATCTCGGCTCACTGCAAGCTCCGCCTCCCGGGTTCACGCCATTCTCCTGCCTCAGCCTCCCGAGTACCTGGGACTACAGGCGCCCGCCATCATGCCCGGCTAATTTTTTGTATTTTTAGTAGAGACGGGGTTTCACCATGTTAGCCAGGATGGTCTCCAACTCCTGACCTCGTGATCTGCCCGCCTCGGCCTTCCTAAAGTGCTCGGATTACAGGCGTGAGCCACTGTGTCCGGCCTCAAGTCTTTATTCAATTACTTCATTTCAATCATATCTGGGTGCGTCAGCCTTACGCTTGCCTACGAAAGACATACTAGTCTTCTGAATAATGCTTGTGTTCTGTGGCTTCTGGATGACATGCTTGGTTTTTCTTTGAATATTTTGACTTTAAGTTTCATCATCAGCCATAATTTTGAGTTTACTTAAACTCAAAGGACATCAAATTCGTTTAGTTAATTAACTAATTAACTAATTTAGCATGCACAAGAGGAGAGACAAAGATTTTCTGCTAATCAAACTCTAATCAGGCTCATTTGTGCATTATTTTTGTCTAAGTTTCAGACTCTGGGCTTGGGTGTCCTTCCTTTCAGAGTCCAGTTCTAGCAAGAACCTGCAAGTCAGTTTAGCAAGAATTCCCCATCTTCTATTTCAGATTACTCTTGGGGGTTCCTCATCCTCCGTCACCCCCCAGGAGATGTCTGATCACCCCGGCCAGCCTTCAGTAAGAGTACTGTTAGGTTGTTTTCACCAGAACCTGCCTTACCTGAGATCTTTCCTCTTAGTAATTTTCTATCCTGCTGATCCCCACCCTGCCGTTGGCTACAAATTATCACTTTTCCTTGTTGTTTTTGGAATTGAGCCCAGTATTATACTGAGGTTTTGTTTCCCCTATTGCAATTGTTTTTTTCTGAATTAAATCTGTTTTCACTGCTGTAATTACTGCTTACTTCTTTTTTTTTTGACTGCACTGTGGCTTCTGATTGGTGGATTTAGTTTGTGTTTGAACATCTTCATTTTAAAGTGTCACCATTGGTCATAATTTTGAGTTTAGTGAAATTTAAAGTATATCAAGTTCATTTATATAATTTACTAATTAACTCACTTAGCATGCATCAATTGGGTACCAATTGATGAGTGGCTCTGAAAATTGAACAATAAACTAATCCTAAAATTAAAGGTGTATTATATGCATTCTTTAATAAGCTCTGAGACCTACAAAGATATTTTGGACATAAAATGTTATTCACATTTTTTTCCCCAAAGGAATTATCTTCCAAGAATAAGATGAATTATTTTCTTATTTTTAATACAACATAATTAGTATTGACTTACCATGCTTTTTTTTTTTTTTAATTTTAAGAGATGGGGCCTCACTTTGTCATCCGGGCTGGGGTGTGGTGGTGCAGTCACAGCTCACTGCAGCTTTAAATTCCTGGCTTAGAATGATTCTCCAACCATAACCTCCCCAGTAGCTGGTACTACAAGCTCATACCACCATGCCCAGCTAACTTTTTTATTTTCTATTTTTTTAAACATGGGGGTCTTCCTATGTTGCCCAGACTGGCCTCAAACTCCTGGCCTCAAGTGATCCTTCCACGTTGGCATCTCAAATCTCTGGAATTACAGCCATGAGCTATGGTGGTGCTTGAACCTATAATGCATTTTTAAAATGTGAAAGTACTAATATTTCTTATAACACATCAATGTAAATATTGAGTCAATGCTGAAGAATTCAATATTTCCAATTCATGTTAAATATTGAGTCAATGCTGAAGGATTCAATATTTCCAATTCATGTTTAATGATTGTGATTTTCTAGTCTCTTACATATATTAATTCCTAATTACACCATTACAATAGGACAAGTTTACTGTACAAATTGGACATGTGTGAGTTATATCTCTATGTTTCAAAAGAGTAATTAAATAAAATTTTATTTTGGGAACTGCTCTTGAAGGATTTCATTATTTATTTGGCTCTTCTTTTTCTCCCTCCTCTCTCTCTTCCCATCTTAAAAAGCAGGATTCTGTAAACCAAAAGGTATCTGAGACAGGTCTCAAAACATTTAGAAAATTTATTTTGCTAAGGCTATGGACACACCTGTGACACAGCCTCAGGAGGTCCTGACAATGTGTTCCCAAGTTGGTCGGGGTGCAGCTTGCTTTTATACATTTTAAGGAGATGTGAGACATTAATCAATATGTGTAAGATGTACATTGGTTTGGTGTGGCAGGGCGGGACAACTTGAGGTGGGAGCTACCAGGTCATAAGTAGATAAGAGACAAAAGGTGGCATTCTTCTGAGTCCTTGATCAGCTTTCCATTGAATATACAATTTAGTCTGGCTCAGTAAATCTGCATTTTTACATAAACAATAGGACAGAGGAAGCAATCAGATATGCATGTCTCAGGTGAGCCTCAGTGGGCTGACTTTGAGTTCTGTCTGTCCTTTGTTCACAAGGAATTCCCTTGTGGGCAAATTGTGCGGGAGGTATGTAGCTTTTTACCTTTGTATCTAGCTCATTTAGGAATAAAATGGGAAGCAGGTTTGCCTGACATAGTTCCCAGGTTGACTTTTTCCTTGGCTTAGTGATTTGGGCGTCCTAAGGTTTATTTTTCTTTCACATTCTCCCCTTTTCTTTTAAAAGTCTTTCAGGAAAAGCATTTTAGAAGAAAATGGGTCCCTGGTGTCAGGTTTTGTCTCATCCCTTGTGGCTAGGGCAGTTTATTCCTAGACAGGTAGGTCCCACATTATTAGTAAAGCTCATTTTTAGCAGGTTGTGAAATCTCACATTCTACAGAAAGAAAATAGGGAGAGGAAGGGAGAAAAACAACAACAAACGAAGAAGTGAGCAATACTGGAAAATTGATATAGGCACTATTACTCTGAAGTCTATGAATCAGTAGGCTGGTATGAAAGTGGTTTATGTATGTAAATAGGTTGCTGTTATTTTCTTCTAAAGTTTAAGTTGTCTAGCTTCAGTTTGCAGGACTTTAAAAAAGCACAGCTTAATTTTTAGTGATTTCAAATCAGGAAAAATGGGGAAAAAGAGGAATAGAAGAAAAAATTTAATAGATTATTTTGTAGACTGGTAGTCAGGAAAAATTTTAGAATTCAGTCCAAACTATAAGTTCAGTCCAAATAATAAAAATTGAAAAATATTCGGCAAGACTAGAATCTAACAACAGGTGTACTACAGTTATTTACTGCCTCAGAGACCTTTTTTCTAAACTGTAGCTTAAAACAAAGGTCTCTGAGATAGTTTGAAACACATTTTTTCTTTCTCCAGTCCTATTTTCACTAAAGACAAGTCAAAGGACAAATTCAGCTGCAAAATAAGTTTTAGTCTTATTATACTTGGCCATAGTATATGCATAAAATCAGCAAGAATAATTGTTTCTTTTTTAAAAAATTGGCTTTGCTGAAACTTTATTCCATAAGGATTCTCAGATTTGACTTTAATGCCTTAAGCCCAGCCTGTGCCTGCAGATACCTGTATTAATGGAGTGAATTCCTCACCTCAAGGTCCCAAGGAACCTTGGGGCTCCTGGGACTGTCAGAAAGTGACATTCTTTACTTACCACAGGTCAGCAACCTGTGCAGGGACTGTGTAGACAAGATATAAGATCAGCTTTCTGAAGGGGCTTTTATTGCCTCTTTAATTCAACTTTGATTCCTTAAAGGAGTCTGTATCTGAAAGAATTCCATTCCAGTAAAAAACCTTGGTAAAATAACTAGTGTCTACAATTATGTCCTGTTACAAAAGAAAACAAATTCTTATTACACTTATGCAAATAACTATATTGCTATAAGTTAAGCATACTTGCAACTAGTTTCCAAATTTTGGAGAAATCATGTAGAGAGAAATATGCTCCAAATTTTGTTTGTAGGAGTATACTTTACTCAATTATTAAAAGCTGTAAATATTTCAAAAGAAAAGTTTTTCTTACCTCTGATAAACAAAGGATCAGCAACATTTTAAGCAAAAAGTAATAAAAGGATTTATTTCAGTCTTCCATGCGGTTTAGTCTATGCAGTTAACTCCTGTTCTGCTTGATATTCATGAACATTTCAGCTCTCTTTAAGAATCTTGGAAGTTTTCCCTCTATTCTAGTGTCACAATCTCCAAAGTTATCAGAAACCTGCCTTCAAGTGCACCCGTCAGAATCCTATGCTGGTTATAATGCCACCTTTTGAAAAGGATAAAAATAAAACTGCAGATGACAAAAGTCTTAGAACAGTCATAGTTAAATACACAATTTACAAGAAAATTGGTTACTTCTGTGGCATACAACAATTTCACATAATAATCATAATTATTACTGATAACATATGCTAAGATGTATTAGAAGCACAGGAATTTCATACAATTTTGGAACACAAACTAATTACACATTTATGTAAATATAATTCAAAGAAGGTTAAACATTTTTTCATATTTGACAATACTTCCTGTATGATTTTATTATATCAAATAAACCAAATATCTCTTATAAACTTTAGGGAACTAATATCAATAAATTTATGAGGACCAAAATTAGAATTTGATTTTGGAAAGTGTTTCAAATATAAAATGTTTAGAACCCTTGATATCACAAAATAGGATTACAGTCATTGTAAAGTAAGTCATTTATTTAGCCAAAGTGATAACTCAAAGATTAAAAAAACGAAAGCAGAAACCTTTATCTTTGAGAGAGGAGACCAAACAATAAGCCTTAATAAAGACAGAATGAAGTCAGTTAAATATGTCTCTCAAATCTTATAAACTGCCTGTAAAACTTTAATTATCTTGACCATAAGATATAATTTCCATAAGCCTTTTTATAACCTTTATAACCTTTTATTAAGAAGTGGGTTAATTCTCCAAGAAAACCTTGTTAATCTAACACAGGAGTCCATATTCTGGTCTTGCTTCAGCGTGCCTTCAACATTAATGGTTAATTTATAGAGAAACTGAACTTATTTTTTCTCAAAATCAGCCCTTATGATCTCACATGCCTAGCTCTTCTGCTATAGTCCCTGGGCCTTGAATTGAATAGTTTTAGTTTCTGGCCCTGTATCTCATGAACACAGTTTATTTTGATTGGCATCTTCTACTGGGTCTGAAAATGAGGCTTTAACTGCTGTCGGTTTTTAAGATTTAGCAAGATTTGGGGTCCTTTTTAGACTCAGAAGTCAAAGCCCTGTACTCAATGACACAAGGACTGTAAAAGCACCTGCAGAAAGTTACACGGATGTAATAACCTTAATTAAATAAAAATTTAATCTCAGTTTTTTTCCTAAGCAAACCCAAACTTAGTAATAATGACACAGAAATTATTTTGATAAAATGTAAAATCTGTTTGTTAGGCCCAGTTACCAAAAGGCAAAAGAAAAGAACTTCTGCAATGTGACTGCTGCTCCCTGTGGGAAGTTCATTTAGATAATCCTCACGTCAGACCTAATGAGAATGGCACTTGAATTAATTAGCCATAGGAGGTGCTTCCTGAGCAATTTAAAGCCAAGAGCACAGAATATTATGTTGGAAGAAAACATTTCCTTTAGACCTTCAAGATAAAACATTATTAGCATCAGGCCAAAACAATTATGACCCAAAGAAAAAACTTACAGTAGCTGAAAATGAATTGAAGGACAGAGCTATAATTTCAGTCCTTTTAAAAGGGGAGAGAAACCTGAAAACAATGAGACACAGTAAAAGTTGAACTTTGCATAAAAAAATTATAAAGTCCTGTAATTTTATTAAGAGTAAAGCAATACCTTAAGAAAATCTCATTATTCTAACCAATTATTTAGTGTATAAGTGGGGTTTTAAAAATATTAAATATAGACAACTTGATCATATAAAATTTTTTTTTCTTTTCATAAACCTTCTTATTATGACTTACACAGACATTGGGCATGGTTGTCCTGAACATCCCTCTTTCTTTAACAACCAGTCATTTTATTTTAGGACAAAAATTTACCATATAAGATTCTTTTGCATGTAAAATTATTTTTCTTTAAGCTTTCTTACCAAAAATACCTCTTTATTTCTATAACTTTCTTTACATCTCTCTTATTTCCAGGTTACTCTTACCTTGTTTTATACATAACCTTTAAAAAAGTTTGAATTAGACAAAAAGTATTCTTCTTTTAACATTTTGGGAGGTTAATTTTGGGAGGAAAGGCAATGAAGAAGATTCTTCAGAATGCACCTCTGAATTAGAATTAGGATACTAAACAACAGCTTCCTAGGAGGAAAAAAAAAAGTGAAGAACACTTCCAGTAACTGTCCTCAGCCAGCTTTAACTTTGTTAGTTTTTGTCCACCATTACACATGCCAAGGTCAAATCCTCTCTCAGTACAAGGTAATCTTTGGTACCCTCTAAAGCCAAAGAGGTCAGGTTATGCAAATACAGGAGAGCAGACCTTTAGACCTAAGAAGAATCTGCCCATCACTCTTGAAACTCTACAAAGAAAACAGAACACCCCAAAAAGGGGCAAGAGGTGCCTGTGTTCTGAGTTCTTTAGGGGGTTTGAGTCATTAGAAGCCTCTTTAGATTTTCCCTGGTATTGAAGATGGTGAAAGGGGAGGAAGGAATAGGGTGAAGAAAAGTAAATGAAAGAACAGTTGTTTTTTAAGACAGAAAGCAAACACAGAAACCAAGCCCCTGTTTTTTTTTTCCCCTTTCTTTTGTAGCTATGAGGAATTTCAGCTAATTCAGACAGACCTTGTTCCCCATAATTTGTAATTCTTATTCAGATTTGACCAAGTCAGGTAGAGTTGGTCAACTCTGGGACCAGAGAGAAAGACCAGAACAAACAACAAAAAACCCCAACAGTATGATTACTGAACACTCTAATGGTAAGGAGAATTAAGACCAGCTGACTGTTAATCACAACTTTATCCAAGACAAAATCCCAATTCAGCTACTTACCAAGGAGTGGGTCTCAGGCTGAAGACAGCTCTCTACCATCCTAGAAGCAGGAAAAAATTCAAACTGGAATTCCCTGTTGGAAGTGAGCTCAAATTACAGAGAGGATTTACCTGCCTTCCATTGTCATGAAAGCAGAAAAACTTGCCTTCCTTGTTGGAAGCAAGTAAAACTCAGAAAAAGAGTTGCACAGCAAAATAAACGTTAGATCTCAACCAAATTTTGGGTGATTGGGGATTCTCTGGAGGGAGGGAAGCTTCCAGGCCTCAGCAAATCGTCCTGTTGGTTTGGGCCATAGAAGCTCAAGCTGGTACCAAGCCCAGTTGGAGATCTGTCAAAGGTCCAGGAGCTACCTCCATGCAGAGTCCCTTCCATTGGTCACCAAATTGTAAACCAAAAGGTATCTGAGATATGTCTTAATACATTTAGAAAGTTTATTTTGCCAAGGTTAAGGACGTGCCTGTGACACAGCTTCATGAGGTCCTGACAAATGTCCTCAAGTAGGTTAGGGTACAGCTTGCTTTTATGCATTTGAGAGAGACATGAGACATCAGTCAGTATGTGTAAGATATACATTGGTTTGGTCCAGCAGGGCAGGACAACTTGAGGTGGGGGGCTTCCAAATTATAAGTAGATAAGAGACAAAAGGTTGCCTTCTTTTGAGTCCTTGATCAGCCTTCCACTGCATACAAAATTTAGTCTGGTTCAGTGAATCTGCATTTTTATATAAACAATAAGGTAGAGGAAGCAATCAGATACGCATGTCTCAGGTGAGCCTCAGTGGGATGACTTTGAGTTCTGTCTGTCCTTTGTCCAGGAGGCATTTCCTTGTGGGCAAATTGTTTGGTAGGTGTGTAGCTTTTTTGAATTTGTAGCTAGCTTATTTAGGAATAAAATGGGAAGCAGGTTTGCCTGACATAGTTTCTAGGTTGACGTTTCCCTTGGCTTAGTGATTTTGTGGTCTCAAGATTTATTTTCCTTTGAAAACTCATAAAAGTAGTATTTTTCTATCATAAAAAATATCCAACCTGTTTTATCATTTTGAAAATGTTAATTTTAATTTGTTTTGTTAATTTTTAAAGGAGAAATTATTTTTCTTTTATAATAAATGCTGTATTTTCTTGAAAACTGTTCCATGAAGTATATGCTTCATTTGTATTACACTAGAGAAATATGTTATTAATTTAACCAAATGCTGAGCAATAAGTCCAGGTGCATGGCTCAAGCCTGTAATCCCAGCAGTTTGGGAGGTCGACGTGGCGAGATCACTTCAGCCCAGGAGTTCCAGACCAGCCTGGATGTCATAACAAAACCCCATCTCTATAAAAAATTTTAAAAATTATCCAGGTTTGGTGGTGTGCGCCTGTAGTCCCAACTACTTGGGAGGCTGAAGTGGGAGGATCACTTGAGCTTGGGAGTTGGAGGTTGTAGTGAGCTAAGATGGTGCCACTGCACTCCAGCCTAGGCAACAGACTGAGATTGTGTCTCAAAGATTGAATTTGCTGAGATTAAAACACCACACACACACACACACACACACACACACACACACACACACAGACAGGTTCACACACTAACATTTCAAAAGATTAAATCTTCCTTTAATTGACTGGGCAAAGGGCTGTCTTTTCTCACCCAACAGGTTAAATACTGCAGAGCTAATAGATTGGAGTGACTTCTGACCTAGTCACATCTTAAAGGAAAACTTTTCAGTTTTTACTTTAAAAGTAAGTTGCCTTTGTTCTTTCTACTGCATAGCTTAGTAGGAAAAAGCAGGTACTGTTTTGTAAAAAAAGATAAAAAGTTCTGTAATGTGCCACATTTTGAGCAGTTTCTTCAGCCTCAAGAATCTCTGGCTTGTTCAAAACATATCTGGGTGACACTGGGAAAGTTAAGACGAGGCTGGAAAGAACCAAAGGAGAGGAATAATTTGACAATAATAATAAAGGGGAAGGAAAAAAGAGTTGATGAAATTTCACCTAAAATGGGATTAACTTATCTTGTTGAATCAAGTTATCTATTTCTGGTCAATATATTTATAAAAAACAATAGTTTAAGAAGTTTCTTAGAAAAAAAATCTTACACAAAAGCTCCTTTCATTCGTGAAAATACTTGTAAATATTTTTGCTTTAGGAGAAAATATGTGCTTTCAGGGATATTACGCTGGTCTCTTAAAAGTTTCCTTAAAATTCTTAGCTTGGAGTCACTGTTACTTGTAACTGGAGGTATTAGTCAGCCTTTGGGTTGGACTTATGAACTATGTACCTTGGAAATGCCACACAACCTACCAAATGTGATGAGGATACGAGGGCAATCAACTTGGGGCCTACCGCTCATGTGGAAATTTGCTTTTCATTTTTCATGTTAAAGAATGATTCCCACATTATGTACAGAAGTAATTTAGAACACTAAAATTATCTCAGTATCCTGAGGCTTCCTGAGGCTGGAGGCCATTTTCAGTATTGTAACAAAGTTTAGTAGTTTTGAGTGAGGTCTGTAGAGAAATGGAGACTGAGGAGGTGCCTTGTGAATGACTTAGATTTGGGACTCCCTTTGGTCCTCCCCCTTTGGTAATGTTATGGTTTGCTTTCACCAAAGTTATAGTCTTGCCTTTTTCAATATTTGTCCATATTTCTGAATTTTTAAAAATATTTATGATAATAATTTATATTCAAAATCTATAACAATTTTAATGGTAAGAGGATTGTATCTAAATTCAGTTCTTAATTCCATTGAGATAATATATACATAAACTCACAGGAAATGGGAATTCCAAAAGGTAGATTCTGAAGGCAGTGTCTTGACTGACTTCTATATCTGTTATGATTCTCTAGAGAGAAAGCATTTATCATGGAAATAAAGCGTTTGTTGTGGAAAAGAAGAGCTGAGGACTAAGCCAAGAAATTTGGCTCTTTTTTTTTTTTTTTCCTGTCTGATACTCTCCTCTCCTTACCTCAAAAATCCTAATCTTCCCATAACATCATGTTGTATACCTTAAATATACTCAGTAAAATTTATTTGAAAAAAAATTTCTCAATCATCAACTCCTCTTCCTTGTACAAGAACAAGAATCCCCTGTACAAGCATCCTGGTAGATAATGTGTGGAGAGGTTTATGGTTATTTGTCTTTCCTCACTGAAGGGAAGCTGAGATTCAAGTTTGTTCTGGCAAACTATTTTCTAACATTAAAATTGTATTTGTTTCCACTTTTTATTTGAGAAACAGTATGATAGTTGGATGAAAGAAAATTAGAAGATCAGAAATACATAATGGACACTCAGAAAATACAAATATTCTTTCATATTTTTGAATATTTTTAATTCCTTAAGCATGCACTTACATGTTTTTGTATACTTCAACTGTGTGTATTTTTGTATTTTATTTCACTTTGTATTTTAGGCAAACTTATTTACATGTTGCATCATTATCTTTGTAACTAGTTCTGATATCTGCATACATTCTTTCAGGATGAAATACCGTATTTAAGCATTTCTTATCATTGGTATTGCTTATCAATTGGGTATTGAATTTGCTTTTTATTTTTTTTCATTTCATAGATGCTACAATACATAGTGGTGAATACTACACATGTGAATATCTACACGTAGCTACATAATTTTTATTACAAAATCATTTTGAACTTATCCTTAGACAAGGGATTCCTAGTTCAAAGGATTTAGCTAGCATGTGTTCCAGTGATAAAACGCCTTTACAACAGGAATAAGAGCTTAAGTAGAATTTTAGATATATTCAGAATTTTAAGTTTCTAAATCTATTTTGAGAGAAAATAATCTTTTTTTTTTTTCAAAGGGATGCTAATGACTAGCCAATGCTCTAGGAAGACATTGAGACCAGCCAACTTCTTGCCTTGATAACTACTGAAGAGACATTGGGTGGCTGGATTTTGAAAGCAGACTTCTGGGTAAGTGTCATTGTTTGGGTTTGGGGGATAGCAAAGACTTAGCAGAAGTGCTTTAAGAAGGAATTATCTGCACAATGAGCAAGGAAGACACTTAAAAATGCAACTTTAATAGGTGTAAATTGAATATAGAGCTTAGGAATACTAGTGGAGAGATAAGGTCAGGCATTATTACCTGGGGTTAAATTAGTTAAGATTTTCCGGGAGGATAAGGTTCTCTATTAGGGTACCTATGTATTTATTTTTTATTTTGTAATAGTATCTTTTTCATTAAAAGACATTTAAATTTAATTTTATTTTAGATTAAGGGTTACATGTTCAAGTGTGTAACATGAATATATTGCATAATGGTAGGGTTTGGGCTTCTAGTGTACCCATCACCCAGATTGTGACCAATGTACCCAATAGGTAATTTTTCAATCCTCATCCCCCTCCCAACCTGCTCCCTTTCAGAGTGCCCAGTGTCTACTGCTTCCATCTTTATGTCCATGAGTACTCATTGTTTAGTTCTCATTTAAAAGTGAGAACATGCAGTATTTTTCTGTGTCTGAGTTAGTTCATTTAGGATAATGACCTCCAGCTCTATCCATGTTGCTTCAAAGGGCATGATTTTATTATTTTTTTATGGCTGCATAGTATTCCATAGTGTATATATACCAAATTTTCTTTTTCCAATCCACCAATGAGGAACACTTAGGTTGATTCCATGACTTTGCTCTTGTGAATAGTGCTACAATGAAGATTTGAGTGAAGCTGTCTTTTTTATATAACGATTTCTTTTCCTTTGAGTAGATAGCCAATAGTGGGATTGCGAGGATGATTGGTAGTTCTATTTTTAGTCCTTTGGGAAATCTCCATGCTGTTTTCCCTAGAGGTTGTACTAATTTACATTTCCACCAGAAGTGTATAAGTGTGTCCTTTTTTCTGCATCCATGACAACATTTTTTTTGACTTTTTAGTAATAGCCATTCTGACTGGTGTAAGATGATATCTCATTGCAGTTTAGACTTGCATTTCTCTGGTAGTTAGTGATGTTGAGCATTTTCTCATACATTTATTGGCCTCTTGTATGTCTTCTTTTGAAAAATGCCTGTTAGTGTCCTTTGCCCACTTTTTAATTGGGTTGTTTGTTTTCTTCTTCAATTTCGTTTGAGTTCCTCATAGATTCTGGGTATTAATCCTTTGTCATAGGCACAATTAGCAAACATTTTGTCCCATTCTGTAGGTTGTCTGTTTACTCTGTTGATGATCTCTTTTGCTGTGCAGATGCTTTTTAGTTTAATAAAGTCCAGTTTGTTCCATTTTTGTTTTTGTTGCATTTGCTTTTGGGGTCTTAGTCATAAATTAGTCTGTCTAATAACTTAGTCTGTCTAGGCAAATGTCAGCTTTTCTCTGTAAACAGGTAAAGTTCTCTATTAGATACTTCAAACAAAAAGAAGACGTTATTCTTGATGCTAACTTCTAGGTCTAATCCTCAATTTTGTGCCAATTCTCTGTTCCAAGGCTTTGCATTAGATTTATGCTGAGGAAAAATATTTCATTGAGTAAAATTTCAAGCATAGAAGTGTCCATTCTTTTTTGAAGACTTCTATGGGTAGAGACGTTCTCAATAGGCTCATTCTGCCCCATGTTTTTCTTTTTCTTTTTCCTTTCTTTCTTGAGACAGAGTCTCATTCTGTCACCAAGGCTGAAGTACAGTGGTGCTATCTCAGCTCCCTGCAACCTCTGCCTCCCAGGTTCAAGTGATTCTCCTGCCTCAGGCTCCTGAGTAGCTGGGATTACAGAAGCCTACCACCATGCTTGGCTAATTTTTGTATTTCTAGTGGAGATGAGGTTTCACCACGTTGGTCAGGCTGGTCTCAAACTCCTGACCTCAGGTGATCCACCTGCCTTGGCCTTCCAAAGTGCTCGGATTACAGGCATGAGCCATCATGCCCAGCTCCCCATCTTTTTCTTACATAAAATGAACACGTGGAAATAGATTTAAATGTTAATTTCAATAAGGTTAGCTTACTCCTTCCCTGAGATACAGGGAAAGCTAATCCTTTATTCCATTTCCTTTTCCCTGTCCCTGCCATTCAGGCATTAGTATTGATGGTTGGTATTTAAAAGCAATTAGTTTTTCCCCCTAATATTATTTTAGGTGAAGATTATCTAGGTCCTGAATAAAGAAGTTTATAAATATTTAAACTACAAGAATATTTAGCTACTTTATATGTTCTAAACATGAGGGAAAATTCATTATCTTCAAAACATGAGACTATAATAGTCCTTATGATTTTATTTTATTCTGACTATGGTGATCTCTTTAGAGTCATTTATTTTTCAGCAATGGGAATGACTGGATAATTTGCTATGGTAAGGACACATGTTCCTGGGAAGAATAGTATAATTCTTGTTATAATTTCATATAGCAGTGTACTACTAATCTAATTAAAAAGAAAGTTTCCAATTCCCTCCTAGAATCACAGAACATTTAACTATATCTTCTTGCAGGTAATTTTTGCAAATACTAAATGCTGAGTATATACATAATTTAATTTCTTGACCTTTGCCCAGACCATTTTATTGTACCACTTTTGTGGTTTAATACAGCTAAAGTATGTGCTACAACACTTCACTTTGTCACAATCAGAATCACAACACAATCTTACTTATCAAATGCTATAAAAAGATGAAAATCTACATATTGCTTTTCTTAAGTTAGGCTAGAACTGATCCTTTTAGTAGAAAATACAAAGTAGTAAAATGTTTTATTAACTTTAGGCATGGGAGTACATTATTGTAAGATGTGATCGAGCAGCGTACCAAGGAGCCTTTCAGCTTGTTTGGTAGAAGTTTTTGGTTGATTCAATAAATTCAACCAAACTGTTGATTTACTACTTCTGGCAGAAGTGAGTTTGCTCCCCTTTGAAAAAAAAAAAAAAAGTGAAAAAAGAGAAAAAAAGAAAGAAAGAGAAAAATGAAATTTCACAATTCTATGAAAGGTTGTTTTAGTATATGGCAGACCGCTAGAAAGTGGTCTTTCAAGAAGCAAGAAACAGAATGAGAGGATCAACTTGGAATTTATTTTCCTTCAATGGGATTTTGCTAAGGCATTGCTTGGTACAGCATTCTGTACAACCAGAAAGGCAAAAGGAAAATAGCTACATTCTCCTCTCTGTAGGCCCAGTAGTGATTTGGGAAGATGAGAAAAATGTTAACTAGTATAGAGTTTGTATCATACATGAGAGGAAATAATTTCATAGATTCAAACACAGGAGTAGATCCTCCATCTTCTAAAATGAAATTAAACCCCCTGCACTTAAAGTTGAGAACTTGGTGAAGCTTACATTCTTTATTATGAAATGCATCATAACAATGTATTCTGTATTTCTTTTTCAGTTATAGGTGATGCAACTTGAAAAACAATCCTGAAACATGAAACAAGAATAATAATATTTAAATGTAACTTAATCATTATACCTCTTTATCCATCAAAGTGAATTCATTCCATTCCCTTTCATCTGTGCTCATACTTTGCATCAGATATTGGGTAAACCAAAGTGTGTAGGAAGAAATAAATGTTTTCATAGTCATTACTCTTTACAATGGGAGTGCTAAAATTCAAGCACATCTTTTTCAGAAGCTTTGTTAAATCAAGTGGAGTATCCCAGATAGTTTTCACCTTCCTTCTGATTCCATGTTGCTTGACTCTGAATTTCAGAGCACCTCCTGTTATTCCAAATGTGCCTTTCCTCTGGGCCTGGAATGCCCCAAGTGAATTTTGTCTTGGAAAATTTGATGAGCCACTAGATATGAGCCTCTTCTCTTTCATAGGAAGCCCCCGAATAAACGCCACCGGGCAAGGTGTTACAATATTTTATGTTGATAGACTTGGCTACTATCCTTACATAGATTCAATCACAGGAGTAACTGTGAATGGAGGAATCCCCCAGAAGATTTCCTTACAAGACCATCTGGACAAAGCTAAGAAAGACATTACATTTTATATGCCAGTAGACAATTTGGGAATGGCTGTTATTGACTGGGAAGAATGGAGACCCACTTGGGCAAGAAACTGGAAACCTAAAGATGTTTACAAGAATAGGTCTATTGAATTGGTTCAGCAACAAAATGTACAACTTAGTCTCACAGAGGCCACTGAGAAAGCAAAACAAGAATTTGAAAAGGCAGGGAAGGATTTCCTGGTAGAGACTATAAAATTGGGAAAATTACTTCGGCCAAATCACTTGTGGGGTTATTATCTTTTTCCGGATTGTTACAACCATCACTATAAGAAACCCGGTTACAATGGAAGTTGCTTCAATGTAGAAATAAAAAGAAATGATGATCTCAGCTGGTTGTGGAATGAAAGCACTGCTCTTTACCCATCCATTTATTTGAACACTCAGCAGTCTCCTGTAGCTGCTACACTCTATGTGCGCAATCGAGTTCGGGAAGCCATCAGAGTTTCCAAAATACCTGATGCAAAAAGTCCACTTCCGGTTTTTGCATATACCCGCATAGTTTTTACTGATCAAGTTTTGAAATTCCTTTCTCAAGTAAGTAAATCAGGGTATGAGGGCTAGGAAATGAAATTCACAAAAGATGTTGATTGAAATTTAATATTATTTTTGAAGGGAGTGAAATCTAGCTTTTAATATTAGTCAGGAATGTGTACACAAGTAGATCAACATTATTATATGAATGCAAAACAAGAATACGCTTAATCTTTAATGTAATCTCTTTATCTCTTAGTAAGCCGGGAGAATTAGGTAGTATAGACAGTGTATGAACTCAGTTTCTTTTTTTTTTCTTTCTTAGGCCTCGTCTCTTTTCAATAGAAGTGATTGAAACAATAATAGTATCTTATTTGTTTTATAGTAAGGCAATGGCTGTGTAAGAGATAGAAATAGTGGGGAAATATTAAAATTATTATTATTGGGTCAGCATGCTTAGCTTTTGCGTTGCTGTCCTATGTATAGCACTTTCATTTCATTTTTATCTGCTAACTCTTTCTGTCACATTTTCCAGGATGAACTTGTGTATACATTTGGCGAAACTGTTGCTCTGGGTGCTTCTGGAATTGTAATATGGGGAACCCTCAGTATAATGCGAAGTATGGTAAGTTGAATTGGTAGAAAATAGGTGAAAATATTTCTATGTTTAATGTTTTTGGGGATTGTTTTGGTATTAAATAAGAAAATAAGTAGTACTATGCTTGGCATGTAGTAATAGGTGCTCAATTAATACTGGCTGAATCAAAATACATTTGTGTGGTGGTTGTAAGGCAGAAAATAGTATACCCATTTTCCAGTGGGGAAATAGAAATTTAGTGAATAATTGAATTTCTCTAGGCTACATGACTATTAAGAAGCAAAAACAGGACTACAATCTCAATTTTATGGCATGGTGTTTTGTGTCAGAAGATAGGTCCTTGTTCCTTTACTCTTGTTTAATTCTCTATATCAGATCTTTATCCCCCACCTCATCAACCTTGTTGACTCAATAGGAAAGCTGTTGTATGGACATTGCTGAGTTGAAGCTGAATTTTTTCTTCTCTGGTGGTTGTGGAAATACCAATGATGAACATGCCATGAAGAATGCCAGATGAAGCTCATGGCCCAAGGGTCCTATCTCAGGACCTCAGCGAATAGTCTATACTCTAGTAGTCTAAGAAAGCCTTTGAGAAGCATTATATTCATCTCTTATTCTTTGGATAGAATAGACATGACATAGTCTTTATTTAAAAATACTCAACAGCAGTTACATTTATGAGAATTTTTTAAGGTAATCTGAGCCCATCTGCCTATTTTGCATAACTCTTTTGTCTTTAATTTGATCTCTAATATAAAGAAATAACAAAAAATATAAGTTCAGAAGAAGGTATATGGCCCTTGGTAAAGTATTTTATGTGTCAGAAAATCATTGTAAAATGATAATTTTCTTTAGTAAATTCTTAATTTTTATTAGTTGTTTCCCCAAATCCATAAACTCCCTTCTCAAATGTCCTATTATTTAAAAACTTATAAATATTTATAAATTCTCCATACTATTTTCTTTTCTTTTTAAAAAAACTGAAAGCTCCACTCTTACTCTGAGGAGGAGTGAATCAGGCATTCCTCAATGAATAGGTTGACATGACATACTATTTAAGTGTCATGCTTGTTTTTTAATGGCACTTTAAGCTTAGATTCAAATTCTACTACTATGTCTCTCAAATCATCTTCAGTATTATCCATACCAGAGACAGTCCTTCAACTTTTATATGATTATTTTCTCCTTAATGGCATTGTCCCAAAATTGTTCCCTATAGACTCTGTTGTATATATTTCTGCTATCTTTCTCAACTTCTGATCATTTTAAATAATAGATCTATCATTACTTCCCCTTTTTTCTATGCCATTTGTAATCAATAGTCATGGATTACATGTTATGTTTTCTCTGATTCATTGACAACTTAAGAAACCGATAATTGCAAGTTTACTTGCAGTTACTGGAACTGACATAAAACAAATGCAAATGAGCCATTTCTTTTCGTTCCATTTTATTATATCTGGTGGTGTGACAGAGCCAGCCCTACTGCTCCCAGCTGAGACCTAATTGTTAAATATTCAGGGATTTTGTGAACCAGTTGTTAATCACTGCCATTATTAAAAATTAAATGATAAAAACTTACAATAAAAAATTATGTTAAAAACAGGTGACACATTTCAATATACCAATTATTTTACCTCATTTTACCATGATCCATGCTCTTGAGATTATTTACATCTTTTGCATCTTTATAAATGGAAATACTATGTAATAATGTGCTACTTCACACCATGGTACCATAATGTGTAATGGTGGTGTACTTGATTCCCAGATCTGCATTCAGTAATGTTTGGGAGGTAGCTTGAAATTGGCCATGGCAGGAGTATTTACACTATGGATATATATACAAATGATAAGAACCAGGTCTTACCTATTAGAGAGCCAATTTTAATGTATTTCCATAGACTACAAAGTATGCAGGTTAATGATTCTCAAGCCATTCTCATCCTTTTACTACTCTTTGTGTAACCCTTGTCTCTGTGGAGTTGAGAAAGCAACTGCAATGTTATTTGAACTTGGTATAAATTCTCATGTCCCTTATATTGGGAACATAGTGTTGAAGAATATTGACAAAGTCTATGTACTCTTGGAACTTATGAGTACTTAAAAAGTACACAAGTAAGAGACATATTTGATATGGTAAGTGCTATACAGAGAATTTAAACAGAGATATGGAGAGTTTAACAAGGAAGTTATCAGAGAAGGGCATTGTCTAATTTAAAGCTGCCATCAGAATGACAAGATGAAGTCAATTGTGTTAAAAATTAGAGGAAAGACCATTCCAAGCAGTGGGAACAGTAAATGCAGTTTGAAATGAACCTGCCGTGCTAGTGAAATAGCTACTATATCTAAGGTAGAATGGATGTGGGAAGGTTGTACAAGAGGAAGCAAGGGTTATACAATGTCACACTGTGCACAAGTCAAGAGAAGAAGTTGAATTTCATTCAAAACACCATTCAAAAATATTGGATTGTTACGAAGATGGATGGTGTATTAGTTTTCTATTGCTTTCATAAAAATTACAACAGACTTAGTGGGTTAAAAAAACAGAAGAAATTTGTTATCTTGTAGTTCTCAGATCAGAAGAAGTCCAATATGGGTTTCAATGGAATAAAATCAAAGTGACAGCAGGGCTGAATTCCTTTCTAGGAGAAGATACTTTCTCATTTGGGTTGTTGGCAGATTCACTTTCTTGTGCTTATAGCAATGAGATCCCCATTATCTGGCTGGCTACTGGCAAATGGCTATTTCCAGCTTTTAGAGGCCAGTACATTCCTTAGCTCATGGCCCTCTTCTTTCTTAAAGTCAGCCAAGGTGGGTTGAATCTCTCTTACACTTTGAATCTCTCCTTCCTTCAGTTTATCTTTCTAACCCTGCTTGAAAAGTTTCTATACTTTCAAGGACTCATGTAATTACATTGAGTCCATCTTGATAATTCAGGATAATCTCCCCTTCTGAAGATCCATTCCTTAATCACATCTGCAAAGTCTCTTTTGTCACATAAGTTCACATTGTCACAGGTTCCAGGGAATTAGGATGCAGACATTTTTGGGTATCAGTTATTCTGCCAACAATAGATGGCATCATCTCAAGGAAGATGAAAAGAAATATATTCAGATGGAAGCTGCCAAGATTCCTTCACATGCCTGCATATCTACCACTGCCACTTCCTTTGGCCTGATAAAGTATTAGCACAACCACCTCACTCAATGGAACTGTTGATTATGAAAAAAAGTGATCAACTTCAATATTTCTCAAAGGACAGTGTCCAGGGTTTAGAACATACCAGTCTCAAGATGAAGATGAATCATTTTAGTTAGTCATCGCTCATACTCTGCCAAATTTGTAAAAGAGTTGTCATTATTTACCCATAACTTGACTATATATAACATTTAATAGAAAGTATAGTCAGTTGAACCCGTTTAATGTATTCGAGCCAGCAATTTATAAGCCATCCTTTTCCATGCTATTTAAACTTGTCTGGCAGGTGAGGCATGGTGGATCATGCCTGTAATCCCAACACTGTGGAAGGATGGGGTGGGAGGATTGCTTGAGCCCAAGAGTTCAAGACCAGCCTGGGCAACATAGTAAGACCTCACTTCTACCACAAAAGAAAACCAAAATTAGACAGATCTCGTGGCATGTGCCTATAGTTCCAGCTACTCAGGGGGCCAAGGCAGGAGGATTGCTTGAACCCAGGAGATCAAAGGTGCAGTGAGCCAAGACTGCACCACTGTACTCCAGCCTGGGCAACAGAGTAAGACTTTGTCTCAGGAAAAAAAAAAAAATTGTCTGACAAATGTGGTGCTTCTTACATTTATTTATAATTTATTGAGGGTCAACTGAAGATATGGTAGGCCCCTGTGTTAAGCACATTTATATGTATTTTTCTTTTTTATCTATTTTTATAACAACTTTATGAGGTAGGCATCATAATTATCCTTATTTTCCAGATGGTAAAGCTGAAGCATAATCAAGTTAATCAATTTGCCCAAAGTCACCCAGATAGGAAACTAAGACTTAGAAAGCTTAAGAAATTCCCAAGTTCCTACAGCTAGTCACCAATGGAACTGGGACTCCAATCAGGGCAAATGTCCTAGAGAACATACTCTAACACACTTTAACAGCTGTAGCATTCTATCCCCTGATTATGTTATGAATTACAGAGGACGAGCAAGGGTAAGGAATACTAAGCCTCAATTAGTCAATTATTCAGTGGAATGAAGTGGCATGTGAAACTTATAAGTCTTACAAAAAGCAGTTGGAATAATCTTGTTGGTTAAGGTAAAAAAGAAATTATCTTCTACTTCTTGCTATCTCTGGTTTTCATTCTTCTGTAAAAAAATTGCTTAATACACTAAATTAATTCGCATTTGAACTAACTTGTCCTTTGATATTCTGACTGTCTTATAATAATTTTACAGAAATCTTGCTTGCTCCTAGACAATTACATGGAGACTATACTGAATCCTTACATAATCAACGTCACACTAGCAGCCAAAATGTGTAGCCAAGTGCTTTGCCAGGAGCAAGGAGTGTGTATAAGGAAAAACTGGAATTCAAGTGACTATCTTCACCTCAACCCAGATAATTTTGCTATTCAACTTGAGAAAGGTGGAAAGTTCACAGTACGTGGAAAACCGACACTTGAAGACCTGGAGCAATTTTCTGAAAAATTTTATTGCAGCTGTTATAGCACCTTGAGTTGTAAGGAGAAAGCTGATGTAAAAGACACTGATGCTGTTGATGTGTGTATTGCTGATGGTGTCTGTATAGATGCTTTTCTAAAACCTCCCATGGAGACAGAAGAACCTCAAATTTTCTACAATGCTTCACCCTCCACACTATCTGCCACAATGTTCATTGTTAGTATTTTGTTTCTTATCATTTCTTCTGTAGCGAGTTTGTAATTGCGCAGGTTAGCTGAAATGAACAATATGTCCATCTTAAAGTGTGCTTTTTCGACTAATTAAATCTTTGAAAAGAACAGCTCTTGTTGAAAGATCATTTTTGGAAAGTTCTTTCTGAATAACTATACCTAGGAAATGACGATTTTCTTTGAACTTGACAAACACTGCTATATTGTATGAATTCTCAACCATGAGTTCAGGGATTTGTATTCCAGGAGTCAATAGCTTATGTAAATTCTGCAGTTTAGAGTACAGAAACTCATATTATCTGTTTCACTTGCAAAACTGCCAGGATTGTTTTAACACTATCATTCTGCACAAGATACTGACATTTTGATAAAATAAAACTTGATATAGAATGTTTAAGAACTCGAAAGTGAAAACCCTTTCAATACAAGCCATCAGTAACATGTAGAGTGCTTGGATATTTCTATTTCTCCTCTGCTCAGAATCAAGAGAGAGAGGGAGAAGGAAAAAGTTTGGGTGGAAAAGAAGAAAACAAAAGGAGGGAAGAGATAAGGGAAAAGAATTAGTATTTTTTTGCTTTCTCTGGTGCCACTGAAGACTCTAATTTGCACAGGATCGAAAGGAATACTTTCAGTGTATACAATTAACCTTCGACTCTCTTTTAAAGCGCAGAGCAGTTGTACCTAAATTCCTTACCTAGTCTGACCTGTACAAATATTACTACCGCCTCCTTCCTTTCCCCATACCCCCCTAGAAACAAAAAGAGATGAAACCACATATTCCAAATCCATTCGGCTAGGTACTCTCAAATTATGGCACAAGTCATTAGGATCTTAATTTTTTTGCGGCATTACATTTTCCGTGAAAAAAAAGGAAAATGTTTTACTTGTTACAGATCTCATTTCTTTATGTTTAAGCTTTGTTTAATATCTGAAATGAGACTGAGCTCTAAAAAGCAATAAAAATAATTCAAATTATTATTATGCATTTTTTAAAAATTAAAAAAATTATTATACATTTTTAAGGTTGAAGTTTTTAAAATTGAACCACTTGTATAGTCTTTTACATTATGTTATCTTAAAATCTTTTTTATTTTTTTCTCTTTTAATTTTAGTTGACATGTACTAATTGTACATATTTATGGGGTAGAGAGTAATATTTTGATACATGCATACAATGTGTAATGATCATGGTAATAAGGATAACCAGTACCTCAAACATTTCTTTGTGTTGGGAACATGTAAGATTCTCTCTTCTAGCTTTTTGAACATATGCAATGTTATTGCTAATTATAGTCACCCCCCAGTGCTATAGAACACTAGGATTTATTCCTCCCCTTTAGCTGTATTGTACCCATTATCTGGCCTCTCCCTATCCTTCTCTCCTCCCATCCTTCCTACTCTCTAATAATCATAACAATAATTCCTCTCTCTGTGATTTCAATTTTTTTAGCTCTCACATATGAGTGAGAACATGAGATGCTTGTCTTTCTGTGCTTGCCTTATTTCCCATAAGATAATGGCCTCTAGTTCCATCCATGTTGTTGCAACAAACAAAATGACTCCATTTTTCTTATGACTGAGTAGTATTCCGTTGTGTATATACACCACATTTTTTTAATCCATTCATCTGTTGATGGACATTTAGACTGACTCCATACCTTGGCCATTGTGAATAGTGCTGCAATAAACACGGGATGCAGATATCTCTTTGATATATACTGATTTTTTTCCTTTGCTGTATCCTATATGTATTGCTGTATCCTATGTGTATTAGTCCATTTTCACGCTGCTGATTAAGACATATCCAAGACTAGGTAATTTATAAAGGAAAAGAAGTTTAATGGATTCTTAGTTCCGCATGGCTGGGGAGGTCTCACAATCATGGTGAAAGGCGAAAGCCACTTCTTACATGGTAGCAGCAAGAGACAATGAGAGACAAGGGAAAGGGGAAACCCCTTATGAAATCATCAGGTCTTGAGAGACTTATTCACTACCACGAGAACAGTAGGGGGGAAATCTGTCACCGTGATTCAATTATCTCCCACTCGATCCCTCCCACAACACGTGGGAATTATGGGAGCTACAAATCAAGATGAGATTTGAGTGGGCTCACAGCCAAAGCATATCACTATGGTAGTTCTATTTTTAGTTTTCTAAGAAACCTCCATACTGTTTTTCATAATGGCTGGACTAATTTACATTCTCACCAAGAGTTCCCTTTTCCCACATCCTTGCCAGTGCTTGCTGTTTTTTGTCTTTTGATAACAGCAATTCTAACTGGGGTGAAGGATATCTTATTGTGGTTTTGATTTGCGTTTCCCTGATGATTAGTAAAGATGAGTATTTTTTTCATAGACCCCTTGGTCACTTGTATGTTTTGACAGCTGTCTACTCAGATCCTTCAGCAATTTTTTGATTAGGTTGTTTTTTGCTGTTGAATTGTTTGAGTTCCTTGTATATTTTATATATTAATCAATTGTCAGATGCATAGTTTCCAAATATTTTCTCCCATTCTACAGATTTTTGCTTTACTCTGTTCATTGCTTTTCCTTTGCCATGCAGAAGCTTTTTAGTTTGTTATAGTCCCATTTGCCTATTTTTGTTTTTGTTACCTGTACTTTCATAGTTTTACCCATAAAATCTTTGCCTTGACCAATGTCCTGTAATGTTTTCTCAATATTTTCTTCCAGTAGTTTTATAGCTTCAGGTCTTAACATTTAAGTCTTTGATCAATTTTGAGTTGTAAAATTTTTTTTTATTCTATAAAGTCATTGCTGCTCATTATGAAATAATACTAAGTGGAAAACTAGAAGTTTCCTTGTGTCTTCCTTCTACAAGTGGCAACTTCTGGTTTCAGTTTTTTTGTACATAATTCTGTAAATTTGCTAATAATATGGAAGCAAATGTGTGTGTATATATACACAAATAACACATTGGGCTCTGGTGCCATAATTTTTGATAACTTGCTTTCCATATAGCAATATATTTTGGGTGTTTGTCCATATCAGTACATTTTTGTACTGACCACATCATGCCATGATACCACTATATGACAATTTTAAAGGAAAGTTCTTGTTAGTGAATATTTATTTTATGGAAACTTTTTTCTCGACCAAAAATTTTATAGTTAATATCATGTACATATATACCTTGGCATACTTTTGCCAGGATGAAATGGAATTGCTGATGTGAAGGGTATATACATTTTAATTTAGATAGATATTGCAAAATTATCTTTCAAAAAATTTTGTTCCAATTAATGATCTCACTAATAGAGATGAACAACACTGGTCTTTATACAATTCTGCAGTCATTGTTCACCTGATAGGTGAAAATGACATCTTGTTTTAACTTGGTTTCTAATCAGTAATGTTGACATTTTTTTCATAGTTTATTATGGGTATCTTTTATTTTTTTTCAGAGTAAACTTTGTTTTCTCATTTATACTTAAATTCGATTTTAGTAGACTGTTGCCATTTCTAAAATTTAAGATATGGCTTTTTAGATACCAATAGATTATAGTGTGAAAAGAGGAACCAAAGATTAGCATTAAAAAGGATATTTTTTATCTCTTTATATTTTATATGTGGCATTTGTCTATGATAATCATCATTATATTTTTAAAGTACATCAGTTACAAGGAATTACAAATTCATCTATCTGCTGACTCTCATTGCTTTTATAAGGGCATAAGGCTATACAAAGTTTTGGCAAATTACTTTTTTATAAGAAATATCATTTAAATAAAATTCAAAAGTTCATGAGCCCAATTCAAAAGTTTTTCATGGGAAGCCCAATTCTTGTAGCAGGATATAGGGAGAAGAGCAAGCTAATCCCAGTTTAGCAATTTGTAAGCTGCTGACTTTGGGAAACTTACTTAACCTCTCTGAGTTTATTTCCTCAAATAGAAGGTCAATTGTTTAGAAGACTAGAGAAAGTAAACAAAAGTTAGCTAGTACAGTGCTTGTTATAAGAATGGTAGGTGCTCAATACATAGCAATGATTATTTATTTGGAGAATGTATCTATTTTCCAAAATTTTTCCTCTATTAAATGATTTAAGGTTTATATTTGAAATATAAAATTGACTTAATATTTTTATTTTATAAGACAGTATATTAAGTAAAATGTATTTATAACATCTTTAATTTGACTGAAAACTACAAATTATCTAATTTAAGCACTATGTGCCATTTTTTAAAAATACTATATTAGATGTACATGTCAATTATCAGAAAAATATTGGGACCTCCATGAAGGTCTTTATATTATCACTGATGCATTACATCTGTAATTAGACTCTATAAATGTTTAAAACATTATGCTAATATAACTTTGCTCATTTATTTGGTTTCTAATCATTTCAATACAGGATATATTTAATAATAAACCTCAAAGTAGTAGGTGGAATACATAATTTTTATTATGTATCACATATCACTTCTTTTATTCTAATTTGCTAATCCTAGATAATAGATATAAGGAAAAGGATAAATATACAATTATGTAATTTTTAGACTATATCATTATAAATAATTTTATTTTTCTCTGCTAGGTTTTAAATTTTTGACTTTTTAAAAATTTTTAGTTTTTAAGAGACAAGGTATCTTGCCATTTGACTCTGTTGCTTAGGCTGGGATGCACTAGCATGGTGATAGCTCATTGTAACCTTAAACTCCTGAGTTCAACTGATCCTCCCACCTCAGCCTCCTTAGTAGCTGAAAGTGCAGGTGTGACCACAAGTGTGACCCACCACATGCGGCACTACTAGGTTTTAATTAAAGACTGGAGGTAAAGACATTTCTGGGTTTAATATACTGTGCTTATCACTTTGTAAAAGCAGGAAAAACTGTTAAAACTGTAATATGTATTATACAAATGTTTTTAAGGGCTGAGCAGCCAAAAATAAATATATAATTTTTGTATCCTGTAGGAAACCTTAATCCTTGAATAGTTAGAGTTGACTTTAGTGACAAATACTTTTAGTGATGTTCTGTTTCCACATGATGCTGACAATTAGTCTGACTGAAATTGTTAATCACCACTTCACAATTCTTCATAAATAAGAAGAGCTTCTGTTTATTATACAACAATCATATGCTTTACATACAACTTCTGATTTAATTATTTTTTTTCCAGTTGAAATAACTACACCTTAGATAAGTGACTTGCCCTGGGTCAGACAGCTAATAAGTCCTAGAGGCTGAAAGAAGATCGGAGTGGGTGGCTTTGACTCCCAAGCCTGTGTATTCCACCATTATACAATACTGCTCCTGCAAGGATGTGAAGTCAAGTAACATTATAACACAAGGGAACTAGTTCCTATTCCTTTTCACTCCAGGCTTCAGAATAGCTTCTGACCATGGGTATCCATCCATCATGAAGAATTTTTCTTTTGTTGCAATCGCTTTTGGCATTTTCGTCATGATATCTTTGCCCTTGCCTATGCCCTGAATGGTATTGTCTAGATTTTCTTCTAGGGTTTTTATAGTTTTGGGTTTTACATGTAAGTCTTTAATTCATCTTAAGTTAATTTTTGTATAAAGTATAAGGAAGGGGGTCCAGTTTCAATTTTCTGCATATGGCTACCCAGTTCTCCCAGTACCATTTATGAAATAGGGAATCCTTTCCCCATTGCTAATTTTTGTCAGGTTTGTTGAAGATCAGATGGCTGCAGATGCGTGGTCTTATTTCTGAGTTCTCTATTCCGTTCCATTGATCTATGTGTTTATTTTGTACCAGTGCAATGCTATTTTGGTTACTGTAGCCTTGTTGTATAGTTTGAAATCAGATAGGGTATTGCCTCCAGCTTCGCTCTTTTTGTTTAGGATTGTCTTGCCTGTTTGGGCTCTTTTTCCATTCCTTGTGAATTTTAAAATAGTTTTTTCTAATTCTGTGACAAATGTCAATGATAGTTTAATGGGAATAACATTGCATCTATAAATTACTTTGGGCGATATGGCCATTTTAACAATATTGACAAGTGCGATCTAATTAAACTAAAGAGCTTCTGAACAGCAAAAGAAACTATCATCAAAGGAACAACCTAGCAGAATGGGAGAAAAGTTTTGTAATCTGACCATCTGACAAAGATCTAATATCTGTAGTCTACAAGGAACTTACACAAATACACAAGAAAAAAACAAACAACCCCATTAAGAAGTGGGCAAAGGATATGAACAGATATTTCTTGAAAGAAGACATTCATGTGGCCAACAAACAAATGAAAAAAAGCTCAACATCACTGATCATTAGAGAAACGAAAATCAAAACCACAATGAGATACCAGCTCACACCAGTCAGAATGGCAATTATTAAAAAGTCAAGAAACAACAGATGCTGGTGAGGTTGCAGAGAAAAAGGAACATGTTTACACTGTTGGGGAGTGTGCAAATTAGTTCAACCACTGCGAAAGACAATGTGGCTATTCCTCAAAGATCTAGAAACAGAAATAATATTTGACCCAGCAATCCCATTACTGGGTATATATCCAAAGGAATATAAATCATTCTATTATAAAGACACATGCACATGTACGTTCATTGCAGCCTTATTCACAATAGCAAAGACGTAATCAACCTAAATGCCTATCAATGATAGACTAGATAAAGAAAATGTGGTACATATACACCATGGAATACTATGAAGCTATAAAAAAGAATGAGATTATGTCCTTTGCAGGGACATGGATGGAGCTGGAAGCTGTTATCCTCAGCAAACTAACACAGTAACAGAAAACCAAACACCACATGTTCTTCTTACAAATGGGAGCTGAACAATGAGAACACATGGACACACTGGGAAAAACAACACACACTGGGCCTGTATAGGGGGAGAGCATTAAGAAGAATAGCTAATGGATGCTGGACTTAATACCCAGGTGATGGATTGATCTGTGCAGCAAACAACCATGGCACACATCTACCTATGTAACAAAACTGCACATCCTGCACATATACCCTGGAACTGGAAGGTTGAAGCAAAAAAAATACAATTTTTTTCTGAGTGCTATATCGTAGGGAATAGGTTATCAAGGGCCGTCTGTTAATTATTTATATACTTTCAATATGGCTTTTATGGATTAAAGGAGACACTGGCAATTGAGAAAAGAGGAAGCTTAGGTTATTAGAAGTTTGCATCACTTTAGAATTTCCTGGGCCTCGTTTATAACATACAATAATGGCAGCAGGGGGCAGTAAGATAATGGCATCAAGTCCCCTGTGCTTCTTCAACAGTAACATTTCTGTGTCCTTGAAGCCTTTTTGTTTCAGCAAACAGAAATAATAGCTAGTCACAGTGCTAGTCACAGTACGTATCCTGAAGGAAATCAGTCAGCTTATATTTCAGATAAATCTGGTATTACAATGCTAAAATCACTATATGCATAATGTTGCTGTTTTGTGATTGTCTGCAAGTTCTTCTGTGTCCTTGAAAGATAATTTTAAAAATGTACTTATAAAACTGATTTAAACTTTTTTTCTACAAGTAAATTAATTTTGTGGTTATTTTGTCAGTGAGGGAAATGGTAGGGTAGGAAATTAAGTGATTAGATATTCCCTGTGATTGTTTTATATATTCTTAGTAGGTATGCTGATAATTTTAAAAAGTAGACTCCAATATAGTATTTGTGAAACAGCATGGTGTATGTGCGTGTGTGTGTGCATGTGTGCACATGTGTGGGTGTATGCATGTGTGTGTGAGAGAGATGGGGAGAGTGTGAGAGCCTCTGGAGACTGCTAAAATGCAAGAAGGAAGGGGGATGTGGTGGGAGATGGGATTTGGGGCTGGAAAGGTAGGTGTCAGATATGAAGTGTCTTCTGGGTGATGTTAGTGAAACAGCAGTTAATCCTTTAGCCTGGATTGAAATGGTCAGATTTGTATTTTAAATCTGCAGAGAAAGTACATTGTGGAGAAATTGGGTCTTTGAGTCTGGAGGCAGGAAAACTAGTTAGAAGGCTATTGCCATTATCTAGGCCAGGGAGGATAAAGTCTTGAATTAGGAAAGTATTAGGGATAGAGAGAAAAGGATAGAATTAGAAATCAATACTTGGATGATTGGATGTGGGAGGGTCAAGGGAAAGCAAGGAACCTAATTTTTTGCAGGGAAGATAAGCCCCAAAATTGGGGCTTAGCCTAGGAAGGTTCTTGGCTTTGCTCAGGAAAGAATTCAAGAGTGACCCAGAGGCAGAAGAAAATAGCTTTACTGAGGTGGCAGTGTTAGAGCTTCATGACTGCTGCTGCAGAGCAGGGCTTGAGAGTAGCTGCTGAGGGGCAGTTCTGCAGTCATATATACACCCACTTATAATTATACGCAAACTGAGAGCAGGTTATTCAGAAATTTCTAGAAAAGGGGTGGTAACGTCTGAGCTATTGGCATGGAAAGAGAAGGCAACTTCCAGGTGTTGCCATGGCAATTGAAAACTGTCATGACGCTGGCAGGCGTGTCTTATGGAGAATTGCTTTTGGTGCCTCTTTCATGTTTCAGCCAATCTTCAGTCTGGTCTGGAGTAAAGTCTTGCCTCCTAACCTCAATCTGACACTAAGTTCCTTGTTAGGACAATGTCATCGAGTCTTGAGAAAGGAGCACAGGTGGAGAAGCAGGTTTGGGGGATTAGGTTTTGAGCATGTTGTATTTGAGGTGCCTGTAGGGTATCTTGACAATTTTTTTTTTCAAAGCCATGTTATTTCAAAGCTCAAGAAAAAGATAAGGGCAGTGTCTTTAACAATGGATAATAATAGAGAGAGATAGTATGTCTAATAGTTTGAAAATATGGTTTCTAGAGCCAGACTACCTGAGTTTGACTTCTAGGCCCATCATTCATTGGCTGTGTAAGCTTGAGCAGGTTACATAACTTGTCCGTGCCTTTGTTTCCTCATCTGTGTGAGAATGAAATGAATTCATATGTGTAAGCTCTTTGATCAGTACTTGGTACATAGTAAGCACCATATGCTAACATTGTTGTTATTTTTATTTCAGCTCATATTTTTTGATTACTTGCTCTGGGCCAGGCCTGTGTTAAGAAATTATAGGCATTTTCTCATTTAATCTCCATAATACCCTGTGATGGTGACACTGTTATTATCTGAAGAAACTGAGACCTTACTCTGACCAACTTTCCCAAAGTAAACCACTAGAAAACAAAGGCTAGGGTCAAGATGCAAACCAAGGTTGGAGTGCCCATTTTTAAAATGGGATTATTTGGTTTTTTACTGTTGAGTTGTTTGAGTTCCTTATATATTCTGGATATTAGTCCCTAGCCAGATGAACTGTTTACAAATATTTTCTCTCACTCAGCAGGTTATCTCTTCACTCTGTTGGTTGTTGACTTTGCTGTACAGAAGACTTTCATTTAACGTAGTCCCATTTGTCTATTTTTGGTTTTGTTGCTTGTGTTTTTGAGGTCTTAGCCATAAATTCTGTACCCAGGCCAATGTAGTGAAGCATTTCCCCTATGTTTTATGCTAGTATTTTTATAGTTTGGGGTCTTATGTTTGAGTCTTTAATATATCTTGAGTTGATTTTTGTATATGTTGAGAGATAGGGGTACATTCTCGTTCTTCTGCATATGGGTATCCAGTTCTCCCAGCACCATTTATTGAAAAGGGTGTCTTTTCCCCAATATATGTTCTTGGCACCTTTGTCAAAAATCAGTTGGCCATAGAAACATGGATTTATTTCTGGGTTCTCTGTCCTGTTTTGTTGGTCTATGTGTCTGTTTTTATACCAATACCATGCTCTCTCTTTTGGTTACTATAACCTTGTAGTGTATTTTGAAGTCAGGTAGTGTGATGCCTCCAGCTTTGTTCCTTTTGCTCAGGATTGTTTTGGCTATTTGGGCTCTTTTTTTTTTTTGACTCACCCAGATTTTAAGATTTTTTCTTCTACTTATGTGAAAAATGACATTGGTATTTTGATAGGGATTGCATCAAATCTGTAGATTGTTTTGGATAGTATATCTAATAGCTTTGATGTATGGTGAAGGCACTGAAAACTTGGAACCTCAGAGCTAGCTCTGTATTTTAAGAGAGGTTTCTCTTTTTCCTAGAGTGGTGGTCGTAGGAATTAATAAATTATATCTTCTTCTATGCCCCAGCTTAGTGTTTCCTTAAGTCCTTTAGTCCGGGTTCACTTTCTTTACATGGAGTCTCCTGGTATTTATTCTGTATATCTCCATTAGTTTGCTAGTGATGCTATAACAAAGTGCCACAGACTAGGTGGCTTAAACAACAGAAATTAATTTTCTTATGGTTTTCTTACAGTGGAGGCTGGAAGTCTGGGATCAAGGTATTAGCAGAATTGGTTTCTTCTGAGAGTCATGAGGGAAAAATGTGTTTCAGGCCTCTTCCCTTGGCTTACAGGTGACTATCTTCTCCTTGTGTCTTCCATATGTTTCTGTCTGTGACCTTGTTTCTTCCCCTTATAAGGACACCAGTCATGTTGGATTGGAGAATACTCTAAAGACCTCATTTTCACTTAATTACCTCTTAAAGATCCTGTCTTCAAATAAGGTCACATTCTAAGATACTAGAGTTTAAGGCTGGGTGCAGTGGCTAATGCTTGTTATCCCAGAGTTTGGGAGGACAAGACAGGAGGATTGCTCAAGACCAGGAGTTTAAGGCCAGCCTGGACAACACAGTGAGATCCCATCTCTACAAATAATAATAATAATAATTATTATTATTATTATAGTAAGGCACTAGGGTTTAAGAACTTCAACATATGAATTTTGAAAGAACACAGTTCAGTCCATAACAAAATCAGTACCCTTAGAATGTTTATTTTAATTAATAAAGACTTTAACTTAGATGAATCCAGTATATGAATGCATGCATTACAAGTAAAGAAACATATTCTATTCCATAATTTTGTGGTAGCAAACAAAGGAAATACATTTTTGTTCTACGTCCTCCCAGTCTGGTATTCCTTTTCCAATTCATAAGATATTAAATAAAGAGGTTTTCTTCCTTCACTTTTTAAGGAATACAGTTTTGAACTCAGTTTTAAAATTAAAATCCATATATGTTTCTGTTTACTCAGCTAACTCTGTCTCATGATCAATATCCTTTAGGAAATGAAAAAACCATGACTATCATCACCAACATCCTTGGGTATTAAGTGCAGTCACTCTCCTAGATGCTGTGGGGAGAAGGCAAGTTACAAAGATAGACCTTCCCTCAAGATAATCAGATTTTCATGGTATTATCCTTAACCTTTTTGACATCATGGAGGCTTTGGGAATCTGATGAAGCCTATCAATTTTCTTCCAGAAGATATTTATATAAGATTATAAGAAAAATTATGTACACAGCTTATTTTATTGCATTGGATCAAAATGCCATTTATAAAGAATTATGCCTTTTCCATCAATTTTAGCATGGAAAAATAATTTCAGGCAATATGCTTAAAAATTGGGGGAAGACAAAAGAAATCCATATCGTGTAAATAAAAATAAATTTTGGTTTTGCTCAAAAATAAATTTCAATGGGAAAGCATCTCTTCCTTATCTTTTTTTTTCTTCTTTTTTTTGGAGATGGAGTTTCACTCTTGTTGACCAGGCTGGAGTGCAATGGCATGATCTTGGCTCACTGCAACCTCTGTCTCCTAGATTCAAGCAATTCTCCTGCCTTAGCACCCCAAGTAGCTGGGATTAGGGGCGTGCACCACCACGCCCAGCTAATTTTTGTATTTTTAGTAGATATGGGGCTTCACCATGTTGTCCAGGCTGGTCCTGAACTCCTGACCTTAAGTGATCCACCCGCCTTGGCCTCCCAAAGTGCTGGGATTACAGGTATGAGCCACCACACCCAGCCTCTTCCTTATTTTGAATGAAATCTGAAATTGGAGAATGGTTTTTGAGATGGCAGTATGTTCACTTTCCTGTAGACTTTCTGTTTTGATGGTAACATTCTAAAAAGCTGTGCTCACAACAGCATGTTGTAGCAAATAGAATCAGTTCAAGCTCACAGATGAGACAATGGGCTTGTGACAAGGGAACAACAAAATATTTCAAGACTATCATTGGCTTCACATCACTGAGTTTCATCTTCAGCAAGGGGAGGTTGTTGATGTCAGCAAAGTAAGGATTAAGAGCCCATGTTTCAATTTAAGGGTTGTCTGAGCAGAAGTACTTTAAAAAGAGTTATGCTGAGGGTTGTCTGCATATTTCTATATCACGGATTTGTTAAAAAAAAAGTTCATATTCTGCTTTCATTTTCTGTGAAAACATATTCAAAAGGCAATGATTCAAGGTCCTAGCATTAGTTGACACTTTGCTATAGACAAGCAGGACCATAGAAAGCAGTGAGTCAGATCACACTGCATAAAGACACTTCATCCTCTAAAACTGTGAAACTCCAAGATGTGCTACTCTGCACCACAGGTGTTTTGTTTGTTCACAAAGTGTCCAGTGAGGCTTATATGTAACAGAAACTTATCAACATTCCAAAGATATTGATGGATTTTAAATTTCAAAAAGGACTTGCTAAATAGGAAATCATCTTTGAAGGCATCAGCTGGCTGCATAAAGGATCTTCTAATTCCTTCATCACATGTCTCAAAATACTAATTTTAAAAAGCCAATCATCATGGAATTATTTTATTTTGTTTATTTTTTGAGATAGGGTCTCAATCTTTACCCAGGCTGGAGTGTAGTGGCATGATCTCGGCTCACTGCAACCTCTGCCTCCTGAGCTCAAAGGATCTTCCCACCTCAGCCTATGTGGAGGAGCTGAGACCACAAGCACGTGCCACCATACCCAGGTAACTCTTTGTATGTTTGGTAGAGATATGTTGCCCAGGCTCTTCTCGAACTCCTAACCTCAAGTGACCCTTGTGCCTCGGCCTCCCAAAGTATCGTGATTATAGAAGTGAGCCACCATGCTTGGCCGATAATTTCATTTTATATAAGCACTACTTTTACCTGCTTCTTCTGCTTCAAACCACACACTAAATTATTTCTGGGGTACATGGCTTTTACCAATTAACTTGTTTCTATTTTGACAGTATGCTGCTGCCTAGTGTCAAGTCAGATCAAATTTTGGCAACGTTTTGCCTTTTCAACTCCAGCCTTCCCTTCTTAAAACAGATCTATGCTAATATATTTTTGGAACAAAAAGTATGAGATGCCACTTCAGCATTTTTGGCTTAATACTCTTCTCATTAGCAAGAATGTTGTCATAAACAAAGCACATGGGCTTTGGTATTCTATCACACATAGTAGAAAGAAAAGCCAAAGGATATTTGATATTTTTTGTTAGGTTTTTTTTTTGCTTGTGACATTTTTATAACTTAAGCCAGTTCTAAAGTAAAGATAGATGCTCATTATCATCATCGCAGGACACAGATTCACTAATTCCTACCAGTGGGAAGCTGTTCTGACATATCATGACAACACTGATGAGTATACAGTGCTTGTCTACAGGAGCAGCCCATAATAGACATGAAAATAATGTGTACAGCAAGACGATTTGGGTAAATAAAATAAAAATCACTGCTGCATATCCGTGTGCATTTCTGTTTGTGAGTGTATGTGTGCATCAGGTACATATCCACATGCCTGATTCACAGACCTCCCTTTGATCCCCTTCCGCAGACATCAGGCTAAGATCCCTGCTGTAAAGGAGTGGACAGCCCCTTCAACTGAACCCCAAATTCAATGTGATGACAAAGATCCATGTGAGCCCAATGAAAGGAGAAACCTCCTTTCCTGGTGGCCTTAGAAAAGGCTTCACAAGGACCCAGTAGATAACACTTGAGCTGCAGCTTCAAGGTGGAGTAGAAGTTTATTAAGTCGAGAAGAGGAGAAAGGATATTCCAGGCAGAAACTAAAAAGGGAGATGTCATAATCTGGGAAATGTCGGGGAGTGTGGGTGACACTAAGAAACTAAAGAGTTACGTGGGAAATGTTTAGCTATCGAGACAGAGCTAACTGCTCAGGCTTGAATTTTAACTCTACTATTTATTTCTTTGATCCTGGACAAATTATTTAATCTCTTTTTGCCTCTGTTTTCTCATTTTTAATATGGGAGAGCAGTCGGGGTCAACATGTGCTAGGCATCTTTCGTTTACCCACTTAAGATTAGTTTAATCCCTCTTTGCCACGCTAAATACACGAATGCCCTCTAAATATGGATACAGCCACTCCCTCTTCGTTAAGGGTGAGTAACAATAACAATAATAGTAGTAATTCTAGTAGATGAAATATAAGGAACCTCTACTTTATGTCAAGTATTCTAATAAGTGCTTTGCATGCACCCTCACATTTGTTCCTCATAATACTTGAGATAGAAGCTGTCATTATGTCCATGATGAGGAAATTGAGGCTTAGATATGCTAAGTGACATAGCCACGATGACACAGATAGCAGTAAGAGAGTTGGGACTGAAATCAGATTTTTTCCTCTCTGCTGTGTTTTAAATTTCCCCTGGTGACTGATTTTCAATTGTATTCGGTGAACTTCATGCTCTGCCCCTCAGGTTGATGCCTCCCGTGGATGATCTGCTCACATCCCATTGGCTTCTTTCCATGAAGCTGCTTCTCAGATCATCCTGCCCTGCTGGCTGCACACACCTCAGTCTGAGTGCAAGTAATACATGCCTCCACTTGACCTGGAATTGAGGAAACAGCTTCAGCTAGAGCCCAGGGGTGTAGGACCCTGCTTGTCTGGGAGAAGGAATTTGAGGGACTAGTGAGTTATTGTCAGGCCTGAGTAAAATACTTTTGGCCATTAAAAGTAATGGCCAAAACCACAGTAACTTTTGCACCAACTCAGTAGTACCCCTGATACATCTGTGTGGCATGAAAGTGTATTGTAACTGCCTTGAGTTTCACTTGTATGATCAGGAAACGAAACACAGAGAGGAGAGAAAGAAAAAGAACACCAAATAATAAAACAAATTCTTTTAAAAGACGCTGATAGCGTCGGGGCATGGTTCTTTTCTGGGGTCCATACAAACACGTGCTGTTCCTTTTCTGAGGAATCCTGTCAGGCTACAACCAATGGAGGAGCCTGTTCCGCCTGGGGGAAATGACTGCAGCTGGATCGAGCTTGATTTATCTGTTGTTTATATTTTTGAATTTCCTCCTTCATATCTTTTCCTGTAAAATTATCCATCTGGCTTAAGGTTATAGAAAGGGAGTGTTGATTTCTGCCATTTTTATTTATTTAGGTTGATTCTGTGAAGTAGCATGGTAGAGTAAATTGGGACAGAGCAGAAAATGGGGCTTGCCCACCACTCCACTACTCTCAGGAAGATTAGGGCTAAGGATGCTATTGTCCACAGCCCTGTAAATCCCCTGGACTCCTTTCTGATTCTGATTCTAAAACACTGTCTGAGGCTTCCTGCCACAGTGGTGGCAGAACTATCTTCCTGCTTAAGATAGTTACATTGAAAGTCACACAGATGGACTTTCTGGGTGGCATCATCTGCTTTTTTTAGTATCCCTCACCCACATTTTGATTATACTATATATTTTGAGCTAGATTGTTGTCACTTCAAAGGCATATTTGTAGATATAAATTAGCAAGGGATTTCATTCAGCCAAGTAACAGAAGAGACACTTTGGCCTGAAACCTTTCTCCAAGATTACTTTCTTTACCATAAAAAAGTATTACTACATACTCTTGCATGTAGTAACCATTGGGTCTCCCACATGAAAGCCTCTAAATGAGGAAATCAGAATAAAGAAAATATTTATATCTGAATCACTTTGAACACAAAAAGGGGTGCTATACAAATGGATACTTGCATTAGGGTTGCATTTGAATTGATGGCTGGTCACACTGCAGTTTCATTTTAGTCCATTCCTAGCTTGAGGAAGTTGCACCTAAAACCCAGACATGTTTATAAGGAACCTGTGCAGCCAGGCTGTCAAGAACTTAAGTTTCCTAAGAACGAAGCAAGTTCTCAAAATACCTCAGGAGCTTTTAATTAGTCCTCACAACTCTCCCATGAAGTAGGACATTTTTTATCTGCCTCCAAGCAAGTGGTAAAACATCTATTTGACTTAAGGTCACAGAGAGAGAGGGGGAGTGCCAGAGAAGACCAAAACAAGAACTGAGCTTGATGTGAAGCCAAGCCCTGTTAGCTCAACAAAGTCAAGGAGATGAGCACAGGGGGACTTGGCAGTGCAGTCGGTGTTTTTCACAGTGATGATAATACAGTTCAGCAGACAAGGATGCTAAATGTATGCCTTGTGCCTTTCCTTAGACTGAAGAGGCTCAGATAATGGGGTGGGATGAGGATGGGCCAGTGTAGGTGAAGAGGAAAAAGCAGAGATCAAAAGCCATGTGTCAAGATAAGCAGCAGGTAGAGAGAGAGACTGAGGCTGAATGTAGAAGTGATGAGGATGGGGAGAGTGGGATAGAAAAATCCATCAGAAATAGATCTAGAAAGATGGAGGAGGAGATTTGATTGGCCTAGGAGTCAAGGTAGGAAGGTCGAAGTGGGTAGGTATGTGGCTTAAGATCATACAGACTATGATGCTTAGAGACTACCATGCCAAGGGTAAGAGTGGGAAGTTATTCGCCAAAGACTTGGACTCACATTCTTTCCCTGATGTAGATGTGATCTATCCCTCATGAGGGTTTTACTATTTTGTCTGTAGAAATATTTGCTGGCTTTCTTGGGGGTATAATGGAGTTTATAATTCTCAGTGTGGAGAAATTATAGAAAGATTCTATCTTCAGCCTACAAAAGCTACCAGGTTACCCCTTCTCAAATCTGATTTAATTCTGTAGTGCTAATTTGATCTTCTCTTTAGTTGGGTCTAGATATTGCTTGTGAAATCCTTTCCATTCTACCTGTGTTCTCCTCATTCTAACCATCATTCCCAGAGCTGTCCATGACTGACTGACTTGCTTCTACTCCCTAAGTCTTCCTTCCCCTCTTGTCCTTGGAGCATCTATCTTGAAGTGCTTTTCTCCTCCTTCTCTGTCTTTTATCTTAAACTCCAGTCCCAAAATTGTATTGCCTTTGTGTGTGAATCGTTAAATGAGTTTCCCGCTTCTTCATATGGAAACCAGGTCAACCACCATCTTGCTCGTTGCCAATGGATTTGGTATCTGGGGTATGTGGGGATGGAAGAAGTGGATATGCTCCCAAACCATTCTTTATTACACTCTCCCCACTAGTGTTATAAAACAGTTGCAACAAGTCTCACATCTCTAGGAAGATTATTTACAGTGTGACCACATAGCAAAAGTTTTCAATTCCTTTTTGAGTTAAGATAATAATAACAGTAACAACAATAACAAAAAAACCAGCTAATCTTTATTAAACATTTACCAAGCCCCAGACATTGTTCTAAATGTTGCACATACAGTCATGAGTCACTCAACAACAGGAATACATTTTGAGAAATGCATCATTAGGAGATTTTGTCATGGTGTGAACCTCATAGGATGTACTTACACAAACCTAGATGGTATGTATATTTGCTTTTACTTATTTAGAGACAAGGTCTTGCTATGTCACCCAGGTTGGTGTGCAGTGGCACAATCATAGCTCACTGAAGTGTTGAACTCCTGGGCTCAAGCAATCCTCCTGCCTTAGCCTCCCAAGTAGCTAGGAATACAGGTGTGTGCCATCACTCCTGGCTAATTGTTCTTTACTTTTTTGTAGAGACAGGGACTTGCTCTTTTGCCCAGACAGGTCTTAAACTCCTGGCCTCAAGGGATTTTTTGCCTCCACCTTCCAAAGCTCTAAGATTACAGGTATGAGCCTTTGCACCCAGCTCATATTTGTATTTACATGTTTTTTTAATATAAAAAACCAAATGTTCCAATGCCACTTCTGAATATCAGTCTTTTCCACACCTTGGTCTGCAATGCCAATATCCAGTGCCATATATCAGGTTTCTATATATGCTCCATTATAATTTTATGGAACCTTCTTGTATATGCAGTCTTTCATTGACTGAAATGCAGTGGTGTGACATATGAATATGTTTAACTTATTTAATCCTCACAACCATCCTATGAGGTTGGTACTATTATCAGCTGCAATTTAAAGATGAGGAAACCAGGCCTAGAGGGCATTAAGTAACTTGTCCATAATGGCTAAAATACAAAATGATGGTGAAAGTATAGAACAACCAGAACTCTCACACTCTGTTGGTGGGAATTTAAAATGTTACCACCACTTTAGAAACCTGGCAGTTTCTTATGAAGTTAAACATATATTTACCATACAATCCAGCCTTTCCACTCCTAGGCATTTACCGAGGAAAAAGTCAAAAAACATGTCCCCACAAAGACTTGTTGTGAATGTTCATATTAATTTATGTTATGTTATGCTTTATGCATAACAGCAAACAACTCTAAACAACCCAGATGTCCCTTAACTGATGAACGTATAAGCAAGTTGTGGTACGTCCACACAAGGGAATACTCTTCAGCCAATAAGAAAGAACAAACTTCTGATACATATAATAATATGGGTAAATATCCAAAGCATTATGGCAATCAAAGGAAGGCAGACACAAAAAATTATAGAATATGGGATTGTATTTATATGAAATTCTAGAAAAGACATATCTCTAGTGACAGAAAGTGGATGAGTGGTTTCCAGGTGCTGGGAGTCAGGAGGGGAGATTGACTATAGAGGGTAAGAAGGAGCTGTTTTGTTTCTTAATTGTGGTGATGGTCACACAGCCATACACATTTAACAAAACTCATTGAATTATACATTTAGAATGGATGAATTTTATTACATATAAAATAAAACTTAATAAATCTGCTTTTAAGGAGAAAAATAATGCACAGCTCACTTAAAAAATAAATCTAACTGTTCTAGTTCCAGAGATGGAAGCAACATGCTCTCAGACTCTAGGCAAATCACCTCAATATTTATGGCAACAATTTTCTTCTCTAACATGAGATTGCTAATAAAAGTCTAACACATGTAATTATTGTAAGGACAAGTTAAGATAATGAATAATAGATGAGAAAATAAGAATGAAAGAATGTCACTTTCTGGAATAGGACCTCAAGGTCTCCCAGAAAGTCCCTCTCCTCTACCCTATTCTGTCATGAGGAGGCTCTGCTCAAGATAAAGCAGCCCTTTGGTAGCTATCACATGATACTGGAAAAGTGACCCCGCCAACTCAAATTAATGCTTTCTATTTTAAGATGTGTTTATGGAAACTCCTAAGTCCGTCCAATGAAGATATATATCAAAATGAAGCAATATGAGAAGAAGAGATAGAGACATACCTAATTCTAAATTGTTAAACTTATTCTTGCAGTATAACTAGCTAGCATGGTTTGTGGAATCAGACAGATGTAGATTTAAGATCTGGATGCACGCTTCTGAGCTGTGAACCCATCTCTAAGGTTTTTTCATCTGTAAAATCAGGAAATTGTGATGAAGTTTACATGAGATAAAGCATAAGAGAACTTAGTGTGATGCCTTGCATAGAAGAAGTATTTCATAATAATAATGATAAATTACTAATTACTGAATTTATTATTATTACTGGGAATATTGCAACTGATAATTTCCAATTTAGTTTATGTATAACTTCTGCTTTATCATTGCTAAGAATTTTTTCAAATCAAATGTCCTGTGTCTAGCTTGCTATTCTCATTTGATAAACAATAAGTGTTTTAAGATTAAAGATGTGTTTATTCTAGGATTAGTAGGATACCTGGAAATTACTATTGACTATTATTAGATAAGATACTCATTCTCCTTAGGCCTCAGTCTCCAGAGGGTAGAAAAAGTTGCAACCCGCCTTCTAAATTTTGATAAGGATGTCATCCGTATTTAGGAAGCTGCTATCCACATTCTAACCCCTGAGAAAATTACTCCACAGGAGGAACAGTCTTGATGACAGATGTGTTTCTTCCTCAGTGATCATTTCTAATTTGATAATTTATTAGTTGATCTCCTCTTTGGTCTGAGATCAATAGAGCATTCCACAAAGCTAGGTTCCTTGTAGGCTTCCTGGAGCCCTGATGTCCTGATCCTCCTTCTATTCCCATACTTTTTCTCCCCACATAGTTGATGGCAACTCCTCTGATTGCTCAGGCCTGAGTCCTTGAAGTCACTCCTGACATCTCTCTGACACCACATGTTCAATTTATCAGAAATCCTGTTGGCTCTGCCTTCAAATATGTCCAGAATCTGACCACTTCTCACCACCTCCACTGCTGCTAAGCTAGTGTGAGTCACTATGCTCTCTGGCCTGGCTGACTGCCACAGCCTCCAACCTGGTCTCCATGCCTCTAGTACTTCTATTTTGAAGATTTTTGCTTTCTTTCTTTGTCTGTCAAAATCAAGTAGATATAGTAGTGCTGTTTTGGTCTATTCAGGCTGCTCTAACAACATACCATAAATTGGGATAGCTTTTAAACAACAGAAATTTATGTCTCAGTTTTGGAGGCTGGGAAGTCCAAGATCAAGGTGCTTTGAGATTTGGGTGGAGACACAACCCAACCATATCACTATGCTATCCTGGAGAGGGTCCTCTTTTGGTTCATAGACAGCACCTTCTAGTTGTGTCCTCACATGGAAGAAGGGGGCAAGGCAGCTCTCTGGGAGCTCTTTTATAAAGACATTCATTCTGTTCATGAGAGAAGTGCCCCAAAAGCCCACTTTCACCTTAGGGATTAGGATTTCAACATATGAATTTTGCGAGGACAGAAATACATAGACCATAGCAAGTATGTATTCTCTAGAAAAATGAGATTAAAAGGTTCCATAGTCTGTTAAACATATGAACTACTGAATTTTTTATCCTTATGATCAGAGAAAACTACAGAATGTAATTTCTATTGAAAGACTAATATTAGAGAATTAACCAGGAAAAAAGCAACTCTGAAGAAAATTTGCAATTCATCAAATTGCTCCAGATTAATTTATGTTATAGAAGCAAACTAAATAAAAATAAGAATGATAGGCCAGGTGCAGTGGCTCATACCTGCAATACCAGCACTTTGGGAGGCCAAGGTAGGAGGATCACTTAAGCCCAGAAGTTTGAGACTAGCCTGGGCAACATGGCAAGACTCAAACTTTAGAAAAAATAAAAAAAATTGGCCAGGTATGGTGGCACACACTTGTCATTCCAACTACTCAGGAGGCTGAGGTGGGAGGATCACTTGAGCCTGGGAGGTCAAGGTTGCAGTGATCCATGATTGCACCACTGCACTCCAGCCTGGGTGACAGAATGAGACCCTATCTCAAAAAAGAAAAATAATAATAATAAATTTAAAAAATTAAAATTACCACCTGATAAACTTATTACTTCAAAATAAAACAAATTTTATCTAGAATAAGATTAATATACTAATAAATATCCTCTGTAACCAGAAATGTGTAGAGTCACCTTCAGTAATTGTTTTAGCTAAAATTTATTGATTATTTTGGATCATTTCCAGTTCACAACTCTATTAATTCACAATTAGTTCTATAATTCATGATTATTACTATAATGTTTTTTATTTTATTCTTTTTATAACAATAGTCTTATTGAAGTATAGCATACATAAAGTATACAGATTACACATCTGCAGTTTCAAGCATTTTTACATTGAAATCTTTTTGTATTCTTTCCCAGTTACCACCCTCCCCATCAAAGGTAATTACTGTCTGACTTCTATTACCCTAGATTTTTTGTTTTATAAATTTATATAAACAAAATCATAATAGTATACACCCTTTTGTGCCTGCCTTTCCCCCTGCAACATTATTTTTGTGAGGTTCATTCATGCTGTTTTGATGGTAGTTTGTTCATCTTCATTGCTGTTTAATATTTGGTTGCATACAAACACACACACACACACACACACACATATATATGATTTATATAATAAACCACTCCTAGGTTATACCTAAGAGAAATGTATAGAATGCGCACCAAAGAAGAGGTTCAAGAATGCCCATAGCAACACTAGTCCAACTTAAATGTCTAGTCAACATTTTCTCCCATTCTGGCAGCTTGACTTTTTATCTCTTAATAGTCTATGTTAAAGAACAAAAGTTCTGCCATATGCAGTGGTACATGGTTGTATTCCAGTTACTTGGGGTCTAAGGCAGGAGGATGACTTAAGGCCAGGAGTTTAAGATCAGCCGAGGCAACATAGGAAGATCCCCCTTTTTTTTCCTAAAAAGAAAGGAAGACAAGTTCTTAATGTCAGTGTTGCCTGATTTAACAGCGTTTTTCTGTAAGACTAGTATATTTATGTCCTGCTTAAGAAATCTTTGTTTAAACCAAAGCCATTAATACTATCTAGGGGATAACTATGTGTATTAGTCCATTTTCATGTTTCTGGTAAAGACATACCTGAGACTGGGCAATTTACAAAAGAAAGAGATTTAATGGATTTACAGTTCCACATGGCTGAGGAGGCCTCACAATCATGGTGGAAGGCAAGGAGGAGCAAGTCATGACTTACATGGCTGGCAGCAGGCAAAGAGAGAGAGAGAGCTTATGCAGGGAAACTCCTCCTTATAAAACCATCAGATCTCACTGTGACTTCTTCACTACCACAAGAACAGCACAGGAAAGACCTGCCCCCATGACTCAATTACCTCCCACCAGGTCCCTTCCACAAAACATGGGAATTCAAGATGAGATTTGGGTGGGGACACAGGCAAACCATATCACTATGCTATTCTCAAGAAGACTTATTGTTTTACCTCTCATGTTTACACCTGGAATACACCTAGAATTTTTTTTTATCATGGAAGATAGGGTCAAAATTAATTTATTTTCCTATATAGATATCCAATTTAACCAGTGCCACTTACTGATAAGACCATTGTTCTTCAGTATCATCTTAATCAACTGGTTTTAAATAACACTAACCACAGGAAGTAAAAGCTGAGAAAAATGTTCTTTTTCATCACTTATACTGTATCTTTTTGCTTATGTAAGTATCTGAAATCTATGGTAAAAGATTTCTCTAAAGTTTTTATTTTCTGCTAATGCAGACTAACCAGTCTTAAATTTTAATGATTCTTAAACCAAGGCGACAGCAAGGTCTGACTATGGTCTTGAGAAAGTGACTTTTATTGATTTTTGTTTTGCTTTTGTTTCTTTTTGAATAATTGTCAAGAAATAAAATGGATAAATGCTTAGGGTCAAATATTTTTCCCAAGATAAAGCATATTTTTGTTGAAAAAATCTGGACTTCTATATAAACAAAAAAGAAGCAGCCTAGTCACTGAAATGTAGTTAGCATCATATATCTGGAAGATACGTAAGTTTCATAAATTATTGAAATAATGTAAACATTTTTAAAAGTGTTGACTTCTAAGGTTCATGGAAATTGTACACTCTGCTTAGATGTCAAGAAATGTAACATAATGTGAAGAACACTGGACTTAGAGCCATGCTCCTGGGTTCCTCTTCCTGCTCTGCCACTAAACAGCTTTGCAACTCTTCTTCATTTTCTTCTTTTTTACAATTAACTGGGCCAGATCGGTAGTCCTGAATTCTTTTCCTGCTATGACTATGTCACACATGGTTCATCGTGCAGCCTACCCCTATGTGCTGGCATGGATCACAGTCTGACCCCTATTTATTAGTTTCATTTCCAGTTTTACCTCCACCTCAAGGAAGCTTTCCTGAAAGCAAGAAAATAAAAGGCTCCTGGGTAGCAATGCAGTGTCATTCTCTCTAATTGATTAATAATATTTTTTTGAGATGGTGTCTTCCTCTGTCACCCAGGCTGGAGTGCCGTGGTGCGATCTCGGCTCACTGCTACCTCTGCCTTCCAGTTTCAAGTGATTCTCCTGCCTCAGCCTCCCAAGTAGCTGGGATTAAAGGTGCCCACCACCACACCCAGCTAATTTTTTTATTTTTAGTAGAGACGGGGTTTCACCATGTTGGCCAGGCTTGTCTCGAACTCCTGACCTTGTGATCCGCCTGCCTCAGCCTCCCAAAGTGCTGAGATTACAGGCGAGTTATTACTCCTAAAAGCTTTCTCTTGGCCACATTAAGCTGAGAGCTTAGAATTGCCTATAACTCCTAATAAGTCTTCTTTTTTTTCCCCTCAATTTTTGTTACCAAAAAGACCTAGATATTATTGGCTTTTCTTGCAACACAAAGATGATTGCTGATTTTTCCAGCAGTCCTAAGGAAATGTGTAGTTTCTCCTATGCATTCTCAACTAATTCCACCTTGTGACAAAAGGCATGTATTTATCTGCCACGTGATTAAAGGTTAAAGATAAGTTTGTGACTATAAGATATAGTGAAATTAATTGACAACTTGTACCAACCATATGTCATTGAATCAAATACGCCATCAACTGTAAGATGAACCATCATTTTAAGCACAGCAAAAGAAGATGCTGTCAATTAAACTGTTAACATTACCAATTGTAAAATATGTCCCCATTTAGAAAATATTAAAATGCATTACAAGTGTCTTGGAATCTATGAAATACAGTAATAATTATTTCTCTATCAAAATAATTTGTTCCATCATATCCAAGAAAAGATTATAGATATGAGCATGGTAGTCCCCAAACCTGGCTCTTAAACAGAACTACCTGGGGATTTCTAGTTTCCTCTTACCTGTTGTGTCAGAATACTGGGGAATGGGCCCAAGGAATGTATATGAAAATAAGCCAGCCAACAATTAAAAAAAAACACTCCCCACTTAGTTCTGATGGTCACTCATATTTGAAAACTATTGGAACAGAGGAAGCCCATCTCTGATAATTGGCCTTACATCTCTATTATTCTGCTTCTGTTGCCTAATACCTAGAACCAGCAAAAGGGGAAGTTAATGGAAGAGATACCTGGTATGTTGCTGTTTTTTTTTTTTATCTTTCATAAGGAGAAAATGGATTGATGGAATAATGCTTTTCATATTTTTTGAAAATTGGAAATGTGAATTCTATTAATGCTGGCATAGATTCTTGGCAAAAAGTATAAAACAAGTATTAAGCAGATAGTTTGGTATTTTAAAAAAGAATAAGTTGATTACAAGAACCATAAGATAGACTTGATAACAGCTAAATTAACCAATTATTTGTTTTTATTTTGCAAGTAAAATCACTAGGTTATCCAGGGATGATATAAATATAGTGTATTTTAAGTGCTGCAAGGCATTTGACAAGCCTCCTGTGATATCCTTGAGTACCTGATGATGAAATATGTACTAGTTAATAGTAAGCAAATTCAAGTTTCAAGGCTGGGCAAATAAATAAAGCAAGGTTATATCCTTGGCCTTATCTATTAATAACACGTTTGTCCAACTTGAATATGGCCAAGGCTGGGAGGGCTCACTAGTACTAAAACAATTCAAACGGAGTTTGACTATATGATCTTGGCATGCCGGGATATTAGGGCAAAAACAAACCTTCTGTAATTGAAAACTGTGAAGTCTCATATTTAGTTTAAAAATATAATTCAAGGTTGGGTGCAGTGGCTCACGCCTGTTATCCCAGCACTTTGGGAGGCCAAGGCGGGCGGATCACGAGGTCAGGAGATCCAGACCTTCCTGGCTAACACGGTGAAACCCCGTCTCTACTAAAAATACAAAAAATTAGCCGGGCGTGGTGGCGGGCGCCTGTAGTCCCAGCTACTCCGGAGGCTGAGGCAGGAGAATGGCGTGAACCCGGGAGGCGGAGCTTGCAGTGAGCCGAGATCGCGCCACTGCACTCCAGCCTGGGCGACAAAGCGAGACTCCCTCTCAAAAAAAAAAAAAAAAATATATATACATATATATATATAAAAATATATATATATACATATATATATTTCGAAAAGTATGGTATATGTACAGTTAAGATATCTGAAAAAGTCTTGAGCATTTTAGTTGATTTAAAGTTTACTGTAATTATAAGGTGTAATGTGATTGTTGAAAAGCTAAAAGTATTAGCATGCTACAAGGAAACTTGCCAGCTCCCTTAATAGAATAATTTTCCAATTCTCCAGGCTTGGTCATGGACAGAGAGTCTCCAGATAGGGAGGGGCAGCTGGACCTCACAGCTCTTGTCTTACCTTTTAAGAAACTTCATGGGCACCAACAAATTGCACCCTGTATATTCTTATTCTGGCACAGCCATAATTTAAGCAGATTGGATAGTCTTATGACTATAATTTAACTAAAGCCTTCAGGAAAATGGAGAGAATTTCTATATAAGAAGCATCATATACAATTGGCTTCTGGGAATGGCTTTTCTTAATAACAGAACCCTAGCTGTCCTCTGGGTCCACTGTGGGTGTGACCCCTGCCCAGTGAGAGGGTTATATCTCCTTGTTAACTACCTGGTCTGCCTCCTTGTGCAGTGTCTATTTTCCCCATCACCCCAGAGCCCTCCAAACACTTCTGAAGACTCAGAGTAGAGTGAAGAACATGATTCTTTTTTTTTTTTTCTCATTGTAGACTCTCTTCCAAGTTATAATTCGATTCCCAGGATTTATCTTTTTCATGGATAACTGGCACTGGGAGTGACTACTTCATTACAGTGAGACCTCAATTTCTACTCATGTGGTTGGCATTACAATACACTGTGGCCTCATTAGGACAACTGTGTCATAATGCAATAGTCCAACATTAGTATGAGATACACACATGTGGGCAAAACAGGGATATCTTCTCCTTCAAACCATATTATTACCATATTATAATTTAATTACATTATATATCACATATAATATAATATCTCTCATTCTGTGGTATACAAATTTCATACTAAAATGTTATATTCAATTCTGCATATCAAAACTCAAGAGAAACTTTGACAAACTGCTGTGGTTCCCAAAGTACATCTTAAATGTGGTTCCCAATCTGGTTCCCAAAGAGCCAGATTGAAAAAATTAGAAAAGAGAGCGGCTGGTCACAGTGGCTCACGCCTGTAATTCCAGCACTTTGGGAGGCCGAGATGGGTGTATCACGAGGTCAGGAGTTCGAGACCAGCCTGGCCAGCATGGTGAAACCCTGTCTCTACTAAAAATACAAAAAATTAGTCAGGCATGGTGGCGCATGCCTGTAATCCCAGCTACTTGGGAGGCTGAGGCAGGAGAATTGCTTGAACCTGGCAGGCAGAGGTTGCAGTGAGCCAAGATCGTGCCACTGCACTCTAGCCTGGGTGACAGAGTGAGACTCTGTCTCAAAAAAAAAAAAAAAAATTAGAAAAAAGAAACTTGGGAAATAGTACAGGAATAGTACAAGAGATATGATAGCTCTCCTCAAATTCCATTTAGATGAGGAAGCACTTGATATTTGGACAATGTAACTGTTAAGGTTTTTTTTCAACTCATTGTCTACCGATTCTCTGACTTGTTATATTTTTTCTAGATGGAGGTACTAAGACCACTTGGTATAAATTACAGGGAAGCAGACTTTGACTCAATATGATTAAAACCAAAAGCCATCAAATACCTAGAACTACCCCTATAAAATAGACTCTATTATGATTTCAGTCCATTGTTTAAACTCTCTAAAAATTACCCTGGAATGAGTGCTGGTAGGTGAGTGGTTAATAGTACTGTATCTGCTTGGTTCAAACCTTCGCTCCACCACTGCGGAGTTGTGACCTTGGTTATGGTTTACAAACTGTGTTTCTCAGTTTCTTTAACTGTAAAACTAGATAACAATAAGGTTTTTAGGGACAAAATAACTTATAATTTAAAAATTCTTAGAACAATGAATGGTAAATACTAAACACTTAATAATTACTGAGTGTTGTTAGTTCTTTCCAAACACTAATGTTTTGCGATTCTAATCTTAGCTATTTTGCTAAGAATGCATCTGGCATTCTTCGTAGATAAGAAAGAGTCTATTAATACAAAACTCAGATAAGGGAAAGATTGAATTGTTGGGCTTCTCTGGTTGTGTGCTATGGCTTAAAATTTTATTTAGTAGAAATATGGAGTAGATATTAAAACACATAAGTTTATGCTGTTATAAAAACAATTTACCATTTGGTGCTTGTATATGACTAATTTAAATTTGATTTAACATTAGTTTAAAAATTAAGTATAAAAATAGTAGATACTGAAACAAATGTAAGCAGGGTGGAAGTACATAAGTAAATTAAAAAATTCTTTTGGACTACATTTTAAGCATATAAATAAACATATATAATTTTATTTAGTTCACCAAAAATAGAGTAATATTTACAAATTGCTTTGCAGTTTCCTTTGGTACACTGTTACATTTTAAAGGAAAAATTCCTTTGAGGACGCAGATTTTTAAAAATTCTGTAAAGATTCTTGATATGCTTATATCATGTAAAGTTGTAGGGACTGTTTGCTTCAATGGAGCCTTGCTCCTTGGGGTCCATGGCTTCAGTCCAATCATGCCTACATATCACAGATCAATTCAACTTAAAAAAAAATAAGTTACCCGCAGTCTTTCTAGAACAATTGTTTATAACACTTCTCCAGGAATGTATTTATTTATTTATTTCATTATGAATAATTTATTTATTAACAATTCTTTATTGACCGTTTAGGTTGTTCCTTTTTTTTTTTTTGAGACAGGGTCTCACTGTGTCACCCAGGCTGGAATGCAATGGCATGGTCTCAGCTCACTGCAGCCTCCATCTTTTGGTTCAAGCAATTCTCATGCCTCAGCCTCCTGAGTAGCTGGGATTACAGGCACGTGCCACCACGTCCTCTAAGTTTTGTATTTTTGGAGAGACAGGTTTTTGCCATGTTGCCCAGGCTTTTCTCAAACTCATGGCCTCAAGGGATCTGCTCACCTTGGCCTCCCAAAGTGCTGGGATTACAAGTGTGAGCCACCACAACTGGCCTTGTTTCATTTTTTATAGTTAAAAACAACACTTCATAGAGTGTTTAAAAAGTCAGAAACATAGGACTAATTTATTTTCAAACAATGTATTAGTAACATTTTGATACGATATGCTCAATATATTTTCCTTCAACTTCCACATACCATCTCAGGTAAGTGTCTCTAAAGCAATAAATCCAATAGTTAATCTAAAGTATGATATTAAAAATACACCATATTCTCTGTGTTTCCAGACTTTTTTTGGACAAGATTTGGGGTATTTTTACAATTACTTATTATTTCCTTGAATAGGCAGATATTTAAGCATTTAGAAATTGGGAAAAAAATTCAGTGGAAAATAAATGCGTGGCTTCCAGATCTTATGCCCTACATAGAAAGTAATACTTGGAAAGTGATACATTAGCTCAGAGCCATGATCAACCTTTTCCTGTGTAGTTTCTGGCTTTGGTGTTATGTTTATTTATTTATTTTTTAGAATTAGCCATTTTTTATATATTTTTTATTTTTCCATAAGTTATTGGGGTACAGGTGATATTTGGTTACATGAGTAAGTTCTTTAGTGATTATTTGTGAGATTTTGGTGCATCCATCACCTGAGCAGTATAGAATGCACAATATTTGTAGTCTTATCCCTCACCCCCACTGCCATTCTTCCCTCCAAGTCTGCAAAGTCCATTGTATCATTCTTATGCCTTTGCGTCCTCATAGCTTAGCTCCCACATATCAGTGAGAACATATGATGTTTGGTTTTCCATTCCTGAGTTACTTCACTTAGAATAATAGTCTCTAATCTCATCCAGGTCATCACAAATGCTGTTAATTCATTCCTTTTTATGGCTGAGTAGTATTCCATCATGTATATATACCACAGTTTCTTTATCCACTCATTTGTTAATGGGCTTTTGGGTTGGTTCCACAATTTTGCAATTGTGAATTGTGCTGCTATAAACATGTGTGTGGAAGTATCTTTTTTGAATAATGACTTCTTTTCCTCTGGATAGATACCCAGTAGTGGGATTGCTGGATCAAATGGTAGTTCTACTTTTAGTTCTTTAAGGAATCTCCACACTGTTTTCCATAGTGGCTGTACTAGTTTACATTCCCACCAGCAGTGTAGAAGTGTTTCCTGATGACTGCATCCATGCCAACATATACTATTTTTTGATTTTTTGATTATGGCCATTCTTGCAGGAGTCAGGTGGTATCACATTGTGGTTTTGATTTGCATTTCCCTGATCATTAGTGATGTTGATTATTTTTTCATATGTTTGTCGGCCACTTGTATATCTTCTTTTGAGAATTGTCTGTTCATGCCCTTAGCCCACTTTTCAATGGGATTGTTTGTTTTTTTCTTCCCGATTTGTTTGAGTTAAACCATCCCTGCATCCCTGGTATGAAACCCACTTGATGATGGTGGATTATCTTTTTGATATGTTGTTGGATTCGGTCAGCTAGTATTTTGTTAAGGATTTTAGCATCTATGTTCATCAAGGATCTCAGTCTGTAGTTTTCTTTTTTGGTTGTCTCCTTTCCTGGTTTTGGTATTAGGGTGATGCTGGCTTCATAGAATGAATTAGGGAGGATTCCTTCTTTCTCTGTCTTGTGGAATAGCGTCAAAAGGATTGGTACCAATTCTTCTTTGAATGTCTGGTAGAATTCTGCTGTGAATCCGTCTGGTCCTGGACTTTTTTTTTGTTGGTAATTTTTAAATTACCGTTTCAATCTTGCTGCTTGTTTTTGGTCTGTTCAGGGTATCTAATTCTTCCTGATTTAAGCTAGGAGGGTTGTATTTTTCCAGGAATTTATCCATCTCATCTAGATTTTCTAGTTTATGTCACTGAAGGTGTTCATAGTAGCCTTAAATGATCTTTTGCATTTCAGTGGTGTCAGTTGTAACATCTCCTGTTTCGTTTCTTAGTGAGGTTATTTGGATTTTCTCTCTTCTTTTCTTGGTTAATCTTGCTAATGGTCTCCGCATGCAGCTCTGTCTGGAGCTTCAATCCAGTTCTGCCTCCCATCTGCCATGATCCCGAAATTGAAGTAGCATAAACACTTTTTATTTTAAGAATTGTGTATATATTTTAAATTATTAAATTTATATTATAACTAGGTCTCATGAAATGTAGGATATTGACCAAGAAAGAAAGGAATCCTGACATCTGGAAAGTGATATCTGGAAATGTTTGGAAGATTTGGAGAAAGCTAAACCTTAAAACTTAGAATCACTCACTTTTACTCCATGTCTTGAGGAAGTAATCCCTGCCTCTGACTTTCCTGAAAACAGTTGAACATTTCTCTTTAAGAAAGTGCTGCTTTTAATCAGTTATCAGAATGCAAATTTATAAGTTCTGAGGGATAACATGCAGATTTATATTATGAAAACAAAATGTTACAACCAGAATTGGCTAATTGATATATATATATATATATATATATATATATATTTTAAAATTTCAGTATTGCATTTACTTATTCACTGTAATAAATATTTATTAGTGGCTATGATGGCAAGGTATTGTGTTAGTTTCTGATCCTTAGACTTCAAGGAGAAAATGATATAGCAAGGCAGTCAGAAAATAATTCAATAATTTTCCAGCCAATATAAAACGGCATTTGTGACAAGTGCTTCCAAGGACTGGCCTGCTGATCCATGAGCAGCTATAATAGGAGGTTTGACTTATTGGGGGAAGGTTTCCCTGATGGGTTACAGTTAAAGTCGTCTCTTGATATTCATAAATGATCAGTTCCAAGACTCCCAAGGACACCAAAATCTGTGGATGCTCAAGTCCCGTATATAAAATGGCATAATATTTGTATGTAAGCAACGCACACCCCCTCGTATACTTTAAAACATCTCTAGATTACTTAAAATACCAATACAATGCCTACACATCACTTCATTCCTGTGTATTCGATGTAGTACTTGGTGTGCAGCACATTCAAGTTTTGCTTATGGAACTTTGTGGGATTTTGTTTTCCAAATATTTTTGATCTGTGGTTACTTGAATCTGTGGATCCAGAATTCAGAGATAAAGGGTCAAGTGTAATCAGGTTAAAAGGCAGGCCGGGCACAATGGCTCAGGCCGGTAATCCCAGCACTTTGGGAGGCCGAGGTGGGCAGATCATGAGGTCAGGAGATCGAGACCATCCTGGCTAACACGGTGACACCCCATCTCTACTAAAAGTACAAAAAATTATCAGGGCTTGGTGGCAGGCGCCTGTAATCCCAGCTACTCAGGAGGCTGAGGCAGGAGAATGGTGTGAACCTGGGAGGCGGAGCTTGCAGTGAGCGGAGATCCTGTCTCTGCACTCCAGCCTGGGTGACAGAGCGAGACTTCATCTCAAAAAAAAGAAAAAAAAAAAAGGCAAAGACAGCATTCCAGATAGGCAGGATAGCGTGTACGCACGTGCTATGGTGGTGTTACTGGAAAGGGGTCCTGATTCAGACTCCAAGAGATGGTTCCTGAACCTCGCACAAGAAAGATTTCGGGGCAAGTTGATAAAGTAAAGTAAAAGCAAGTTTATTAGAGAAATAAAGAAACAAAAGAATGGTTACTCCATAGGCAAATCAGTGGTATGGGCTGCTTGACTGAGTACACTGTGAAAGGAAAATACATCTTGGGGCCCCCAAATCACTAAGCTAAAGGGAAAAGTCAAGCTGGGAACTGCATAGGATAAACCTGACTCCCATTCTGTTCAAAGTCATCCCTCGGCTCACTGAGATAAATGCATATCTGATTGTCTCTTTTGGAGAGGCTAATCAGAAACTCAAAAAGAACGCAACCATTTGTCTCTTAACTACCTGTGACTTGGAAGGCCTCTTCCAGCTTCGAGTTGTCCCACATTTCTGGACCAAACCAGTGTTCATCTTACATATGTTGATTGATGTCTCATGTCTCCCTAAAATGTATAAAACCAAGTTGTGCTTTGGCCACCTTGGGCACCTGTCGTCAGGAACTCTAGAGGCTGTCACCGGCCTGCCTTCTCAACCTTAGCAAAACAAACCTCTAAATTAACTGAGACCTGTCTCAGGTATTCAAGGTTCACAACACTTATAGTTATTCCTTGGTTATATGCTAAAAAAGGGGTGGATTATTCATGAGTTTTCCAAGAAAGGGAAGAGGATTTCCTGGAACTGAGGGTTCCTTCTCCTTTTAGATTATATAGAGTAATTTCCGGACTTAGCTATGGCCTTTATAAACTGTCGTGGTGCTGGTGGGAGTATTTTTGAGAAGGCTAATGCATTATAATTAGCATATAATGAGTAGTGAGGATGACCAGCAGTCACTTGCATAGGCATCTTGGTTTTGATGAATTTTGGCTAGCTTCTTTACATCATCCTGTTTTATCAGCAGGATCTTTGTGACCTGTATCTTGTGCCAACCTCCTATCTCATCCTGTGACTAAGAATGCTTAACCTCCTGGGAGGGCAGCTCAGGAGGTGTCAGCCTCATTTTACCCAGCCCTATTCAAGATGGAGTCACTCTGGTTCCAATGCTTCTGACAGCAGTAGAGATAACACAGATAGGAGGGATTTAAAGAACGTCACCGTAGCTAAGATACAGAGAACAGCATAGGGGTTAAGCAAGGTCCAATATGGGACTAGCTTTGTTAAGCAGCTTTGCTTGAAGTGATAAATCTTATTTCTTCTTCAAAAATTCTTTTGAGGAATTTTGTTTAATACCTAACAGAAAAATCAATAATTAAAAAATTATGGTAGATATCTTCAAGTCAACTTTATATTAAAAAGTGTTCCTTCTTTGAAAGGAAACACCCTTTTCAACACCCTTGGCTTTTTAAAATTTCATTTTTATACTTATCAGAGTTTTAAGAGTCAGATAGATAGTTCTAGAAGACTGAAAATACGGTAACTTGCTAGACTTCTCAACTGCTGCCTCCTAATTCCCACTTTCAGAGTCAATCATTTTAAATTATTTCAGAAGTTTCTTCAGGTATTTACCTCTGTTTTTCTATTATAATATGCTTATAGTGCTATTTCTTATTTTTTCATTTTAGAAACCATTCATTTTCTAGTATTTTGTATACCATAAAAGATGAGGATTTAGCTCTCTCATATGCTGTGTATCATCTCTATACTTTCCTACTCCCATCCTCCCAATATGGTTCTATCATATTATAATATAAGCACTTAATATTCTTCTGTAATATTGTTCTATAATAATTATATTATATAAGTATATTAATATTATATTATAAAATTATTCTATAATTATATTGTAAGCATTAATATCTTCAAATTTTAATTAGCATTTTAATTGTGTGGTTTCTTTTTATGCAGTTTTTAAACCTATCTTTTTATTAAAAGTAAACTAGCTTATGTTTTATATTAATAATTATATTTTTTATTTTAAAATGCATTTAAAAATAGAGTGAACTTAAATTTTGTAATAAATAAGATTACATATGTTCGTAGATTTGGCAAAAACCATGAAAGTGTTATGGATATAATGCAAGTCTAAGAAACAGTATGTCCGGCCAGTGTTTGGCAAATTATGGACCTTGGGCCAAATCCAACTGGCTCCTGCTTTTGAAGTAACATATTATTGTAACATCCATTCAAACTATTTTCTGTGACTACTTTCTCCTACAATGGCAGAGTGAAGTAGTTGAGACAGAGTCTGTATGGCTCCCAGAGCCTAAAATATTTACCATTTGGCCCTTTACAGAAAGTTTGCTGATCTCTCTCCCAGGCTATACTATGAAAGCATTTAAAAAAAACCTTAATCATCAGTATAATCATGACTCTATAAGGCAAAGATATATTTAACAAATTTGTCCTACATTGTCCCTTTTCTACATTCAAGATGGTTTAGTGCCTTTCTACAGATCTGGAGCATTCCAGGACACCTAAGGCTGGAGGCCATGTGACAACACTGGGCTATTATGAGAGTTTCTTTGTTTACTGTTTGACAGGACAGATTCTGTCTTCTCAAATTCTGTTTGATCAGAAATGCTGTAGCATAATAAAGGGAGCAGATGAATGACTGAAGCCCTACAGCTCCACTAAAGATTAGAGTAAAATCTGCACTTCAAAAGATCCTGGTAAAGCAGGGAAGGTCCTTAGCTTTCCATTTTAAGTGGGAATGAGACAAGGGGATGGGGATGAAAGAACTGGGAGCCATCATTGCCAGATGCATGTTTGCAGAGCAGTGTGGGGATCACCTCATCTGTCCTTCAAGGTTCTGCAATGCTCTGCCTTCATTTTCCTTCTCAAGTTAACAGATATATTCTGACTCTGTCTTTCATGCTCAGTATTCTTGCAAGAGAACAGAGCTCCTGATCACCTGTGTGCGTCCTTTGAGTGGATGGCAGCTGCATCTCTGCATTACAGCTAGTTAGAATGATGAGTCCTTGCTATGCCTCAAGCACTGTTTCGAGTGTTTGATGTCTATTATCTCACTTCATCCTCACCAGGACCCCATCCGAGGTAAGTTCTATTATTGCTATTTTACAAAAGAGGACACTAACACACAGAGAGATTTAGTAACTTGCCCCAAATCACATAGTTGTTACTTGGCAGAGTAAAGATTTGAATCCAGGATTTCACTCCATAACCTGTTTTAAAATTATTATATGAATTTACCTCTTTTCCAATCTGGATGCCCTGATGAAAGGAGAGTGTAAAGCCACACTCCGGTGCTTAGGGGATGGAATCTCCCTTGAAAGGGATAAACATGGTTAATGTTAATCCCTAAAGAGAACAGGGTTTACGCAGGAAACTGGGACTAGAAAGACTGGCCTTGGTCAGGCTGGAGAAGGAATTTCTGGCCCCCACACTTGGCCTTTTCCTCTCTAGGCTAGCCTTTTAGGGAAGCAAAGATTTAGACTTTAGTTCTTGAATGTGGGCTACCAGTCAGCCCCTTTACATGGAAATAAAGCCTTGAGCTCAAAGAGCATGTGGTATCCTGTATTTCAAATTAAATAGTTTCAAGTTACTTCGTGGATTAATTTCCCTTTTGTTACTCCCTGGCAAAGTCTTATTTAAATATCCTGGCCTCATTTCACTTGTGTTAAGGGGTATCAAAGGGAAGAGACGATGGTGCATACTGAACCAGAATATCTAAAGGGAGAACTATATGCCCTGACTCTGAAACTAACATGTGGATGGCAACAGTGAGCAGAGAACTCTAAGGGGAAATGGGACTTTCCAGACATAAGTTGAAGTTACAAGCCAGAAACTCCTCCCACAGAAAAGCCCAATCGCTAGCATTAGATGATGAAATTGTGAGATGCAAAATGCAATAATGATGATAATGATGATGTTGTTCCCATTTGGGGACATGTTCACTATCTCCTAGAGAAACAAATATGAATCTATCCATCAAATAGTCACACACAATATATGTTAACCACAATACAATGCGGTGTTTCATAATATCAGTATAAACAAAGAGGGTAGGGGAGGGGTGCTGTGAGTTATGCCATAGTGGGGAGGGGCAGGCAAGCTGGATGAAGTGGGATAAAAGTTGCCGAAGTGGCTACCTTGTCCGGGGTATGTACCCTGGGATTCATTGTCGTGTGCTAGGAAACTTCAGGACACGGACACACATGAGGAGTTTAGGGGCAGAGGTTTAATAGGTAGAAGAAAAGAGAAAGAGAAATAGTTCTCTCTATAGAGGAAGGGGTCTCCGAGTGGAAAGGTCCGGCCGGTGGCAAATGCACCGAATTTTATAGCCCACTTTGAAGAGGCGGTGTCTGATTTATGTAGGGCTCACAGATTGGTTCTATCAGGTATGACATTTACACAGTGCTCAGGGAAGGCTGGTTGCCCCACCCTAATCTTATTATGCAAATGGGCTTTCCAGTTGATCGGTGCCATCTTGTCTGCTTTGTATGGTACAAGTGGCTGGCAGGGAAGAAACGGGGAGCCGCCATCTTGGAAAGTCTAGTCCATAGTTCCTCTCGGCATTTGTCCCTGAAAGCTCCCAGCTTGTAGGCTGCTCTTTGTTAGAAAATGATTTGGGGCTGCTTTTCATTAAAAAGAAAAGCCTTACCGAGGACCCCCATACACTTGCTTCTGCCTAAGTGATTTCTTCTTAACTCCTATATCATTACTTTGCACAGAGACAACAGAAGACATACAGCCCAGACTGATCTTGTAGGACTTGGTAAGAAATTTTTAAGTGAACAAAAAAAAAAAAAAAAAAAAAAGAAGGCGTTATTGCCAAAGTTTTAGTAAAGGAGTAATATGTGTGCTTTAAAAAGAAAAAAAGGGGGCCGGGCGCGGTGGCTCACGCCTGTAATCCCAGCACTTTGGGAGGCCGAGGCTGGTGGATCATGAGGTCAGGAGATCGAGACCATCCTGGCTAACAAGGTGAAACCCCGTCTCTACTAAAAATACAAAAAATTAGCCGGGCGCGGTGGCGGGCGCCTGTAGTCCCAGCTACTCGGGAGGCTGAGGCAGGAGAATGGCGTGAACCCGGGAAGCGGAGCTTGCAGTGAGCCGAGATTGCGCCACTGCAGTCCGCAGTCTGGCCTGGGCGACAGAGCGAGACTCCGTCTCAAAAAAAAAAAAAAAAAAAAAAAAAAAAAAAAGAAAAAAAAAACCTGGAAGATCTTCTAGGACACATTGGAAAGAAAGTTGCAGTCAAGTACAAACTGTTGCAAATCTGCAAAAAGGAGGAACAGGAGAGCACAGTGCTGAGTGCCGCTGCTGGCCCTGTTGCAGGGTCAGGGAAGATGAGACTGATTGACCACTGATTTGGCAACTGGAGGTCACTTGTGGCAGTGAAAAGAAAAATTTCCTTGAGTGGTAGAGACAAAACTTTTCTTCAAGAGAAAAAGAACAATGAGGAAGTAAAGACTGCATATGTGGGAATCTTTTTCAGAGAGTTTTGCTATGAAGGCTAGCAGAGAAACAAAAGCTGTAGGAGATTTGTGAAGGCAGGGAAGTTTTGTTTTGTGTGTGTGTGTGTGTGTGTGTGTGTGTGTGTGTGTTTTAGAAGGGAGGGAGCTATTAAAGTACATTTGTTGGCTGATAAGAATGATCCAATGGAGAAGGAAATTTGATGATGCAGGCAGTAGTGAGATTAATGTAGGTACAAAATCCTTTAGTATGTAAGAAGTGATTGGATGCAGTGTGCAAGGAGAGGTTGGGCTTATATTGGAACCCTGATGTTTACTCTTTAAATAGGAGAAAAGCCAGAATACATGAATTTGTATTCATGATGCAGTGAGGTTGAAAGTTTGGTGGTAGGTAGATGAGACGTCTTCTACTGTCATTCTTCTATTTACTATAAGCATCTAATTGCTTCTATTTTCTCAGTTCATAAGAAGTAGGTCTTCATTTGATGTGAGAAGGGGCTAGCAGTATCAGAAATCTGAGGGAAAAAGAGAAACTGTGAAATAGTAAGAGAACTACTTGACTAGGGAAAATTATTTGTATTGCCTGTCAGCGTTGAGGCCCAGTCTGGTTTTAAACTTAATATAAGGCCTCTGAGCTCCATTCTATCTCTCATTAGCTGCTCGAATGAAGGCATGAAATAAGCAGACAGTGGATTTCTCCACGTTTGAAATTTTGGAAATGATGTATAACAAGAGGGAGAGACAAGTAAGAGTGGTGAGGGAATGCATACAAGGCACTAATTATGATGATGGATCGTGTCATCCAAGCTGAGTAGAATGGAGTGAGGACAAGAATTAGGTTGGAGGAGTGAGGTGCAAAAATAAGAGGTGATACCTCTCATGCTCACATGTATCAGGACCAGTCACCTAATTTGTGGGGCTTAGTGCAAAAGAAAAATTTAGGGCCACTCATTCAAACATTATTAGGAATTTCAAGAGCTGGGCATGTTGGAGTATGCCTGTGATCTCAGTTACTTAGGAGGCTGAGGCAGAAGGATTACTTGAGGCCAGGAGTTTGAGTCTGTAGTGTGTTGTGATTATGCTTATGAATAGCCATTGCATTCTAGGTGGAGCAACATAGTGAGACCCCATCTCTAAAAAGAAAAAGAAATGAAATAAAATAATTTCAAGACAGTAACAACTGAGCATTAAATGAAGCATAGAGACTGTGTAAACATGGGACTGTGATTGCTGCAGAGGCCATAGACCCATGTAGCTGGCCCCACATATGAGCATATCCATATATAAAAGTCTGTTTTTGAAGACCCATTTTTATTTTTTAGGCCCCAATAATAAATGATCAATTATTAGTAGTTAAAGAAAAAAAGAAGAAAAGAGGTGGTAACTAGAGAGAGGGGATGATGAAAATTAGTTTGGGAGAGACTAGCTGGTCTAAGATGTAATCATGTTAGCAAGAGGACAGGATTACTGACATTAAAAGGCCAAAAGACAGAGAGGTGAGGATCTTGGTTGTATTAGTTACGGGGCTGTTATAACCACTAGGATTTGCGACTTGAGTAGCATTGACGGTGGTGATGGGGAGCCTGGCAAGACAGCAGATGTCTACAGCAAGAGGAGGGAATGGGAAGCTGCTCTGATGGCGTAATCATCAAGGTTGCTGATAAAATGGGTAAGAAAAAGAAACAAAGGTTTGGAAATATGAACAAAGGGCTGGGAGGTTATTACCACACTTTCAGCCAAGAGGCACATGAAATGCCGCAGAAAAACTGCCACATCCTGAGATGGCTGCAGGGGAGGCTGTGTTTTTAGAGGAAAGTCAAGTTCAGTGGAGCAAGAAGGGGCATAGAATATTCAAAGAAGAGTTTGAGAATCTGTGAAGTTTTACTGATGACAAATTATGGCTTCCAAAGGGTACAGTGAAAGGGCTTGGGAGGTTAGGGATGGGTAGAAGGTGAAGTCAGACTAGCTTTATGAGGATAAGAATCCAGGAGATAAGGGAAGACCTAGAAACTTGGATTTCTTGTGAGTCACCAAGGAATATAGGAATCTAGGGGACAGTAAGATTTATCCTGATGGTTTCTTAGGTGTAGGTGATAATCAGGTATAAATTTTTAACTAAGTCTCCAAAAGCAACTGCAACAGAACCACAAATGAACAAATGGGACCTAATTACACTAAAGAGCTTCTGCACAGCAAAACAAACTATTAACAGAGGAAACAGACAACCTATAGAATGGTAGAAAATATTTGTAAACCATGCACCTTAAAAAGGTCTGATATGCAGAATCTATAAGGAAATTAAATCAACAAGCAAAAAACAAACACATTAAAAAATGGGCAAAGGACATGTACAGGCAGTTCTCAAAAGAACACATGCGACTGGCCAACAAACATACGAAAAAATTCGCATCAACACTAATCATCAAAGAATTGCAAATCCAAACCACAATGAGACATCATCACACACCAGGCAGAATGACTATTATTAAAAAGTAAAAAATAAAACCAGATGTTGGTGAAGCTGTGGAGAAAAGGGAATGCTTATACTCTCTTGGTGAGAATATAAACTAGCTACTGTGGAAAACAGTTTGGAGATTTCTCAAAGAACTAAAAACAGAGCTACTATTCAACCCAGCAATTCCATTATTGGATATATATCCAAAGGAAAATAAATAATTCTACCAAATAAACATGCACTCATGTGCTTATTACCATGCTATTCACAATAGTGAAAACATAAAATCAACCTGGGTTCCCATACTTGGTGTATTGGATAAAGAAAATGTGGTACATATACACCATGAAATATGATGCAGCCATAAAAAGAATGCTATCGTGTCCTTTGCAGTAACATGGATGCAGCTGGGGCCATAATCCTAAGTGAATTAATGCAGGAATGGAAAGCCAAATACTGTATGCTCTCACTTGTAAGTGGGAGCTAAATATTGAGCACACATGGACATAAATGTGGGAACGATGAGCATTGTGGACTACTAGAGAAGGGAGGGAGAGGGGCGTGGGTTGAAAAACTACCTGATTGGTACAATATTAGTCAGTTTTTGCACTGCTATAAAGAAATACCTGAGAATGCATAATATATAAAGAAAAGAGGTTTAATTGGCTCATGGTTACCCAGACTGTACTGGAAACATGACTGGGGAGGCCTCAGATAATTTACAATCATGACAGAAGGTGATGGGGAAGCAGGCACATTTTACATGGCCAGGGCAGAAAGAAGAGAGGGAGAGAGGAGGTGCTACACACTTTTAACAACCAAATCTTGTGATCACTTACTGTCATGAGAATAGCACCAAAGAGGAAATCCATCCCCATGATTCAGTCACCTCCCACCAGGACCCACCTCCAATACTGGGGATTACAATTCGACATGAGATTTAGGTGGGGATAGAAATCCAAACCATGTCATTCCACCTCTGGCCCCTCCCGAATCTCATTTCCTTCTCACATTGCAAAATGCAGTCATTCCTTCTCAACAGTCCCTCAAAGTCTGAACTAATTTTAGCATTAACTCAAAATTCTACAATCAAAATTCTCATCTGAGAAAAGGAAAGTCCCTTCCACCTATGAGCATGTAAAATAAAAAACAAGTTAGTTACTTGCAAGATACAATGGAGGTACAGGCATTGAGTAAAGACTCTCATTCCAAAAGAGAGAAATCAGTCCAAACAAAGGGGTTGTAGTCCCCATGAAGGTCTGAAAGCCAGCAGTGCAGTCATTAAATTTTAAATCTCCAAAATAATCTCTTTTGACTCTGTGTCTCACATCCAGGGCATACCGGTGCAAGGGATGAGCTCCCAATGCCTTGGGAAGCTCTCTCCCTGAAGTTTTTCAGGGTACAGCTTCCACAGCTGCTCTCAAGTGCTAGTGCCTGTGGCTTTTCCAGGTTCATGGTACAGGCTGTCAGTGTATCTACCATTCTGGGGTCTGGAGGACTGTGGCCTTCTCACAGCTCCACTAGGCAGTGCTTCAGTGGGGACTCTGTGTGAGGGCTCCAAACCCACATTTCACCTTCATACTCCTGTAGTAGAGGTTCTCCATGAGGGCTCTGCCTCTGTAGCAGGCTTCTACCTGGACATCCAGGCTTTCACATACATCTTCTAGGGTTTTTATAGTTTGGGGTTTTACTTTTGGGTCTTTAATCTATCTGGAGTCAATTTTTGTATGTAGTGTAAGGAAGGGGTCTAGCTTTAGTCTTCTGCATATGGCTCGCTAGTTATCCCAATACCATTTATTGAATAGGGAATCCTTTCTCCATTGCTTTTTTTGTCAGCTTTATCAAAGATCAGATGGTTGTAGATGTGTGGCCTTATTTCTGTGCTCTCTATTCTGTTTCATTGGTCTATGTGTCTGTTTTTGTACCAGTACCATGCTGTTTTGGTCACTGTAGCCTTGTAGTATAGTTTGCAGTCAGGTAACATGATTTTTCCAGCTTTGCTCTTTTTGTTTAGGATTGCTTTGGCTATTGGGGCTCTTTCTTCATTCCATAAAAATTTTAAAATAATTTTTTCTAGTGGTGTGAAGAATGTCATTGGTAGTCTGATAGAAATAGCATTGAATCTGTAAATTGCTTTGGACAGTATAGCCATTTTAATGATATTGATTCTTCCTATTCATGAGCATAGGATGTTTTTCCATTTGTTTTTGTCTTCTCTTATTTCTTTGAGCAGTGTTCTGTAATTCTCATTGCAGAGATCAAAGAGAAAAAAATGTTCCTTGTCTTTTTTGATCTTTGTTGGTTTGAAATCTGTTTTGTTTAAAATTAGGATTGTAATACCTGATTTTTTGTTTTCCATTTTTATCCATCCCTTTATTTTGAGCCTGTGAACGTCACTATATGTGAGACGGGTTTCTTGAAGACCATTGGATCCTGCTTTTTCATCCAGCTTGCCACTCTGTCCCTTAAGTGGGTCATTTAGTCCATTTACATTCAAGTTTAGTATTGATATGTATGGATTTGATCCTGTCATTGTGCTGTTAGCTGGTTATATGTTGGCTTGTTTGTGTGGTTGCTTTACAGTGATAGTGGTCTGTGTGTTTAAGTATGTTTTTGTATTGGTAGCAGCCTTTCCTTTCTATATTTAGTGCCCCTTTCAAGATCTCTGGTAAGGCAGGTCTGGTGGTAATGAAATCCCTCAACATTTGCTTATCTGCAAAGGATCTTATATCTCCTTCACTTAGGAAGCTTAGTTTGGCTGGATATGAAATTCTTGGTTGAAGATTTTTTTTAAGACTGTTGAATATAATGTTTGTAATTCTCATTGCAGAGATCTTTCACCTCCCTGGTTAGCTGTATTCCTGGGCATCTAATTTTTCTTGTGGCAATTCTGAATGGGATTGCCTTTCTGATTTGGCTCTCAGTTTGGTTGTTGTTGGTGTATAGGAATGCTAGTGATTTTTGTACATTGATTTTGTATCCTGCAACTTTGATGAAGTTCTTTATCAGCTAAAGGAGCTTTGGGGCCAATAATATGGGGCCCCAATCTCTTCTACCTTATAGGGTTTCAGCTGAGAGTTTCACTGTTAGCCTGATGGGGATTCCTTTGTAGGTGATCTGCCCTTTCTTTCTGTAGCTGCCTTTAACATTCTTTCATTTTGACCTTGGAAAATCTGACAATTACATGTCTTGGGGATAATCTTCTTGTGTAGAATCTTGCAGGATTTCTCTGTATTTCCTGAATTTGACTGTTGGCCTATCTAGCAAGGTTGGGGAAGTTGTCATGGGCTATATTCTGAAATATACTTTCCAAGTTGTTTCCTTTCCTCCTTTCCCTTTCAGGGATGCCATTGATTAGTAGATTTGGCCTCTTTACATGATCCTATACTTCTTGGAGGTTTTTGTTCATTCCTTTTTAACATTTTTTCTTTATTTTGTCTGACTGTCTTATTTCAGAGAACCAGTCTTCAAGTTCTGAGATTCTGTCCTCAGCTTGGTTTATTCTGCCATTAATACTTGTGATTGCATTGTGAAATTCTTGCATTCTGTTATTCAGCTCTGTAGATACATTAGATTCTTTTTTATACAGGCTATTTTGTCTTTCAGCTCCTGCATTGCTTTATTGTGATTTTTATTTTCCTTGGATTGGGTTTTGCCATCCTCCTCCTGAATCTTGATGATTTTTGTTCCTGTCCACATTCTAAATTCTATTTCTGCCATTCCAGCCAGTTTGGCCTGGTTAAGAACTCTTGCTGGAGAAGTGGTGTGGTCATTTGGAGGACATATGACACTCTGGCCATTTGAGTTATCTGAGTTCTGGCATTGATTCTTTCTCTGTGTGTGAGTGTTCATTTAACTGCAGTGTAGATTGAGTACAGTCAATAGACTTCTGGATCTTTTCACTGGGCTGAGGCTTTATGTAGGGTCTTTATTTGAAGCTGACTTCTTGTCTCTGGTTTCAGAGGTGGGTATGTTAGTAAGGTATTTTTGGTGTGGAAGCTTTGGGGTATGATCCAGCAGGTGACACTTAGGCCTATTGGTCAGTTGGTAGATTCTTGCTCTGTTGTGTGGCTCCCCTATATTTCCTCACAGTTGCAGCTGTGTTACCCCTCAGTGCTCTGAAAGTGTGGATTCCTCTCCCCATTGAGTGCTGGCTCTAGTTCATGACTTGGCACTCCTGAGCTGCCCACTGCAGCTCTAGGGCAATCTTAGTGTTTATGTTCCTTCCCCAGCTTAGAGGCAGCAAAGCAAGGGACCTTAGTAGTGGCTGTGGCCAAGGGTCATTTCCTTGACTCCTGGGGGCCCCACCCCAGAGAGATGCAGATCATCAATCACTCAGTGCAGTCAGTCCAGGATAGAGGGTTTGTGCTATGGACCCAAGCCAGGGTTTCCCTGTCTGGTGATGAGCCATGGGTGGTAGGGGGTGTGGCACCCATGGGAGATGAACTGGCCTTCTCTCTTTGGGTTGACTGCAGATTGTTGGAGGTGTGGATAAGACACAAAGGGCCTTTGCGCCTTTGTTAGTCCAAAGGTGGCAAGGGCAGTTCTTCTGCAGAGGCAGGGGCCAAGAGGCTTTCAGTTGCCCTTGGATGCTCTGTCCAGGGAGTTCCTGAGTTGGTGCTGGCTCAATAGCTCTGGTAGGTGGTGGCTGGAGGCCCAGGCCTAGAGGACCTGCCTGGTGAGGAGATATGGGAACAGGTACCCACATAACAGCTGACCACTTTTCTGTACGGCTGCTGCGGTATGCTTGGGGCCCACTCCAGTCTCTGGTCACGTTGGATTTTCCAGAACCCAGAGGTGTCACCAGTGAAGTCTAAAAAACAACAAAGAAGGCAGCCTGTCCCTCCCTCTGGGAGTTTTGTCCCAGGAAGGTATGAACCTGTTGCCAGCCCAAAGACACCTGTAGGAAGTGTCTGGAGACCCTGGTTGGGAGGTCCCACCCAGTAAGGAGGACTGGGATTGGGCACCTGCTTAAAGCAGCAGTCTGGCTACATTTTGGTAGAGTCTGTGCTATGCTGGGGGATCCCTTCCACCCCAGGTTAACTCAGACACTCCAAAGCCTAAAGGTTGGAATGGCTAAGTCACCCAAACAGCAAAGATGGTGGCCCACCCCTCTGTCTGGGAGTGCTGTCCCAGGGGGAATTCAGATCTCTGTCAGTTAGAGAGCTTGGGTGGGGGTGGCTAGAGGCCCTGGTTGGGAGGTCCTGCCCAGTGAGGAGGAAAGGGATCAGGCACTCGCTTAAAGCAACAGACTGGTCACTTTTTGGTAGAGCAGCTGTGCTGTGCTGGGGAATCCCTTCCTCCCTGGGTTGGCTCCAATTCTCCAAAGCCTGAAGGCTGGAATGGCTAAAGTGCCTGGACTGCAAAGATGGCTGCCTGCCCCTCCCCCTGGGAGCTCCTTCTTAGGGAGGTGCAATGGTGCTCCTGATAGCTGGCTGGAATTCTAAGCCAGTGGGTCTTACCTTGTGAGGTGCACTGGAGGTGGGAGTGGAGCCTGTGGGCTGTTGCTGCTTAGCCCCCTGGATTCAGCCTCATTCCTAACGGTATGTGCAGGAGCCTAACGTCCCAATTTCCACATTCTTAAGCTTACCAATTAGTCCAAAGTTATTTTTTCTCTTAGAGAAACCACCTTCCTGGAACATTCCCTCCTCTCTCTCTCTCTCTGTCTTTCAATCTCTCCCAATCTCTCTTTCTGTCACCTTTTTTAAAAGTCTTTTCCTGTCACCCAGGCTGGACTGCAGTGGCACAATCACAGCTCACTGCAGCCTCAAACTCCTAAGCTCAAGTGATTCTCGCACTTCAGCCTCCCAAGTAGCTGGGACTACAGGTGGGTGTCACCACGTCCAGCTAACATACTGTTTTTATGCTGCAAATTGAACAGGCTGTGAATATGGGATCAAATAGATTAAATGTGCAAAGGTCATACAGCTAGTGTATGACAGAACTGGAACTGAAACGCAGGCCGTCTGTTCATTGCATTTCCTATTGGTGGTTGTATTGGTTATCTATTGCCAAAATAATGCTGTGTAACAAACTACCTCCAAATTCAGTGCCTCCAGAAACATTTCCTTAATTTTTCTCATGTGTCCAGGCTTGGCTGGGCTTGACTGACATAGCTCATTAGAGGCAGATCTGTTCCTTTTACCTCCAGTCTAGCCCAGTCCTGTTCTCATGGGGATAGCAGGAGTGCAGGAAAACAAACAATTTTGCCAGTGCTTTTCCTTTTCAAACTTTGATCCTTACTTCCTCTTAATGTCTCATTGATCAAAGCAAGTCACATGGCCAAAGCCAAAGTCAAAAGGCAGGAAAATTCAGTCCACCCATGTAGTAGGGGGGAAGGAGGGAATCAATACTTATTGATAATAACTGAATCTACTACAATGCCTAAGTAGCAAGATATATAAATGACATGCAACTCCACTAAAATGTCTAATAATTAAGAAATTAACTAACCTTAAGATTTCTCAATTAGTTACTTTTTGCTGAAGCGTAAGCAGTTTCCTCAGTTCTAACCACAAATTCTTACATAAAATATGTAAGCATTAAAATCATATATTAATACAGTATTAAATATATTTCAATAATATGTCAAAATATTTCAATTTGATTTTATTTGCTTTCTTCTCATTCTCCTTTATAGTTTCTGAATTTTGTGCCATATGTATGGCAAATGCATTTGAGAAATGAAATGTTATAAAAAATAAAAGTTTACTAATTTATTTGAACCTTAAAACAGAGCACTAAAGTATCTTGCTCTGAGACCGTATCTATATTTAAATGGTAAAAATACACAGATCAGTTTTATTCCAAATTAGTATTCCTAGAGTTAAACTATATCCATACTTTTTACATTTATAGCAGGGCATATTTTAAAAACACATGACTATAACATGCGAATGTAATCATTCCTTATGGGCCACTGAATAATAAGTATATCTAAGAAGAAAGCAAGGATATTTTAAAAGGTAAAAGGCTTGCAAATTTCTGTTTGAAAATTTTAAGCAAATTAAGATATGCTTGTCTGTGAAAAAAATGTAAAAGTTCAGCTGTATAAATCACTTAATATCCCATGCAAAGTAATAAAAAAAAAAACTTGGACTAAAACATGAAAGTTACTATTATACATTTATATGTATTGTGTTTATATACACCTGTAAATCCAGTAGGAAATAGTCTACTACTAAATCTTTTCTTCTTGTTTACACTTCTACAGCCTATGGCTAAACGGATTTTTCACTTTTTGTTTGGACAATGTGGAAGTACCAGGTACCAGGACTCTCCCTTGTCATAACTCCCATGTAGGTGAATGAATTGAGCATGGTTAGTCTGTAACAGGCTCTAGTATACATGCTTGGTGGGGTTAAAAAAATAGAGATCCACTGAAGGATTCTCAGCCATTAAACTTGGGACTTTACCCAGCACCTCTGTGCCCTACTCTAAAAGTATCCATAACTTAGCTCTGATCACAGTGCTTTCCTGCAAGCTGCAATTAGGTGGGATGTCTTAGCTGTCTTGCTAAAAATACACACTTTGAAAGATAGTCTTCAGCAGTCTGCGGGAGGATAAGAGAGGGTGAGGCACAAACCGTCTGTTTACCTTGCTCAGGAGCGCTGCTTGTGCTTATTTTCTGACCCCAGGTCCTGGCACTTGCCAGCACCAATCTTTCAATTCTGTTATGTCCTCCTAGGGAGAGACTAAAATTGCCCAGACCTGCTTTATGTTTAGATTACCTCTGAAGCCACTTAATTTGCAGTTGCCAATAGTTGCTTTGTCTTTCTCAATTATGCTCTAAATTGGTGTGAAAACATTAGGATTATTGTGCTAATTAAAATATCTTTTGCACAGCTGTACTTTGCCAGGAGTGGGTGAAGGAAAGCCCCATGGGCAGCCCCAAAGCCCCTCCAGGGAGCAGGTTTGTCATCTCAGGTGGCCCAATGTGACACCTTGAGGGGCTTCTCCAATGCACCTCACCCTCAACCACTACCTTGTCAGGTTGTCTGGGACCCTTGGTCTTTAAATATCACACAATATATACAAAACACCTTAGAAGATGAGACAAACCAGCATCTGGCCAAGTGAGTGTTTATTAAAATAAAATACAAGAAAAATAACTTATGCAAGCTATCTAATACTATAGAATCAGAAAGGTCATGAGATATTTTTACATAAGGTAATTCTATCAGCTTTGACAATACTACGTTTTAGGATAAGAAGCTAGCTAAAAACGTGAAAAAAGAAGAGAACGAGAAAGAAGGAACAGGATGTGGATGATGCACTGTTTAATCTGTCATATACTTAAAGCTAAAAATCTTGAAGTCACAACCCTTCCTGTCAGGCCTCTGAGCCCAAGCTAAGCCATCATATCCCCTGTGACCTGCATGTATACATCCAGATGGCCTGAAGTAACTGAAGAATCACAAAAGAAGTGAAAATGGCCTGTTCCTGCCTTAACTGATGACATTCCACCATAAAAGAAGTGAAAATGGCCGGTCCCTGCCGTAACTGATGACATTACCTTGTGAAATTTCTTCTCCTGGCTCATCCTGGCTCAAAAGCTCCCCCGCTGAGCACCTTGTGACCCCCTCCCCTGCCTGCCAGAGAACAACCCCCTTTGACTGTAATTTTCCACTACCCACTCAAATCTTATAAAACGGCCCCACCTCTATCTCCCTTCGCTGACTCTCTTTTTGGACTGAGCCTGCCTGCACCCAGGTGATTAAAAAGCGTTATTGCTCACACAAAGCCTGTTTGGTGGTCTCTTCACACAGACGCGAGTGAAACTTCCTATGCCTCTTTTGCCATATCCAGGATGTTTCCAGAGCCTACTTTCCAAATAACATTCTCTTCTGCCATAAGCTTAACTGAGGCTCTCAGCATTTCTTACTTCGATATTACAGTGACTTCCCAGGTTCTCTTTCATTTACTATGTCCCCCTACTAATAGGTATAATTTTTCTAAAACCATATCTGGTTACAGATGGTTCACTTTCCTGTTTCAATTAATACCCAATATACTCAGGATAAATTTGACCTCAGCATGGTAAACATATCTCTTCATAGCCTGACCCCTACGCCGGTTTCACCACTCCTACCTTGATTCTACCTCCTTGCTTCTGATTGGAACATTCCATTACGCTCCATCTCTATGCCAGTTAAGTGTTTATCCCTATGCTTGGTTAAACAGAGAATTTGTGAAGGATTCTGTTTCTTATTCCCTTATAGGTACAGAGGGGATACTCAATACATAGCTACTCCCATCAATCAATTTGGAATTATGGTATAATTCTAATCAAACTTTAAAAGAAGTCTTACAAGTGTAGAATTTTGAGATAAATGAGCGTATTTATGGAAGCTAAAGTGATTCCTGACTCCATTATAGTTTGGATGTCTCCTCCAAATCTTATGTTGAAATGTGATCTCCAGTGTTGGAGGTGGGGCCTGGTGGGAGATGTTTGTATCTTGGGGGTAGATCTCTCATGAATGGCTTGTGCCATCTCCTTGGTGATAAGTGAGCTCTCACTCTTGAGTTCACATGAGATCTAGATCTGGTTGTTTGAAAGTCTGTGGCACCTCCCCTCCCCACTCTCTCACTTCCTCCTGCTTTTGCCATGTGAAACACCTGTTCCCACTTTGCCTTCTGCCACGAGTAAAAGCTCCCTAAGGCCTCCCCAGAAGCTGAGCAGATGGCAGCACCATGCCTGTACAGCCTGCAGAAGCATGAGCCAATTAAAATTCTTTTCTTTATAAATTACCCCGTCTCAGGTATTTCTTTATAGCAATGCAGAAATGGCCTAATGCACCCCAATAGGTAAAAATATACTTAAAATTTTCTATTAAGAAGCAGCTGGTATTTAAATTAAATTAGATCTGGCCCATGGGAAGGAAGAGGGAAAGTGCAGTCTTATATACAACAGAGAAAACATGTTAGGAAAAGGTAATGGCGGCCGGGCGCGGCCTGTAATCCTGTAATCCCAGTACTTTGGGAGGCCGAGGTGGGCGGATCATGAGGTCAAGAGATTGAGACCATCCTGGCCAACATGGTGAAACCCCGTCTCTACTAAAAATACAAAAAATTAGCCGGGCGTGGTGGCAGGCTCCTGTAATCCCAGCTACTTGGGAGGCTGAGGCAGGAGAATCGCTTGAACCCGGGAGGCGGAGGTTGCAGTGAGCCGAAATCGTGTCATTGCACCACTCCAGCCTGGGCAAAAAGAGTGAAACTCCGTCTCAAAAAAAAAAAAAAAGTAATGGCATTTTTTATTGTGATTTATAAAATAAGTTTTCATCCCTGATAAATCATAGCTATGGATTTCATTAATTTAAGAGCAAATTTTTAATGGGAAGTGAATTAAAGAGTCAGCTTAAATATTTACATATTTAATTTTAAATTAACCTACTTAATCTCTGTGTGAAAATTTTGCATCACTATTTCATTGGCCAATAAAGAGAGAATTCAAAGATGGATGAATACAAAAAGATAAGATTAAATCTGAATTTATCTGTATACCAACATGGACTGATCCCAGGGGAGTGGATCATTCACTAATCAGTAGTAATGGATCACCTTAGTGTCCAACTGGTTGGCACCACATCTAGGTCAGTACATTCCACAGAGAAGACACAGGAGGGAGCAGGGAGAGTTAAAAGGCCTTCAACAGAGGAAAGCCTCTAGCAAGAAAGAGAAGAAAGCGATTATGGGACTCTAAAAGGCACCATCAGATAGGGGAATACATATCCTGTTGTTTCTGAACAATGGCAGGCTTTCTTTTCAGGGTCTCATTCGTTTCTATTCCACATATTCATTGATATTAAAACCTGCACTTACACTCATTTCCTTCAAATTCATAATTTTGTTTTCATTTCAAAGTTTGGTCTCCTAAGGACTTTACTACGTGAATACAGAATACAGAAGACTCTAACAATGTATGAGGGTTTGAATTTCAGACTTATTCAGTCAGTTTACATTTCTTCATTCTTTTCATCTCCACTTTTCCAATTTCCTCCTAGTCTCATAAGGAGAATAAGAAATGCAGTGGTGTTAAGAAGAGTATTCTATAATGCCTAGTAAATGCCAGGCATGCAGATGTAGCCGAGTTTGAAAACATTTTAATGGGTTGTTTAAAAGTTTTGTTCTGATACAGCCACAGCTTGGGGTTATGAAGCTCTTCCACTAATCAGATTATATCAAAAACTGAAAGTTGCAAAACTGTTTCTAAATTTATGTCACATACTCCCATTAAAGAGAAAAGAATTATTGTGGAAATGATATCTATCATTAATTTGCTTAAATAATAGAAACGGGCAAAACCTTGTGTTTATAGCTCTTACACAAATATAAAACTTAAACGAATCTATACATTAATATAAAGCAAGCCATAAAGCAATAATGTTAATTTAACATGATGGATGATATTGCTTGCTGAAAGTCAATTACAGATATTGGGTGTAGAGTAGGAAGATGTAGCTTCGGATATTGTCCCCTGTTTGATCTGTTTCTATGCATCTGTTCACATAAATGTTGTATTTCCACAATTCACTAGTATTGGTGCCTTTGAGATGCTTATAATGTTGTTACTTCAAGATAACCAAATCCACTGAGTAATCAAAAAGGCCAATTTGAATGAGGTGGTACGAGGCAACTCTGAAAAGCTGTTCTTTTGTTTAGTTGAAGATAAATTTGCATGTAGTGTTAATTAAACTTACTTTGATTAGTGATCTAAATTATTACCACATTTGAGAACAGAAAAATATTTTTGGTGCTAATAAAGTGAAGTGATTTGGCAATTCATCCTGTAGAATGAGTATGGTAATCATTCATCTGGGTTCAATTTCCCTGTAATATCATGTACATTGTGATAAATCAATTTTCCTGTCATGAACCTTAGTTCATTTGGTGTACCTTAAAGTCATTAGCTTTTCACTTGGCACAGCCTCAAGAGCGACCCCCATAATAACTAAAATTATAAACATGGGCAATAATATTGTAATGCAAAATTATAAGATACAGGACTTAGTTACATCAATAAAATAAAAGTGCAAAGATTAACAAAAAAAACCTTAGAAATGAGAAATGACAACCTTCAGATCACATTTTACAATAAGCAGACTTCCAAATTAATCAATCTTGGGGAGGCCTTGTGACTCTATGGTGACATTCTGTCTCTCAGTAAATAATAAATTCCTCAAATGGTTATACTGATCAATGTATAACCTGCAGACACTAAATAGGATGCTGATTTATTTTAAGATTTGCTGAAGCATGAAGTTCTGCTGATGGTCCTACATGTAGACATTTTTAACTCATATGATGTTGTCTGTAGCCGATGATTATGCCTTTTGTATTGTACTCTCTAATGAAGAGGGGACAACTACATTATGAGGAGTCTCCCTTTTTTTAAAAAACTTTCTTTTTTTTTTTTTTTTTCTGGTGATAGAATCTCTGTCACCCAGGTTGGAGTGCAGTGGCCTGATCTCGGCTCACTGCAACCTCCGCCTCCTGAGTTCAAGTCATTCTCCTGCCTCAGCCTCCCCAGTAGACAGAATTACAGGTGCCCACCACTACACCTGGCTAATTTTTGTATTTTTAGTAGAGATGGGGTTTCACCATGTTGTCCAGGCTGGTCTGGAACTCTTGACGTCTGGTGATCCACCCGCCTTGGCTTCCCAAAGTGCTCAGATTACAGGTGTCAGCCACTGCATCTGGCCTAAAACTTTCTTATAAATATCTTTCACCTTGTGACAGGCTGTGGAACACCCCCAGCTCTGCTGGTGTGTCTTCCTGGGTCAATCCTCACATTTGGCTTCCAATAAACCTTTATGTGGCCGGGTGTGGTGGCTCACACCTGTAATCCCAGCACTTTGGGAGGCCGAGGTGGGTGGATAACTTGAGGTCAGAAGTTCGAGAACAGCCTGGTCAACATGGCAAAACCCTGTCTCTACTAAAAGTACACAAAAATTAGCCGGGCATGGTGATATGTGCCAGTAATCCCAGTTACTTAGGAGGCTGAGGCAGGAGAATTGCTTGAACCAGGAGGCGGAGGTTGCAGTGAGCTGAAATTGCTCCACTGCACTCTGCCTGGGCGACAGAGTGGGACTCCATCTCAAGAAAATAAAATAAATAAATAAATAAATAAATAAATAAATAAATAAATCTTTATGAAATTATTTCTATCTCAACAGCCTTAATTTCAGTTGACAGTAACTATTGGATCCCCAGGAATATGTTTGCATATTTGGGGAGAAAATACTATTGGAGGGGAACAGAAATGCTACTAAGGTAAGTTTTTGTGATATACACATATACATTATATAAAAATATATCAATATATACAAATATTATCATTATTATAAAAATATATGATTATATAAAATATATACGATTTTTCTAGTGAGAAGTAGGCTTGCTGTAACTTGCCCTGAAAAAGACATTTTCTTTCATGGAAAAACAGCTACATGATTTGACTGTGGCAAACTGACCTTTCTTTATCTGGAGAAGAGAAAAACAACTCTGAAGACATGGCAACTAAAATCCTTTGAAGACTTATTCAGTTAACGAGTTGTAAAAGAGGACAGTTAGAGAAATGAATCCAAGCATAGCTGATTGTCAAGTAATGCCAGCTTCAGAGGAGCCCTGGAGTTTAAGTGATAAAAAAAGACATGATAAGAAATGGTAGGCTCATCATTTTAAGTGGTAACCACTGATAGTTCCCACGAAGAAAAGTCAAAATCAGACAGAAAAATCTGTTTGGACCTCTAAGAGCTTTCCTAGGAAGTATTTGATTCCAAGCCAAATGATTAGGCTGCCTTTGTTCTACTTTAATTTGAGAATAAATCAAGAATTGAAAAAGCAATAATTCACAATCTTAGGCATTTAATGACCAGTTAGTTAATAGTGGCTAATCTAATTATTTTTCTACTAGACAAAATTTGATAAAATGCTGCTTTAATTTCTTCTTCAATGTGATGACTATGGTAATTTAAAGTTTAGTTCAGACAGATTGAATTACATAGAAATGGGCACAAGTAACGTAAACTACATGATTTATGATTTGGCTCTGTGTCCCCACCCAAATCTCATCTCAAATTGTAATCCCTATGTGTCAAGGGAGGGACCTGGTGAGAGATGATTGGATCCTGGAGGCGGATTTTCCCCTTTCTGTTCTCGTGATAGTGAGTTCTCACAAGATCTGGTCGTGTGATAAGTATCTGGTGTTTCCACTGCTCCCTCTCTCTCTCCTGCTGCCTTGTGAAAAAGGTGCTTGCTTCTCCTTTGCCTTCCGCCATGATTGTAAGTTTCCTGAGGCCTCCTGAGCCATGCAGAACTGTGAGTCAATTAAATCTCTTTTATTTATAAATTACCCACTCTCAGGCAGTATCTTTATAAGCAGTGTGAAAATGGACTAATACACTATAAGACTGTTGCATTAGATGTCTATTCCTTCTGAAGACTGAGGGAATGAAAAGAAATGAATATAAACTATAATTTCAAAGATGTGATAAGAATTGATTACTGGTTCCATATACAGTAGGCAAGAAGGAATAGGTTTTTTTGCTCTTCAATTTTGATACTTTTTGAATAAGTTTATGTCACAGGCAAAAGGGCTGTTATAGAGTTACCAAGAGTAGGAAGATTACAGTGAAACATGGGATAGGTAGAAGATTAGTTGATACATTTAGGGAATGTTTCTCAGAGCATATTGTGTGAGAGGCCAAAACACAAGACAAAATGAAAAAAAATCAAGAAATCTATTCTGTACTCAAAAAGTTTGGGAAATAGTGTATGCTATATCAAGCTCTTGGAAGCTCACAATGAGCATTAGCTAACATGATTTCTGGTAAGTTCTACAGTAAGGAAACGTCTTGAATGTTTTTAAAATCAGTTTCTCAGATTTATTTGGATGTCAAACTTTTTTATTCCCAAGTGCTGATTTAGGGAGAAGCAGCAACAGGTTCACAAAAAATCCAAGAGGAAAGGAATTAAATCAGTTTTCAACTTAAAAGTTTGTTAAGTTAATAGCAATCTTATATACTTGCTTTTTTTTTGGTTTTTAGATGCCAAACACTATCTAATAATCTGGGTTATCTGAAGTTATTTAAAATGCCTTTTTTTCTGAAATTCTTTTCTGAATTACTTTTTTTTTTTTTTTTTTTTTTTTTTTTTTTTTTTTTTTTTTTTGAGACGGAGTCTCGCTCTGTCGCCCAGGCTGGAGTGCAGTGGCGCGATCTCGGCTCACTGCAAGCTCCGCCTCCCGGGTTCACGCCATTCTCCTGCCTCAGCCTCCCGAGTAGCTGGGACTACAGGCGCCCGCTACCACGCCCGGCTAATTTTTTGTATTTTTTTTTAGTAGAGATGGGGTTTCACCGTGTTAGCCAGGATGGTCTCGATCTCCTGACCTCGTGATCCACCCGCCTTGGCCTCCCAAAGTGCTGGGATTACAGGCGTGAGCCACCGCGCCCGGCCTCTGAATTACTTTTGTTTAAACTGAACTGAAATATTTTGATTACAAATTAAAGTCAAAATTAAGGTGATGATAGACCCAAGTAAAAGTGGTACACTTTCAGTAGCCTTAATGGTAATGATTAACTTAAGACAACACATTATTTTTCAGTTTTTTATTTTTCAAAAGTATGGGTTTATGGTCTGAATTAAGTCTCCCTAAAAGATATGTTGAAATCCTAACCCCTAGTACCTCAGTATGTGACCTTATTTGGGAATGGGATTGTTGCAGACGTAATTAGTTAAGATGAGGTCACACAGGAGGTCACACAGGTTGAGGGCACTTTCTGGCTGATAGACTATGTCTTTTTGCTGTGTCCTCACATGCTGGAAGGGATGAACCTGTTCTCCGGGATCTCTTTCAGATGGGCACTAGTCCCAATCATGAGGGCTTTGCTCTCATGACCTAATCACTTCCCAGAGGCCCTACCTGCTAATACTATCACATTGGGGACTAAGATTTCAATATATGAATTTTGTGGGGACACAAACATTCAGCACAGCAACAGACAGAGAGAAGATGACCATGTGATGAAGAAGGCAGAGATTGGAGTGATACATCTACAAACTAAGGTACACCAGTGATTGCTGGTAAATACCGGAGGCTAGAGGAGGCAGAAAGGATTCTCCCCTGCAGGCTTTAGAGAGAGCATGGCGCTACTGACACCTAAATTTCAGACTATTAACCTCTAATAGTGTCAGATAGTAATTTTTGGTGTTTTAAGCCACCCAGTTTGAGTCACTTTTTCTAAGAGCCCTGACAAACTAATACATATAGACTAGAGCTGTAGAATTCAATACAGTAACCACTAGCTACGTGTGATAACTTCATTTTAAATTAGTCAAAATTAAATAGAATTTAAGATTTAGCTCCTCAGGTAGACTACCTCTAGTCCAGCTGTTCAGCTACCACATATGTTTAGCGGACATTAAATAGTGCAAATGACATTTGTCATTACATAATATTCTGGATAGAAGTGGTATAAAGTCGATTTTCAAATTATCTATCAACATTTAACTGGTGTAGTGAGTGGGCCTATTCAAGAAAGTTTGGTAATGGAAAACAAAGTGGCTTTGTATAAAGACCATTTTGAATAGCTAACTTCAGCCACTCACCTTTTCTATTTTGAGTTTTGATCTCATTAAACTATGTGGGTGCAGGTTGACCCCTAACAGAATTCCTTAACATTAAGATACCCATATTATCTCAAATATGTAATTTGTGTGGTAAAGTCAAAAATCTGGAATTTATTTTATCTTCATATGGTACCCATGTTAAGGTACCTATATTTCCTCAAATATATAATTGGTGTGGTAAAGTTGAAAAATCTGAAATGTATTTATCTTCATAAAATTCACCTCATTGCTTCAACAGAAAGTTTTCTTCACTCAAACTATTTTCATTTTTTTTCAGAGGCTAATGATTTCTAACACAAAGAATGATACCAGGGATGTGTCTCTTTACTATGTTGTGCTTTAATTGGAGAAGGAACACACTGAACATTTAAACTACCAACAGTGGTTCCTTAGAAGGACACTATTTCCCTCGGACATTGTATCTAAATTGCCTGATTTGCACACAGCTTCCAAAGTAATATAAGATTATCTGGACTAAAAAAAAATAATTCATTTGCCTAAGAAAGCCAAATACCTTGTTATCTGTGTTATCTATTTTATGCCCTAAAAAGCAAAACATTGATAAGCACATTTGGAGTTATTTATAGATCATCTAGAAATACAATTAGGAATTCATGCTTCCAAAATGAAAATAAATACCCTATAAACTTAATGGAAATGTAGTTACCCATTTATGATACACCATTTATAATGCATTGAAAATTGATTTTGTACTCCTGAATATCATTGGTCAAATATTTTAAACTCTCATCTCAAAACATGTTCCATGAAATTAAGGAAATTGGCTCTGAGTATAGTTGCTCTCCAAGGCCTCTGTCTCAGCTCTCAGAAAGGCCTGGAGACAGAGTGTCTGTGATTAGATGTTTGCAGAGAGCTAATTTTCTGAGTAACAAAGTAGACAGACTCAGAAGAAAAAATTAAAATGGCAGGGGAGGGGGCTGATTTAGCAATCTGTGTACAAATTGTAAGAAAGGTTAAAATTAGGCATAGACAAAATAGAGCTCCTCCCAAGAGACAATAAAAAAGCAATGACAATGAGATTATATAACATAGTCCAAGGATAAAACTAAGAGGATGCTCCCTCTTTCTCTTTTTGGATGCTCTTTTCCCCTGCCTAGTGACACAGCCCTGAACTTTCTGAGGGACATATAATGTTGCCAAACAAGAATGGTGAAATGGAGTGTTATTCCTGTCTCTTACTAACTGTATGGCAGGGGAAGTCTCAGTGGCTTTATCCATGAGTTGTAGATAATAATAATAATGATAATAACAATTATCACACAGGGTCTTGGTTGGAATTAAAAGAAGGAATTAAAAGTGCTGTAAATGGAATTGTGTTCCCTCCAAATCCATATGTTGAAGCCCTAACCTTCAATGTGACTGAATGCGGACATAGGGCGTTTGTAGAAGCAATGAAGATTAAATGAGGCCATAAGAGCAGGGTTCTGATCTGATAGGATTAGTGTCCTTATAAGGAGAGACACTGAGGAGCTCAATCTTTTTCCACCATGTGAGGACCCAGAGAGAAGATGACTGTCTGCAAACCAGAAAGAGCGGCTTCGCCAGAAACCAACTCTACTGGACCTTGATCTGGGGCCTCTAGCCTCCAGAACAGTGAGAAAAAAAAATTACTGTTGTTTAAGCCACTCAATCTATGGTATTTTTGTTAGGGCAGCCTGAGCCGACTAATACAATAAGGTAGGTAATCAAGGTGTCGTGTCAGACTTGCTTGTTTTTTATTCCTAGAGCATTCCTAGTGTCTGCTTCTGTTATATAGCAGGTGCTCAACAAATCATTGCTGATTTATTTATTTAAATACTTACGGATTTAAATTCCCTTTGAGTAGAGCTGACTTCAGAAGCTTTCTCTGGGTTCTGCATTGGATTGTATAAGATGGGCAGCGTGCAAATTCAGTGCAGTGCTAGCTCCTTATGTCTTTTTCCCCTTTCAATCCTATGTTGCTTTTCTGTCAATGTGGATGTTTAGAGAATGCAGCTTGGTATCCAGACTGCCTGAGTCCAAATCCTCACTCTACCCCTATGGCCTTGGGAAATACAGTCAGTTCTCCTGTGTCCCATTTATAGCATATAGAAAAATGGAGATAATAACAGTGCCTACCTCATCAGATTGCTATGAGAACTAATTATGCTTAGAAGATAACTTGTAAACTCTCAATAATGTTGGTAGCTATCAATTATTCTTAAGCATGCTTTAACCGTGAGACTTTATGTCCTTTTTATCTTTTGTATCTTCAACTTCTATACTGGGTTGCATTCTTTCTCACCAGCATTTATATTCACACAAATCTCCCGATTTAGGATATAGAAATTCTTCCTTGACTCCACACACATGTTGAGCTACAGGCCCCATCCTTTTTTTCCACTATATAATCAAAATTTCAAACAAGTCATTTATGCCATTGTCACCATTTTCTCAGGTCACACTCCTCAATATATTTCTGTACTTTGCCTTTCTGAATATCCTGAAATATAATGGTCATTGACCTTGGTCTTATTTTAATTTTATGCCAAATTTGATGATAATGAACACATGCCCCTCCTCTTCCTCCTCTCCTCTTGCTGTGGTCTGAATGTTTGTGTCCTTCAAACTTCATATGTAGAAATCCTAGTCCCCAGTGTGATGGTACTAGGAGGTGGCCTATGGAAGGTGATTAGATCACAAGGGAGAACCCCTCATGAATGAGATTAGCGCCCTTATAAAAGAAGCCTGAGAGAGCTTGCTTGTCTCTTTCACCATGTGAGGACACAGCGAGAAAGTGCCATCTATAAATCAGGAAATAGGCCTTCACCAGATACCAAATCTGCCAGCGCCTTGATCTTGAACTTCACAGCCTTCAGAGCTACAAGAAATACATTTTTGTTATTTTGTTAAGCTACTCAGTTTGTGGAATTTTGTTACAGCAGCCCATAAGGACTAAGATGCTTCCATTGTCAGTGACACTACATTCTATTGGTCTTGCCCATCTGACTGTATTTATTACTGTATTTCTTGCAGGCTTCCTGTTTTCTCTTACTTTGGGAAATTCTCAAGTCTCTGAGTCAACCTTCACTGACATGGAGTCCAGGAGACTCAAAATGTCACTGTGGCCCTCCAAAGTAGAGGCTTATGGAGGTCAGGTGGCCAGTAAAGTTTTAGGTCAGGTCCATCTTACAGGGGGTCCAGGGGGTTGCTGAACACATTCTGTGATTATTTCCCCAGTTCCAGAATGCATAATTGGAATAGACAAACTTATCAGTTGGCAGAATCCCCTCACTGGTTCTCTGACCTGTTGAGTAAGGGCTATTACTGTGGAAAAAGCCAAGTGGAAGTCATTAGAATTGTGTTTATCTAGAAAAATAGTGAATCAAAAACAATTCCATATCCTTGGAGGAACTGCAGAGATTAGTGCCATTATTGAGGACTTGAAAGACACAGGGTGGTGATTTCCACCACATCCCCATTCAGCTCTTCAGTTTGACCTGTGTAAAACACAGATGGGTCTTAGAGAAAGACAGTGGATTATCATAAACTTAGCCAAGTGGTGACTTTAATTGCAGCTGCTATACTAGATGTGGTTTTATTGCTTTAGCAAATTAACATAGCCCCGATACCTGGTATGTAGCTGTTGATCTGGCAAATGCCTTTTTATCCATACTTGCTGATAAGACACACCAGAAGTAATTTGCTTTAAGCTGGCAAGGCCAGCAATATACTTGCACTGTCTTATCTCATGAGTATATTTATTCTCCAGCATTATGTCATAATTTAGTTGTCAGGGATATTGATTGACTTTCCTTTCTTTGATTGACTTAGATATCACACTAGTCCATTACATTGGTGACCTTTTGCTCATTGGACCTAGGATCAAGAAGTAGTAAATACTCTAGACTTGTTGGTAAGGCCATTTGTGTGCCTTAGGATAGAAATTAAAACTAGCAAAATTTAGGCACCTTCTCCCTCTTGAAAATTCTAGGGTTCCAGTGGTGTGGGGCATATTGAGATCTCTCTCCTAAGTAAAGAATAAGTTGTTGTATCTGGTCTACAACTCCTACACCAAAAAGAGGCACAACAGCTAGTGACCCCCTTTGTATTCCACATATTCTAGTATGTTACTCTGGCCCATTTACTGAATGACCTAAAAAGCTGCCAGTTTTGAGTGGGGCCCAAGACAGAAGAAGGTCTTGCAACAAATACGAGTTGCTGTGTAAGCTGCTTAGCTGCTTGGGCCACAGTGATATTTTGGGCCTCCTGGACTCAATGTCAATGAATGTAGTCTCAGAGACTTGAGGACTTTCCAAAGTACAAGAAAACAGGAAGCCTGCAAGAGATACAGGAATAAATACAGTCAGATGGGTGAGAGACTCAGAGATTGTGGTGTCATTGACAACTGCAGATCCAATGGTGTTTGAAATGTCAATGGCAGATAGGGATGCTGTTTGGAGCCTTAAGCAAGCCCCCATAGGTGAATTGTACTGTAGGGCCTTAGGATTGTAGAGCAAATCCCAGCCATTCTCTATGGATAGCTACTTTTTTTTTTTTTTTTTTTTTTTTTTTTTTTAGAAATAACTCTTGGCCTGCTACTGCTACTGTGTCATAGTAGATACTGAATGCTTAACCATGGTTCACCAAGTTACCATGTGACCTGAGCTGCCCATCATGAACTGGGTGTTATCCGACCACCAAGCCACAAAGTTGGGCATGCAAACCAGCACTCCATTATCAGATGGAAATGATATATATGTGATTGGGCCTGAGCAAGCCCTGAAGGCATAAGTTAGTTATATAAAGTGGCTCAAATGCCCATGTTGCCCACTTCTGCTACACTGCCTCCTCTCTCCCAACTTTTACCTATGCTTCATGGGGTTTCCTTATAATGAGTTGACAGAGGAAGAGAAGACTTGGACCTGGTTTATAAATGGTTCTGCATGATATGTAGGTACCACCCAAAAGTGGATGACTGTTCCAATACAACATTTATCTGTAAGGACTGTATGAAAGAAAGGACAGTGATGAAGAAAAATCCTTCCACATAACTTTGAGCAGTGTACTTGGTTGTTCACTTGGTTTGGAAGAAGGAATGGCCAGATGTGTAATTATGTAACAATTCATGACTGTGGCCAGTGATTTGGCTGGATGATCAGGGGCTTGGAAAGAATATATTTGGAAAATTGGTAACAAGAAAATTTGGGGAAGAGGTATGTGAATAAAACTCACTGAAAGGGCAAAAATAATTAAAGATATTTGAGTCCCATGTGAATACACACCAAAGGATGACATCAGCAGAGGAGAATTTTAATAATTAATTGAATAAGATAACCCATTCTGTGAATACCAGTAAGCCTCTTTCTCTCACCACCCCTGGCATCACCCAGTGGGCTCATGAAAAAATGTCTATGATGGTAGGAATGGAGGTTATGCGTGAGGTAAGCAACATAGACTTCCACTCACCAAGGCAGGCCTGGTTACTCCTGCTGCTGAGTACCCAATTTGGCAGCAGCAGAGATCAACATTGAGTCCCCAGTATAGCACCATACCCCAAAGCAATCAGCCAGCCAGATGATGGCAAGTTGATTACACTGGGCTGCTTCCATCGTGGAAGGGGCAGCATTTTGCCCTTATTGAAATAGATGCTCACTGAGAATATAAATTTGTGTTTCCTGCATGCAATACATCTGCCAAAACTACCATTCATGGAATTACAGAATGTCTTATCCATTGTCCCGGTATTCCTCACCGCATTGCTTGTGATCAAGGAACTCACTTCAGAGAAAATATAGTATGACAATGGGTCCACACTCATGGAATTTACTGGTTTAACCATACTTTCCTCCATCTTGAAACAGCTGGCTTGATAGAATGGTGGAATGGCCTTTTGAAGACTCAGTTATAGCACCAGCTGGATGACAATGCCTTGCAGGGCTGGGACAAGGTTTAGCATCATATGAATTATATGAGTATTTCTCCCATAGCCAGCATTCATGGGTCCAAGAATCAAGGGGTGGACCTGGATTACACATGGTGACCCACCAGCAAAGTTTTTGCTTCCTGTTCCCATGACCTTATGCTCCACTGGCCTAGAGGTCTTAGATTCAAAGGGAGAAATGCTTCCTTCAGGAGACACAACAATGCTTCTATTGAACTGGAAGTTAAGACTGCCACTCAGTTACTTTGGATTCCTCATGCCTCTGAATCAACAGGCAAAAAAGGGAGTTACTGTGCTAGCTGGGGTGATTTATTCTGACTAACAGGGGGAAATTTGGACTGCTGCTTCACAACGGAGGTAAGAAAGAATAGGTCTGGAATACAGGAGATCCCTTAGGGAGTCTCTTAGCATTACTATGCCTAGTGATTAAGGTCAGTGGAAAACCATAGCAACTGTCCAGTCCAATCCAGGTCTGTAATGACCCAGACCTTTCAGAATGAAGGTTTGGTTTACACCACCAGGTAAAGAACTACGATCAGCTGAAGTATTTGCTGAAAACAAAGTGAATACAAAATGAATAATGAAAGAAAGTAGTTATGAATACCTGCTGTGCCCATGTAAACAATTACAGAAGTGAGAAATATAATTGTCATGAGCATTTTCTTCTTGTTCCATTCAGGAACACATAATGTTTTGTCCTGAATGGAATCCTGGGAAAGGACATTAGGTACAAACTAAGGTAATCTGAATAATGTGCGGGCTCTTGTTAGTAATATAGGTACCTAAATAATAACAAAAGACTCATACTAATGCAAGATGTTAATGGGTATGTAAGAGCTGTGTACTATCATCACAGTTTTCTTGCAAATCTGAAACTGTTCTAAACAATAAAATCTCTTTTTAAAAATAAAAAAATAAAAATAGCTGCAAACTGAGCAAATCAGTCTTTAGAGAAGAGTCACATCATAAAACATACTCTTTCCAACTAGTTCACATGAACATCAGTTTTTCTTTCTAAATTCATGGTTCAGAAATAATGTTTTTAACGGTAGCTAGGTTCTTTGACTAGCCTACAAATTTAAAAGTCCACCATGTAGTTAAACTCTCTTAGAGGGCTAACTGAGCTTTTTGCCTGGGTAAAGAAGCTGCTGAGCAGAGTAGAGAAAAATATGAAAAATTAAAAAATTCCTACCTCTTTTTCTAGGCACAAGGTGATTCTTGTATATGTTCTATAAATAAATGTCCTATTGAAATCACATATGCCACCTGGTAGTATTTCTAAGTTCTGCTTCCACTATTATGTCTGACATAAACATTCAGAACCAACAAAAAATTTCTGAGCATCTACTCTTAGCTATGTTCTTTACTAAGTGTTGAGAAAACAGGGAAAATGACATTACATCTAATCCCAGGAGAAGAGAGCAGGAAAACAGAAGAAACAAAAGAAATGAAGAGTAAATTCAAGGGTAACTTTTCCCTTCTTCACTCTACTTGCTGTCACTTCTCTCTAACTCACTTTCAGGTCCTAGTCATGCAGTATTGGAATAACAGAGATCCATGTCCACTATCTTTATATGAATGTATAAGTGCATAAAGAGGACCAGCTGGCTTAATGGTAGTTCACTGGAAGGAGACCTAGGGTATTTCGAGAAATGAAAATTCAACTGAAACAATGGCAGAGTTGAGCTGCAAAAATGGCCAATTGTGTGTAATGTTGTTTCCTATTTGCAGAGATAAAATTTCTAGACCAAGTTGGAAATAGCTCCATCATTATACTTTATTACATATTGCTGCAATATTTTGGGATATTTAACCTGGAGTAAGACAATTATGACACACTTGGAAACTTTCTTCAAATCTTTGGTTTTTGGTGGATTATAAAACATGCTGCTCTAAAGACACATGCACACGTATGTTTATTGTGGCACTATTCACAATAGCAAAGACTTGGAACCAACCCAAATGTCAAACAATGATAGACTGGATTAAGAAAATGTGGCACATATACACCATGGAATACTACGCAGCCATAAAAAAGATGAGTTCATGTCCTTTGTAGGGACATGGATGAAGCTGGAAACCATCATTCTCAGCAAACTATTTCAAGGACAAAAAACCAAACACCGCATGTTCTCACTCATAGGTGGGAATTGAACAATGAGAACACATGGACACAGGAAGGGGAACATCACACACCAGGGCCTGTTGTGGGGTGGGGGGAGGGGGAGGGATAGCATTAGGAGATATATCTAATGTTAAATGTCAAGTTAATGGGTGCAGCACACCAACATGGCACATATATACATATGTAACAAACCTGACGTTGTGCACATGTACCCTAAAACTTAAAGTATAATAATAATAAAAAATCTTTGGTTTTTGGTTTGTCCATGAATTGAAAACTCCGAAAAATGACTGAGTTACAGATGTGGTCTTATCGTTTGGACCTTTCTAACAATCTAAGCTGTAGAACAAAGAAACACATTTTCTTGGGAGATCTGAGTAAGTACAATGATCTCTGTCATTGAAAGTGATCATGAAGATGATGGATGGACACATGTCCAAGATGATCTAGAAGGAATTACCGTATGGGCTGGGAGTTGAACTAGGTGACCATTAGTTATCTTCTTAAGCTCTAAAGTTCTGTGATTTTAGATTTTCAATAAGTTGTGGTCTCTTTACTCATGCACTGAGTAGACACTTCAATAACACTATTATTAAAACTTTCATAGCATGCCCAATAACATCATTACACAAAAAATAAACTCAGAAATTCCACTAAATAAATATTAATAAAGTATACATTTGGTATTCTGTCAAACCTAGGGTGTGCAGTGTTTCCTGAACCCAAAATTTACTTTGGAATGCAAATCTGCTAGAAAGATATAGAATAACATTCACATATTCCAATTATTTTACCCATAGAAAATTAACACATGTGCCCTCTATGGCTATCGAATAGTATCCTTCTCAATTGATCTTCAGTTTCTGCCTTAATTATTCTTTTGTTTCTGTTTTGTTTTGTTTGCTTTAAATATCAGCATTATGGGTAAGTACTATGATGAATTTTATTAAACTCTTGCTTTTAAGTATTTGGAATCTGATTGCTCTCTCGTACACCAGGGAACTCTTTTATTTATTTTTTCTTCCTCTTCATTCATTGCTACTAAGGAAAGAATTAGACTAAAATAGTTCTTCTTCAGAAGTGTACAAGAGCCTATTTAATTTTGTTTTTGTCCTAAAAGTTAGTAGGTAATCATAACAAAATGATATAAACTTTCTGCATGTTCTCAATATTATTTTCCCCCAGTAATGACTTTTCAATATTTGAAGTTTGGAATCTGAGATCCTATAAGGCTACTTTTGTTTTTGTTAGGGATATTAATATTTTAATAAAATATCTTGTATATAGTATAAACATCTGTTGAAATCCCATGAAAAGTGGAGCTAATTTTCTCCTTAATATGGTAAGAACAATTTCTTGGATGGATGATCGATGGAATCTTTCACCCTTCTTTGGCTAGCTCCTTGTCTCTGTGACACCTATGGCCTCTCAATTTCTTTCTTGGTACAGCTGTTTAGGTCTGCGAGGGTAAGTTACCAGGAAACTTCACCAGGTGATGTTCTGTAGGTTGACCAGAGCAGTTCGCCAAAGGCTTTTCTTGGCTTGAACCAGGTTGAGACTCCAACGACTCAAGCAGAATGTCTAGAATTTAGTCTTCTAAACCTGCAATCAATGTATTTTTTTAATTTTCCGAAGTAATATAATTACGCTAAAAGCTCTCAAAGACTTACTGCTTAGACTCCATGAATGAAGCATCATTTGAAAAGCTACAATAAAGAAAATAAAGAGATCATAAGTATCATGACAAAAGAATGAAACACTGATTTTTTTTTTTTTTTTTTGATACAGGGTCTCACTGTGTCACCCAGGCTGGAGTCCATCAAAGCTCACTGCAGCCTTAACCTTCTGTGCTCAAGGGATCCTCCCACTTAAGCCTCCTGAGTAGCTGGAACTACAGGCATATGCCACCGAGCCTGGCTAATCTTTGATTTTTTTGTACAGATTGTGTCTCCTTATGTTGCTCAGGCTGGACTCAAACTTCTGGTCTCAAGCGATCTTTCCATCTTAGCTTCCCAAATTGTTGGAATTATGGACATGAGCCAGTGTGCTTGGCCTGATTTTTTTTTTTTTTTAATGAGAAAAACGTTCCTTAAGAAAAGTTTCATTGTAGTAAGTAATCAGGATGAATAGCATATATTAGCTCCGAAAAACTTTGGAAGCCTTCTTACTTCACTGAAAGTGGGGTTTATCAACTCAGCTGCCAACGGCTTTCCTCCCATTTAGCCTTTGTGTGAAAAACACAATTAATACTTTCTTGAGTAGTACAAGCTGAGCCGAGAAACCATCTTTCAGAGGTGTAAATTCTTGCCTTGGGTGGAAGGCTGGATGTTATTAACTTTCACAATTTCTTTCAACACTTGATTTTCCTCAATCATGGTAAAGACATATTATTTATTTTTCTTTTTAGTTGGGAAAGTTGATTCACGTGACTTTTGCATTTTGTAGAATTTTTAAGAGGTAAGATGAAAATTAAACATTTGTGCGTGTTAAGGATCCATGTTTCTCTGTCAGATGTCTGGTAATTTGCTTGACGATTTTTGCAAAGATAATTTAGAAATTAAGGAAACCATTCTCTACGTTTTTCTTTACATTAAAAGAAAAAAGTCTCCAATAAAAAATTTCTCTATCCACATTACAGGTTAATTTACAATTTCAGCTGCTGGTGGCTGGCTTGAGGCCTCAATGTTAAAAATGAGAATGAGGCTAATTCTAGTGAATAGAGGTCCACACAGACAATTGCTATCTTTGTTAGATGCTCCAGTACCAAGCCTAAGAATAGGAAAAAAACTAAAAACACCCTGGAAATGTAACAGAATCATCTTTTGCTGCCATCTTTCTCTTCAGTATAAGCTGAGCATGTGTTTGATGCATAGCGGTGTGGGAACTATATACTTTCTTCTTACTTTCCTTCAGTAAAGGAGCTTAGCTCCATTAAGCATTGTTCAAGATAGTGTATTTAAAATTAACATAAAAGGTAAAAGATTTTAATGCCTTTTAATATAAGGAAAATTGATTTTATTAAAATGCTTTAAGATACTACAATACAATTACTTATTTATCACTCTAACTCTGTATTGTGAGTGTAGCTTCCTTTCCAAGTATACTGATTTTTTTATGGGTTTTGGAAGTAGGAAACGAACCAAAGTAGTCTATCAAAATTCTCATTCACCGTCTTTCTTAAGCAGAACCAAGTCCATCATGCCGACGGAGACTATTTCAAGAGTAGAAATTCTTTTTATTCAAAGGGGTAGGATTAAACAATGAAAGACAGGTTATATTTTTCTAACCTGTGTTTTGCTGAGCTGAAGCATGAAATATCAAATATTTATAATAAAGTATTCATAGTTAAGTACACTGAATCATTAAAATGTTGGAAATATTGAAATGGATGATCGATCTTATTGGAGTCCTTGTGTGATACAGGAACTTCTGTATTTACTGTTAACAAGAAAAACTCAAAAGGTTACATTCCTTTTTAGATTCAGAGCTCAAATAGAATTGATTTAAAATTTAAAGCACTTCTAATAAGACATTTCAGCATTGCATAAGTTAAACATGGAGAAAAAAATAAATACATTTATGTTTTTCTATTAATACTTACTCTAAGTTGTTTACTAGAACTCAGAATAAATGTCTCTAAAGATTTAGTTTTAATTTTTGGCTGCTTAGCTCTTACAATGACATTTATTCTGAGTACCATATTAAATGTGTAGTAATAATTATATGTATTTTTCCTAGCTTGTGATATGAGGTATCTTGCATTTTGGCATATTATTCTGATTTTAGAGACAGGGTCTTGCTCTGCTGCCCAGGCTGGAATGCAGTGATGTGATCACAGCTCACTGCAGTCCTGTACTCTTAGGCTTAAGTGATTCTCCTGCCTCAGCCTCTGAAGTATCTAGGATTACAGGCATGTGGCACTATATCTGGCTAATTTATTTTTTAATTTTTTTGTAGAGACGAGGACTTGCTATGTTGCCAGTTTGGTCTTGAACTCTTGGTCTCAAGTGATTCTCCTGCCTTGGGTTCCCAAAGCGTTGGGACGGCAGATGTCAGCCACCGCGCCTGGCCTTATTCTTATAAACTCAAAATTATCTGAATTCAAGCAAGGTAATGTATTTCACAGCATCACTGAAATATAAAGATGTATCATCTCGGGATAAGAACTAGGCTGATGTCAGTTATGCATCCTGCTATTAGCTCCCTTGTTATTTAATACCATGGAATAAAAAGGCAGCGTGAAAGTCTTTTTGCCACTATTGCCTGGCTTTTATTGCAGCTACTCTTGCATCTATAATAGTGGAAGGGAAGAGCAATACGGATTGTAAAATGAACTCCATAGAAGATCCACTGTGGTCAGTAGATCAAGGCATGACAGTATTGACGTTAAGAATGGACACTGGAGTCCAGTATATACGGATTCAAATCTGAATGCTCAGTAGCTGTATGACTTGGGCAGTTACTTAACCTATTTGGGTTTGAGTTTTCTTGTCTTCATCTGTAAAAGTAGGGCTGTTAGAGGTTTAAGTGAATATATGTGCACATATGTATATATATTAAGAGATATACATGATATATATAAATAAAATATATATCTATTCCCTTGAGATATATATATGAATATGTGTATTCCCCTGAGATATATATGAATATATATATATTCCCCTAAGATATATACATATATATATTTTCACATATTTCTTTACACACACACACAGACACACACCCCTTAGAAGAGTTCCTTGTAGGTGGTAAGTGCTAATTAGATATTAACTATCATCACATTGCCGTCTCATTTCTGTATTTGAATTACTAATTAGTAACACAATTGAATGATCTGATGGTTCCTTCTTTTCCCTGCTTTTTCCTTAAAGGATCAAAGGTTGCAGCAAAATGTCACATTTAAGAAGCTGAGTAAACACAGAATGAGAAGCCCTAAAGCGAGGTGCTGTGTTAATAGACAGGCTAATCACTTCCTGAATACATAAGAACTAGCTCTTTGTAGAACTAGCAGAGAGACTGCTAACAGGTTTTTGTTTTAGATTGATGGATTGATTTTCCAGGAACAGGCCTGATGAGAGCCCTCATAAAAATTGCCTCTCATAGCCTATTGCAAATAAGTATAATCTTACATAAATCAAAGCACTAGTACGTAAGCATCCCAAGGACAGAGATTTTGTCTGTGTTGGTTCACAGCTATATCCAGAGTTCAGGCAAGTGCCTGGCAAATAGTGGAGGCTCAGTAAGTATCTCTTGAGTGAACTGAATGAATGAAAACCTTGACTTTTCCTTTAAATAGGATTAACATTAAAAGCAAAACAAAACAGCATGCTTTCCTACTTCCTTGATGGATTTCTGACCCTAAGAATGCTGTTAGGCAAGTAAGAAGGGCTGGAGAGCAGCATGTGAAGGGCACAGTGCAAATGTGTACATTTAGCAAGTATTTCAGAAATCTCGGATTTGGTGAAGTATTTGCTGGAGTGTGTGGTGTGATGTCACACTTAACTCAGATACATGTGTCACATTTGAATTACAAATATTCTGTCCAGCATCTCCCTAACTTGAGTGACTATGCTTATACTTTTTTCTACACAGGGTTTTCATAAATCTTTGATCCTTGACCAAGTGTCATAGAGAACTTTTCTTAAGTGAAACTCTCTGCAAACAGTTAGCTTATATTTAAGTTTCTATTCAGCTTTGAGTATAGTATTTTGGCTAAAATAATGTTTTGCATGGTCCATTTCACAGGTGAGGTTGATTATATAGCATTCATTACTCTTAATTTAGCTTACAACCTCAGATAGTGGTTTAAAATATATAACACTCATAACTATGTCTAAGTTAATCAAATTTAAATTATTTTCTACTCCTGTAGCAAACATTTTTTGAAAACAGAAAAAAGTCCCTTTTTACAGCATAGGCTCGCTGATAATTTGAATAGAAAACCACTCATTTCTATACATGAAATTTTCCTGATTGTCTTTGTAATAAAAACTGAGAGGATATTCGTCATCCCTGGCTGAGCTGCACTGAATTCTACTCTTTTATACATGTAATAAAACAGCAAACAACATCAAAATACATTATTAATTAGGCATGAATTTCTTAAAATGGTTTACATCATCTCATTTAACTTCAGAGCTTGCAGACATTAACAGTAAGTCACCACAAAGCTACCATTGATTTATAATGCACATTACCACATCAAGCCTGGCCCAAGGACTCTGGGCCCAGAAGGAAAAACAGCCATGGCAGAAATATAATGAAAACATATCTGTATTCACAGAAAACAATTAGGCTTAATGTAATTAGAGTGAACATTCAGGTTCATTTTATTCAAAGGTAATGTTTCTGCCCTTGAAGTTCCATGTAGAAAAGGGTCCTTGGAGTTAGAACACTGTGGAAGGTGATATAATTTCACTTGGCCCTCGGCTATGTAAGGTAAACATTTTACATTATTGCACAGTAACAAAAATTTACAGCCATAGATAACACAGGATCTGATCAACGTTAACACACCTGCTGTTTAAGGCTTACCCACATTGGAAAGCAATCATTTCCAGGATGGAGATCAAATATCTTAACACAGTGTCACCTGTGTGAGTTGCTAGAAAAGACCTCTCATTTAAAAATCTGTTCATAGAACGTGCTTTCACATTTTTCAGCCTCTTTTCACTTGTGTGCTAGACGGAGGCACTTTAAGAGCTATTAACTGTAGTCTCAAGAGTACAAGACATTGAGTTTCTTCAGTCATTGGTAAATATGGCAAGGAATTAAAATGAAATTAGATTAAAAAGAAAGTAAAACAAATCACTGAATCAGAAAATTTAGCCAAATCTTGTAAAAATCACTGGTCTCTGATTTAAAGATCCCCCCCCGCCAAAAAAAAAAAAATTAGTAGCTGTCACTCATCTGTTGCCAGATGGGTAAACACTACTACATCATTCTGATGTTAAGGTATAACGGTTTTGCTGTTTGGGCGTGTAAACGTTTGGGCTTGTAAATGTTTTAAAACATTGGCAAATAAAGTACTTTGAATTATGTTTCGAGTAGTGTTTCAAAGTATATTATACACGGGTTTCAAATAGAAAAACTAAAAGGTGGAATAAAACAATTTGGAAGAGTTTAGTAAAGCGTATAAAAATTAAAGGACTAAAAAACCCACTTCATTTTAAATGTGTAAAAATAAATCGCATCCATTCGTGGGAATCCAGTGACTTTTTCCTTTTCTTTCTTTCTTTTTTGGTTTTAGTTAGCTGGTACGTACTGCACCCTCCACAACACGTTGGAAATTAGGTCCTGGTACACACTAAGGAATATCCAGCCAGGTAAATACATCAGGGTGATGAGGCCCATAAAATTGAGCGGGTAGTGAGAATAGTCCCAGGAACAAGCCCCGCACGTGCGGAGTCCCAGACCCCAGGACAGCTCCCACACGTAGATGAAGATCACGTAGATGGGCACCCGCTTCCAAGTGCCCCAACCGCGGCTGTAGTGGAGGTGGAAGTAGAGCTTTTCCACCACGAAACTGCAGCTGCCGTACATAAAGAAGGACCAGAGCGACGTGTGGCCGCTGGTTGTCCCGTCCCCCTGCCCCAGTACGTTGAAGAAGAAGGTGAAGAAGATCTCATCCAGAAAGCCGTGCATTCCGAAGAAAAGAAAGCGGGGTAGGTCGGGCAGCCCCTGGCTGGGGGCTCCCCCGGCGCCCCTGGGGCCACGGGGTCGTCGCCGCCGGGCTCCGGCCGCAGTAGGGACCCGGGCGCCGGGAGGGACGGGGAGCGCGCCCCTCCGCTGCTGCTGCTGCTGCTGCTGCTGCTGTTGCTGCTGCCGCCGCCTCTGTCGCCCGTACCGCAAGCGCAGGAAGCGCTTCAGGAACACTTGGCAGTGGTAGAGCGCCAGCACGTACTGCAGCGCCAGGTCCAGCGCCCCTGGCGCCACCGCGACCCCCGCCCCGCCGCCCAGGCTGAGTAGTAGCGCCTGGCCCGCTAGGGTCTGCAGCCCCACGTGGGCCGAGGGGTAGAGGAGGAAATTGAAGACGAAGGCGTTGGGACAGCGCCGCTGCTGCAGGTACACCTTCTCCAGGGCGAAATGGGTGAGCGAGTGCAGCAGGCAGCGGTAGGGCGAGGAGAAGCCTAGCATCCGCAGGTCCGGGCTGCGGGCGAAGCGCCGGGCCGAGGACACCAGCACGTCCAGGGTGATCCCGTGCATCCCGTAGAAGTAGAGGCGCATCCAGGCGGGCAGCGTGGCGCTCTCAGCCGGCGCTTCAGCAGTGGACAGCGGCTCCGGGCAGCCGGCTGCCGCCTCGCTTCCTGGCCCGCCAGGGGCCCCCGGACGCCGCGCCGCGCCGCCCCTCCGTGCGGGGCCCTCGCTGTCCACGTCGCTCCCCGCCATGGGCTCGGAGGCTGTCCGAACGCCCGAGGCTGCACCGCCGCCGCTGCCGGGTGCGCGGAGCTGCAGGGCCGAGCGGCCGAGCCCCGCGCCGCCTCCTGGCCGCTGCCGGCCCCCGGGGGGCGCGCAGGGAGCTCCGTCCCGGCCGCGGTCCCGCGGCAGCGGGGGCTGATGCACTCAGGGGACTCGCGGGCCGCCCGGCTAGCGGAATCCCCCCGCCGTGGCCCCGCTGCGCCCTCCCTTCCAGTCCCGGGCGAGGTGCCGCCCGCCCGCGCCCGCTCTAGCTCTCACCCTGCGCGGCCTAACGGGCACCGCGGCCCAGCCAGGGGAGGCGGCGCCGGGGCTGTGAGGGGAAATGCAGAAGCTTGTGGAAGCCCCATCCCCTCCGCTGCTTAGCCCCGCGCCTCCGCTGCAGGCTCTGGGAACGTAACGCGAGCAGCGGCGGCCCTGCCCCCGCCCTGCCAATGCCCCTCTCCGCCTGCCTCGACCTCTCCCGCCTTCTCAGGCCGCCCCCACGCGCCCGCCCGCCGCACCGAGTCCCACAGGGTCTGCTCGGGAAGGCCCGGCCCTGCTTCTTCCTCCCGGTGCGCCCACTCAACACAGGGGCTCCGGTCGTGCGGGGGGCGCTTGCTGGGCGGAGGCACTGAGTGGAGAAACACCTAACAGGTGTGACTGCAAGTTGATGGGCATTCCCTGCATCGCGGCAATCAGGGCCAGGGCCTGGCTGGCGGAGACGAATGGCTGAGTGCCACGGGCTGGAGGCTGGGCTCAAGACCAAAATATGGTGCTGTATACTTAATGTTCTTATTCAAAGCCAGCTGTGTCCCAGTCATAGAGAATAAACTCGAGACTCCACGCCTGCCCGCCCCTGCGTTACCCTCCATCTAAATTGCTGCCGCGGGGCCTGATCCACTTTTCCAATCTATTTCTTGGCCCATCTACTTTTCTGGGTTTACTCAAGGCCAAGGACAGAGATTCGATGTCCCCCAGAATTTGTGAAATGATTTCAGGCCAGTTGGGTTGGGTTGGGGTGTGGAGAAGAGGAAATGCTTTGTTCTAGCTACTGTGGGGTCTCAGGTGGAGAATAGTACCTCGTCCTGGCACACCCCGCTGCTGGGTTCTTCTTTTGGCAGAACTAGGTCATCCCAGAAATGGAGAGTGACATAAAGGGCCAGGGTTTATCTTTTTCTATCTTTTCCCTCCCTCCCTTCACCTCTCCCCTCTTCTCCCTTCCCTCATTCCCTACTTCCTCCCCTCCCCTCCCCTCCCCTCCAATCCCTCCCTCCCTCTCTCTCTCCCTTCCTCCCTCTTTATCTCCTTCCTTCCTTCCTTCCTTCCTTCCTTCCTTCCTTCCTTCCTTCCTTGGTTGAGAGAGTGGAAGGGGTTCAGAATGTTGGTGTGTTGGTTCCACCATTCTCTCCAATTTTGAATCAGTCTTGGAACTGGAAAGAGCCTCGGGGGTGAATTATACCGATTACCTCCCTCTTTCTCCTCCTTCCCCCGAAATTCATGTGCGGATAGATAACAGTTCTGTGTTAGAGTTTAGATCCTCCCTTGATGAAAGGCTTTCTGGGGAATTTTTTTTTTTCCTTCTGGCGAATAGACATAATGAGGCTGATCCTCTATTTCTAAGGCAACCTCCTCCTCACGCTGTCTCCTTGCCTATTTCAGCCCCTCACGTTCCAATCTGTGGTAGCTAAGTTGACTGTGAATTAAGAGAAACTTTCATGTCAGGGACAGGAATGTCAGGAAGTTTTCATGTGAGGGACAGAAATGTCAGGTAGCAGGTTCATCAAACTTGTTGCAAACCAGGTTTGATCTAGTTGCCCAAGTGCCTGAGCAAATACATTGAAGGGAAATAATGTAAACATTTTTGTGAGCACCTTGCTATGCCTACACTGGGAAAATAAAGGGTTATAAGATGCTCTCTTTAAGAAGTGTGTAATCTAGTTAAAATGATAATAATCTATTATGCCTTCATAAAGCCTACTTATGATTATTATCAATAATAACTGATCGTGATCATTTAATAGTAAATACTAGATGTTTGTACTACTAGATTAATGTTTATTTTGAGTTTTTATTTCATTAAATAAACTCAATCCTGGGCCCAATTTATCAGATATTACAAACAAATGCACTCTTTCTCCATAACTGCTATTTAGACAACGGAAAGCACTTCTTCATAACACCATAAATGTAGTCATTCAAACATGTATATGCTAACTTGCTATATTAAACCTGAATTGTTTTCAAATAGCAAATTAAACTTCAAGGGCCCAAGTCTTCTATTTATTCTAACTTTTCTTAAGGATGCAAGGAAAATCTTGAAAATCTGTCGTCCAACCTAGAATTCATCCCAGGGAGTGTAGGAAAATCTTTTGGATTAAAAAAAAATTAGAGCTTTCATTTCTGTATTTTTAATTTCAGCATTTAAAAATTTCTATTTTGTATACCTTATATATTTTATAAATTACACAGTATAATAGAACATGTATAAAATTTATGTGTGTGTATATATACATATGAAACATTAAATTTTTTAATGAGGAGTATTCAATAAAAAGTTTGGGCTCACTACTGTCCTCACAGTAGTTCTCTATCAAGTGGGTTAGACTACTAAAAATCTTCTCATTCTTTTGGTTCTTTTTCTGAAATGGTTTTCCATTTTTCTTAGGAGAAATCATACAAAATATAAATGAACAGTTAGAAAAGCATAGTAGAAAGTGCAGCTATGATCTGTTATTCTCTCCATGTTTCTTTTATATTTTCATTGTGGCCTCTTAGTTAGACCATTTCGGAATGTGAGTGAAACTAACTTAAAAAAGTAAACAAACAGACAAACAAAAAAAACTCGGCATAAGACAAAGTATAAGAAAAATGCTCATGGTATATATCACCTTTAATTCTTTTTTTTGGTCTCATTTAAAAAATCAGTATTCTGTGCCATTCTTACCCCAGCAATGATGCCAACCTTTGTTTTTGCTTTATCATCACATTGTTCTTTTTGTTTTACGTGCTTCATTGCTATATTTCTAAAACTATTCTTCATTTTAAAACTGCAGGATAGCTTTAGTGATCATCATCATTTTATATTAAAAATCCTCACATTAGAGTCTCTATGAACATAAAAAGATTAAAAGCATTTCTTGCTGGTCTTTGCAGCTGTATGCTGTCGGGGCCAAGGGAAAACCTTCCTCTTTGCTCTGTGAATGTTCACTGAAAATCATGGACAAGAGGCAGATTAATTGGAGAAAAGGCTTACAAATTAATGTGTACATGGAGGCCCTCAGAGTGAAGACCTGAAGATACAGGGGGAATTGTCTATTCTTTTGCTTAGGTTCAACAAAGTATGGACAGTTGTGTCTGTACATTTTGTCCAAATGTGATTGGAAAAAAGAGTATGATCTAAGGCTAACAGACTGAGTGGGGAAAACTCAGCAAGGCCTGTCTGTCGAGAATCTTCTTGGCCTCCCTGAGCATACATTCTCTTCTTCTGGGTATGGAGCAGACACTCTCTGGAATGGGGATCTTATGACCATAGTCAAAAAAAGGTAGGTTGGATAACTTCTTGATGGCCAGTGTTTACACAGAAAGGCAGAGGGAAAGTTAGAGTAATAGTTTTAGGTTTTTGGCTGGCTTTGAGGAAAAGGGGTTTTGGTGACTATGGCCTGCCTTGGGGAAGAGGGATGCTAGTTTCTGTGGCTAGCCTGGTGGGGAATGGGACTGAGAGATAGAGGGGAGGTGAAAGTCAGAGAAAAACTTTTGTTTCTCAGGCTGCTTCCAAGGCTTTCATTGTGGAGTCTTGTTTTATGAGTCCCAACATTGCATTAGGTTGCAAAAGTACATCTGTAAACCCAGCAAATTTGAGAGTTGGTGGATATGAGGATAAAGGGAGTTTAAAAGTAAGAAACAGGAAACAACAATGAAACAGCATCATTGAGATTCCTTAGGTCTGGGGGCAGCCATTCAAAGAATACTTTGGGATGTTTTTCATCTGTGGTAAACACAGGCATCTTTGACCTCAGGGACTAAGAAGCTGTTTGGGAAACCATCTCTACAATGGTGTAATAGTTCATGTGGCATAAATACTGACTGGCCAAGTTGACTATAAACTGGTACAACCCCTGGAACAAGGGTCATCAGTGTGACCATGGAGAAATTTGAGAATTAGTACAAGGGCCCTTCGGAGGCTCACGATCATCTTTAATGAATTGTTGCCTAGTGGCCATAGGTTCAAGGTTGTCTTTTAGATGGATGGCAAGCCTGAGATCTTTCATTGCATACCAGAAGAACAGAAGGCAGGTGCATGGAGAACACAACATTAAGAAGACAGCTAAAGAGAAGTTCAATTGGGCAAGACATGAATGTAGTGATAGAGAAAACAGCAGTCATATTAGCAGTAGATATACAAACCCACAAACTTTTCTTTTTCCTTTCTTTTTTTTTTCTTTTCTTTTTTTTTTTTTGAGACAGTCTCTCTGTCTCCCTCTGCTTCCCAGGCTGGAGTGCAGTAGTGCCATCTTGGCTCACTACAGCCTTGACCTCCTGAACTCAAGTGATCCTTCTACCTTGGCCTGCCAAGTAGCTGGGACAACAGGCATATGCCACCACACCTGGCTATTTTTTTTATTTTACATTTTTTGTGGAGACAGGGTCTCCCTATGTTGCCCAGGCTAGTCTGGAAGTCCTGGACTCAAGTGATCCTCCCACCTTGCCATCTCAAAGTACTGGGATTACAGATGTGAGCCACCACTGTGCCCAGCCTAAACCTTTCTTTCTTTCTTTCTTTCTTTTTCTGAGACGGAGTCTTGCTCTGTCGCCCAGGCTGGTGTGCAGTGGCGCGATCTCGGCTCATTGCAAGCTCTGCCTCCCGGGTTCATGCCATTCTCCTGCCTCAGCCTCCAGAGTAGCTGGGACTACAGGCACCTGCCACCACTCCCGGCTAATTTTTTGTATTTTTAGTAGAGACAGGGTTTCACCGTGTTAGCCAGGATGGTCTCCATCTCCTGACCTCGTGATCTGCCTGCCTTGGCCTCCCAAAGTGCTGGGATTACAAGTGTGAGCCACTGCACCCGGCCAACCTTTCTTATTAAGAATAAAATTATACACACATACTTATCTCTCATATACTGTAATCATTAACTAAGAAGGAAGACGTCCATCCAAGAAGGCTTTCAGTTGTTGAATGTTTGCTCCCTAAAAATACCACCTAAGTAACTAATTTGATAAGGCAAAGCTAAGTTTGTGGCTTAGCATGGTAAGGGAGCTCTCTACCTTGAAAAAGTTTTAATAGAATCTTGGAGAGGGAGGGTGAAGTTGGGCTATTTATGAGGTTTGTGGTGCCTGGTTTAAGATGGGTTTTTCAATATGAGGGCTTGATGAAAGTTGGGTAATGATTATGAGATATTGGTTTATAACTGGTGGATGCAGCAAGGACAAGGTTTTGTTGTTGTTGTTGTTGTTTTGAGGTGAAGTTTTGCTCTTTTCTCCCAGGCTGGAGTGCAATGGTGCGATCTCGGTTCACTGCAACCTCTGCCTCCTGGGTTCAAGCAATTCTCCTGCCTCAGCCTCCGGAGTAGCTGGGATTACAGGCACCCACCACCATGCCCAGATAATTTTTGTATTTTTAGTAGAGATGGAGTTTCACCACATTGGCCAGGCTGGTCTCGAACTCCTGACCTCAGGTGATCCACCCCCCTCAACCTCCCAGAGTGCTGGGATTACAGGTGTGAGCCACCACGCCCAGCCAAGGACAGGGTTTTGAGGTGAGGGTTTCAAAAAAAGTGTTGAGAATAAATGGTAAACTTTTATCTCCCTGGGCCAGGGCTTCTTGTAATAATAGTACAGTTGTAGTATTACAAGAATAATACTTCATGTATGATTACAAGATGCCCTGCCCCAAGGAAATAAAGACATTGTAATAGTAAAGCCATGTTGAAGAAGATGGTCAGATTGTAAAGTAACATTCATGTAGACAATAAGCTGTGTGGGTGTAGGTGGTTTCAGGTTTGCACAATCTAATTGTTTGGAATTCAAGAGGAGAATAGTTTGAGTAAGGACAGGTAAAGATAATTAAGAAGTAGGACTGACACTCTGAGTTTACCTAAAATAATGCTCATCCCAGTGTGTGTGGTAGAGGGGAGGGCAAAGAGAGAGAGGTTTATTGACTGCAGTAAAACCATACCTACATACTAAAGATATAAAATGTTTGTATGCATATACTTATAGTTTCATTTATTTTACTTACATCTTCTTTTTAAATTTCTTTTGTTATATACTAAAGTTTCAAATTAAAGAACTCCTGTATGTTGCTTAAACATCAGGGAAGGCAAATGGACTGTCAGGAGGAGACTATTAGTGCTCGAGGTTAAATGCAGAAAGATCATATACGAGCATGTAAACTTTTTTGGATATGACACTGTTAGGGGATCATCTTGGAAATCTGCCCTGTTGTTCCTATTGTATATCTTTACAAAGCTCTTCTTTTTACCATACTCCTTTTATTCCTTCTTCTGATAATTTAATTAATGGGGAGGCATGTTGATATGAGGAGTTTCCTTCCTTTTCCTTTTGTACCTCTTCCTCATGGCTTCTTGTGCCCTCATAAAATTATTAATTTTTAACTTCAGGCCTTCTCTTCTGTTACTTTTCTGTCCCTAGAATTTCTTGGAGCTCCTATTTTTCATCAGGAAACATTGCTTCCGTTGAGGGTTGTTTCTGAGATTTCATGGAGAGGGGCTCCTAGGGAACAGATATTGAATACATTATTTTAATTCATAGAGATTAAGAAAATGAAAGGTAATGAGTTGCTTTGGAAGAATTTGCTTAAAAAAGAAAATTTCACCTAGAGCAATATTCAGATCAGGAGCACTCTTTTTGTATAATTTCTGCCTGTCTGCCAGTGCCTCACCCTGAGTCTGCCAGGGAGATTTTTTTCCCCATCCCAGTCAATTCCATTATGTTTTCAAAGGAAGTAGCTTATTTGGAATAATAATGCTTTCTTACATTAGGGGTTTACTGGTAACATAGAAGCTTTGTGAAGAGAGACTTTCACAGTTAATAGATACCACTTATTTGAATATCTACATATAGCTGTGCACTTTGCATTAGTAATTCATTGGCATTAGTAATTCACAGAACTGTTCTCTCTCTCCCTTTAAAGATGTTGAAACTGAGGCTCAGAAAAATTACTTGCCCAAAGTCTTATAGCTAATAAATCTAAAGCCAAAGCTTATGAAGCCATTTCCACTTGACACCAAAGCTTTCAGTGAGTGCTACACTGTGCTACCTCTTCACATCATAGTGAAGTCATCTTGAATGAGTTGTAGTAGCATATTTGACATATTTGATAAGAAAAGAAATCAATTCGTTTATAGTTCTTCTAGTGCATACTAACTTACCCCCAACTCCTCCCCAGTCCCTCCCTTTCTTTTGTTATCATGAATTTATTTTATTTTATTTTATTTTTTGAGACGGAGTCTCACTCTGTCACCCAGGCTGGAGTGCAGTGGCACGATCTTGGCTCACTGCAACCTCCACCTCCTGGATTCAAGCGATTCTCCTGCCTCAGTCTCCCGAGTAGCTGGGACTGCAGGTGCGTGCCACAATGCTCAGCTAATTTTTTTTGTATTTTAGTAGAGTTGGGGTTTCACCGTGTTAGCCAGGATGGTCTCAATCTCCTGATCTTGTGATCTGCCCACCTTGGCCTCCCAAAGTTCTGGGATTACAGGCGTGGGCCACCACACCCGGCTTATGCATTTTATTTTAATCAACAATATACATAGTCATTTCATATTTTTTTCTGCACATTTACTTATTTTATTCCATCCTTCCTTCTGGGTTTCTTCACAAAATAGTAAATGGCTATGTGGAAGGGGTTGCTGTCTGTTACCAATGTGAGAATAAAAGATGTTGGAAATTAGATAATATGAAAATGAGTATGTAACGCAACAAGTATTCCTGTCAACTGTTGGTACATGTTACTAGACAAGGAAGTTAAGCAAAACCATACCCTGCTCTTCCAGTTGTTAACACTCCTATTCATGGTTATCATCATTTTAAAAAGCTTGGCTGGGTTCAGTGCAGTGTCTTAAATACATTTGCATATGTTCTTCTATTTAACAGTCCATTTGTACCTGCTGAATCCCCAAAACATGTTAATATTTTCTGTATAGAAAAAATATACAAGTAACTAAACATGATTGCTAATCTGGATACTTTGGAAAGATCCACCTAATTTTTCAAAGCCTCATCTGGCAGTGAGGTGTGATGGCAGGCAGATAAAGGTAACTGAACAAACACCTCAGTCAAAAATACAGTTTATGATACGGAAATAAAGTCTCATGAATTTTTGGACCCTGTCTTGTTTCTCACATTTATTAAGCCTCTACTGCTTTCTAGTTATTCTGATGTGAACTGAAGATCCAAAGCTGAGTACATGGATCTTGCCCTCACTGAAATCACAGTTTAGGCTGAAGTGTTAATTTTTTAATCATTATGAGCAAGATAAGTTCTGGATAGAGAGAGATGTATACAGCACAGTAGGTGTGCAGCTTTTGGGGGATCTGATTTGATGTCAGCATGCAAGGACTGCCAAGTCCCATTCTCATAAACGAGCCCAACAACTGACGTCATTAATACACAGAGCAGGACAGAGCAATTGAGGTTGTTTGTTAACCTTACCCTGGTCTCTTGTCTCATAGTCTGCTATGGAGGTAGGTAGATAGGTAGGGGCCAGTGGGATTTGTTTGCTGCCTCAAGTGGAACTACATTAACATCATAATGAAATATCTTTCCTCTTACACTACTGTGATATGAAATCCAATCTTCTCTGGAGGCTGATTTATTTTATTTTATTTTTATTTTTTTGAGACAGAATCTCACTCTCTCGCCTAGGCTGGAGTGCAATGGCACGATCTCGGCTCACTGCAACCTCCGCCTCCTGGATTCAAGCAATTTTCCTGCCTTAGCTTCCTGAGTAGCTGGGATTACAGGTGCCTGCCACCATGCCCAGCTAATTTTTGTATTTTTAATAGAGACAGATTTCATCATGTTGGTCAGGCTGGCCTCCAACTCCTGACCTCAAGTGATCCCTGTCTCGGCCTCCCAAAGTGCTGGGATTATAGTGGAGGCTGATTTTATGGTAAAACTTAATTAATCACGAGGAGTACAAATAGTATATTTTATAGTTTAACACCTAGTTATTGCATTTCTTAATTTTTTTAGTCATTTTCTTATTTTATCCTCAATCTTGTGATGACAGGGCTATTTTTATAATTCATACTTATCCGGTAAAACCAGAAAATGTGGCTTACTAAAGTACACATGCACTGTTAGTGGCAGAGTTGTTTCTTCTTTAAAATCCAAAAGCTCCTTCCGACCACACTGCCTCTCTGAAAAAAGTCACCTGCCCAATGAAGGGTTCCAAGTACCCACATTGGTTGCATGAAAGGACCCACTAATGAGGGCTGTCTTAGTCTGTTGAGGCTGCTGTAACAAAGTACCATAAACTGGGTAGCTTATCGACAACAGAAATGTTATTTCTCGCAATTTTGGAGTCTGGGAGTTCCAAGGGCAAAGCAGCATCGGATTTGGTATCCAGTGAGGTCCCATTTCCTGGTTTGTAGATGGCACCTTCTAGCTGTGTCCTCAGATGCTGAAATGGGCTAGGGATCTCTCTGTGGTCGGATTTATAAGGGAACTAGTCTCAAACCTCATCTAATCACTTCTTATAGACCCCACCTTCTGATACCATCACCTTGGGGGTTAGGATTTCAACATATAAATTTTAATGGGACACAAATATACAGACCATAGCAAGGGCTCAGAGAAGAGGAGGTTTTTTTTTTTTTAACTTAAATTTCCGAAGACAGGTGAAGGAAGGCTAAGTCAGTCTTACTGGCCCACAGCCTGGATTTCTAGACCCTCAGGTGAGGGTGTAGCTCTTGCAGCTCAGTGTACTCATTGCCCTCCTTAGCTGAGCTACTGGCTCTGTTTCCAGCCACCTAGTAATTTTCTTCCTTTAGCTGCAAGTTATCAGGCCCAACCTGTGTGAACATGTTTCTTCAGAAACTGGTCATGTTGGTGACATATTGCTACTTTCTGTAATTGCGATTGATTGCTGTAACTCTTGCCTTAAATAATATATTTATTATATTTATATTATATATTAATCATATTTGACTTATAGCTAAATAGTAACATATATTTAATATATTTTCTTTATTCAACAATTATTGAACACTTCTGTGTAATGCTTGTACTATGTCTGGACATACAAAGTAAATATAACAAAGTCTATGTTCACTTGATATTTAAAATATAGGTTGTTGCAAAAGATATAGTTACTTATTGAAGAAACTGGAGAGAAAATAAAAAGTAAAACAAATACATACTACCCACGTAGGCAACCCAGAGCTGTCTACTCTTAATGTTTTACTGTATAGCCTTTGACAATATTATAGTATCACCAAAAGGAGATTATATTGTGTTCCTTTTGTAATTTATAATTTGTTCTTGTCGTTGATTAGAAAGCATCTTTTTATTTGATAGTTTGCTACCTCATCATTTGTAATGATTATAAAGAATTCCTTTGCATAGATATTCTGTAATTAAGTTAGCCAATCCCCAGAACCTTTTGTTATTATGAAATTCTATGTGGTAAGCATTCCCTTAGTCATCTTTTTCAAGCAACTATATTTATTCACCTAGAATGCACTCCTTAACCTTCAGTTGGAGGATTAAACACATCCACATTTTAAGGCTTTAGTTATTGTTACTAAATAGCTTTCCAGAAGCCTTGCTGGAACCTTTGAACACATTAGTAAAGTAAATACAGGTTGAGTATTCCTTATCTGAAATGCTTTGGGCCACGAGTGTTTGGGATTCTGGATTTTATTGGATTTTGAAATATTTGTGTTATATTTACCAGTTGAGCATCCCTAATCTGAAAATCCAAAGCCAAAATGCCCCAGTGAGAATTTTCTTTGAGCATCATGTTGTTACTCAAAAAGTTTCAGATTTTGGAGCACTTCAGCTTTCAGATATTTGGATTATGGATACTCAACATGAATTTTCCTCATATGGGACCAGGGAGTCATGACTAGAAAGAGATGGTCTTCTAGTAGAACCTTGGTATTGAGAATATATGTTTGGGGTATGCAGTACTATGGGTTGCACTGAGTGGACAGTAATAAAGGTAACCTTTGAAAAAATTAATAAGGTTAAATAAAATATATATTAGTTTGAATAATATACTGTTACTTCTATCTCTCCATGTATAAAATTCAATTTCTCATCTCTCCCTCTAAAACAAATACTTCCTTTCCTTCCCTTTCTCTCTTCCTTCATTTCATTTTGCATGCATATGAACATTTTTGTACCAGCTATGCCACAACCAGAACATGGTCTTTAGGTTTCAGCAGTTTGCAGTTAAGTCAGGGACATGGGTAAGTAAACAGTGACCACAACACTGAATAATAAATATTATAGCAGACAAAAAGCACTGAGTGTATTTGTGCATGCGGGAGGGATCCTGACTGCAGTTGAGAGAGCTTTGTTAGGGTTTTCTTATTTTCCTAATATACTAACCTTGACTCCTTAATATCTCTTAACTCCCATATTCAGCAGTTGTTATGTCCTGTCTAACTTTATTCTCCAAGATTTCTCTAAGTGCATTTTCATAATCTGTTGTCTCCTTTCCATTTTCAGTGCTATTTATCACCTCAGCCAGGACTATTCCATCACCAACCTAATTGATGTACCCAGAACAAATTTCTTGATCCTCCTCTGATCTGTGTGACCCTCCCTAAACTAGTACTTTGAAGATTTCATTACCTTGGTTAAAAATCTTCAAAGGATTTTTATGACCTATTGTGGAAAACCCAAGCTCCTTAGCTCAACAATCAAGATCAAATAGTGATCTGTTTTTCCAACCTTATTTCTTTTACTTATCTTCAATAAGCTCCTTTGGACCCCTCCTACTTGAGCAAATCCTACCCATTCTCCAAGGCCTGTTCATATTGATACACTCTGTAAAGCTGGGTCTGACTATACGTACCTGGCTGAAGCATTCCAGTTGTTGGTGCATCACATTTAACAGTTCACTATGCTTTTATTGCTATTCTGAGTTTTTCAAAGTATCTCATGTTTATGTTTTGTCATATTGAAAACTTACTTGAGTTACACATACTGTTGAGATCTCCTTTATCTCCTGGCACAGAAACTTGCACAAAGAGATCATTCACATAATGTGGAATCTGATATTGATTTAAATGAGCTGCTGTTTGGACAGGTCTTGAACTTCCTTGATTAGATTATATGTAAATATGATCTAGTTATACTGACATGAATTAGCTTGTGTTTTGTCTTTCCTATTCTCTCACATTTTAATTCAACAACCAGTGCTGAAAACATCTAGCTGGTCTCCCAGTAAGCTCTTCTTTTATTGTGTCATCCTTTCCTCTCACTTGGGAATTCCAAGGAAAGCAACACCCTTTCTTTCTCCATACCAGGCTGCCTAAACCTGCTGTCATGTAATCCCAGGAACATTTTTGTAGAATAGAAAAAATATGGCAAGGAAGGGCAGAAAGGAAGAAGGAAGGGGAAATGTGTGGAAACACATAAAGCAGGTGCGACTGTTCCTGGCCCCTCTCACCATCCCTCACTCTCACGTACGTGGTACACATAATTATTGCAACATTCTTTCCCACAAAATCCAGACTTCACCTCAGAATCCTATTTAGAGTGATCCAAGCAGATATCGTGAGTCAATAGGCATTGGCCAGACAAAGAAATCCTACTAACGTTCCCATTCTAGAATATATATGGGATCTTTATCTCTCCTTAGACAAATTAGATGTATGTAAATTTACATTTATTGCATATATTCTCATGATTTGGATAACTGCTTATTTTATAAAAGTTCTCTCCCTTGTAAGAAAATACAGTAGAGGTCTTTGGGATTGCAAGCTTTCTTAGTACATTAAATGGTTTGAGTTACACATAAGTATTTTTGAATATTGAGTAACAGTGAATTCCTATTTGTGACAAAAGTTAAACATCATTATTAGGAGCTAGAATAAACAACTAGAAAATAAATGGGTTAGAATTTGTGCAACATTCTTACATTTTCAGCCTTCGGCATTGATTTCAACAAAAGTATTAGCATACCAGGTGTATATTTCTTAGCAGAAATCCAGGGTCAGTCGATACTGTTTGTATAGACACAATTTCCTTTTGCATTTGTATAGTACCTTATGCAGGTGTCCTGCTATTCATTATCTCATTGGTTCCCTGTAATAATGTGTGGCAGGCAAGAAGTATAATTTACTGATAGAGAAATTATAAAATAGGGAAATTTCAAGAATTAAAATTACTCTATAAAATAGGGAGTATTACAAGAATTAAAATAACTCTAGGGGAGGCTGGGCACAAGTGTAGTTTTGTTCTAAAATTTAGCTTTTATTTAATTTGGAAAATATGCAATACTTTCATATCTTTAACATTTATAAGGCACAAAGGCTAGGCAGAGAAAAACCTCCCTGTAATATCTGTCCTCCATCCACCCATATTCCTTCTGGGATAATATTATTAGTATAATATTAATTCCTTGGCTGTTCATGTAGAGATGTTCTATACAATATATGCTTGTATTTATTCCATATGCAAGTGAATAGAAGCCCCCTATACCATTTTTACGCCAATACTAATATGCTGTATACTTTATTCTGCACCTTATTTTTTTCACTTATTAATTTTGTGTAGAAATTATTTCAGATCTATACATAAATAACTCTTTATCAATTTTTTTTTGAAAAACTGCTTAATGGTACTACATTGAGGGAATCATTACTTATCTAACCAAGGTCCCTACTGATAGGCATTGAAATGGTTTTAAATCCTTTGTCATGGTAAAAAATGCTGCACTATAAAAGCCTTAAACATAAGTCATTACTCGTGTAGGAGTATATATGTTAAGGATAAATTTTAAGTGAGGCTGTTATGTTGTAGGGTGAAAGGATGTGTACATTTGTAGTTTTGATAGATATTGCCAAATTGTCCAAGAAACTGCATCAATTTGTGCTCCTATCAGCAATTAGGAAAAGGCCTATTTCCATACACCCTTGCCACAGACATCTTATTCTGCTTTTTGATATTTGCCAATCTAGTAGGGTGAAAATAGTATCAATTGTAGTTTTAATTTTCAATGATCTGATGGTATTATGAGTGCAGTGGGGCATTATAGAGAATTTCTTATAGTGAAGAACTATTTTTGCTTTCTGGACTATCTGTTTGAATCCCTTTCCATTGGGTTAATAGTCTTTTTAAAAATTTATTTGCAGTAGCTCCGATTTATTAGAGAAATGTTTTCTTCTTTTTTTTAAAATTATACTTTAAATTCTAGGGTACATGTGCACAACATGCAGGTTTGTTACATATGTATATATGTGCCATGTTGGTGTGCTGCACCCATTAACTATATACCTAATGTAAATGACGAGTTAATGAGAAATTTTTTCATTGTGTGAAGCACAAGAGTTCTTGAGTCTAAAGTGTTTTTTTTTTTTTTTTGTTTTTTTTTTTTTTTTTTTTTTTTTTTTTTTGAGATGGAGTCTTGCTCTGTTGTCCAGGTTGGAGTGCAGTAGTGCAATGACAGCTCACTGCAACTTCTGCCTCTTGGGCTCAAGCAATCCTCCCACCTCAGCCTACCAAGAAGCTGGGACCACAGGCATGCACCACCACACCCAGCTAGGTTTTCGTATTTTTTGTAGAGACGAGGCTGAGTCTAAATTTCATCTTCCCACACCTATATTAAACAAATAAACAAAATATAATTTATGATAGTGTCTCAGAACTTGCAGATCTTCTGCACTATTTATCTGTTTGCATATAATAATACGCCCTATTGTTTATTTCCCTGTAAGGTTTTTTATTCTCTGAAATTAGTTTACGGTGTTGATGAATTTCAACTTCCCTTTAATTTTCCTTATTTCTGGAACCTTCCAAAAGTCCACTGAAAATAATTTTACCTCTAAGAGGACTCCGTGCCAAAAGACATTTTCCTTTTCTGAAACAAAGAAGGTAATGTGAAAAACTCATTGTCAAGCCATATATACTGCTAAATTTGCAACCACAGACAGTATTTAGGTAAAAGATTGGGAGAAGAATCTTAAAGATTTCCGCTGTAAAGTGGGAATAATTTAGTGTTGATGTTACAGGTAGATAGGCATGACCCAGACAGGAGAGGGCTCTCCCCCAACCCACCGGGAATGTCTGGTGATGGTTCGGCAACAGAGAGACCATTTCCTGATGGTCCACACCTGTTAACATCAACACCTTAATTGAATACAGACCCCAGGGAGAAGCAACTTTGTGGGGATGCACTTTAAGAGACAAAAATGGCAAAGTATGACATCCAGGTACACGCCACTGGAAAAGGGAAGAAAGCCTCAGATGGGCTTGCATTTAACTTCCTAAACGTACTGCTTGGCATGCCCAGGTCCAAAGGGTAAGGAAAGCACTGCGCATGCGGGAAGCCCACCCTGGGGGAAGAATCATGGGAAAGAGGAGAGCGTATGAAAGTCCTAGGATCAAGGCTAAAGACCCCTCTTTTAGCTCTTTTTCTCTGTTGGAACTTCAGGCATCTGGTTGGGTTTCTTCCAAGTGAATTTTCCTTTCTTTCCTGTTCTAAAGACTTTTTAACAAACTTCCACTCCTGCTCTGAAATTTGCCTTGGTCTCTTTTTCTGCTTTATGCCCCTCAGTCGAGTTCTTTCTTCTGAGGAGGCAAGGACTGAAGTTGCTATGGACCCATACGGATTCGCCGCTGGTAACTCAGGGTAACTTGGATCTCTGCCACCAGTAACATTGGGATATTAAGACTATAAAGAAAGGCGTAAGGATTCAGGGTTATATTTGGCCTTCAAAAGAGAATATCCAGAAATAAATTAAATTCTCTTAAACCACCTTTAGGATTTCACAATAACATGGATCTCTCTTTTGAATCTAAGCATTTTGGATGCCCGTTTTTTTTTTTTGGCTGTCTGTAATAGCAAGCTGTTTTGCCTCAGCTCCTTCCTTTTCAGACCTAACCCATAGTAATCGTCTTGCTCTGAATTTACCTCTCTAGGATGGTGTTTCCCTTCCTGTTTGCTGATCCACTGGGGCTGTCCCAGAAAGAGAACTACAACGCTACTCTTTCCCATGCCTTGCTTGTCCACAGGTAAATTTTCCTGGATTATGGCTAGCCAAAAACAAATTCTGAAAATATAAAGAATAGATTGTAATTGACAAACCCTTTGTTTTCAGGTTATTCATGTCAGGTTTCAGCAATAACACAAAGCTCTCTTTGTCCTTGAAAAACAGAAAGAACCTCTTAACTTATCAAGTATTTAAATCTTCTCAAATATGGTGGGGAGTCTAATGCATGAATCCTGGCCTGGTACATGGAAAGTGCTGTGAAAAAACTCATTCTCAAGCCCCATATGCTGCTAAATTTGCAACCACAAATAGTTCTTAGGTAAAAGATTGAGAGGCATTAAAGAATCTGCAAAGATTTACAGTGGGAATAATTCAGGGGTTTGGGATGTTAAGACTGAAAGAAAGGCATAAGGACTCAGGGTTATATTTAGCCTGCAAAAGGGAAGTTGCCAGAGAACTTTAATAATGTTTCTAGGTCATAAAATAAACATGAAAACGATTGTGCCTTATTGGCCTTTATCTGCGGATAAGGGAAAATGAGTACGTAAAACATGAGGAAGAATTTAGGGTGGAAACAAAATAACACTTTGATTGAATATGTTCCTCATTTAAAAATAAAAGTGCACTTTTTTCTACATGTATTATACTTCAATAAAAAGTTAAAAGACAAATTTTCATACGTGTGGGGTTGCTTTGGAATGGTCAGAGAGCTAGATAGTTTCCTAAAGTTTGGTGATCATGAGTGTGGCCTCCGCCCTCAGATTTTTTTGACTAAATGCTAGCCACACTGCTTTCTGTTTGTATGACCTTGGGCGAACCTCTATCCTAGCTTCTTCTTGCCTCGTTTCTAAAGTGAGATAATGAGAGTATTCATCAACTAGTATTGTTATGGGGATTAGATAACATATGTGTCATAGTTATAATTTGTTTTTCTTTTAAAAGGCAGAACATTCAAATATTAGTGGTCTGAAGAGACAAATTATTTTTCTCTCATGAATAATTTCTAGTACATGTCTTGGACTGGCATGGCGCCACTCAGTTTCTGGTATCCAGATTCTATCTCATCTGGATGCTTTATTGTATATGACTTACATTCCGAAGTATGTATATGCCTATTCTAGCTGTCTAGTCATTGTCTGCATTCTAGCCACCTGGAAGGATAAGAAGGTTCTTTCTTGAGAACAGTACCTGGAAATTGCACTTTCATCCCCAGCCCATTGGTCAGAACTTAGTGGCATGGTGGCACTTAGTCACTGGGGAGGCTGGAAAGCATTGTCTTGATTCCAAGTAAAATTATATCCAGCCACTAATCATGGGTTCTATTAGTATAGATGAAGGAGATTAGTATAGATAAATGTAGTTGTTGAGGGAGAACAGATATTTAGGAGTTAGCAACTTCTGCTATAATGCGCAAAATGCTTAGCACAGAATCTAGCAATAAACAAAAACCCATGACTATTGTCATTGCAAACTTAGATTCACAATCTAGTATCCCATCAGCTGTTTTCATCTCGTTGTTCCACAGGCACTGTCAACTCAACGTTTCTAAAAATGAAGTCATTATTTCACTCTGTATTCCCTCTCTTCCCCTGTTTACCTACTCAGAGGACATCCAAAAGCTTCAGCTTTTGTGTTCTTAGTCTTGGATAAAGGCTTCACCAGCCATCCCTCTTGGAGTTTTTTCTCTACTACCCCTTTAGCTTCACTCAATACATCTAATCAGTTTCAAAGATCAGTGGTTCTCTTTGGGAAATGTCCCTCAGACACGTCCTCTTTTCTCCACTCTCACTGTCCATTACCTTCACAACTCTTTAGAATGGTTCACAAGGCCCTTTATAGTCTGACTCCAATTTATTACTCATCTCAACACATCTCATACTCCAGCTACCCTGGGTGAAAAAGATGAGAAGCAAATATTTTATTTTATATTATTTAATTTAATTAATTAATTTGTTTGACAGGGTCTCACTCCAGTTGCCCAGGCTGTAGTGCAGTGCTGTGATCTCAGCTCACTTCAGCCTCAACCTCCCTAGCTCAGGTGATCCTTCCACCTCAGCCTCCCTAGTAGCTGGAACTCAGGCACATGCCACCACACCCAGCTAATATTTTTGTATTTTTAGTAGAGACTGGGTTTCGTCATGTTGCCTAGGCTGGTCACAAACTCCTGAATTCAAACAATCTGCTCACCTCATCCTCTCAAAATGCTGAGATTACAGCCATGAGCCACTGTGCCCCTCCTAGAAGCAAATATTTATATTTTGACTATTTTAGGCAAAGTTTGAACAAAATATTTACTTAATAAAAGATTTAATTTTTCACAAAGATTGAGATGAAAAATTCAAGTAAGCAACCAGTTTTATATTGCTATAGGCAATGCAACATCCAAAAACCTTTTCTGAATAGAGGACTTCTACATGTCTCCCAAAAAAATGAAAAATCTGCTAAGGAAATAAAGATAATCTACATTCTATTCACGTGGGTCATTTGTAATCCTCCCCTTAAAGCTAACAGACTCACATGAATGTGAGAACATTTGAGAGTTACTAGCTTCTTTTCCATATTTTCTCCCATACTCTGTTAAAGATTTGCAAATGACCCATACATGAATTACTCTCTTGTGATAAAAATAAACTTGCTTTCTAAGCAGTTAAGCCCTAGCTATTTGGTTGTTACAACCTTTTTTTTTCCATTTTTTTCTTGTATGGTATTTATCTGAGACTGTCGAAAGTTTTTTATCACTTTTCTTTCTTGTTGGTTAAATGTTGAGAATTTTTTCCTTTGCCACTGAAGAAAAATCAATCTGTAAATGAAAATAGATATGTAAGCCAAGTTATTAATGAACTTTGGCTAATTTTTATAGACCCACTCTAGTAAAACCTTTTACCTATTTCAACTTTAAGGTGTGGTTGAGTTAGAGTGATTCTGTTATATAATGATGGAATTTGACCTGATGTATTTCAGTTCAGAGTTACTCTATTTGCACTTCCAATCTCTTGATTTTATGTGTCACATAAAGCCTATATAAGTAAACATATATCTTTGTTGACTAAAAGAAAAAATGTTTCCCAATCTATAGTCTTATAAGCCACTAACAGGTATATATTTTTTATGCATAAAAGAAATGAAGGAATTTATCATTTCTATGCATATTTATTAAAATGTACTATGAAATTTAAGATATTAAGATAAATTTATTGAAAATGGAATACATTTTCAGATGCCTGGACCACCTTCTTTCTCTAGTCCCTACTGTATTTTAGATTATTCTTTTGCAAAATTTTTTGGGAGGATGAACTCTTCCTATTGTAATCACATGGTAGTAGAACTAACATTTTATTAGTTTCCTCTAGAACACAGTCTTACTTGATTCTTAGAATTATGCATAAGAATTATATTTTTTTCCTTAAACAAGTTTGCTTGCCTTTCTTGCATAGTATGTAGAAGGGAGAATTTGATTATAAACTTATCCAATTATCTTTTAAAATACAAGTAAGACTATTTCAGAGTTACAACATTTAATGGAAATACATCAGTAAGCTTTAAGGGCTATTTGCAGTTTGAGATAATTTTTAGAAGCCTCTTTCTCAACAGGAAACAAGTGGATCTTTTTGCAATAACTTTATCATTTAAATTATCAAAATGATTTCAAACCATATCTCTGTCAAAGATTTGTTAACTCATTTAAATGTCTGGATTGGCAGATCATGAAACAACAGTATAAATACTTTGTATTTGTATGTATATGTATATATATATATATATACACATACATGCATAGATACATGCATATATACACATGTGCATAGATACATGCACATATACGCATATGTATATATGTATATTTAATATGTATATTAAAACCAAATATGCATATTATTCAACAAATTGATATCCCCCTGAAATAACCTCCATTCTTTTTTTTTTTTTTTTTTGGAGACAGAGTTTTCACTCTTGTTGCTTGGCTGGAGTGCAGTGGCACGATCTCAGCTCACTGCAGCCTCCGCCTCCTGGGTTGAAGCAATACTCCTGCCTCAGCTCCCAAGTAGCTGGGATTACAGGCATGCACCACCATGCCTGGCTAATTTTTTTTTGTATTTTTAGTAGAGACGGAGTTTCACCATGTTGGCCAGGCTGGTCTCGAACTCCTGACCTCAGGTGATCCTCCCGCCTTAGCCTCCCAAAGCGCTGGGATTACAGGCATGAGCCACCGCGCCGTGCCTAACCTTCATGTTTATTATAAATGCAATACAATGAACCCAGGTCACTTTTTTTTTTCCCCGAGACGGGGTCTTGCTTTGTTGCCCAGGCTGGAGTGCAGTGGTGTGATCCTGGCTCACTGCAACCTCCACCCCCCGGATTCAAGTGATTGTCCTGTCTCAGTCTCAAGAGTAGCTGGGATTACAGGAGTGCACCACCACACCCGGCTAATTTTTTTATTTTTAGTAGAGACGGGTTTCACCATGTTGGCCAGGCTGGTCTGGAACTCCTAACCTCAGGTGATCCGCCCACCTTGGCCTCCCAAAATGCTGAGATCACAGGCGTGAGCCACTGCGCCTGGCCCTCAGATCCCTTTTAAACAGAAGACCACCAAATATGTGCAACTTGTTATTTCTGTAACTATCTCCTAAGCATTTTTTTCTGTTTTCTTTCAATCTAAGAAATGGAAATTCTGTTCTCCACCTCTCCCTTTTTAAAACCTAGAGTGATCTAAATCATGAAAGCTAATTGTTGAGGAAAAGATGTCTGCTTTTACTCCAGCATAAGAATCTCATGGGAAAATAAGTCATATGCAGATAAATTACAGTTGCCCAGATGAGTCCAGTGTTCACAAATTTACCTCTTTATTAAGCCCTTTCCATGGAAATTCTCTCCTTTTCTAGTGGGTTCTAGGTTTCAGTCCTCTAAATTTATATTAGAATGAGTTTTCCAGGAATTATCTGGCCACCTTAATAAAGATATGGTTTTTACCTTTCTGTTTTTCTTACCAGAACCCCTGGCACTCTCATCTTTCTGTAGGCAGGAAGTTTTAAGTTGTCTGCACTCTAAATATTAAATGTATAAACGGAAGAAAAGAGGAGGAAAAACATATTCACTTATAGGTGACGTGGTTGTCTACTTGGGAAACTCAATAGAATGAATTTCAAAATACTATCAGAACATAAGATAATTCATATGGTGTGCTGCTATAAAGAAATAAACTGATATGTTTACATGTCAGCAACAACCATTTAAAATGTAATTAAGAAGAATCTCATGGAAAACTGTATGAAAATATATATTGTAAAATAATCACAATTGACAAAAAATGTGAAGGCAACGCCCACAGTATTATAGTAAAACTACAAAAGTTAATTAAAAGACAAGGAGGAACATTTGAATAATCTGTGAATAAATGGTGAGTCATAACTGTTTATATATTGTTGATATTGTAATGCCAATGTGGTGATGTAGTTATGTTATTATCTCTAAATTAATCTTTATTTTTCTCCAAAACGTGACCAACTTATATTAAAATGTGAGATTTAGTGAACACAACAGAATAAAAATAAATAACTGACCAAATTGAATATTAAAATGTATTATAAAACTAAAGTATCTAAAGTTCCTACGAATAGACTGATCAGTGGAAAATTAACAAAGTTTAATAGTAGGCTTAAGAATATATACAAAATAATGTTTGCCTGAAAGGACCTAGAAGCAGTTACACTCCTCTAGCACACCTACCATTCATTCTCTATCAAAAGAACTAAGGATTCGGCCAGGTGTGGTGGCTCATGCCTGTCCCAGCACTTTGGAAGGCTGAGGCAGGCAGATGGCCTGAGGTCAGGAGTTCGAGATCAGCCTGGTCAACATGGTGAAACCCCGTCTCTACTAAAAATAAAAAAATTAGCTGGGTGCAGTGGCAGGTGCCTGTAATCCCAGCTACTTGGGAGGCTGAGGCAGAAGAATCGCTTGAACCTGGGAGGCAGAGATGGCAGTGAGCCGAGATCGTGCCATTGCACTCCAGCCTGGGTGACAAGAGCAAGTCTTCGTCTCAAACAAACAAAAAAACAAAAAAAATAAAGAGCTAAGGATTCTTGGAGAAACATCTGATCCTAGGAGAGCCTGGGACATCCCGCCCCAGAATGCATAAAATGTATTCAAAAGGAGCTGGCTTGATGTGGCTCCCACTGGCCACACTGGGAAAATTTATACATCAAAAAGAGTAATGGTAATGTATTATAACACAATGAGTAATAATAATAATGATTATAATCCATCGTGCTACTTAGAAGAAGAGAAAGGATTGGGGGAACTCTTCTTTGGAGAACAGTGCAAGCTAATATGTGTTAACATATAGATGTAATTAGAAAATGATCCTGTTGCAATACTCTGGATAATAATTGATTCAAACATGGATCATCAGTGGCTACTAAAACCGTCTGGTGAATGGTGTAATGAACAGAACATTCACATGGTCTTAAAAGTATCACAGCACAGATTACTTACGAAGGAAAGAATGTACCTTTAAGTGGAGCAATCTAGAGGTCACCACCATGCCACACACTCAAACTTAAGATCACCAATAGTGAACCTGCTGATGGGATGCAGTAAGAAACACATAGTATTATCCATGTGCTAATTTTATCAAAACATTTATGTTGAATCAAATCTAGAAGACAGTGGCCTGAAATTAAAAAAAAAAAAAACTCAGGGTAATTAAAAACAAGGCGGGGGGAATGTTCTAAATCAAAAGAATTTAAATGGACATGTCAAATAAATGCAATATATGAACATTTACTATAAAAACATCTTTTAAAGGCATTTTGGAGACCATTGAAAAAATTTGAATATGGATGCATACTAGATGATACTATTTATTTATTGTTATGTTTTCTTAGGTATGATAACAGCAATGTGGTTACATTAGAGAATGTTTTTAATTTTGAAAATTCATGCTTAAGTATTTAGGAGTGGGGAGAGAAGAGAGATCAAGAGAGCAAGGAGAAAATGTTAACCAGTTAGTCTAGCAAAGGTTATTTGAGTACTTATTCTACTATTCCTTTAGGCTTTCTGTGGATTTTAAAATACTCAAAATGTTGGAAACATTTTAATGTTTAACAATTATTGCATTTCAAATAAGAAAAAGGACACATTAGTCAATTAATTGTATTTTGGCAGCTGGAAAATAAAGTTCTTATGTTCCTAATTGCTGTCTTACCCCAAATGATGGAATGTTGAATGACAATCTAATGAATGACTAAAGTTGACAGCACTGCCTTTGGAAGCTATTACTGCCAGAAAGGAGAAGTGATATTACAGGATTTGACGGGAAGGCAAAGGAAGGGAAGACAAGAAGAAGGAGAAGAAAGATTTTATAATCATCATAATAACAATAGTACATGGTCATGCATTGCTTAATGAGAGAGATACATTCTGAGAAACATGTTATAAGGTGATTTCATCATTGTGTGAACATCATAGCATGTACTTACACAAACTTTGATGGTATAGCCTACTACACACCTAGGCTGTATGGTATAGCCTATTGCTCCTAGGATACAGACCTGTACAGCAAGTTACTATGTTGAATACTGCAGGCAGTTGTAACACAATGGTATTTGCCTACCCAAACATATCTAAACACAGGAAAAGTATAGTAAAAATAAAGTATAAAAGATAAAAAACAGTACACTTAGCATGAATGGAACTTGCAGAACTTGAAGTTGCTCTGGGTGAGCCAATGAGTGAGTAGCAAATGAATGTGAAGGCCTACGACATTACTGTATACTATTCTAGACTTTATAACCAATGTATACTTAGGCTTACTACACTTACATAAAAAATTTATTTCTTCAGAAATAAATTAGTCTTAACTTACTGTAACGTTTTTATTTTATAAACTTAATTTTAAAAAACTTTTGACTCTTTCGTAATAATAGCCAAAAATACAAACACATTGTACAGTCATATAAAAGTATTTTCTTCCTTTATTCCTATTTTTTTCCTATTTTTAATTTCTTTTATTTAAAAAAAAATTTAAAAATGAAGACACGAACACATTTATTAGCCCAGACCTACACAGGGTCGGGATCATCACTATCATTGCCTTCCACCTCCACATCTTATCACACTGGTTACTCATAAAATATTATCAGCTGGAATTTTTATTATTATTTCCTAATTTGCAAATGCGGAAAGAGGGTCAGAATAGTTAGACATTTTCCTAACGTCTTGTCTTGGAGCAATAAATGTAGAGCTGGGATTTGAATCCAGGCCTGTGTATCTCCCAATGCTGAACCCTTTCTGCAAGATAAGACACTTGGAAATTAATGCTTGAATTTAGTTTGATGTTCCAGTGGCTGTATGTTTATGAGACTAAAAAATAAAATGCCAGTCAGTGTGGAAATTGGTATCTACTGAATTGAATGCTTTAAGTTATTTAGGTTTTCCCCACCTTCCCTGTCCCTGAAACAGGTACAACCAAAAGCTTCTTATTCTAATCAAACTAACACTAAATTATTTTTCTTCTGAATGATGACTATACCTTTCCCAGACAATAAAGTCTTTTATTTTCTGTAATTTCTCATTCTTTCTTTTTATACACTACAAGGTTGTTATTATTGAGAATTCAGGTCTATTAATAAAAACAGTTAAATTTATTCTGTACACATTATGTGTCAAAGTGTGCCAGATTATTGATGTATATAATTTCATTTAACACACATTAGCATCTAAATATTTAAACATTTAAACCACTATTTGATAGGACTAATCAACAATCCTGTCAAATAGTGGTTCTCAACAATTTTCCCCCCAGGGAACATTTGACAACGTCTGGAGAGAATTTTGTTTTTTACGGCCAGAGGATGTACTGGCATCTAGTGAGCAGAGATCAGAGATGCTGATAAATATACTACAATACACAGAACAGCTCCTTACAGCAAATAATTGTCTGATACAAAATGTTAACATCGCCAACGTTGAGAAACCTTGCTATAAAGTGTTACGGTCTCTGTGTTATAGATGAAGAGGGTTCAGGGAGGCTTAGTAACTTACCCAAGTTTATGTAGCCTGGGAATGACAGAACCAGGCTTGGAACCTAGGTATATCTTGATCAAAGTCCATGCTTTACCTCGTAGAGAGGCAAAGAGAATTTCAGTTTAGAGAAGGTGAAGATTAGTACATATATGCCAAAACCATATAATTATGTGAGAGGATAATTAAATGAAAACATATCATTGTCAAATGGATTGCTTAGCGAAAGCTTCCGAGATGCCTAAAGCTTTGATTTGAGATTTTGATTTTGATTTAGAGAAATAAAACTGTAGTGATGATAGAAAAAGTGGATTCATTTTTTTCTTTCATTTAATCACTTCATTTTTTTCTTTCTGAAAATGTTGTTACTGGATGTTAAAGCTTGGAAAAAAGACCTAGGCAATCAGATGAAATTATTCAGCCTTCTGGGAAAGAGGATCAACAAAGAATGTTTCATCGTGACTTCACTAAAAATAGACACATTATAATGGAACCAAATTGATACCAAGAAAGACTTAATATTATAGCGATAAACTGCCTGAAATGCTAAACAATCTTTTAAATGAGTTAATTGCAGTTTAGAACATATAAATAGAGCATTTGGCTTATTAAAAAACAAGGCAGGCTGCTTAATGGGCTTATTTTAAAGGAACCTTTTTGCATTTCTTTCTCTATTCAGCTAAATATAATATACTAGGGGATATATTTACAATCTTATATATATATCTCATGTAAGCAGTTTACAGAGACTGAACCTAAGTATTTTAGACTTTTATCAGTGAAGAGGAAATAATCTTTCTTCTGAACCATTTCCATCATATTTTCATATGGTATTTTCATAGTAGAAAGTGAACAATATGGCAATTAATATAAATGGAAAATGAAGGACACATCAGATCTTATTGGTATATTTTGGAACTTGGGAGACAGGTGGAATAGTGATATTTCTAACTGCAGGGTGGGGTGTAGCTTGGAGATGAGGTATTTCGACCAGGAAGACTTACTCCAAGTGTAATTTCCTGATCTACCTATACCAGTTTATGGGAACGTACCAAACATTGACACAGTACTTGAAAACTCACTGCAGAGCATTTACAAACATTATTATTTTTGTTGTTTGTTTCCTCTAAATTCTGAGCTTTGTGACGGCAAGATTTCTGTCTAATTTTTGCAGTATTAGGTGTTTCTTTAACGAATTCTTGGATGTACTGGAACATTCTTTTCAGTTCCAAGGAATTTATCTAGTTAAAAGAGATCTGTAGATAATACAAACAAACACCTAAATGGGAGAGGAGGTAGATGTGTAAGCAGTTTGTGTAGACAGAGAAACTGAAACCGAGAAAACAGAAGAGAATGGACATAGACTGAAATCAGAAGTGAAATAAGAAGCTAAAGATCATTACTAAGAAGCATTAGTGAACAGGCCATAAGAAAACAAAGGCCCTATTTGAATCTATTTTTGAATCAACCGAAGTCTGTAGAATAAAATATGAACAGGGATCTGAACACGTTCCTTTTCCTCTGCCTGGGTTATGCTGTTCTCACCTCCTCTAGCTGAGATGTATTTAAGAAAAAGTGAGCACTTTGTGGCTATGTTGATTCTTATGTATACTGTGCCTTTCCATTTTGAAGTGAGTGTATCTGGAATGTAAGTAGTTTGTTTTAGGACAGGTTTTGATAGCCTTCACTATTTGTAATATAATTTTTTAAACCTTTTTATTCATCAAGAAAGTATTGCTTAAATAGGCAATGGGCACCTTTCTGCTTATTGAATATATTTTAAACTTATTTCATAAATATTTGGTCATTTATTTATAGTATATTATTAGAATAACCCAGTACTTTAAAAAAAGGTATGAAGAGCTCAAAGAACTAAAATATTATAGTCTGTATTACATTATAGTCTGTCTTGCAAAATGAGGTCAGTGAGAAAATACGTACTTGGAACTTCTGAAAAATGTGAGCAGGGAGAAGTCATTGGAAGGTAAACTGTAATGAATGAATAATTGGAATATCTTCATCTGAGTCTGCTCAGTAAATCAGAGTTGCTTGAGAAATTGTTTTCATTGACCGATTGTTTTTTGGGTTTGGAGAGAACAAAATGTGTCCAGGTAAATATGGAAGCAGCAAAGGCCTCCAGTAAAAGATAGAGTCAGAGGATCAAACACATTGTTGTTGCTGAATTATGAATGGCACAAGGACCTGGTGACCGGTTAATTCCTTTGGTTGGATTTTGGTGTGACAGAGAGCCTTCTCTGCTCCATGATCACAGACCTGCCATTGGCTATTGTAGATATCAGAATTTGAAAAGCATTATTAATCTTGTCAAACCTTATATTGCTTAAGAAAAATTTTTGCTCTGGAATCATAAAGTGACTTGTCTAAGGCCATACAATTGATTGGTTGCCTAGAGCTACCTAAATTTTATATTTAGACGTCATGACTCCCAGTTTAGTTCTTTTGCTACTGCACTGTGCTGCCTCTTTTATGTGCCAAAGACTGACAAAGAGATGAATGGATGAATTCATTCTCACTCTCAGGGTTACAAATCAAAGTATCCGCAATTTGGTGGGCTACAGTATACTTATTTTTTAAAAAAACAAAAAACAAAAACCAAACCTTTCTGGGATTTTGAAGATAGAAGAGCAGTAAGATTTGAAATCCAATGAACCTTCTTGGTGACACTAAAGAACTATCCTGAAGTTACAGACTAACATGTACTAATAGCATAACAGAGTGTAGGTGATGTAATTTAAAGGATGGTATTTTTAAAATAGTGATTACAGCAAGGAATTTAATTATAAAGTTTACTGGTTTTCTTTTGTATGTGTGTGTGTTTCATAAATGTGAACAGAAAAGCAAAACCCTAACATATGACTCCACAAAGAATAGCTTCTGGAAATATTTTGAAATATTGAAGCATGAAGCCTTCTACTACTTGGAGTAGCTCATCTTAATCCTTAAATATACCCAGGTGTAACTTACCTGAGACTCGGAAAAGGGAATATCAGAAACATTAGGGGTAAAAGGAAAGACAAGCCAGTGTATTCATTCTGTTTACCCCAAAAAACAGGAAAAGCAAAGGTCTGTCTTGCTATCGTTTATTAAAGTTTTGGTTAGATTATAAAAAGGTGAAAGGAAAATAATTTTCTTTAGTCTAGGATGGGACAACACCAAAAGGAATTAATTCTTAAGTCTATGCAATAGTTTTCCTTTGCTGCTGTAGCAAATCACTAAAAGCTCAGTGACTTAACACAAGAATGTATCATCTTACAATTCTGTAGGATAGAAGTCTGATATGGGTCTCACTGGGCTAAAATCAAGGTGTAAATGGGACTGAATTTCTTTCTGGAGTCTCTAGAGGAGTGTCCACTTTGTTTCATTTTCCAGCTTCTAGAAGCTTCCCACATTTATTAGACATCTCCTTCCATCTCCAAAGTCAGCAACCCTGGATCCCTCTGACTCTTTGCCTCTGCCACCCTCTTCCACTTTTAAGGACATTGTGATTACATTAAATCCACCTGGATAAGCCAGGATACTCTCCCCACTTCAGAGTCCTTTACCTTAATTATATCTGCAAAGTTTCCTTTGCTACATAAGATAACATATTCATAGGATGTGGACAACATTAGGGTGCCACTATTCTGCCTACCATAGTCTTTCTAGTTAACATCACGAAATATCAAACAGAAAATTTTAACTATCTCTGGTAATACATTAAAATCACTTTGAATTAATATATGCACATGGCAAAGAAAAGTTAAATGGTACTGACATGTTTACCCTACACCTGATATCACTCTCCAGAAGTTGCCACTTTTACAAGTTCAGTTTTTAGGTATTCTGATGGTTAGTCCCGTATCTTCAAATAAATCATATACAATATTATTTCTTGACTTATCAACCCCAGATACTTTCTGGTGATGTCTTGGTATGAGTGATAACGACTTACAAGTCATCATTCCTCAAGTAACTTCCTAAGGAAGGGTGTGTGGGAGGTCAATTTGTCAGTGCTTGCAGATTGAAAAGTTCTGTACCATGCTGTCTTCCTTGATTAATGGTTTGGCTTATGCTATGGTTTGAGTGTGTCCCCCAAAGTTCATGTGTTGAAAACTTAATCCCTAATCTAACAATGTTGTGAGGTGGGAGCTGTAAGAGGTGATTAGGTCACTAAGGCTCTGCCCTCATGAATGGATTAACACCATTATTGTGGGAATGGTTATTTATCTTGGCTGCGAGTTCTTGATAAAAAGGGTAAGTCTGGCTTCCTTCCTTTCTTGCTCTCTTATGCCTGCTCTCTTGCCCTTCTGACTTCTCCCATGAGATGATGCAGCAAGAAGGCCCTCATCAGATGTAGCTCCTCCATCTTGGCCTTTCCATCCTCCAGAACTGTGAGCCCAATAAATTTCTTCTTCTTTTTTTTGTTTTTGACAGAGTTTCTCTCTGTTGCCCAGGCTGGAGTGCAGTGGCATGATCTCGGCTCATGCAACCTCTGCCTCCTGGGTTCAAGCAATTCTCCTGCCTCAGCCTCCCGAGTAGCTGGGATTACAGGTGGCCACCATCACGCCCAGCTAATTTCTTTTATTTTTTTTTTTGAGATGGAATCTCACTCTGTCGCCCAGGCTGGAGTGTAGTGGCACAATCTGGGCTCACTGCAAGCTCCACCTCTCGGGTTCACACCTTTCTCTTGCCTCAGCCTCCCAAGTAGCTGGGACTACAGTTGCCTGCCACCACGCCTGGCTAATTTTTTGTATTTTTAGTACAGTGGGGATTTCACCATGTTGACCAGGCTGGTCTTGAACTCCTGACCTCAGGTGATTCACCCGCCTCTGCCTCCCAATGTGCTGGGATTACAGGTGTGAGCCACTGCGCCCGGCCTAAACTTCTTTTATTTATAAATGATACAGTCTTAGGCATTTTGTTATAGCAGCAGAAAATGGACTAGACAGCTGGGTAGACAATTCTAAAGTGAATAAGCAGAATCTTGAAGGCACTGTTCTACTCTTTGGTGTTGCTAATAAAACAAACAAACAGACAAAAAAGAATGGGATGTTTCTGGATCTCATTCCTGGGTATGTAATCTGCTTTTTCCAGCCGTCTCTGGAACCTTTTAGTCTTTTAGCTCTTGGAGTTCTGAAGTATCATAGTAATGTGCCCTGGTGTGGTTCTTTTAAAATTCATCCTACTTGGTAGCAGGTAGTCCCTACCAGAACAAAGATACGCATCTCTTTTCAAATCTGGAGAATTTTCTTATTTTAGTTCTTTGATAATTTCCTCTCTTCCCTTTAGAATTTCTAATAATTGGACTTCCTAAATTCTCAATTTTGATTGTCTTTTTTTTTCATATTTTTTTCTCATTGCTTTTGTTTTCTTTTGTTTTTACCCTTGGAAAATGCCTGCATTTTATCTTTTAAACTTCCAATTAATTTTTTGATTTGGGAAATTATTTTTTAATTCATAACTTCATGTTGATCTTTGGATACAATATTTTCTACTCAAGGACTCTAATTAAAGTTGTTTATAAGACTGTTTTGGCTTCCTAAATGTTATCTCTTTATGTAGGAGTCAATTTTTCTACTTATCTTGGTCTTTTGATGTTATGCTGCAGCATTTACTCAGTTATCTGGTGATCATTCATTGTCCATTTGTATCTAAGACTAAGGGAATTGCAAAGTTGATGGTGTGCTCTGTTTGTGAAAGAGATTTGTGGACTGGGGGTTTTAGAGTATAGTGCGAATTCTGGACATGAGCCACCTGTCTTTTGGCAAATACCAGGAGGAGGAAGGCTTTCCTTTCTGGCACCAGAGTGAAATGTCTGATTATAGGTTATCTTGCATGAGAAGACAGGAGTCTGACTATTTCGTATGCAAGCCCTCAAGGAATCCCCCTGTTTTTAGCTCCACTATTTCTTTCCCTTTGTTCCACCTACAGACTCTGATCTGAAGCATCTCCAGATTTATGTTGGGAAAGCTGTTTCCCATATATACTGTAGACCTTTTTGTTTCTTATTCTGCGCTACAGCTTCAGCAGATGGCATTCTTTCTCAATTTCTAGGTTCTAGAAATTTTTTGAAGTAGCTGTATTGGGATTGTCCTACTCATGTTCCTTTAATTATTGTATTTTTATAATTTTTGATGATACTTTATTATAGTCTTATTCAGATCCACAGAGAAAGAGAATCTGAATGAATAAACTGTATCTGCCATTTTGAACTGAAATCTTATACAATGTTTGGTTGGAGGTGGTGAGAGGTGAAGCAGGCTGGGCTTCTGGGTCGGGTGGGGACTTGGGGAACTTTTCTGTCTAGCTAAAGGATTGTAAATGCACCCATCAGTGCTCTGTGTCTAGCTAAAGGTTTGTAAAGGCACCAATCAGCACTCTGTAAAAACGCACCAGTCCTTGCTCTGTAAATAGACCAATCAGCTCTCTGTAAAGTGGACCAATCAGCAGGATGTGGGTGGGGCCAAATAAGAGAGTAAAATCTGGCCACGGGAGCCCACAGCAGCAACCCCCTTCGGTGTGCTTCCACGCTGTGGAAGCTTTGTTCTTTTGCTCTTCGTGATAAGTCTTGCTGCTGCTCATTCTTTGGGTCTGCACTACCTTTGTGCACTGTAACACCCACCACAAAATGTCTGCAGCTTCACTAAACCAGCAAGGCCACGAACCCACTGGGAGGAACAAACAACTCCGGACACGCCACGTTTAAGAGCTGTAACACTCACTGCAAAGGTCTGCAGCTTCACCCTGAAGTCAGGAAGACCATGAACCCACCAGAAGGAAGAAACTCCAGACACAGCTGAACATCTGAAGGAACAAACTCCGGACACGCCATGTTTTTTTTTTTATTTTTTTTTTGAGACAGAGTCTCGCTCTGTCGCCCAGGCTGGAGTGCAGTGGTGCGATCTCACCTCACTGCAACCTCCGCCTTCCGGGTTCACGCCATTCTCCTGCCTCAAGCCTCCCGAGTAGCTGGGACTACAGGCACCCGCCACCATGCCTGGCTAATTTTTTGTATTTTCAGTAGAGACGGGGTTTCACCGCGGATACACCATCTTTAAGAACTGTAACGCTCACTGCGAGGGTCCACGGCTTCATTCTTGAAGTCAGCGAGACCAAGAACCCGCCGGAAGGAACCAATTCTGGACACAGTGAGGTCAAAAAAATTTTATGATTGATTTATTCCTCAATCCATTTTAATTATCCTAGATTACTGTTTCTTGGATTTTATCTAGAAAGGGATAAAAGGATACATATAAATGCCACCCTTAGGTGGATTAGAGTCATTAAAATTTGTGGATGTCACTTTGCTTATTGGTCCTGCTATTTCACCAACTTCAAATCAATTCAAAACTTTTTGAACACATCTGAGAATATACAAATCTGCTCTAAATCTGATTCTTTTGCTTTTCAAAAACACCTTTTATTTTTCTATAAAAGCTTCTCAGAATTTCATACATACTCTCAAATCTGGTGTCTCAGTTACAGTTTGGGGAAGGAGAATCACTATGAATGATGAAATAGAAGATGTATTATAGGAATAAGACTTTACACAACTGTGGGAGGATTTGAGACACAAAGGTCCAAAAAATTGTGGTTGGAGATCGTAGAAAATTCACTAATCATTGTGATGGAGAACTGGTAAAGTAATTTACAAAAGGCCCCCCCTGCCTATGGTGATGGGCCCTAAGACACTATAAGTCATCAGGACAAGTAGTTGGGAAAGAAATCTGGACCTGAAGTAGGATAAGTTAAGGCATATGAGCCCACAGGGACAAAGTGTTAACTGAGGGGATAAACTAGAACTCTTTTGGGCAAAGTGAAACCCCATTTGACTCATGACATCTGACTCTGACAATGTGGGTGACCTGAAGATGAAGCTGGTGCCTTCACGTGTTGTTGAACACCTGGCCTAAGACTCGGAGAATCTGAAGGAGGAGATTAGGTGGGAGCTAGAGGTGCTGTGGCACCACCGCTGCCTCTTGCCAGGGGAATGAATGAGCAGGTCAAGGACAAGGTGCACTGGCTGCAGCAATGCCTGCATCAACTTAATGAACAAAATGCCTGCATATTCACCTTCACCTTCCAAATCTCACACAAATTTCCAACCTTCAGCTGGAACCACTCTAGGAAGGGAACTCTTGGAAACATAGGTTCAGCTTGCTAAATTGACAAAATACAAATACCACTACTCAGCTCTTTCAAAATATGCCGAGACATGAATAATAATTATTCTATGAATATGCATTTAGTGAACACTTCTATGTGCTAGAGACTGCTAGACAGAAATCATAGACAAAGAATAGTTTACTCTCACTGAGCTTACAGTAAACCTCAGTCAGATGCGACATTTTCATGTACCTAGGGTTTTCTTGGTGCATGAATCTGACTGAGTGCCTGGCATTCATTCAGATGATATTTGAGTAGTCACTGTTAAGTATGCCTGTTGAGTTGGCGTTTCATACTCTTATGAAGCTTATATTCTATCAATCAATACATATCTATTGGATAAATGAATGATGGGTGAGTAAAGGTATGAGTTAATATGGATGCAAAATGAAGGTATATTTAATGCAGACTGAATGGTCTAGGGAAGGTTTCCTGGTGAAGCTGAATTTTGAAGGGCTGGTAGTAACCAGTGTTCAAGAGGTAGGATTGGATGAAGATGGAGCAGCTTGGAAAAATTTACAGAAGCCCCCACTTGCCCCCCACACAGAAGTGTAATAAATTTGAGGAATTACAGATTTGTTGGGAAAGAGAAGGATTAGAGGAAGCTGGTGATGTAATCATAAATGAGATCATGAAGAGATCAAGATGCCATTGTTTATCTGGAAAACAATGGCAGTCACTGAAAGACTTTAAAAATGTCAACAATAACTTTGGATATGTACTTAAAATTTTAATATTTTATTATTAGATTAAAACATACAATGAATTTACAATGCACTTTTTTCTAAAGTACTTTTAACTCCTTTAGCTCTTTCTTAGGTAGTTATTACTGCATCTTCAAATGAAATGTTTATAATTTTGAATTTAAGTTTGGATATTATCCATTTACTTCCTGTAGTAAAAGCTGGTGATTTGTAGTTTTAGAGCAGTCTTGTCATCCTTCACTTACCCTCTCAACATAGTTATATAATTTTTTCATTTAAATTACCAAACAGCCCTTCAATGACTGTAGAGAAGTAACTAACTTCCCATGGTTGGACACTTCCCATGGTGAGGAGCAAAGCCAGGACTGCCAGTGTTTTGGCATGGTGTGTGTTTTGCATACACATCCTTCCAACTTATCCCCATGATTTTCAGTCCATGTTTCACTCTTACCTTCCACCATACCTGACAATTCCTTTTCTGAGCTCTTAGGGGTCCTGGAAAGGCAAATTGATTTCTTTCTTATCCAGAAAACACTGGCTTGTCTTCTTTCCTGTAATCCATGTTGGCATGAGTTCATTCTTTAAAAAGTAAGTCACTTGCTTTCAATTTTCTGCACTATTAAGAGAGAGGATATGACCATGTAGTTTTCAATTTACATCTTTAAGCACGATGCCAGGCATATTTCAGGAAACTCATTCTAAAAACACTGTGGAAAGTAGGTTCAAAGGAGATAAGAGTGAAGACTGTTACAGTATTCTAATTGATAACTGATTAGAGCCTGAACTAAGATTATGCCATGAGGGATGGGGTGAAGAAAAAGGGAGGGATCAAAGAACTGCTAATGAGGTAGAAGCCATGGTCTATGTCCTGTTCTGATTTTGTGGTGTGAGAGAGGGGTCAAACATAATTCTGCAGTTCCTTTCCTCAGCATTACAAATGATGATCTTACTCAACAAGGCAGAAATACAGTAGAAGAAGTGAAGCAATTTTTAAAATATTACTTTGGGAGAGATGAGTTAACTTTTGGACATATTGAGTTTGATATTTCTATTGGCTGTCCATATGGACATATTGGTGGAAAGTTAGAGTTTGTAGCCAGAGAGGATAGTATTAAAAATCTGCAGTTTTGGAGTGAAAGAGTTCTGTGGTCAATACAATTCAGAAAATAGAAAATTAAAATCTCTAGATTTTAGGAGATTAAGAAACTGTGAGTCTAGGACTTTCAGCTGTTGGATGAGTCATACAAATGGACATGAAAGTTGTACAACATGATGTTGGAATATTGTGAGTTACTGGTGCCAGAACCATCCAAGTTAAGTCTTGACCAATGGCAGTATATGGCAGAGAATAGGAGCTGGATAACTTGCCTCAAAGAGGAGAGATTTGTTTGCTTTTATTAGAGGAGCGTAGAAAGGAAATTATTCAAAACTGGCATGCTAGGAGAATGCCACCTCTTGTCTAGTAGATAATCTATTTTGTCTTTCTTTGGAGATCTGAACTTCATGTGGTCTTGGAGGAATAGTCCATTTTGGTGTGTAGTTCCTCATGTCAGTGGAATATTTATCATATGCTAGGCTGGGCCAATAGTACAATATGCCCCATAGGTTGTGATTGGACTGAAGAATAGTTTTGTAACCCAAGCTATTTCAACTAGAATCCTTTTGCATTGTAGATGCACTCCTCAAGAGGAGGATAAAGATGATGTGATTCTGATGTTAGCAGCAGCCATATTGCCCATTGCCTAGAAGACTGCAAAAGAATCTTGAGAAAATTAATTCAAGCAGAAACAAGTGTAGGTGATAGCTGAAATTTAGAGGCATATTTATATTTGTTTGTGCCTTTGAGAATATTCCTCTTTCTTCTCTCCAGTTGTGTAAGTCCATAAATAACTTTTAAACTTTTTTTCTTAAGCTAGATTTGAATTTGGATCTCTATTGTCAACCAAAGACTGTTAACTAATATACCTCTTTCTGCACCCCACCATCATGAACTTGGGTCATGTGAATTATGAGATAAAAAATAGCCTCCATTAGAAGACTGTAGAGAGAGGGAGATCCTCCAAAGAAAGTCAAATTTTAGTTAAGACAAGAAGCTATAAAGAGCTTGTTTACAATAAAACAGGGTTTTAGAGGCCAGGATTGAAAGTGATGGAAGAGTGGGGAGTGTGAGAAGCAGGGTGACAGCAAAGGAAACACTGAATAGAGAAGAGCTTAAGAATAGGAAGTCATTTTGAAATGATTAAAGGGTTGTCACTATACATTTTATACCTTATAAGTAAGGTATAAAATAACAGTCATTTTTACAACTATATACATAATAAAATTTAGTTCAGATGTTATCAAAAATACCTACTTATGTGAGGTATCTAAAGTAGTCAAATTCATAGAAACAGAAAGTAGAATGATGGTTACCAGGGGCTTGGAGGAGGGAAAAATGGGGAGTTGTTTAATGAGCATAAAATTTCAGTTTTGCAAGATGAGAAAGTTTTGGAGATCTGTTGTTCAACAATGTGAATATTCTTAACACAACTGAAATGTATACCTTAAAATGGTTAAGATGGTAAATTTTGTGTTATGTGTTATTTTAACCTAAATTTAAAAAATTAGTTCAACTAATATAATTTGCATAACACCATGAAGAGTTAAAATGTGGGAATGTATCTAGAATACCAATGAAATGAAGGTACATTTTCAGAACAGGCACAATGTTACTGAATATCCCGGTGTAGATGCGGTTTCTGCCTCAGGAAGGTAAAATCTAAATTGGAGATGGTGACTGATCAAAGGTCAGGAAGGAGTCTGAAGAGAAAATATCACACTTAATAACTACCTTATGCTTTAGTAGAATGATATACAACAGAGAATTTGGGCTCACTTTGGAATTGCAATGAAGGGGAAAGAAAGGAACGATTGAATGGAATAAAAATAAACCAAGCAGCTCCTGTGTGGAGAATGATTACATCTTTAGTGTAATTTTCTCTGTAATGGAGGGGCCTTTAGCAAAACCCAGGAGGAAATTTTAGAGGTGATATGCTGGATGTGAAGGAGTCTGACTGCTAATCTTGCCAAGGGTCTCAGAATGTGTGTATTTTTTGCTGGTATATATTTTTTGAAATAAGCTTCAAGAAATTTCTAGATTGAGCTGGATCCACTCCCAGAAATCAATCTTCCTATTTTACAAATAGAGTTTTACAGATTGTTTCTAACTAACTTTGAGTTTGTTCAAGTTCATCCAACTAATGGATGGCATAGTTAAATCACAAGTCTCTGGATGTTCTTTGTAGTATTTTTCTCAAATGTGAATTTGGCTATCCACCATATTGAATCACTAGAAGGCGTTGTCTGTTCACTTTTCTATCATTATCATCATCGTTACCACAGCAGCGGCAGCAGCAGAAGTAGTATTTTGGTCATTGTTATTAAAAATTGTCAGCAAAAGGTACAGGGGTTATTTTCAAAGCTGTAAGTAGCCTTAGCTGAAACTAGGTAATAATCTCCCTTTCAATGTTCACATTTCCTTCAATTAGAAAAAGACATATTATAAGGAAAATGGTGCTGACAAAAATGAATGTGGAGTATAACTTCAAGAATTTATTCCCCAAATTCTCACAAATATGTGTCCCAATTTTGATTCTTGAAAAATAGGCCACAGTTTACCGCTTCTAAGTGGGTAAGAGTCAAGCTGGGTGATAAAGTAGTCTTTCTAACGTTAATATGCACTTGCTTTTGCTTTTTGTGAGCAGACGCCAAACATTCTGTACCCACCTTTCTGCCCTTTTCCACTTTTTTCTGACCCCTCTACTCTCTCCTCATAAACATCAAAGTTGCTTGAGTTTAGGTTGAAAAAGCAAAACCATTCCAATTTCTTGTGCTGTCTCTGAATTAACCTAATACAGTGACCATATAATTTATCAATTAAATCTGGACATTTTGAGAGAAGTGGAGGCACTATTAAAATTACACTCTAATAACTGGTATAAACAGTGATTGTCCTCGACAAATGGGAATATATGGCTACTCTATACAGTAAGACAAGGTTTAGTCTATCTCCAAGAGCATCTTTTTAGATCTAACCTAATCATCTATAAAAATATGAAACAAAATAATATGATGGTGTTCAGAATTCTGAGAGGTAGACTATTCAATTATTTGGCACTGGACTGTGTGTATTTCAGAGCCAACGTTGCTTCATGAGAACAAGATGAAATTATGATGAAGATGACTAGTTAAGCTTTTTAAGTATTTGTTTCAGATGAACATTTAGATGTTTATTAAGTGTTATTATTTATTGTGCTAGAAATAGGGTAAATAAATTAGGAACATGTTTTAGTATAAATAAACAAGTAATATTTCTGATTCTGGTATAATATTAGAAAACCTGGAAATGATTACTGAAGTTTATGCTTACTATATTTACCTAAAAATCAGCTTATTCAAATATATTCAAAATCAGATTATTCAAATATATTCAAAATCAGATTATTCAAATACTATTTAAAAATCAGCTTAAATCAGAAATGTCCTTGGAGATGATAATCTAGAAATTATCTTTTGCCTTTGAACCTACAGATAGAATAAATTAGGTTTTGTTAATAATTCCTAGATTTAAATATTGTTGAATAGGAGACCAAATATTTTCAACCTGTTATAATGTAACGTATTTTTTATCCACTCTGGAAGCAGAAGAATTATAGTTTAACCTTCAGTACCTAAAGTGATACTTTAATTTAAGGCATCCTTTATTGTTATGTAGGGAAGGAAGTCTTCCCAGAATCAGAAAGGAGCACCATTTACTTTTGGTTTTATTTCATTTTGTAGATGTGCCAAAAAGTTTGAAGAGCAGAGGCTTTTATATTTAGCATAAAATTATACTAACACCTTGCCAGTAACCTAAACCCTTTGGAACACAGCCCAGATTTGGGATTATATGGGAAAAGCTCCTAAGTACCCTAAACAATTGTTATAAAATCTCTGCACCAAATCCATGCCCTTAACAATTACTGATTCCACAATGATAAGCTTACTGACTTTTGATTTAATGTGTGTGTATGTGTCTTTGGATACACAGGTATAAAAAACTATTCGTTTATGAATAACAAATTTGGAACAAAAAACTAGAAGGTAGGCAAAAAGAGCAGATAAGTGATGGACAGATCTAATCTATATATGTTCTTAATGACATTTATTCTTAATGAAGACTCTGAATCAGCAAGAAAATTTAGATAATATCCACTAACTACTGCTTAATAAGTGGGAGATGTAATTTCTTTTAGAAAGAAGTCCATTAAAAATTGTGTATATGTTTTTAAAAAGTTGTTGGTATTTTAAGTGGTAGGCTTTATTTTTTGGCAAAATTCACTGACATGGAACACCTCATGCTTCCATAAGGCTACATAAAATGTTTTTATAATACAGGTTATGGGAAACATAATACTAAATTATGCATATTATACGGTAAAGACTATATAAATACCTACCTTGATATAATTTGCTCTCAGAACAGGCCTTTCTGGACTTGAACACTTGTGAATAGTTGAGGCTGTAAGTCTGGTGAGGGTGTGAGAAAACAGGATAATTCTGGCTCCCTTAGCCCCATTTTTATAGGACTGTTTTCAGCTGCCGCTTATTTGATGTGATATGTCATGTCATTCTGTATTATGGCATTCCAGAAGTGCTGTTTCAACATCAAGTCCAAGCACATTTCCTTGGGAAGTTGATGAGGTTGAACTGGAGAACAGCTGTAGGTACGTGGAGGACCTGCTGGGATAGCTGTTAAAAGGCATTAAGGAGTCTGATTATTAATCTAAGTTTCAGTTAAGAAGCAATACATTCTCCAGAGAAAAAACAAGGAAACTGCTTTGTAAGAAATAACATATCACTCTACCATCATCCCCACTCCACCACTAATCAGTATATATAATTAAAATTGAGTTTATAAAAACATTCATCCTTGGGACCATGAAGGAATGCAAGACAACACAGAAATAACTTCAGTCTGGGGATAATTCTGCCAGGATTCTGTACTTCATGGTGAACACATTGTGGTTTGCAAACTCCTTTTTCCACCCAAATTATGAATGAGTCATTGAGTTGTTGGTATAACCTCTGAGTCATTTTGCTAGCGTGGAAATAGGCTTTAAGGAATTGTTTACATTCTCTCCCTCCATTTCTTTTGGAGATGTAAGCAAGCTGCGTCAGGTTGGAAGGAGTCAATGGCAAAAGATTTGTCTTCCTCTGTTGAAGTTAAAACTAGGACCATTCCTTCTTTTTACTGCTATTGAGATTTTTAACAACAGACCTACGTGGCCAGGTGATTATGGCTAATGAATAACACTTATAACTGAAACTGAACATCTTTCTTTCTTTCTGGTGTCCGTCCCTGAGGACCCGTGTGTAACACAAGCACCAGACTTCAGTCTCTGATGGTAGAGATTTTGGTAATTCATTGACCTAACAAAGCTCTCAGCACCATTTATGTTTTAGGTCACAAAGTACTTGTGGACTCCCGCTCTTGCCTGAGTGAGGTTCTTGCCAGCATTTGTGTTGCATCTGCAGGACACATAAGTGTTTGGAAGTGGGGGAGCATGGCTATGGGAAAGAAGTTATAATAATATAAAATAAAACATTCTTCTCTTATCTGAATCTTAATATCGTAGGGGTAGAGAAATCGTAGAGATTCGTTGGTTGAAGTGTTTTCAAATACCAAAGTCAAGATTCATGTCTTTCAGACTGTGAATATTGTTTCGTAGATAATATACTTTTTGGGGGGGGTAGGCAGAGGACATTATTGCTAATAATAACCTCCTTCTTATTCATTTGCATTTCAATACAATTTCTTGAGTGGGAAGAAAAGAATATAGTTACAGCTAGTATTGTGGGATTTCATACATCTTGTCCTACCATGGCATAAGTCAAGTGACTTACAGTTACAAAACTCTGCCTGAGATGTCCTTTACTCCTCTCCTGCCTCGAAAAAGAAATCTGCTTATCCTTTAACACAGAGCAAGTATCACTTTCTTTATAAAGTGTGGCCTCTCTACCCTAGGCTCTCCTCCTCCAGCTGAGAAGAACTTTGCTCTCCCTCTCAGCTCTTTATAGCACATGGTGCTGCCAGTGATGTTTATCACATTATGTTACTGTTAGTTACATTCCAGTTTCTCTGTCTTTTTAGAAGATAAGCTGCTTTATTCATTTGTGTATCACTAGGGCCTGGCAGGATAGCTAGTGCTTAGTAATGCTCAACAGATGTTAGTGTCAGAACCAGAATTGGTGCCCAGTTTAATACCCAAAACTACCAAGTTACTATATTTCTGAAATCAAAACTAACCAAACACTATCTTATTTATTCTATTACACTGTATACTTGTACCCATGAATCAACCTCTCCTCATTTTGGTAGATAAGTAGGGTGACTATAGTTTACAATAATCTCTTGTCTATTTCATAATAGCTAGAAGAAACTAATTCAAATGTTTCTAACATAAAGACAAAATACTTAAGGTGATGAATATCCCAATTACACTAATCTGATATTTACATGTTGTAAGAATGTATTAAATTAGCACACATGCCCCCAAAATATGTATATTTATTAAGTATTAATAATTTTAGAAAAGATCAATGTCAGACAACTTAAAAACAAAAAACAAAAACAAAAAAACCCAGAAACCAACCAACCAATCAGCTGACAAATTAAATCAAACAAATAATTGTTGTTTTACTTACTTGGCTAATCTGAACCCATAAATCAAGCATGGTTTTATGGGTGAATGTGCAGAAGGTGGACAGAGTCAGACAGGATGGCACATGTTTTTGAGTTTATTTTCTGGCCAACTGTTTTTCAGACTTCAGGATAAGTCCTTAAGTCATGGATATCTATGTCATGGATACATTGTGAGACTTTGAAAGAAAAACAACATAACACTTTCAGGTGAAAGGTGTGAGCCGTTGAGGCATTAATAAGAAAAGTGAGATGAATATTGAAAGTACTATTGTCAAAATCCTGCCTAGAAACATCGGAATGAATTTCTCTGTCTTTGTACAAAGCTATCTGTGCTATATTGTTTCTTCCTCTCTTTTCCCTTCCACCCCTTCTTGTTTTCTTCCCCTTCTCCTTCTCCCTTTGCTTCCTCCTACTCTTGTCCTTTCTCTTACTCTTTCTGCACCTTCTTTTCTTTTTCCTTTTCTTTCTTCTTGTCTCTATGTCTATTTTATATTCTCTCCTCCTGCCATCTTTTATTCCTAGGGTTTTATTTTTAAGAAGTTGGCAATGGTGATGGCAAGTCAGTGAATCAAATGAGGGAATGGTTATGGGGAAATTAGTGCAATTTAGACGATAGGAGGAAGATATTGCTCACAAAAATTTCATTTCTCTGTGTTTCAAAAATGCATTTATTTATTTTGTTTAGGCAATATAGTCACATGGCTCAAAATTCAAAACTAGAAAAGAGAATATAGAGAAAATCTTCCTCCTACATCTATCCCACTCAGTTTTCTCCAGGCAGAAAAGCAAGATACAGTTTCCTCTGTGTATTGCCAGAGATACTTTTATGCATGTATAAATAAGCACTCACACATAGTTATCCTTTTTCTTCTCTCTTTTTGTAAATGGAAACACATATTTTACATCTTAATTACACCTTTTCTGCACATTGCTTATTTTTCTTTAATGGCTGTAAGATATTCCATTATACAGATGCACAGTAATATATTTAATGAGTTGCTTTTTTGATAGATATTTAGGTTGTTTCTCATATTGTGTTGTTAATTTATACTAAATAAAGTTTTTACACATATTCCATTTCACACATGTGCAAGTATCTCTATATTCCAAGATGAGGAATTTCTAGGTCAAAGAGAAAATATATTAGTAATTTTCATAGGTACTGGCAAATTGCCCTCTGTTCTCCCAAACCTCATGAAGTGTGGGTTTTTAAACTTTTTCATAATGCCCACGATATCTTCAAAGTATAATCTATTTTTTACTGAATATTCCATTAGCCAGTTATTCAGACAAAAAGCATTTGCTTTTTTGTCCTTTTATAATATTTCTGAAATTTTAATAAAGCAATCAAATGAAATAACTGATTTGTGTTGGAGACTGTGTCCAAAGAACTGGTTGAAAAATAAAAAGAATTCAACAAGTTGTTTTGTTTACATGATATTGAACCACTGACTGGAGGATTTTGTTTTACTGATTTGGAAAAATTATTCAGGCTTAGACTGAAGTTCTTCATAGTATTGCAGAAAAAATATTGTTTTATATCTGTTTATTTTCATAGTCACTTTCTATTCGATTCAGCAAACATTAATTGCCTAAAATGTGCTAGACACTGCAAGGTTTGGAGATACAATGGCAGATATGACAGTCCCACAAACCAATGACTGACAAATTTAAAAGTGGCATTTAAACAGGCTTTTAGAACTCATTTAACAGGGAGTATTACAAGCATCTCTTGTAATTTCAAAGATGGCTATTAAGGAAATTAGTATAATAAGAAATGATGAAAATATCAATCAGGAAACCACCTTTCAGTTTTAGTCAACCGATTGCTAATTATTGACAATTCTCTCCCTGGAATAAATGCAAATTAGATCACCTCTTTCAGTAGGGCAACATAAAATTTGAGCTATAAAGCTCTTCAGTCCCTTTGACCTGCTAATTGTTACATCTAGGCAATTTTCCTATAATTCAGAAACAGTCAGTTGACTTAGCCTTATCAATAAAATTACTTATATTTAAAAAAAAACCAAAACTAGTTTAAAGATCAGTGGTTTTAATTTTCATATTGTGGCATTGCATTGACCCTGTACCATCCTACTCAGGAATTAATATTTATTGTATGATAAGTTTGTAAGCAGAATCCATAGACAATTCAAACATATTACATAATGTAAGTTGCATGATATTGGTCTACACTTAATGAACTTCTTGTGAAATATAACCTCTTGATTATGCAACATTAGATCTTAACTTCTTATTCAATGATCTATTTCAATGAAATATCACAATTCACTTGGTATCACTTTTGTTCCCACAATTACACTGCAAATATAAATTACAGTTTCACAATTTTGATTGTCTGCCATTGTTAATATCTTGCAACTTTGGTTTAGTATTGTGATCTACTAGAGTCATACAGTCTTTGTTTTTTAGACAGGGTCTTGCTGTGTTGTCCAGGTTTGATGGAGTGCGGTGGTGCAATCCTGGCTCACTATAACCTCTACCTCCTGGGCTCAAGGGATAGTCTCATCTTAGTTTCCTGAGTAGCTGGGACTACAGGTATGTGCCAACAAGCCTGTCTAATTTTCTTTTTAAAATTTTTTGTAGAGACAAGGTCTTTCATTATGTTTCCCAGGCTGGTCTCAAACTCCTGGCCTCAAACAATTTGCCTCCTTTGGTCTCCCAAAGTGCTAGCCTTCTTATTTCATAATTAATTCATACACTGAACAAATAATAATTAGGACATATTATATACCAAAATCATATGTGGATATTGAGATAATAGGTGGATATTGGGATGTAGAGTTTTCATTAGAGAGGAGAAGACAAACTAAATAACTGGATAAATAAGGTAATTGCAGATTTCGATACCTATTTTAAAGGAAAGAACTAAAAGATGAGAGAATAAGTACCCAAGGTAGCCACTAGGATGTCAGGGAAGGCCTCTGATATGGCTTGACTCTGTGTCCCCACGCAAATCTTATCTTGACTTGTAATCCTCACATGTCGAGGAGGGACCTGGTGGGAGGGTATTGGATCATAGGGGCAGTTGCCCCCATGCTGTTCTTGTGATAGTGAGTTCTCACAAAATCTGATGTTTCAAAAGTGGCACTTCCCACTTCACTTGCTCTCTCTCTCTCTCGCCACCATGTAAGACGTGCCTTGCTTCCTCTTCACCTTCTGCCATGACTGTAAGTTTCCTGAATCCTCCCTAGCCATGTGGTGCTGTGAGTCAATTAAAAATCTTTTCTTTATAAACTGCCCAGTCTTAGATAGTTCTTTATAGCAGTGTGAAAATGAACTAATACAGCCTTTGGAAATTCATGGTTGACCACAGACCAGGAGTTTGAGAATAAATGGGCTCTACAGTGAGATAATAATTATTGGGAAGAGTAGTCTAGGCAGAGATAATAAATATTAAGGAAAGAAAAGCAGCTTGTCTTTTTCTGGGAAAAAGATGAGACTAAATGACATATCTAGAGACACACGATTCTTGTTAGAAGTCATAGGCCTCACTCTTTGTGTTATGTGGTCTAACACATTTGATAGAACATAAGAGGAACTCCTCATTCATTCACTTCTTTATTTAATATACTCCACTTGAAATATAAAAATCAGAACAGCAAAATCACCACCTTGACATCTGGTATTTTCAGTAGTTAAATTGATTATTAAAAAGTTTACCATCTTATTATTTGCTTGATATTAAAACATTTTCTTCTCAAAGAATAAGACACAAAATGAAATATGTAGTTTTTGAATAGTATTTTTCCTGGGTTCTAAGAAGATTCCAATGGCCAACAGGTCATCAACTTCAACTTTAAAAAATATTAATGTATAAATTTGCCATTATACTAGATATTTTGCTTTTCTTGGTTCTAGCTGAGGTAAGACCCCCAGAGGTAAACATCTGAGACAACCTGGGCCAATCGGATTTTATTTTATTTTTCTGGGAATTTGGAGTAAGAAGCCTGGGGGATCAAGCCTTTTACAATGAGGATGGAAGCTTAAACTGAATGATTTAGTAGCGTAGGGTCAGAGCCATTGTATGGCAAAGCAACAAGCTAACTGAAATTTTTTTTGGGCATCTTAGAAACCAGAAATAGGAAAGCCAATTTATAGAAAGAAGCAAGAAAATAGAGCAAATATACAGAGAAGCAACAATAAGATGGTGTGGCTTATTGGGAAATAGAGCAGTATTCTGCCAGACATCCCAATTCTTATGTGCGGGATCACTTTTAGACCTAGGCAAGTCAAGCAAGTTCTCCCCTAAGTCCTTTAAAGTGCGTGCAGACACACACACACATATATGTATATGTATGTATATATATGTATATATCACAAATCACACAGGAAAATCACAAACACACACATATCACAAACTCACATGTGAAAATCAATTACTAAAGATAAAGAACACAGGGGTACCTTTGTCATTTGGAAGCCAGTACTCCATGCTGGCACAGCAAGACCCTGAACTCTGAACATCCACTCTTGTGGCTAACATGATTCAGTCATAAGGGAAATGCTTCTTCATGTCTTTTGCCCTGTGTTCATGAAATAAAGGCAGCAGGGTCCAGCTGAAGTTGTGCCTTTTTGATGTCAGAGATGGGCATTGCTTGAGTGCAGGGTGAATTTGGTTAAGTACAAGCTTTTGGTTTAGGTAAAAGACTAACTTACTAGTGAAATGTTTTCTTTTGATTTAGTGCAATCAATCTTGCACGATAAAATGTGATTTTTCAGTAGTGCAGAATGTATACTTTCTTGTTTCTCTTTAATACTCCAATTTGGATTTCAGAGGTATTCACAAATTGGCATAGTATTTGCAACCATTGTGCATGGTGGAAAAGGATCATTTTGCAATATTAAACAATTCATATTATTTATAAATCTGTAAAATGTGAGTTGTAACACGATGCTACAGATTCTTTATGTAACAGAGAGGTCCTAGATATTGTTTTCAGAGAAGGTGAATATAGAAATATAAATTTTAAGGATAGATATTTATAAAATCAATATACTTTACAATATTTTCTGTAGGATGATAGTTTCCGTATGCAATTCCATTAAATTATAAATTATGGCATATAAAATTCTTGCTGCTGCTGCTTCTTTTTTTTTTGATGTGGAGTCTTGCTCTGTTGCCCAGGCTGGAGTACAGTGGCATGATCTTGGCTCACTCCAACCTCCACCTCCTGGGTTCAAGTGAGTCCTGTGCCTCAACCTCCCAAGTAGCTGGGATTATAGGCACGTGCCACCACACCCAGCTAATTTTTGTATTTTCAGTACAGACGGTGTTTCACCATGTTGACCAGGCTGGTCTTGAACTCCTGAAAGTGATCCGCCTGCCTTGGCCTCCCAAAATGCTGGGATTACAGGCATAAGCCACCCTGCCCGGCCTGTGTCATTTTTTTTCTTGCAGCTCCAGCTCAAAGGATCTTGCTTCATTTTTGAGTTGTTGACACGTCCTATGGCCACTGCCTCATAAGAATAAAGTTTCTCCAAACTGAAATATACAAATATATTATTTAATAACTACAGCAACTTAAGAGATGTTGGTTAAATTAGCATTCATATTGATAAAACACAGACTAAATGAACATTTTTACTATAATTACATATCAGTAATTTTGCTAAAATGGAAACAGGAATAAATTTTGTGAAATAAATATTTATGCTTACATATGTCTATTTCATTAGTCATCCAAACATGAATAGCCTATCAGCCAAATACCCAGATATGTACAATAATAATTTATCTGTGATATTTTGCCAACTTTCAAACATAAAAAACCGTAGGTTTACATTTTTAAAATGTTGTTTTCAGTTTGTCAATTAGGAGGACGGAATATATTTTATTTAACAATTTGGTATCTTGAGATTTATCATTTTTAAATATTTTGTCATATGGTATGTTTTTTCCTATTGTAGTGTTGTGCCGTGCGCCAGAGATATTGGGGTGGGTCTACTTCTGTGAGCTGCTTTTACTTTGTTTTCTGGTTGACAACCCTGTTATTTCATTTCTATGAGATTCCATTTTTTAATTTAATTAATTAATTAATTAACTAATTAATTTTTGAGACGGAGTCTCGCTCTGTCGCCCAGCTGGAGTGCAGTGGCGCGATCTCGGCTCACTGCAAGCTCTGCCTCCTGGGTTCACGGAATTCTCCTGCCTCAGCCTCCCGAGTAGCTGGGATTACAGGCGCCCGCCACCACATCCGGCTAATTTTTTGTATTTTTAGTAGAGACGGGGTTTCACCCTGTTAGTCAGGATCGTCTCCATCTCCTGACCTCGTGATCCGCCCGCCTTGGCTTCCCAAAGTGCTGGGATTACAGGCGTGAGCCACGGCACCTGGCCCTATGAGATTCTATTGTAGCCTTTTAACCACACCCTATTTTTCACTTGGGCTAATTTGAGTTAATTTCTGGGGTTTTTTTTTGTACTAAAAAATCTTATCTAAGAAAATAATAGAGGTATATATTATTTCCCATGTAGATGAAAAATAAATGAATTCCCATTTGAATTAAAAATAATATAAAGCATAATCTACCAAATTCTGATTGTCTATATCTTGAGCCATTTTAGAAATGAGTACTTTTGAATGTGACTAATTTAGATCCTTCTAAATTCATCAGTACTTTTGGTTCTCTGAAGATTTGGACTGCTTTTGAGTGTACTTGTAGGAATGGAAGAAGCACAACAACAACAACAAAATATTTTACTTTCACTGACAAGAATCATATTTCTGGCCTTTAATGTCATGAATTAAGCTCTGCCATTTTAGTAGAAGAAAACACAGTAGGCTTGATATATTAAGTATATAAAGGAACAAAGTGATGCTAATGGTATTTGACTAGCACCTGAGACAGAAAATTAAACATTAATAGAAAAAACTTTAAGTGAAATATTAATGCTATTCAAAAAAGAAACCTCAACTTTTAAAAAAATGTAAGCACTAATTTCAAGGTGAAAATCGAAGAAAAATATCTCATTTATTTATTTTCCTGGTGTAAACCAGATTATTCACTCTTTGGAAAATGTTTTTAAATTTAGAGTCAGAGAATTCTTAGATCTGAAAGGCCTTTATACGATTCTCTAAGTTCACCCCCTCATCTTATAGATGAGAAAATTGAGGCCTAGGCTGTTATACTGATTTGTAAAGCCTCACAGACCGTAAATGGCAGCTTAAAGTACCCTCGTATTTGACTTATTTATCCAGTGTTCTTTCCCCGAAGAATACTCTGTAATTTCTTTAAATGAAATCAAATCTAAAAAGGAGGAGATTATAATATAGAAGAAAGAGAGTTAATAACCAATTTTAGGATCTATGTCTGACCTTGTTATTCATGAGGGCATTACTCTAAGAGAAAGATTAAACAAAGATATCTGGCATTAAATGCAGATTGAAACATACTTTAATTCCACCTAACTGTATGCATTCATTCAGATGTGACATAGATATTCAGATCCTGTTGCTTTTTGCCTGAATGTGCTGAGTCAACCTTGTAATGAAAAAGGGATGAGTTTTTTTTTTTTTTTTGAGATGGAGTCTCGCTGTGTCACCCAGGCTGGAGTGCAATGGCGCGATCTCGGATCTTGGCTCACTGCAACTTCCGCCTCCCGGGTTCAAGCAATTGTCCTGCCTCAGTCTCCTGAGTAGCTGGGATTACAGCCATGCCCCATCATGCCCAGCTAATTTTTGTATTTTTAGTGGAGACGGGGTTTCACCATGTTGGCCAAGCAGGTCTTGAACTCCTGACCTCAGGTGATCCTCCCACCTCAGCCTCCCAAAGTGCTAGGATTACAGGCGTGAGCCACCGCGCCTGGCCAGGGACGAGATTTTTGAAGTTCTATTAAGTTCTATTTTCATGTGGTGTACTATTTCAACCTTTCTTTACTCTTCCTTCTCAGGAGAGTTAACCATTTTTCTGAACTGTTTGATCATTTCCTTCTCTCCAAGATGAATCCTTGCACTTATGCCTTGAAACTCATCCACTTCTGTCTCTTCAAAGACTTTACTTTTTTATACTTTCTACTTGTTTTTCTCTAGAACAAGGGTCCCCAGCCCCCAGGCCACAAACCAGTAGCGGTCAGTGGCCTGTTAGGAACCAGGCCGCACAGCAGGAGGTGAGCGGCAGGTGAGTGAGCATTACTGAGCATTCCCACCTGAGCTCTGCCTCCTGTCAGATCAGCAGGCATTAGATTCTCAAAGGAGTGTGAACCCTAATGTGAACTGTGCACGCAAGGGATCTAGGGTACGTGCTCCTTAGGAGAATTCAACTAATGGCTGATGATCTGAGGCAGAACAGTTTCATACCCAAACTACCCTCTCCCACACATCCCCTGTCCATGAAAAAATTGTCTTCCACAAAACCAGTCCCTGGTACCAAAAAGGTTGGGGACCACTGCTCTAGAAGGTTCCATCAACATGTAAATGTGCCAAAGTTTCTCCTGTCTTTAAGTGCAGGCAAGCAACCCATCTCCTCTATCCCACCAAGTGGATATTTCCTTCCACCCATCCTCATTTTCTCTTTCCCCTCAAGACCAAGCTATTGTAAAGGTAAGTGTCCAATTCTCCACTTGCTCACTCCCCACGCATCCTTTAAGGCTTTTCATCTCAACTTGGTCCTCCCTTACTCACCTAACTCTAACCCCTTGTCCCAAATTCCTTCATAGAAATTGTTTTCTGCAAAGGTAGCACTGGCTGCTTAATTGCTAAATCCAAAGGATACTTTTTAGTTCTTACCTTTCTTGATCTATAGAATATCTGGAAATGTTACATCTGGGAAAAAAACCTACATCATTGATTCTAGCCTCCTCAAATGACAGATGTGAAAACTGGAGACCAGAGAATCAAATCACTTTTTTTTTCCTCAATCACGCTCAGCAGTGTTTCCATAGTCAATGGAAAGAAATCAAATGTCATTTTGGCAAAAAATTATGCACTGTTCACCAGGCCATTTCTCTACCAAGATAAATAAATCAAAATTCATGATACCGAAAGTGCAAGGTTTTCAATAAGAGGTTAAAATAAAAATGACTTGTGTTTCGCATGTCTCAAGAGCCTTATTCATGAACTTCATGGTAGCCAGTTCTTAAAAAAAAAGTGAGTCAGTAATTCTAGAATTTTAAAATTGTTCATTTAACTAAGGAGAATAGATACTAAAGAGCCAAGAAAGTCTTGGCAGAAGTAAAATCCCTCTGAGTATTGATGAAATTTTTAATTGGGTGATGCTGATACATATCTGCATTGGACGTGTGGATTTTAATTATTTGCTTGGTAAAGACGTAAAAGATGCCTCTTGTTACAGATGTGATCTGTCAGCCATCCAGATAGATTTCCACTAGAAGAGGAAGAAGCTGTCTTCTCTGCTTCCTTCCTCCCTGCTCGCAAAGTAGAGATGCTATCTATAACCTTTTATGCTGGCCAGCCTGGAGCTCTTCCTGTTAAAACTCATGTACTTTAAAGTTCCACACTCATCTGGTATTTCTCAGCCTCAGTAATTAGGTCAGTGTTTAAATATAGAGCCACACATTATTTAAAATGTTGAGAAGCTTTGGAGCAATGTCAAGCTTCATCTCCATAAAGTGTTCTTACTAGTTTTTATTAACACTGTTTGGATATTATCATTTTAAATTTTCTCAGTGCTTGTATATTCAATTTGTACAATATATATGTCTGCTCATATGTTATCTCGGAGTCTTGGAGCTATTTTTTCTTTATTTCCAGGTATGTTTCTTTGACCATTTTAGCTGATCATTTTTCTGAAGAATTTCGAGTCCTTCCAACTAGATTAATGAATGTGGGTAATGTACTTAGCTTTTCTAAATTTTTTTTTTTTTAATTTTTGAGACAGAATCTCACTCTGCCACTTAGGCTGGACTGCAGTGGTGCAATCTCGGCTCAATGCAACCTCTGCCTCCTGGGTTCAAGCAATTCTCGTGCCTCAGCCCCCTGAGTAGCTGGAATTGGAGGCATGCACCACCACATCTGGCTAATTTTTTCTTTTTTTTTGTATTTTTAGTAGAGACGGGGTTTTGCCATGTTGGCCAGGCTGGTCTCAAACTCCTGACCTCAAGTGATCTGTCCGCCTTGTCCTCCCAAAGTGCTGCGATTACAGACATGAGCCACTGTGCCCAGCCCTAAATTCTTAATGTCCTCATCTCTGCAATGGGAATACTCCCATTACCTGCCTCACAGAATTGTCCTGAGGATTGTATGTTCTCAGCATATTTCTTGGCACATGGCAGGAATCAAGCACATATTGACCTTCCAAACTCCTTCATTTCTTTTCTTTCTTGCCTTTCTCTCTCACAGCACCTATAGCTGAATCGCCTTTGGTAGATGCATCTTTCTACCCAATTCTCATTGAGTGAATCGATGTTACAATGGGCAGATTAAAGTGGAGACTTGTTTTGCATGGTAACATTGAAAACTGTGTATGTGACTTGGGAGGAATTGTTGTTCATGGGTCAGCTGACTAGTTATATTATGCAGTCTTTCAGATAACACAATGAATTATTAATCCACATTAGAGAGTTGAAGGCTGGAGCCCTGGATTCCTGCCCAGAGAACGACTCTGACACATTATAGGCATATGGTTGCCTGGCTGGAACAATGACTTTTTGTACACGTGCCAAAGGAAACTTTACGATGCCTGTTGACATTCTGTCCTTTCTTTGTTTCTCCATTATTGGATGACTTTGCTGCTCTATTCTTTTTTTTTTTTTTCCTTTTCTGTTTGGATACATTTTATCCTAACTTATGCCCAATAAAACATTACTGAGAACATGAACAAGATAAAGGAGCTAGTATGTCTTGTTAGTTAGTTTCATTATGTGTTGAAGCTAAAGCCTTCAAAGGACTGTGTATGATTAGGGCTTCACAACTATTTATTTAAAGCCTTATTTTGTCTCTGTTCATGTTTATAGAATATGAAATACTCAGTAAGGCAGACTTAGTACATATATGAAGTCTGTGTAATCTCAGGGCTTCAGGAAGACTCTACCTGTTCTCCCATACAACAAATTCTGCCACTCAGCTGCTGCAGGACTGCCTTCCACATATACATGGTTTGAATTTCCTAATTCTGAAATTCTCAGTGGGTTGTATCAATGATAAGTATTTGTATCTTTAGTGCTGCCTGAGTTCAAGACATGATGATATAGTTTGGCTATGTCCCCACCCAAATCTCCATGTGAATTGTTTCTCCCAGAATTCCCACATGTTGTGGGAGGGAGAAGATGGGGGGTGGGGCAGTAATTGAATCATGGGGTCCAGTCCTTCCCCTGCTGTTCTCGTGATAGTGAATAAGTCTCACGAGATCTGATGGGTTTATCAGGGGTTTCCGCTTTTGCTTCTTCCTCATGCTTTTAATCTTGGTGCCATCATGTAAGAAGTGCCTTTCACCTCTCACCATGATTCTGAGGCCTCCCCAGAGATGTGGAACTGTAAGTCCAATTAAACCTCTCTTTCTTCTCAGTCTCAAGTATGTCTTTATCAGCAGCATGAAAATGGACTAATACACATGATTAGTGATCTAATTTTAGGATCAAAGGTTAGAAAGCTGCATTAATCTTCTCAAATATGCCTATATATTAATATGTTTGTTAAAATCGATGATACTTTTTCAGAAAATATTTTCTATTAAGTAAAGTAGGCAACAGGATTTAAGTTATAAGAGTATACCTATTGACCATTAAAGTGAATTCAGGTATTTTCAGACTAAATGAAAAAATAAAAGGACCTTGTAAATGTTTTTTTTTGTTTTTTTTTTCCCGAAATAATCCCATATGCTGTTTGCTAGCCATGGAGTTAAAATGATAACAGGTTGGGTATTACTCTAGGAAAGCCACAGTAGAACCACATACAGATGGGACAGTTGATTTAGGTTCCTTCCTGAGCACATTAGCTTGATAAATGGATCAGATTTGTGAGCTACCACTTTAGACGAATAGAGGATCAGGTAAAAGGGAGCTTCAGTGGGGAAGGAGTGATCCTAGGAAGGAGGATCATAGCAGAGAAGGGTTTAGGTGGTAAGGACCTGGGAGGGGTAACTGGAAGGTAGCAGAAATGAACGAGACTGATTTTACTTAGTCACAGTTATACGAAGGGCATGGACCCCTGCAACAGAGAAGTCCCAGCTGCTAGAAATTGGCAGTTGGTGGTATACTAGCATAGCAGGAAGGAAACTTATCTGGGAGGCAGGAATTATGGTTTGATCTGGGCTCTGCATTAATCAATTTGTGGTTTTGAATAATCTATGATTTCAGATAAGCCCTCATTTCATCAGTTATGAAATAATGGAGTCATACCATTTAAACCATCTGTTGTACCAGTAACATTATGATTCTAAGATTAGCTAATTCTTGTACTATCTTCCCTGTGTGTAATGGGAACATTTCTCAAGTCCCTAGGTAGAGCTGAGAAAAATATACATTGTTGTCTTCTGAAAATTATCAAATTTACTTTCAACTTCTGACTTTGTGTTTTCAAGTTAACTAGTACTTCTATGCCTATTTGCTTCTCTACTTTTTCATTGATGAGAAATGATTTGACAGCATTACACATCGTTTATAATTATTTTCAGAAACACACTAAAAATCTTTCAAACTGACATGTTCAATAATTTAAAAATGTCTAGCCAATATGTTTTTAAAAAGCCTGTTAACTCATTTTTACTGTGTATTACTTTATACTCAAAAAAATATAACTCCTGTTTTCACTAAAAGTATTGATAGAAAACAAGTGGCACAATATTATACAGGATATCTCAACATAATATCTTTAATATGTTTTTTCTTTCTTATGGTTATTAAATTGGTTGTACTTTCTGTTAGTTTGGTTTTTACCAACATTAAGAATTCATATGCAGTCATGTGTTACTTACTGACAGGGATATATTCTGAGAAACGTGTCCTTCGGTGATTTAGTCATAGTGTGAACATCATAGAGTGCACTTAGACTCAGATGGTGTAGCCTACTACATACCTAAGCTATATGGTGTAGCCTATTATGCTTAGACTAAAAATCTGTGTAGCATGTTACTGTACTGAGTACCATAGGCAACTGTAACACAATGGTAGGTACTTATGTCTCTAAACATATCTAAATATAGAAAAGGGACAGTAAAAATATGGCATAAGTGATAAAATAATGGTACACCTCTATAGGGGACTTACCATAAACTGAGATTGCAGGACTGGAAGTTGCTCTGGGTGAGTCAGTGAGTGAGTGGTGAATGAATGTGAAGGCATAGGATATTACTGTACACTACTCTAGAGTTTACAAACTGTATACTTAGGCTACACTAAATTTATAAAAAATATGTTTTCAATAATAAGCTTAGCTTACTATAAATTTTTACTTCATAAGATTTTTAATTTTTAAAACTTTTTTGGTCTTTTGTAATAATATTTAGTTTAAAACACATTTTTCTTTACATTTTCTTTAATACTTATTCTGTAAGCTTTCTCTATTTTTAATTTTTTTATTTTTATTTTTTACTTTGTAAACTAGTTTTGTTTAAAACTAAGACACAGAGACAATACATTAGCCTAGTGTATTGTCTCTGTGTCTTAGTCATCACATCAGAATCATCAATACTCTCTTCCACCTCCACATCTTGTCCCACTGGAAAATCTTCAGGGGCAGTAACATCCATGGAGCTGTCATCCCCTATGATAACAATGCCTTCTGTAATACCTCCTGAAGGACCTGCCTGAGGTTACTTTACAGTTAACTTTTTTTTTTTTAAGTAGAAGGAGTACATTCTAAAATTACAATAAAAAGTATAGTATAGAAAATACAGAAACCCATAACTCAGTCATTTATCATCAGTATCAACTATTATGTGCTGTACATAATTATATGTGCTATACTTTTATATGACTGGCAGCACAGTATTTGTTTATACTAGCATTACCACAAACATGTGAGTAATGGGTTGCAATGGCTATGATGTTACGAGATGATAGGAATTTTTCAATTTCATTATCATCTTATGAAACCACCATTGTACATGCAATCCATCATTGACAGAAACATCATTGTGCAGTGCATGACTGTACAATCCCCTGGCTGCTCATGTAATATGATTCCACATTAAAAATTACCCCTAAATGGAATAAAAAATTTCAGAGCACACATCACCTTAGTGATGAGATGTATTATTAAGCAGGTAATTGAATCAAAAGAGATTTGAAATAGATACAGAAATCTACACAAAATGAGCATATGGAAGATGCTAGAGAAAAAATTCTATAGTTTCCTAGACAGGAAGAAATACCAGCAGCTGGCTATGCTGTTGGCACAGATGGAAAGAAATGACATATATACTAATAGACAAAAATATTTAAGGCATCAAAAATTCCAATAAATTAGCGAAACTTATAGCTTATCATCTAAATCTGGTTAGAAATTTTACAGAGAATTAAGAGAGAAAATACAAAAGACATTGGTCATAAAGAGTTCCAGAGCCATTTAGCCAAATGTTCAGACCCCATAGAAGATATTTCCTCTGGCCACACTTCTGAACGTAAATAATATTTGAGGTTTTCCACTGAAATTGAGCTCTATCAAGGGAATGTGAGTGAGAGTAGGTCAGAGTTCTTAGGAGTTCAGCCTTTTTCCTCTCTGTAGAATTAAGAAAAAAAGAAATTGCAAGTGACCTGAAATTCAATGAGACAATGTAACAGTTTCAGTGAAAAAGTTCATCTGATTCACAATGGGAAAAAAACTGAAATGAGGTTTTTGCTGAAATAAGTAACATTTATAACCAAAAAAGATTTTTTAAAAAAAAGCAAGAAAGGAAAACAGTGTAAGTAATTCTAAGAAAACAAGATGCAGCCAGAAAATCATGGTAATTCTTTGTATGTTTCTCCTCAAGATTAGGAAATTGTATTACAGCTAAAAAAAAAGGTGACCAAGAAGGACTGTTGGAAAGTGTTGAGGCATCTAAATTGCTTAAGTTTCTGCTTCTTTCATGACCCAGGATTTTGCAGCCTGGAAGGCAAGTGGAGAGGAATAGGGAGCCAGTTAGCTCAGCTGGCATTCATCTTTAGAAACAAAATGATAATGAGAAGCCACAATTATTTTGAACCGCTTTTAATCTAGACTCCTCCTGGATCAGATTATAGGACTTTATGTGTCTGGATAAGCCACTTCCAACGTGTTTAGTAATCATGGATTAGAGCTTGAGAGATTTAAAAACAAAACATAACAAAAATTTCAACAGTCTATTTAACATAATGAGGTTGTATGCAAAAGAAGTTTTAAAATAATCTTTTAGAGTAACTTAAATGCTACCCTAGTAAGTAAAGGAGGTGAGATTTAAACCAGGTGTTTTGACTTTAAAGGAAACATTCATTACATTGCTACCTTTTACTGACTGCATTGGCCTCAATGTCCCCCAAATTCATGTGTTGAAACTATATCCACATTGTGGTGGTATTAAGAGGTGAGGCTGTTTGGAAAGTGAATAAGTCAGGAGGACTTCATGATTGGATTAGTGCTTTATTAAAGGGCTGGAGGGTACTAGTTTATGCTCTTTTTTCTTATGTTAAATTTTTTTTGCCCTTCTGCCTTACACCATGTGAGGACACAACATTTGTCTCCTCCAGAAGATGCAGCAACAAGGTATCATCTTGGAAGCAGAGACAGGGCCTTCACCAGACACCAAACCCAAAGATCCCTTCATCTTGGACTTTCAGCCTCCAGAACTGTGAGAAATAAATTCCTATTCTTTTAAAATTACCCAGTCTCAGGTGTTTTGTTGTATCAACACAAATGAACAGGCCCAGACTGCGCAATGTCTGAAGATCTTCATTTCACCCTGCTAGTAACAACCATCCTGTTACGTTTGCACTTCTTTGCAATTCACCCCACTTGAGTTCTGTCCTTCCGTGAAAACTTATCTTGCTTTTTGGTTCATCTGTATTCATAGACTTTCATCTGCTTTCTTTTTATCTCTGACCCATAAGATGGATGAAAATTGTCCTAAAGATCCTTTCTGCTGTGTGTGTCAGGGCCCCTCTACCTTCAGCTGGGGTGGAGGGACTTTTGTCTTTACATGGGAAAAAATACTTTAATTGCTGGTTAAAACACATTTTCTGCCATATTCCCTTTATGGAACCTAAAAAGCCTAAAGCGTATGGCCACTTACACCTCCAAGCTGTTATTTTAAGGCAAAAACTAAAACATTAAGGACAGATGAAAGATTAGCAATGACTAAAGTGAGAAAAAAGATAAATAAATGCTCCATGGATTAGGCCCATTTACACAACATGGCCCCAGAGTGTTTTACAATCAGATCTTTTCATAAAAAGAAAGAAAGATGATAAGAAATTTCCCAAGGGCCCAGGAAAACCTGACATTATTCCTCCCGCTAAACAAACAGATCTGTGCTAAGACAAGTCTCTTAAAGACCAATATCAAATATTTTATGCCCATGTTATTCAAAAGAGTTTGGGAACATGTAACATAATTAATGACTCTATGTTTTAAAAAAAAGTGCCTCCCACCGACAACATTCCTTCCTTAAAATCTAGTCCAGGGTTACTCCTCAAACCTCTCGAACTTCTACTCCTTCTAGGAGTCCTTCCTCACTTAACACACAGTCTATGTACTCCTTTCATATCAGCTTGTTCATCAAAAAATCCCTTAAGAGCCTAGTCCTGCTGAATCAACTTGTAGCTGGATATCCTGTAACCCACCTAAAATAAAAAACAAACTTCTCTCTCAGAAAGGTAACAAATAGACTAAATCCTCTTAGAAACTTACTTCGTTAGTTAGTTTGCCCCAGATATTAGGAAAAAGTCACAAAAACTAGCTATGTGTCCCAAAACCCTAATAAATTAACTATGAAATATAGCTTTTGAGGTCTTCAGTAACCAAGACAGAGTGAAAAAGTCACAGAGAAATCAAAGGGAAAAGAAGAGAGACAAAAGACGGGCCCAATTGTGGGCCCCTGCTATAAAAAGCCTCCCACCTTCAGATTATCCTGGGCAAAACCCAAGGGGCTATTGCCATATTTATTATATAAAAATCCTGGACACTGGAGCCAAATAAGTAACAAGGGCCTTCAGGCTTGTAAACCCTCTGGAGTCTATCAACAATGGGACAAAAAAGAACACTGAAAGAAAGAGTGTCGCCAACTCCAAAGCAAGGATGGGACTCTTAATTCCTTATTGTGCCTGGCCAAAGACTGAAGAAGCCCAAAGCAAACGATGGCTCTCATGCAGCAATCAGTCTCAATCACAGCAATGGAGCCTGGGGTGACCCTAGATGGGGCAGGTAAAGATATCAATTTCCTTTTAAACACAGGGGCCAGCATGTCAGTCCTCACTTTCTGCCCTGGGCCTCTGTCTGCCAAACACGACACTGTCTTCGATGTTAATAGCAAACCCCGAACTAGGATTTTCACTCCACCTCACAGCTGACCAACTTCTACTGTAGTAAAACATGGGAATATGGGGCTTTGGGTACATTTATCAAAAATTAATAATTCTCCCTTTTAAGTTGTCACAGAAACCCACAACACAGACTTCAAATTATTCCCTGAAGCACTCATGGATCTAAAGCTTCTGTCCAAAAAACAGCCGAAACCCAAAATATCAAACAATTAATATTGCCTCAGCATAAGCTTCTACTCGAAGACACAACTCACAGTGAGATCGCCTTAAAAGCTAAGTAATGTTTTATTTTTCTCTTATTTACTCATTATACACTAGGCACTCTTAGTAAAATGGCTTTATCTGCTAAAGAAATAATAAACTATACTACTAGCTTATTAAAATTAACCCAACCTTGCTGACTTTACATGACAACTGGAAGTTAAAAATATGCCAGATCTGTCCCTCAAGAAGACTGAGCCAACATTTCTATATTCCTCCTGGAACAAACCCATTGCCCATAAAATTAAAACATCTGGCCAAACAAACAATACAAAGAGATTTCCTTGGACCTGGCTATGGCCAGTTCAAACTTCTACTTTTAACTGTTAATAATAACTTCATTCTGCCAAAGAAAAAATTACTTTCTTACCTTCCCTTTTACCCAGAACAATTCCCCTTCTGCCTTTACAACAATCATGCCATTTCCACTACTTTCATAGAAAGACTCCAAGAGAGTCAATATAACTAAAGCTTTGACACTGGGTCATCTATACACCTTATGCTAAAACCTGAAAAGGGAAACCTTATTAAAAAATATATTAAAACCACCCAACTCTACCATCCTCTAATATACCCAGTGATGCCAAACTTCTATTACTTTTACCACTTTAATAAGAAATACTTTTACAGCACAAATTTCACCATCACAAAAAATTGGGGGGAGTTTATAAATCTTTGACATATCTACAATTTTCTCCACAATGAAAGAGACAATGCTCCATCACTTAAATTTTACCTTTTTTAATTTTCACACAGGCTAATGCATCTCTCCCTTTCCCCATATACCAACACCACAAGATCCACCTCCGAATAAAACCCCTTATTCCCTTAGATTTAGTGCTATCCTTATTCCCTTAGATTTAGTGCTATTTATAAGGCACTAAATAGATTTAGTGCTATTTAGTGCTTTATTAAAATGAACAAAGTCAGCCACGAGAGGTGGAGCCTTAAAATTCAACATAAACTGTCTCAAAAAACCACAGTGGTCCTCTGACAAATTACAAAGGGCTTCATTAGATTTCAACAACTAGACTCTCTGGCTACTGCAGTCTTAAAGAGCCTTACATCTTCTCACAGCCAGACAAGAAAAAACATGTTTGTGTCTAAAAAATAAAATACTTTTTTTACATTAATCAGTCCAGTTTGGTCCAAAGACATATTAAAAATATCATTATCCAAGCAGACAAAATTAAATCTTTAAAAACTTCCATAGACTTAAAAACAATAGCTGTTGTCTGCCCTGCTCCCTTTAGTAGTGTCAATTATTACCATACTTTTAGCTTTAATTTTTGGTCCAACTTTGTTTGAAATGCTAACTACTTTATTACTCTCTCACTCACAATTCCAAGTCCACATGATGGTTTTCCAAAGCTTCCAACCTTTGACTACTAATAGAACATCTCACATCTTGCCCACCAGTCCCACAGACAACATGGCTTACACCCCATTAGACAAGACAGAAAAAAAACTCTAGGGCCCAGGCTTGGCAGGGACAATGCCTCACTTAGTAGGAAACAACTAAAAAAAAAATGAGTAACAACCTAGCTCCTCAACCTCCTGTATGATTATGGGCCCTAAATTTCTGTTTCTTTTTTGTTTATTATTATTATTATTATTATACTTTAAGTTATAGGGTACATGTGCACAATGTGCAGGTTAGTTACATATGTATACATGTGCCATGCTGGTGTGTTGCACCCATTAACTCATCATTTAGCATTAGGTATATCTCCTAATGCTATCCCTCCCCACTCCCCTCACCCCACAACAGTCCCCAGAGTGTGATGTTCCCCTTCCTGTGTCCATGTGTTCTCATTGTTCAATTCCCATCTATGAGTGAGAACATGTGGTGTTTGGTTTTTTGTCCTTGCGATAGTTTACTGAGAATGATGATTTCCAATTTCATCCATGTCCCTACAAAGGACATGAACTCATCATTTTTTATGGCTGCATAGTATTCCATGGTGTATATGTACCACATTTTCTTAATCCAGTCTATCATTGTTGGACATTTGGGTTGGTTCCAAGTCTTTGCTATTGTGAATAGTGCCACAATAAACATACGTGTGCATGTGTCTTTATAGCAGCATGATTTATAGTCCTTTGGGTATATACCCAGTAATGGGATGGCTGGGTCAAATGGTATTTCTAGTTCTAGATCCCTGAGGAATCGCCACACTGACTTCCACAATGGTTGAACTAGTTCACAGTCCCACCAACAGTGTAAAAGTGTTCCTATTTCTCCACATCCTCTCCAGCACCTGTTGTTTCCTGACTTTTTAATGATTGCCATTCTAACTGGTGTGAGATGGTATCTCATTGTGGTTTTGATTTGCATTTCTCTGATGGCCAGTGATGATGAGCATTTTTTCATGTGTCTTTTGGCTGCATAAATGCCTTCTTTTGAGAAGTGTCTGTTCATATCCTTTGCCCACTTTTTGATGGGGTTGTTTGTTTTTTTCTTGTAAATTTGTTTGAGTTCATTGTAGATTCTGCATATTAGCCCTTTGTCAGATGAGTAGGTTGAGAAAATTTTCTCCCATTCTGTAGGTTGCCTGTTCACTCTGATGGTAGTTTCTTTTGCTGTGCAGAAGCTCTTTAGTTTAATTAGATCCCATTTGTCAATTTTGGCTTTTGTTGCCATTGCTTTTGGTGTTTTAGACATGAAGTCCTTGCCCATGCTTATGTCCTGAATGGTAATGCCTAGGTTTTCTTCTAGGGTTTTTATGGTTTTAGGTCTAATGTTTAAGTCTTTAATCCATCTTGAATTAATTTTTGTATAAGGTGTAAGGAAGGGATCCAGTTTCAACTTTCTCCATATGGCTAGCCAGTTTTCCCAGCACCATTTATTAAATAGGGAATCCTTTCCCCATTGCTTGTTTTTCTCAGGTTTGTCAAAGATCAGATAGTTGTAGATATGCGGCGTTATTTCTGAGGGCTCTGTTCTGTTCCACTGATCTATATCTCTGTTTTGGTACCAGTACCATGCTGTTTTGGTTACTGTAGCCTTGTAGTATAGTTTGAAGTCAGGTAGCGTGATCCCTCCAGCTTTGTTCTTTTGGCTTAGGATTGACTTGGCGATGCGGGCTCTTTTTTGGTGCCATATGAACTTTAAAGGAGTTTTTTCCAATTCTGTGAAGAAAGTCATTGGTAGCTTGATGGGGATGGCATTGAATCTATAAATTACCTTGGGCAGTATGGCCATTTTCATGATATTGATTCTTCCTACCCATGAGCATGGAATGTTCTTCCATTTGTTTGTATCCTCTTTTATTTCCTTGAGCAGTGGTTTGTAGTTCTCCTTGAAGAGGTCCTTCACATCCCTTGTAAGTTGGATTCCTAGGTATTTTATTCTCTTTGAAGCAATTGTGAATGGGAGTTCACTCAAGATTTGGCTGTTTGTCTGTTATTGGTGTATAAGAATGCTTGTGATTTTTGTACATTGATTTTGTATCCTGAGACTTTGCTGAAGTTGCTTATCAGCTTAAGGAGATTTTGGGCTTAGACGATGGGGTTTTCTAGATATATAATCATGTCGTCTGCAAACAGGGACAATTTGACTTCCTCTTTTCCTAATTGAACACCCTTTATTTCCTTTTCCTGCCTAATTGCCCTGGCCAGAACTTCCAACACTATGTTGAATAGGAGTGGTGAGAGAGGGCATCCCTGTCTTGTGCCAGTTTTCAAAGGGAATGCTTCCAGTTTTTGCCCATTCAGTATGATATTGGCTGTGGGTTTGTCATAGATAGCTCTTATTATTTTAAGAAATGTCCCATCAATACCTAATTTATTGAGAGTTTTTACAATGAAGCGTTGTTGAATTTTGTCAAAGGCCTTTTCTGCATCTATTGAGATAATCATGTGGTTTTTGACTTTGGTTCTGTTTATATGCTGGATTACATTTATTGATTTGCGTATATTGAACCAGCCTTGCATCCCAGGGATGAAGCCCACTTGATCATGGTGGATAAGCTTTTTGATGTGCTGCTGGATTCGGTTTGCCCGTATTTTATTGAGGATTTTTGCATCTATGTTCATCAAGGATATTGGTCTAAAATTCTCTTTTTTGGTTGTGTCTCTGCCCTGCTTTGGTATCAGGATGATGCTGGCCTCATAAAATGAGTTAGGGAGGATTCCCTCTTTTTCTATTGATTGGAATAGTTTCAGAAGGAATGGTACCAGTTCCTCCTTGTACCTCTGGTAGAATTCGGCTGTGAATCCATCTGGTCCTGGACTCTTTTTGGTTGGTAAGCTATTGATTATTGCCACAATTTCAGATCCTGTTATTGGTCTATTCAGAGATTCAACTTCTTCCTGGTTTAGTCTTGGGAGAGTGTATGTGTCGAGGAACTTATCCATTTCTTCTAGATTTTCTAGTTTATTTGCATAGAGGTGTTTGTAGTATTTTCTGACGGTAGTTTGAATTTCTGTGGGATCGGTGGTGATACCTCCTTTATCATTTTTTATTGCATCTATTTGATTTTTCTCTCTTTTTTTCTTTATTAGTCTTGCTAGCGGTCTATCAATTTTGTTCATCCTTTCAAAAAACCAGCTCCTGGATTCATTAATTTTTTGATGGGTTTTTTTTTTGTCTCTATTTCCTTCAGTTCTGCTCTGATTTTAGTTATTTCTTGCCTTCTGCTAGCTTTTGAATGTGTTTGCTCTTGTTTTTCTAGTTCTTTTAATTGTGATGTTAGGGTGTCAATTTTGGATCTTTCCTGCTTTCTCTTGTGGGCATTTAGTGCTATAAATTTCCCTCTACACACTGCTTTGAATGTGTCCCAGAGATTCTGGTATGTTGTGTCTTTGTTCTTGTTGGTTTCAAAGAACATCTTTATTTCTGCCTTCATTTCGTTATGTACCCAGTAGTCATTCAGGAGCAGGTTGTTCAGTTTCCATGTAGTTGAGTGGTTTTGAGTCATTTTCTTAATCCTGAATTGTAGTTTGATTGCACTGTGGTCTGAGAGACAGTTTGTTATAATTTCTGTTCTTTTACATTCGCTGAGGAGTGCTTTACTTCCAAGTATGTGGTCAATTTTGGAATAGGTGTGGTGTGGTGCTGAAAAAAATGTATATTCTGTTGATTTGGGGTGGAGAGTTCTGTAGATGTCTATTAGGTCCGCTTGGTGCAGAGCTGAGTTCAATTCCTGGATATCCTTGTTAACTTTCTGTCTCGTTGATCTGTCTAATGTTGACAGTGGGGTGTTAAAGTCTCCCATTATTAGTGTGTGGGAGTCTAAGTCTCTTTGTAGGTCACTCAGGACTTGCTTTATGAATCTGGGTGCTCCTGTATTGGGTGCATTTATATTTAGGATAGTTAGCTCTTCTTGTTGCATTGATCCCTTTACCATTATGTAATGGCCTTCTTTGTCTCTTTTGATCTTTGTTGGTTTAAAGTCTGTTTTATCAGAGACTAGGATTGCAACCCCTGCCTTTTTTTGTTTTCCATTTGCTTGGTAGATCTTCCTCCATCCTTTTATTTTGAGCCTATGTGTGTCTCTGCACGTGAGATGGGTTTCCTGAATACAGCACACTGATGGGTCTTGACTCTTTATCCAGTTTGCCAGTCTGTGTCTTTTAATTGGAACATTTAGTCCATTTGTATTTAAAGTTAATATTGTTATGTGTGAATTTGATCCTGTCGTCATGATGTTAGCTGGTTATTTTGCTCATTAGTTGATGTAGTTTCTTCCTACTCTCGATGGTCTTTACATTTTGGCATGATTTTGCAGCAACTGGTACTGGTTGTTCCTTTCCATGTTTAGTGCTTCCTTTAGGAGCTCTTTTAGGGCAGGCCTGGTGGTGACAAAATCTCTCAGCATTTGCTTGTCTGTAAAGTATTTTATTTCTCCTTCACTTATGAAGCTTAGTTTGGCTGGATATGAAATGCTGGGTTGCAAATTCTTTTCTTTAAGAATGTTGAATATTGGCCCCCACTCTCTTCTGGCTTGTAGAGTTTCTGCTGAGAGATCCGCTGTTACTCGGATGGGCTTCCCTTTGTGGGTAACCCGAACTTTCTCTCTGGCTGCTCTTAACATTTTTTCCTTCACTTCAACTTTGGTGAATCTGACAATTATGTGTCTTGGAGTTGCTCTTCTCGAGGAGTATCTTTGTGGCGTTCTCTCTATTTCCTGAATCTGAACATTGGCCTGCCTTGCTAGATTGGGGAAGTTCTCCTGGATAATATCCTGCAGAGTGTTTTCCAACTTGGTTCCATTCTCCCCGTCACTTTCAGGTACACCAATCAGATGCAGATTTGGTCTTTTCACATAGTCCCATATTTCTTGGAGGCTTTGTTGGTTTCTTTTTATTCTTTTTTCTCTAAACTTCCCTTCTCGCTTCATTTCATTCATTTCCTCTTCCATCACTGATACCCTTTCTTCCAGTTGAGTGCATTGGCTCCTGAGGCTTCTGCATTCTTCACGTAGTTCTCGAGCCTTGGCTTTCAGCTCCATCAGCTCCTTTAAGCCTAAATTTTTTTCAAAGTTTTCAACTTCTTTGCCTTTGGTTTGAATTTCCTCCTGTAGCTTGGAGTAGTTTGATCGTCTGAAGCCTTCTTCTCTCAACTCGTCAAAGTCATTCTCCATCCAGCTTTGTTCCATTGCTGGTGAGGAACTGCGTTCCTTTGGAGGAGGAGTGGCACTCTGCTTTTTAGAGTTTCCAGTTTTTCTGCTCTGTTTTTTCCCCATCTTTGTGGTTTTATCTACTTTTGGTCTTTGATGATGGTGATGTACTGATGGGTTTTTGATGTGGATGTCCTTTCTGTTTGTTAGTTTTCCTTCTAACAGACAGGACCCTCAGCTGCAGGTCTGTTGGAATTTGCTAGGGGTCCACTCCAGACCCTGTTTGCCTGGGTATCAGCAGTGGTGTCTGCAGAACCGCGGATTTTCATGATCCGCAAATGCTGCTGTCTGATCATTCCTCTGGAAGTTTTGTCTCAGAGGAGTACCCGACCGTGTGAAGTGTCAGTCTGCCCCTACTGGGGGGTGTCTCTCAGTTTGGCTGCTCAGGGGTCAGGGGTCAGGGACCCACTTGAGGAGGCAGTCTGCCTGTTCTCAGATCTCCAGCTGCATGCTAGGAGAAACACTGCTCTCCTCAAAGCTGTCAGACAGGGACATTTAAGTCTGCAGAGGTTACTGCTGTCTTTTTGTTTGTCTGTGCCCTGCCCCCAGAGGTGGAGCCTACAGAGGCAGGCAGGCCTCCTTGAGCTGTGGTGGGCTCCACCCAGTTCCAGCTTCCAGGCTGCTTTGTTTACCTAAGCGAGCCTGGGCAATGGCGGGTGCCCCTCCCCCAGCCTTGCTGCCGCCTTGCAGTTTGATCTCAGACTGCTGTGCTAGCAATCAGCTAGACTCTGTGGGCGTAGGACCCTCTGAGCCATGTGTGGGATATAATCACCTGGTGCGCCGTTTCCTAAGCCTGTCGGAAAAGCGCAGTATTCAGGTGGGAGTGGCCCGATTTTTCAGATGCCGTCTGTCACCCCTTTCCTTGACCAGGAAAGGGAACTCCCTGATCCCTTGCACTTCCCGAGTGAGACAATGCCTCGCCCTGCTTTGGCTGGTGTGAGGTGTGCTGCACCCACTGTCCTGTGCCCACTATCTGGCACTCCCTAGTGAGATGAACCCGGTACCTCAGATAGAAATGCAGAAATCACCCGTCTTCTGCATTGCTCACGCTGGGAGCTGTAGACCGGAGCTGTTCCTATTCGGCCATCTTGGCTCCTCCCTGCTATGGGCCCTAAATTTCTTAGTGGAGAAATGAGGCAGCAAAGGTAGTCAGGAAAGTAACCATGTGCTTGGGACACTGCAACCATGGTGATGGCACAGGGAACACAATAAGCCCCAGTATTTGTATTGTAGTCAAGCTCTTTCAAGTGAAGCTATATCTAATCGAGAATTTTTCTGCAGAGAGCATGCGCACTTTGATTTTACTGGGCCTCAGACTGACTCTGCTCATTGTAACAGTAAAAACACACCCAAGTGGAGATTTAAGAAGCTAAGGAGACATACAATGTATGAACAAGCATGTACAACTACTACACATGTGCACCCAGAACATGCTTACCAGTAACACCTCTTCCCACCCCCTTAGAAATAATCATGTAAGACTCCCATAAAGGGAGTTTCCCTGGTAAACAGTCAACACTGTCTCACCCTTATGAGCAGCCAGCTCTGAATCGTCTTGAAGAGTTTACTGTCTATTCTACACCTTGCTTTCAGAGTCTTCTTTCTCCTTTGCAATAAAGTTCTCTATGCTGCACCTCCTCTGCTGTATGTCTTTTGTTTAAATATTTTAAACTAAGAAGACAAGCAGCAAGGTTTCACAATAGCTGTCAACAAAAACACTGAACATTCCTAAATATTAACATCCTTCAGGGTTCTGCGCTGGGTTGCGTGTCCTTCTCCTCCTTCTGGGAAATGCCCATGGGGCCCAGCACCTCAGTGACTACATGCTGATCAGCTTCAAATCTGTATCTCTCCATCAGATCTTTCCTGAGTTTTAGGGCTGTATATTCAGCTACATACTTGACAGTTCCTCACATATGTCTTATAGACAACTCAAAGTTAACATATAAGAAAATAAACTAATTATTCAACCCTCCCAAAACCCTTCACTAAATGTATAGCCCCTTCTTTGCTGCTCTGTGGAAACCCAGATTATCAGTATTTAATTTCTGCTGCTTGTCCCATACCTTCCTTTCCAGTGTATATTCCTCTGATTCTCATGGTTTTAAATTTAGTGTTTTCTATTATTTGTTTATTTTGGTAGCTACCTCAAATATATTATGGGCAAATTGTAAATAAATGAACAAATACATAAAATAAAGGACAAAAGCTAAATACTGTGTGCGGTAGTGAGGGAGGACACGTCTCAAATTGTCATGATGTCTCCAGGAGATGGCGCTCACGGTGTACTTTTGCTTTTGGTTTTTTTTTAAATTAAGAAAAGTTTGATACAGGTGAGTTTCCATATATAGGTAATTAATTTAAAGCAATATATTTCAGGTTTTATCATTTGTCGGGTGATCCTTTGGGCTGATAAGACTTTGCTTAATGACTTTGTGTTCTTATTTTTCAGATGGAGGTAAAGTTTGGGGGTGAAGTTGCTAGGAGTGTCAAAATTTGTGATATGGAAGAATTTGTGCTATGGTATAAAAGGGGGAATATTACCTCACAATTTTAATACTATAATCCAACAAACAAAAATTAATAATCTTATTGTCATAGAGTGGGAAACATACAAGCTGGAAAGCAGAAGGTAAAATGCCAATTTGACAAGAGAGAGCTAGCTACTGAACATGTATCAAGGGTTATCTTGAAACATAAAAACCATATTTTAAAGGCAATTACATAGTGTAGTCTTTCTTGGTACTTCACTTACAAGATGTGTCATTTTGCTAAGATTTTTTTCTCTCTCTGTGAGCTTTAGATTATTTTTCTTCAGAATGACAAAACTGAGCTAAATCATCTCTAAAATTCCTTGATTAGCAAACAGAACTACAAAGTAAAAGGAAAAAGTAACTGTAAATTCAGCTGGTGAAAGATACAGGCTGAGAGTGCTCTCCTGGTCTAGGATGAGTGATCTTACAGGTTCTTGCCCAGAACTAGTTTGTTAGTGAGTGGGAACTCTGAGTCAGTTATTAATCCCAGCTGCATCTAAGGCTCACTTGGGAGAATTATAAGTTATAGCAATGGCTAGACCCCCAATCAGACCAACTAAACAGAATCTCTGGAGGTTGGGCCCGGGCATCACTATTTGTTAAAAAAGTGCTCCGGCAATTTTAGTGCACAAACAAGATGAAGAACCACTGATCTAGATCATCAGAAGGACTATTCAAGCTAAAACCTTTAATGGGGATAAACAGTGTTCTTAATTCTAGTGGAAGGCATATGCATAAGCCTGGAGAGGACAAAGATGCAAAGGGACAAATGAGAAAGTGAATGAAGAAAGACAATAGAAGATGTAGAGTACAAGTCTGGGAAGAAAAACACAGAACAACAGAGGGTCACATGGTAGAGATACTGCCAAACACAAGTTGTCATGCCTTTGGAAAATGTAATCAAATAAAGACAATTGCTCTATTAAAAAAGTGAAATATTATTACTCACCTTTCATTTCATACCTTCAACTTCATCACCACCATAAATAAATAAAAATCCTGAATATGGGAAATGTTACGACTATGAAATAATGTAATTATGTTTTTATAATTCAATCACCTTATCTAGAATCTCTTCTCCTCTTTCCAAATGGAGAAGGCTACATTAAGGCATCTCTGTGCACACAGGGTATTCTGACAGAGTTGATCTCTTCTTTATTGATTTCTGTGTTGAATTAGATTGTAGGTGACAGTTCTGGTTCTTTATTTGATTTTAGAGTTTTATTTTTTTGCCCCAAACAGTGTTGTGGGAAGTCAGGGACCCTGAACAGAATGACTGGCTGAAGCCATGGCAGAAGAACATAAATTGTGAAGATTTCATAGGCATTTATTAGTTTCCCAAATTAATACTTTTATAATTTCTTACACCTGTCTTTACTGCAATCTCTGAACATAAGTTGTGAAGATTTCATGGACATTTATCACTTCCCCAATCAATACTCTTGTGATTTCCTATGCCTGTCTTTACTCTCTTAATCCCATCATCTTCGTAAGCTGAGGATGTATGTGGCCTCAGGACCCTGTGATGATTGCGTTAACTGCACAAATTGTTTGTAAAGCATGTGTGTTTAAACAATATGAAATCTGGGCACCTTGAAAAAAGAACAGGATAACAGCGATGTTCAGGGAACAAGGGAGATAACCATTAGGTCTGGCTGCCTGAGAGCCAGGCGGAACAGAGCCATATTTCTTTTCTTTCAAAAGCAAATAGGAGAAATAGCTCTGAATTCCTTTTCTCAGCAAGGAGCAGCCCTGAGAAAGAGAATGCATTCCCATGGGTAGGTTTCTAAAATGGCCGCTCTGGGAATGTCTGTCTTTTATGGTTGTAGATAAGGGATGAAATAAGCTCCGGTCTCCTGTAGCGCTCCCAGGCCTATTAGGACGAGGAAATTCCCACCTAATAAATTTTACTCAGACCAGTTGTCTGCTCTCAAACCCTGCCTCCTGATAAGATGTTATCAATGACAATGTGTACCCAAAACTTCATCAGCAATTTTAATTTTGCCCTGGTCCTGTGATCTCACCCTGCCTCCATTTGCGTTGTAATCTTTTATTACCTTGTGAAGCATGTGATCTCTGTGACCCACACTCATACACTCCCTCCCCTTTGAAAATCACTAATAAAAACTTGTTGGTTTTGTAGCTTAGAGGGCATCACAGAACCTGCCGACATGTGATGTCTCCCCCGGATGCCCAGCTTTAAAATTTCTCTCTTTTGTACTCTTTCCCTTTATTTCTCAGACCAGCCAACACTTAGGGGAAATAGAAAAGAATCTAAGTTGGAATGATCTCTTCTGTATTGATTTCTGTGTTGAATTAGCTTGTAGGTGACATTTCTGCTTCCTGATTTGATTTTAGAGTTTTAGTTTTTTGTCCCAAACAGTAGGTAGTTTTTTTTTTAGTAAAAGGATCATTTTTATATCCCCTTCTATCATTTTGCTTGGCTCAATTCTGGGTGGAGAAGAATTATTTGCTTCTTGATTCATCAGACTTGGAGGCACACAGACACACACAGAGTCATATGTGTATTGTTTCTTTGTTAACATAGGATTGCTATTGTTGGGTAACCACACATTCCAGAAAGTTTGTATTTGGATAAGAATGTGGAAAAAAAAACTATAATGATCTCTCAGAGAAAACAGTACAAAATAAAAATTCAGTTTAAACTACACACACACACACACACACACACATAAAACTTTATATATAATTTATGGTATCCATTATGGTCTTGAAGCCCATTCATGGATTTCTGTTATACCCTGGGTCTTAGAATATATCTGGAAGGGGTATGGATTGGACATATGTATAAGTTTAGTTTGTGTCTTTGATTGGTTAATCTACATATAAATGGTTTTGTATGTATGACTGAATTTTTCTTAAAAGACACAGAAGTAGATTTGAACACATAAAAGAAAATTTCCCGTTCTTGGATAGGATGACTCAATATCATAAAGTAGTCATTTCCCTAAGTTAATGTATAATTGTAATACAATTCAATAAAAATACCAGCAAATGACTTTTAGTTGAGCTAGAAAAATTGTAAAGTTCATATAAAAAATTTCAAGATGGCTGGGCGTGGTGGCTCACACCTGTAATCCCAGCACTTTGGGAGGCTGTGGCGGGCAGATCACGAGGTCAGGAGATTGAGACCTTCCTGGCTAACATGGTGAAACCCTGTCTCTACTAAAAATACAAAAATATTTAGCCGGGGGTGGTGGCAGGAACCTGTAGTCCCAGCTACTCGGGAGGCTGAGGCAGAAGAATTGCATGAACCCGGGAGGTGGAGCTTGCAGTGAGATGAGATTGTGCCACTGGGTGACAGAGCGAGACTCCGTCTCAAAACAGAAAACAAACAAACAAACAAGAATTTCAAGATTGGCCAGGAAAACATTAAAAAAGTAAGACTATGAGGGAGGACCAGCCCTACCAGACATTTAAAACATGCCACGAAGCAACTATAATTAAATCAGTGTGGTACTGGCTCATGAATAGACAAACAGATAAGAGGAACAGGACAGGAAAAAGTATCTAAAAATAGACACAACATATATAGAAATTTAATAAAAGTGACATCTCAAGTCACTGGAGGAAAGATAGACTATGGTAAATTCTATTGAGATAACTGAATAACCATTTGGAAAAATATAAAATTAGATATATAGCTTAAACTATACACAAGAATAAACTCCAAATGGATCAAGGATGTAAAGGTTAAAAAAAATTGAAACTATACAAGTAATAGAGGAAAACGTGTACATGTCACTTTTTAAGGTTCAGGAAAGGCTTTTAAACTGTATCCAAAATCCAGATGCAATAAATTGATACCTTTGACTACATTAAATTAAAATTATTTGTATGCAAAGAATATCATGAACAAATTAAAAAGAGAGTTGATGATCCTGGAGAAAATATTTGCATGTAAACCACACGTAAAAGATGAATATCTCTAATATGTTAAAAACTCTTAAAAATTTAGGATAAAGGATTATATGTCCAATAGAAAAACTGGAAAAATTACATGTATAGACACTCTACAAAAAAGACAGAACAATGGTCCTTAAACATAAGAAAATCTGTTTAATATCACTTATCATTTGAAGAATACAAATTAAAATTACATTGAGGTACGATTTCTCACTGTTAGTTTGGTAAAAATAAATCTTAAAAATATGACAGCACAATTAATTGGTCAGGCTTTTGGGAACCAGGACATATACATTGCTGTTGGGATTGCAAAATGGCACAGCCTCCAGGAGGGAAATTTGGCAACATCTAAAAAATTGCATGCATACTTAACTTTTTGACTGAAGAAGTCCATTTCTGGGAATTACTCTAAATATATATTTCCAACATTAATAAAATACATATGCATAAGGTTATTAATTGCAGTATTGCCTGCAGTTACCCAACATAGGAGGATGGTTGAATGAGGGTGCACCTTGCAGCTGGAGGAAGACCTCTGTGGAGTGATATTGGATAAATTCCAGGATACATTTAAGTGTAAAAAGCAAAGTGCGAAGGAATAATCTATAGTACATGTTAAAAGAAAAACTTTTGACAAGTTAAATTTAACATAAATTATTTGAGCAAAGAGTATGATATGGTTAGGCTTTGTGTGCCCAGCCGAATCTCATCTTGAATTGTAATCCCCAGGTGTTTAGGGAGAGACCTGGTGGGAAGTAATTAGATTATGGGGGAGGTTTCCCCATGCTGTTCTCATGATAGTGGGTGAGTTCTTACAAGATCTAATGGTTTTATAAGGCAGTTTTCCCTGCTCTTACACTCTCTCTCACCTGCTGCCATGTAAGATGGGCCTGCTCCCCCTTCTGTCATGATTACAAGTTTCCTGCGGTATCCCCAGACATGCGGAACAATGAGTCAATTAAATCTCTTTCCTTTATAAATTACCCAGTCTCAGGTATTTTTTTTATAGCAGTATGAGAACAGAATAATACAGACTTGTGAATTAGGCAGCTCTTAGAACCAGAAACAGAAGAGGTTCAGAGATCTCCACTCAGCAACATGGGCAGACAGTATTTATAGACAGAAAATTGAAGTGAGGTATAGAAATAGCTTGATTGATGACAGCTCTACGTTTACCTTGTTTGAACATGGTCTGACTAGTTGGCAGCATGTGATTGGCAGAATGTTAGCTGCTGTGATGGACTGACACCTAGCTGTTTGTTATAAAATATTCTTTAAGTTACGCTCAGTTTGTTTACATTCTAAGCTAGGTTGCAATTTGTTACCTAGGGACTCAAGGTACAGAGGCAGCCTGAGCCCAAATTTAGTTTAATTTAACATATGGTACCCTTTATGTTAGAAATAAGGAGAAATGAGAAAACATACATATATCTTCCCATTTTTGCAAAAGCAAAAAACATAGGTAGGGCAAACCAGAAATTGAGATTTGTTACCTATGGTGGGAGTGAATATGGGTGGAAAGAATGGACAGTAGGGATGGACGGAAGTGATATTTCTCTGAATATACATTTCTGTATATTTATACATACAGTAGTCCTTTGGTAACCATTGAGGATTAGTTCAAGGATTCACCCTCAGATACCAAAATCTGAGGCTGCTCAAGTCCCTTATATAAAATTACATAGCATTTGCTTGTACACACATCCTCCTGTATACTTTAAATGATCTCAACATTACTTATAATATCTTATGCAATGTAAACACTGTGTAAATAGTTGTTACACTGTTTAGGAAATAAAACAAGAAAAAAATTCTGTATATATTCAGTGCAGACACACCATCCTTTTTTTTTCTCTAATATTTTCTATCCTTGGTTGGTTGAATCATCCAATGTGGACTCCATGGATACCAGGCTGACTATATTTTTATTTAACCATGTTTACATATGCTTCTTCATATTTTTACACATGCTTACATACATTTTCATATGTAAACTGACTTTTAGAATCCTGTTCATGTTTCACAGACTCAAGAAAAAATTAAAATTAACAGATATCGGGGTGGGGGGCAAAAGGAAATACAAACAGAAACAAATGAACCTGCCTTACAAATGAATGAGAACAATGAAGGAATAAAAAGAAAATGACTAATTTAAGTAACTTGGAAAATAGTTTTCCAAAGATATACTCTAAGCCTAAAGACAAAAAGAATTATAGATATCATACCTTATTTATAGTGTTTGTTTTTCACTATAAATTTTTTACCATCGAATAAATAAATGTATTGTGGATAATGAGAGCCAGGTATCTCACTGTTAAAGGAAGGAGTTCTAAATGAGCATGATAGTTAATTTTAGGTGTCTACTTGAATGGATTAAGGGATACCTAAATAGCTGGTAAAGCATTATTTCTGGGTGTTTCTGTGGGAGTATTTCTGTAGGAGGTTGGCCTGTGAGTGGGTGAACTGAGTGGGGAAAATCCACCCTCGGTGTGGGCAAGCACCATCCAATTGATTGGGGAGGTGGAGGAAAGGTGAATTTGCTTCTTCTCTTTTGCAGCTGGGACACTCTTCTTCTGTTTTTAGATATCAGACTTCAGGTTCTCTGGCCTTTGGGCTCGAGGACTTGAAACAGCAGGTTCTCCAGGTTCTAAAACCTGCAGCATAGAAATGGGAGTTATGCCATTGACTTCCCTGGTTCTGAGGCTTCTGGACTTGAACTGACCCAAGCTGCCATTTTCCCTGGGTCTCCAGCTTGCAGAGAGCCTACTGTAGGACTTCTCAGCCTCCGTAATCATGTGAGCTGATTCCCTTAATAAGTCCCCTCTCACTTTATCTATTATCTATCTATCTATCTATCTATCATCTATCTATCTATCTATCTATCTATCTATCTATCTATCATCATCTATCATCATCTATCTATCATCTATCTCTTATTGGTTCTTTCTCTCTGGAGAACTCTAACTAATACAATACGTAAAGTGTTTAGGGCAGAATAAACTTTGTGGTGTTGGATTGGAATTGGAGGTATCAGTATGAAATCAAGGCTATATCTTTATTTCCCAGCTTTGTCCCTGAGAGATCCCTGAAGCAATGACACCTCAGTACTAGTGAGCATACTTAGTGCCCAGGTATTGGTTTTGGAATACCATTTTCCAATGAAAGTAACCAGGGCTCTTTGGAAAAGTAGTTGATTCTGGGCATGGGGCATTGTGCCTGGGGTCTCAAGGTCACCCCCAGCTTTGGTGATTTGCTTGAAGGCCCACAGAATCAGCATATAGTCACACTCACGTTATTGCAGCCAAAATATACAGAACAAAATCAGCAAAGGGAAAAGGACATGGGGTGAAGTTCAGAGGAACAAGTGTGCAAATTTCCAAGAGTTTTCCCAGTATAATCACTCAGGATGAGTTTACTTTCTTCAGCACCAAATTGTGATAGCACATGGGAAACATTGTCTACCAAGGAAGCTCATTAGAGAGTCGGTGCCCTGGCTTGTTTTGAGGTTTGGTCATGTTGGACTCCTATGCATCTATTGTAGCAAAGTTCCAGGCACTAGAAGGAAAGCAAGTGCTTGACATAAAATACATATTTTTGCACAAAAAATTTAGGTTCAGTGATCCCTTTTTATCAGGAAATACTGAGAATGCTCCAGAAATCCGAGTTTCCAGATGCTAGACAAGGTCCAACCATGTAAATAGGACTTCTTGTAGATAGCAGCCTCTGGTCTGCCATATTAACTCTATTTTGCTCAAAAAAGTAAGGTGCTCAAAAATAACAGAAACTCATTGATACACCAGATGGCTAAATCTGGTACAATTTGAGCTACAGAAATTATTATAGTAATGGATTATAATTCACTGAATAATAAAATTGCATGAGTGCCTGCCAACATAAATACATAAGTATAGTGAATTCTTTTAATTTTGTGTTGCCTTGGCATCCATTTTGAATATAGTTTAACTCTCTCATAACTGAAGCAGAGCTCAGTTGCTCTTGCCATGGTTTCCAATTTTACACCACATCCAAATGGCTCAAACTGGTGGTTAGAGATAAGAACTTAGTGGCATTTCTCCTGCCTAGCAGACCGGGCTCCTGCATTCCCACTGCTTCTTTAAACAGACTCTTCAGGCATTTACCCACAAACCTAAAGCGACCTACAGATTATTCATTTCTATATACTGCTAGTTGCTATGCCCTCTTCTCTCTCCTCCTGGCTCTTCATGCCTGCCTCGTGTGACCTGGGGATGGAAAAGTGCCCACCCAACTCACTGTACCCTCCTTGCTCAGAATCTGTAAGTAAAAATCTTTGAACTTATTTTCTATTGTGATAGTGTATTGAATTTGTGCCTTTTATCTCAAGAATCAGGAGCTACTGCAGGCTGGGTTTTCTACAGAAGATGGAAAAACACAAAATCAGGTTCCCAGTGCCAGAGTGATGACTGGGAGACATAAACTGAACACTGGTCAGAAAAGAGCCACAGAGCATCTGCCAGTATAAATAAGTTTCCCATATGAGGGACCCCCTGGTTGTGGGTCAGACAAGTAGGTGTTAGGCCATTCGCCAGGTAAAAGAAGTAAGTGTCTGGTGAAAGGCACGCAGTAAACACTCACATCCCGTTTCCTTTCATTTCCTTTTGGGGAAAAGTTGCTGGCCAAGCTGGTACTGGAACCTCAGTTTAGCTGGGGGCTCTCAAAACAGTAAGGAAGACAGAAAACTGTATCTTATGGTAAACTCCCAACTAATAAATATAATGAAAATGGAAAAATTACTATTAGTAACACCACAGTAATAATTGATCCAAACAAGAAGCATAAATGGAAGTCAAAATTAGCAGGCAAAGGCATGTGAGAAACAGGATATTTATATGGTTTAATGGTCCACAATAGACTTCTCAATTAGAAGAAACCTAGCAGACACCATTTTAACCAAGTAATCAGTTATCGTCATTAGCAATGGGAGAAGCCAACACCATGTACCTTTTAAGTGATGCACTGAGAAGGAAGCATCACTTTTGGGATATTCCTGCCAAAAACGTATAACCCAAATTCATTACTCAGAAAACATCAGGGGCTGGGTATGGTGGTGTGTGCTGTGGTTCCAGCTATTATGGAGGCTGAGGAGGGAGGATCTCTTGAGCCCAGGAGTTCGGGATTACAGTGAGTTACAATTGCACTACTGCACTCCAGCCGGAGAGTGAGACCCTGTCTCCAAAAAAAGCAAAGCAAATCAAAGAAAACATCAGAAAAATTCAAATTGAGTGACATTAAAAACAAAATGAGATCAGTACTTTTCAAAAGTTTCAAGATCATGAAAGAGCAAGACTAAGGAACCAACTTGCTCTAGTTAAAGGAAGCTAAAAACACATGACTTCAAAATGCATCATGCTTTACAGTAGAAAATCAGGAAAATTTAAATGACTTCTACATGAAGAAAATTTAAATAATGTCTGTAGATTGTATAATAGTATTATATTTATCATAGTTTCTTGATTTTGATAACTGTATGATGTTACATAAGATGCTAACACCTGGGAAACTGGGCAAAGTGAGTATATAATATGTTGTATTTTTACAACATAGTTGTAAATATAAAATTATTAAAAATTGAAAAGTGAGAAGATAAAAATAATTAATATAACATCAATTAAAGGTATCTGTATGACATTAAGAAATCTTTAATATTAAATATATTGATTTTTGAAATTATTACATTGTGCTAAAATTTATGAGTTTCATTTTATCATATTCTCGTAACTGTAAATAATGTAATGTAGAAGTTTTTTGTTTCAAGCACTGCAAAAGTAAAAGTAAATTTTTGAAATATGTTTTCAGTTAGTTAACAAGTTGAGGATAAAGAATACAATCATAAAGAACCTGAGGAATTTGGTAAGTTTTGGAAAAAAAAAAGTTTTTGTTTTTCAAAAATGCCCGGGAAAATTCAACATATTCTGTGTCTATAAATAAACGTTTCAAAGTAGGGGTCTTCTTTTGTACAGAAAAAAATATTTTATAAAACCTTTTAATGGCAGTCCAAACAACTCTATTTAGGCTGTTTCAGAGGCTGTTTTCAATTGAACATAGTTCTTCAAATTGTCTCAATTCAAAAAGAAATTGCAGTTAAAATGAGCCAATTTAGCTCAGACAGACATTGTTTTCAACCCTAGACGTGTGGTTAAAGTTGCTGATTTTAACAGTACATTGCCAAATTCATGCAATAACTCAGTTACTGCAAGCTACTTAAACACCAAAGTAGATATATTTGCTGAGATAACACCTTTGAAAAATCTATCAAACAAAAAAATGTTTTTCATTTTGTATGAGATTTGGATGCCATAATATGCAGTTATCTGGGACTTTTTTTTTGGATTATCAGGTATAACGTTGTTTGAATAGCTCTGCCTCTCACTGGAATTAATAAGCTCTGTCTTGACTTCTTTTCTGTAGCATGGATTTATTTTCAGTGCACTGTAACTAGCACCTAATAGCTTCTGTATCTTCTGCTTTTTTCTTTAATTTTAGAAACGTTACAGGTGAACATTAGAAATTTAACAAATAGTGGCTTTATTTATTTCAATTAAATCAGTCTTCTACATACCTGCAGTCATCTTAAAGGGGAATATCTGCTGATACTTTCTCTCCTCCTTTGTACCTCAATCATTAACTGCTTTAAGCTTTTCCATGTTTGAATTTTAGAGTTGAAATTGTGTTTTTAATTTATGACCTCACTCTCTCCTGCCCTTTGAATGAGACACTTCCACGTAATCTGTCTTTGCTCTTTTGTTCCCCATGAAGGACTCTGGCTGGGATTCATTTCATTAGCTATTTCAGGATTTCTTTAGATTGCATATATGCAGTGTCAAACTAGCTCCCTGCAATCCAAATTGGTCTACCTAAGCCACAATGAGGGGAAGAATATTCTGACAAGTGCATTATAGGACCACCTAAATGGGATTTTCTACAGCATAAATATTAAACTGGAAAAAAATAGATCTTTATTAGTATTGTGGACCTCTTTAACTAGAACAGCCTTAGATTGTACAACCAATTTAAAGGGATGTACTCAGTACTGCTTTATCAGCTCTTATAAAGCCAGAAGCTCTTTAAAAACTAAGGAATTGCAAGGCAGGAGGTATAAGGCTCAAAATTCCAAGTTTAAAATTCTCCCAGCTGGATTTTTTGAGGTAAAAAGTGTCATTGCTGTCATAATACAATGTCAGCCCAAGCCTATCTTCAGGATCTTAACCCTGCCTTTGTGCTTTAGGAGGGTTGTACCATGACCTTCATTTCAGAACCGATGAACTGCTCTAGGGAATCTTTATCCCGTTTAATGTTGTCTCTAGATCACCAAATCCATATCCCTGAGACACCTAAGGGCTGATGAAGGAGCCATAAGATATGAACCAGATTAAAAACTCATACATTCTGGTACCAGAAACTACAGTTGAGATATTCATAGTGTAAAAGAAAAATAGCACTGATGCTTTTCAAAAATGGCAAGATGATTTTATTTAAGACTATTGAAAAAGGGGTCAAAACTATTGCAATAGAGAAAAAGTCTGCTAAAAAAAAAAGACAGGAGACTTTTAAGCACTGGAGTGTAGTGAGAAAGCACTGGAGGACATAGGAGGAAGTTGGTCATGTGATTAGGTCATTTATGTTTGTCAGTCGGTGCTTATTGAAGTTAAGCTCCTACCACCTCCCACAGAGTCTGGGGGATAGGAGTGCTAATTTTTTTCCTTTAATTATTACCTTTCTGGGAGAAGATTTACATCTTAAAGATACAGAGAAAAAATTTACAATGGTAAGTTTCCTAAAGTAAATTTTCTAGGGAAAAGGAGGTCAGAAACAAACCTGTCTAAAATTAAGACAAGCTGAGGGGATTGTTAAAGCTCTTTTCATCAACAACATAGGAGAGTCTCTAACGAACCATGAAAGCATCCAGGAGAGAATAAATTTTAAATCCTTGCCAGGCACAGAGAGTGAGAAGACAGTACCAAGTACTAGTCAATTAAGAACTTCCTACCCCCTTTCTTCTCCCTCTCTTTACCTAAACACTCAGGTTTCAAAAATTTAAGAAGAGAGAGGAAAAGGGAAAAGAAAAGGAGGAAGAAGAAAGAAGAAATGTTCTATACTGCCTTCCTGACTACAGTTTTCTACAGACTCCAGCTGTGGAAAAAAAGGAAAAGGCTTAATGTTTAATCAAGGTGGCGATCATATGGAACTGAACATTTTTAAATAGTTGATGGGAGTTTTGCGTTTTGTCAGAATGAACAGGAAAATCAAGGGACCTCTGGAGAGTTTCTGTCCAGAGGCAGAGTGATCAATAGTATAGTGGGAGACTAAATAAATGTTCTTTATTAATTAATTCATCACATTAGTTAGAGTGTAATTATAGAATTATAAACTCAGTGTACATGTGGGTAAATAAAAACAAATATTGACTGAGACAGTGTCCATTTTGAGGAGTTTCAGATAGAACTACAATACTGGACAATGAAAGCACGTCAGATAGAAGGAGGATAATTGTGTTCAAGAGTACCTATGTCTTTGTTTCTTCAGGAACAGGACAGAAATGTTGATAGAAAAAAGCAAGCATTTTAAACAAAACACCAGAAACACAAATTGTTAGTAAAAAGATTGATAAACACAATTACTTAAAAAATTTGAAATTCAGTCCTCAAAAGTCACCATGAAAAATGAGAAAAGACAAGCAATAGAGTAGAAAAGATATTTGTAATACAAATATCAATAAAGTATTGAACTTAGAATATATAAAGAACTTCTACAACTCAAATAACAAAGGAATAAATGATTTAATAGAGAAAAGGGGCAAAAACAGACACAAAAATATGTGATCTCATATATGAAATCCAAAAAAGTTAAGCTCATAGAAACAGAGAATAGAATGGTGGTTACCAGAGGATGGGGTATGGGGTGGGGACGGTGGGGAGATGTTTGTCAAATGATACAAAATTTTAGTTAGAAAAAATACGTTGAGGTCTATTGTACAACATGTTGACTATAGTTAAGAACAATGTATTATATTCTTGAAAATTGCAAAGAGTAAATTTTAAGTGTTCTTACCACAAAAAAGGATGAGGATGTGAAATAATGCATATGGTTACATGCTGTAATTAACATTCTTACTATTAGTGAAATTAGCATAAATACTTTAAGAAATAATTTGGTAAAATTTAATAAAATTATACATGTGCTTATCTATATCAGGTTTTATTACAATCACGCTCTTAAACAAGCAATCCTGTAACAACAGATGCAGTCAGTAGTCTGTCCACATAGCCTCTTGGATTTTCTTACCATTTCTGTGCCTCCCAGCTGTACACCTGACTTCTGACAACCACCACATGCATCTTTGTTAGAGAGTTGCCCTTATGCTTCCAAAACCCACTTTATCCAAATCCACCGTGAGCCAGAAGTGTTTAGGAATTAATATCTATCCACAGGCTCCTGTTACCCAATAATTTGACAACTATGAGATTAAACATACCTTATGTCTATCTTCCCTTGACTGGGAAAATTCTGATGTATGTGTTTTCTATTCTTTCTCAAGAGCTTCACTATGGGGTAAGCTGTAGTTATGTACAGTGAAAACTGGTTAAATAATGTATCGGTTCCTGTACAATTTGCATCCCCTTAATTTTCTTCTTTTGTCTGATTGCTCTGGCTAGGACTTCTAGTACTATGCTGAATAAAAGTGGTGAAAGTGGAATTATCCTTGTTTGTAGATAATATGACATTATCGTTAGAAAAACCTAAAGACTCCAAAAAAAAACCCACTATTAGAAATGATAAATTCAGTGAAGTTGAAGAGAAACCAAGAAAATAATCCCATTTACTAGAAATAAAATAAAATACCTAGGAATAAATTTAACAAAAGAAGTGAAAACTCTCTATAATGAAAACTATAAAACATTAATAAAAGGAATTGAAGAGGACACCCAAAAATGGAAAGAAATTCCATGTTCACAGATTAAAATAATTAATATTGTTAAAATGTCTGTAATCCCCAATCTACAGATTCAATGCATTCCCTATGAAAATGGCATTTTTTAAGAAATAGGAAAAGTAATTCTAAAATTTTTATGTAACCACAAAAGACCCAGAATAGCCAAAGTAATCCTGAGCAAAAAGAACCCAGCTTGAGAGATCACATTACCTGACTTTAAATTATATTACAAAGCTATAGTAACCAAACCAGCATGGTACTGGCATTAAAAACAGACACACACAGACCAAGAGAACAAGACAACCCAGAAAAAAACCACATATTTACAGTGAACTCATTTTTGACAAAGGTACCAAGAGCATACACTGGGGAAAGAACAGTCTCTTCAATAAATGATGGTGGAAAAACTGGATATTCATATGAAGAAGAATGAAACTGGACCCCTATCTCTCACAATTAATAAAAATAAAAAAATGAATTAAAGACTTAAATCTAAAATCTACTAGAAAAAAAACACTGGGGAAATGCTCACATTGATCTGGGCAAAAAATTCTTGAATAAGACCACAAAAGAACAGACCACCAAAGCAAAAATGGACAAATGGGATCACATCAGGTTAAAAAGCTTCAGCACAGCAAAAGAAACAGTGAAAAAAGTGAAGAGACAATCCACATAATGGGAGAAAATATTTACAAATTATCCATCTGACAAGGGATTAATATCAATAATATAGGAAAAGCTCAAACAACTCAACAACAACAAAACAAATAATTTGATTAAAAACTGGGCAAAAAATCTGAATAGGTATTCCTCAAAAGAAGACATGCAATTGATTGATAAGTATATGAAAAATTCTCAATATCACTAGGCATCAGAGAAATGCAAATCAAAACTGCAATGAGATATTATCTCACCCCCATTATAATGGCTTTTATCAAAAAGAGACGCAATAATGGATGCTGGTGAGAATGCAGTAAGCTTGATTTTTGTCTCTTCAGAGGAAAGAATTTGGCCAAGGGGCAGAAGGCAGAGTGAGAGACTGAGGCAAGTTTTGGGGTAGAAGTGAAAGTTTATTAAAATGTTTTAGAGCATGAACAAACAGAAGTACACTTGGAAGAGGCCCAGGTGGGCAACTTGAGAGAGCCAAGGGACTCTTGACTTGCAGTTTTATACATTGGCATGATTCCAGGGTTTTTGTTTCTTCTTCCCCGATTCTTCCCTTGGAATGGGCTGTCTGCATGCACAGTGGCCTGCCAGAACTTGGGAGGGGCCACATGTGCAGTGTGTTTACTGAAGTTGTGCATCTGCTCACTGAAGTTTTCCCTTTACTGGTCAAGTGTTCCTAGAGGAAGGTTATATACCAGTTAAACTCCACCATTTTGCCTTTTAGTGTGCATGCTTGAACCCACCTGCCCAACTCCTGAGATCTTATCGGGAAATAGCTAATCACCAGCTTCAGGTATTTTCTATCTATTGAAAGACTACTTTGCCTTGGTGCTAGCTGCCACCAATTATTAATTAATTAATTAATTAATTAATTAATTAATTTGAGATGGAGTCTTGCTCTGTCACCCAGACTGGAATGCAGTGGCACAATCTTGGCTCACTGCAACCTCTGCCTCCTGGGTTCAAGCAATTCTCATGCCTCAACCTCCCAAGTAGCTGACAACAGGTGCTCATCACCATGCCCAGCTAATTTTTTTTTGTATTTTTAATAGAGATGGGGTTTTACAATGTTGGCCAGGTTGGTCTTGAACTTCTGACCTCAAGTGATCCACCCGCCTCAGCCTCCTAAAGTGCTGGGATTACAGATGTGAGCCGCAGTGCCTGCCCCAATAATTATTTTAGAGTGACAGTTTAACAACCACCTGACCATCACCTGATGGTCACCTTACATTTCTCGGGGAGGCACCTCTCCTGCCCTGCTCATGTCTGCATAACTACTTGCTCTACCAGCACTATTTTTAATATTTTAAAAAGTAACAAATATCTGCCAAGAGAAGAATGAATACATGAATTTTGTAGGGTTACACTGAGAATAAATGAAACAGAATGACATATTAATGTTGATAAATCACACATGAACAGTGTTGAACAACAACAAAACAATAGAAGAGACTATGTAAACTATAACACCATTTATGTAAGATTTGAAAATATGTGGACAATACCATGCTTCCTAGTGATTCATACGTGCAAAATAAAAGTATAAAGACAGGTACAGACTATGCATTTATGGTCAATTGACCTTTGACAAAAGCGTCAAGAACACACAGCAGTTAAAGGATGGTCTCTCAGTAAATGGTGTTGGGAAAACTGGATATCCACATGGAGAAGAATGAAACTGGATCCTTATCTCACTCCATGTATAAAAATTAGCTCAAAATCTATTAAAGACTTCATAAGACAGGAACTTGTAAAATTATTAGGAAAAAAATAAGGAAAATGTCTTTTGAAATTGACCTGGGCAATGATTTTTTGGATAAGACCCCTAAATTATAGGCAACAAAAACAAAAACAGACAAAGGGTGTTGCATCAAATTAAGAAGTTGCTGTATAGCAAAAGAAGCAATCAGCAGAGGAAAGAGACAACTTACAGGATAGGATAAAATATTTTCAAATCATATATCCAATAAGGGGTTCATATCCAAAATATACATGGAATGCAAACAATAACAAGAAAACAAATGACTTCATTAAAAAATGGGCACTGCATTCGAATAGACATTTCTCAAAAGAAGACACAGCTGGCCAACATGCATATAAAATATGTTTAATATCAATCATAAGAGAAATGCAAATCAAAACTACAATGAGATAGGACTTCACACTGCTAGAATGGCTATTATCAAAATGACAAAAAATAAAAGTGTTGGCAGGAATGTGGAAAAAAATGAACCCTTATACATTGTTGGTGGGAATTTCAATTAGTACAGCCAGTATAGAAAATATTATGGAGGTTTCTCAAAAAAAATTAAATATAACTACCATATAATCCAGCAACCCCACTCCTGGGTAAATATTGAATGGAATTGAAAGCAACATGCTGAAGAGATATTCCACTCCCATGTTCATTGCAACATTATTCATGATAGCCAAGATATGGAATCAACCTAAGTGTCCCTGAAAGGGTTATGGAAAAATAATATTTGGTACAATCATGTGCCACATGACAATGTTTCAGTCAATAATGGACTGCATATAGGGCAGTGATCCTGATATGATTAGGCTTTGTGTTCCTACCCAAATCTCAGCTTGAGTTGTAATCCTCATAATCCCCATAATCCCTATGTGTCAAGGGAGAGACTAGGTGGAGGTAATTGAATCATGGAGATGGTTTCCCCATGCTGTTCTTATGATAGTGAGTGAGTTTTCATGAGATCTGATGGTTTTATAAAGAGCTCTTTCCCCCTTCACTCAGCCCTTCTTCTTCCTGTCACCTTGAGAAGAAGGTGCCTTGCTTTCCCTTCACCTTCTACAATGATTGTAAGTTGCCTGAGGCCTCCCCAGCCATGCTGAACTGTGAGTCAACTAAACCTCTTTCTTTTTTAAATTATCCAGTCTCAGGCAGTTCTTTATAGCAGAATGAAAATGAGCTAATAAAGTAAATTGGTACTGCAGAGAATGGGATGCTGCTATGAAGATACCTGAAAATGTTGAAGTGACTTTTGAACTTGGTAAAAGGCAAATGTTGGAACAGCTTGGAGGGCTCAGAAGACAGAAAGATGTGGGAAAGTATGGAACTTCCTAGAGACTTGTTGAATGGCTTTGACCAAAATGCTGATATGATATGGACAACGAAGTCCAGGCTGAGGTGGTCTCAGATGAAGATGAGGGACTCATTGGGAAATGGAATAAAGTTGATTCTTGCTATGCTTTAACAAAGCAACTGGTGGAATTTTGCCCCTGCCCTAGAGATCTGTGGAACCTGGAACATGAGAGAGATAATTTAGGGTATCTGGTAGAAGAAATTTCTAAGCAGCAAAGGGTTCAAGAGATGATGTGGGTGCTCTTAAAAGCATTCAGTTTTATACATTTGCAAAGGGATGGTTTGGAAATGGAACTATGTTTAAAAGGGAAGCAGAGAATAAAAGTTCAGAAAATTTGCAGCCTGATGAAGCAATAGAAAAACCCATTTTCTGAGGAGAAATTCAAGCCAGCTTCAGAAATTTGCATAAGTAACAAGGAACCAAATGTTAAGCCAAGACAATAGGGAAAATGTCTCCAGGGCACTTCAGAGGTCTTCAGGGAAGACCCTTCTATCGCAGGCCCAGAGGCCTAGAAGGAAAAAGTGGTTTCATGGGCTGGGCCCTGAGACTTGCTGCTTTGTGCAGTCTCAGAACTTGGTGTTCTTGTGTCCCAGCCATGGCAAAAAGGGCCCAACATATAGCTTAGGTCTTTGCTTCAGAGGGTGTAAGCCCCAAGCCTTGACAGCTTCCATGTGGTGTTCAACCTGTGAGTGCAGAGAAGTAAAGAATTGAGGTTTGGGAACCTCCACCTAGATTTCAGAAGATGTATGGAAATGTCTGGATGTCCAGGCAGAAGTTTGTTCAGGGGTGGACCCCCTCATGGAGAACCTCTGCTAGGGCAGTGCAGAAGGGAAATAGGAAGCTGGAGCCCCCACACAGTGGCTCCAATGGCACTGCCTAGTGGAGTTGTGAGAAGAGGGCCACTCTCCTCCAGACCCCAGAATGGTAGATCAACAGACGGCTTGCACCATATGCCTGGCAAAACCACAGACACTCGATGCCTGCCCATGAAAGCAGCTGGGATGGGGGGCTGTACTCTGCAAAGCCACAGGGGTGGAGCTGTGCAAGGCCATGGGAGCCAACCTCTTGCATCAGCGTTACCTGGATGTGAGACATGGAGTTAAAGGAGATCATTTAAGAACTTTAAGATTTGACTGCTCTACTGGATTTCAGACTTGCCTGGAGCCCTTCATTTTGGCCAGTTTCCCCCATTTGGAATGGGTGTATTTACCCACTGCCTGTACCCCCACTGTAACTAAACTAAAAAGTAACAAACTTGCTTTTGGTTTTACAGGCTCATAGATGGAAGGAACTTGCCTTGTCTCAGATGAGACTTTGGACTTGGACTTTTGGGTTAATGCTGGAATGAATTAAAACTTTGGAGAACTGTTGGGAAGGCATGATTGGTTTTGAAATATGAAAGGGACATAAGATCTATGAGGGGCCATGGGCATGATGATATTGTAGGCTTTGTGGTGGTTTCCCCCATGCTGTTCCCATGATAGTGAGTGAGTTCTCATGACATCTGATGGTTTTATAAAGGGCTCTTTCTCCCTTCACTTAGCATTTCTCCCTCCTGCTGCCTTGTGAAGAAGGTGCCTTGCTTCCCCTTCTCCTTCTGCCATGATTGTTAGTTTCCTGAGGCCACCCTAGCCATAATTTCCAACTTTGGAAACTTTGGAACTTTGAGTGAATTAAACCTCTTTCCTTTAAAATTATGCAGTCTCAGACAGTTCTTTATAGCAGTATAAAAATGAACTAATACAGGTCCCATAAGATTACAGTGGAGCTGAAAAATTCCTATTGCCTAGAGACATTATAGTCATTGTAATTTCATAGCATAATGCATTACTCATATTTATGGTAATGCTGTTGTAAACAAACCCACTGCATTGCCAGTCATATAAAAGTATAGCATGAACAATTATGTACAGTACCTAATACTTGATAATGATAATAAACTATGTTATGGATTTCTATAATGACTATACTATACTTTATACTGTTATTTTAGACTGTACTTTTACTTATTAAAAAAAGTTAACTCTTAAACAACCTCAGCAGGTTTTCCAGCAGGTATTCCAGGAGAAGGCATTGTAATCATAGGAGGTGATAACTCTATGGTTGTTATTGTCCCTGAAGACATTCCAGTGAAACAAGATGTGGAGTATCATCAGTGATACTGATGATCCTGACTCTGTGTAGGCCTAGGTTATGGTATATATTTTTCTTAGTTTTTAATAAAAAAGTTTAGAAAGTAAAAACAAAGAAATTTCAATTTAAAAACAGAAGAAAACCTTATAGAATAAGGATGTGAAGAAAGAAAATATTTTAATACAGTTGTTTTATTAAGCTGCTTAACATTTAAGCTGTATAATAATGTGTTTGTGTTTTAAGCTAGTTGTTATTCCAAAAAAATCTAAAAGCTAAAAAAAAGTTGATAATGTAAAAAAGCTACAAAAGCTAAGTTTTATTTTAGATGCACAAATACTTACCATTGTGTTACAATTACCTACAGTATTTAGTACAATAACCTGCTGTACATGTTTGAAGCCTAGGAGCACCAGCTATACCTTATAGCCTAGGTATGGAGTAGGTTATCCCATCTAGGTTTGTGTAAGTACATTCTATGATGGTCACAAGAACAAAATTTCATGATGATATGTTTTTCAGACTGTAACTCTGTTGTTAAGTGATGCATGACTGTATTGCATTATCTTACTTATATGTGGAATTTTTTGAAAAGACAAATTCTTTGAAGCAGAGAGTAGAACAGTGGAAAGCAGGGGCTGGGGGTAAGGGAAATGGAAGTATGTTGGTTAAAGGGTATACAGTTCAGTTTTTCAAGATGAATGAGTTCTGGAAATCTAATAATATACAGCAATGTGACTATAGTTAATCATACTGCATTTGTATACTTGAAATTTGCTAAGACAGTAGATCTTAAAGTTCTCATTATAAAAAAAAATGTTAACTGTGAGGGGATGGATGCTAGTGAATTGTAAGAATCATTTTATAATGTATACATGTACCAAAACATCACATTGTACACTGTAATTGTATAATATTTATATTGCCAATTACACCTCAATAAAGATGAGAAAAAAGTCAGTTGAAAAAAATAAATGTGGGCCGGGTGCGGTGGCTCACTCCTGTAATCCCAGCACTTTTGGGAAGCTGAGGTGGGCAGATCATGAGGTCAGGAGATCGAGACCATCCTGGCTAACACGGTGAAACCCCGTCTCTACTAAAAAAATACAAAACTTAGCTGGCCGTGGTGGTGGGTGCCTGTAGTCCCAGCTACTTGGGCGGCTGAGGCAGGAGAATGGTGTGAACCTGGGAGGTGGAGCTTGCAGTGAGTCGAGATTGTGCCACTGCACTCCAGCCTGGGCGACAGAGCGAGACTCTGTCTCAAAAAAAAGAAAAAAAAAAAAGAAACGTGAAGAAATAGTATATGAAATACCAAATTCAGGATAGTGGTTCTCTCTGTTGGTCATGGTTGAGGAGAATTTGTATTATATTAGGGAGGAGTGCCCAGGACACATCAAATATATAGAAAATGTTTTATTTCTAAATGTGAGTTTCTTTATTTTTTATATTTCTCCTTATTTTAAATATTTGAGAAAAAATTATAAACATTCAATAAAAACATAACAGATTAAAAAATCTAGATCCATTTTTTTAGCCTTTTTAGGCTACTATAACAAAATACCATAGCTATTTCTCACAGCTCTGGAAGCTAGAAAGTCCAGCATCAAGATGCCAGCTAATTTGGTGTCTGGTGAGGCCCTCCTTTTTGATTCATAAACAGCCATATTCTCACTGTGTCTTCCCATGGCCACAGTAGTGAGAAAGCTCTCTGAGGTCTTTTATTCAGCATAATAATGTGCTGTACAGGTTTGTAGCCTCGGAGCAATAGGCTATACCCTATAACCTAGGTACACAGTAGATTATCTCATCTAGGTTTGTGTAAATACATTTTATGACGTTCACAAGAACTAAGGGCACTTATCCCAATCACAAGTGCTCTGCCCTCATGACCTAATCCCCTTCTAAAGCTGCCACCACCTAAGACCATCACACTGATGATTAGGTTTTAACATCTGAATTTGGGGGCACACAAACATTCAGACCACAGCACCTCTAATTAAATAATTTTTTCCTAAGGGGACAAAAAGAAGTAATAATCAAGAGTGCTGTCTGGGCATGGTGGTTCACGTCTGTAATCTCAGCACTTTGGGAGGCTGAGGTGGGTGGATCACCTGATGTCAGGAGTTCAAGACCAGCCTGGTCAACGTGGGGAAACCCCATCTCTACTAAAAATACAAAAATTAGCCAGGTGTGGTGGTGGGCGCCTGTAATCTCAGCTACTTGGGAGGCTGAGGCAGGAGAATCACTTGAACCTGAGAGGTAGAGGTTGCAGTGAGCCGAGATTGTGCCATTGCACTCCAGCCTGGGCAACAAGAGTAAAACTCCATCTCAAAAAAAAAGAAAAAAAAAAAGAAAAACCAAAAAAAAAGAGTACTATACACTGTTAAGAAATTACATTAAATAAGATGTAAAATATAATGATTATTCATTTATATGTAGGTCCTTTGTGAATGTTACTAGTGCTGCTTTGGTACCATGATACACACATATACATATATGATTAGTACATAAGAATGAATATATGTGTATAAATACACATGCAAGTATATTTTTACAATTTTTTCTTCAGAGGTTATATTATACATTTTACTTTATAGTTATTTTTTCTAAATTATTTAGTAAACATTTTTACTGTTTACTGTGTTATTCTAATCCTGACTCTCTATAACCGTGGATAAATTACTTAATATCTCCATATCCAGTTCTTTTGACTTCTCAAATCAAGTTACTGAGAGTACTTTTTTCATAAGATTAAACAAGGATTTATAAATCTTGTATTACTCTTGATCTCATTAGCCTATTTTTTCTTTGTAACTCATCACGATTAGATATTATTGTATTTATTTATGTATATTTCATAAAAATAGTTTTAAGATTTTTAAATGCTTAGAATTAAAATAACTGGTGCCAGAATGGGTGTGGTAGTAAAAACCACTGATTCCTGGGGTCAGTGTCCTCCTGTGTGACCTTGAGCATGTTACTCAAGTAACTCTCTGTGAGTCATTTCCTCATCTGTAAAGTGCAAATAATAATTATTGTATTAATATACATCACCTAAAATATTTTTGTTCATTTTTCACTTAGAATGCTTTTGAACTCATTTTTGTTACTGGATAAACCATCTTAACAGTTTTTTGGTACATACTCTGTACTCTCATTATCAGTTTATGAGGGTAGTCATTTTTCTGCATTTTCAGGCCAATATATAACATTGTCATTTATGTAAAAACATTTTAAATTTTGGAAATCTTTTAGGTATCTTTTTCTTTTAGCTTCTTTATTCCTGAGTAAATTTTATTTTAACACACATTTATTGGGTCTTTAATATTTTCTTTTGCAAATCTATTTACTATATATGCTCCACATACTTTCTATTGGAATACAGAATTTTTTCTTTTGATTGTGAGAACTCTTCATGAAATAATAACATTGACTTTTTTATGTCATTTATGTTGCCAATGTTTCCACCTTTTGTCATTTATCATTTTATTAAAAATATTATTATGTTTATGCATATTTTTGACTCAAATGTTATAATTTGTATAGTAAAATTTTTAAATTATCTTCTCTTTTGTAAGGATAGGCCTTCTTCAATTTAAGGTTATCAAGATCTATGTATATTTTCTCCTAATACATTTTAAACTTTCTATGTTGGAACAATTTTGACTTACAAAAAGTTACAAAATAATATGAAGAATTCCCAGCCTCCTTGAATGTTAGCATTTTATTACACTTGCTTTATTTTTTCTCTCTATTTCAATTAAGCATGATTTCTAATGCTTTTATTGTCTGGCTTTTTTCATTAAAATTTTAATCTATATAGTTTATTTTCTTATATGGTATAAATTAAATGCCTAACTTCATTTTTCTTTTTCAATCATTAGCAACTTGTTCCAAAACTATCTTTAAATAATTCATCTCCAAATTTGCATGGCCACATTAACCAAATATAAAAATTGTATATTCTTTCATATTTGTTCCACGATTTTGTGTTCTGATTTATTTATCTGACTATTTTGACAACAAAATTGCACACTTTTAATTATTTTTGTTCAATAGGACAGCACCCCCTTATTACTTACCTTCAGAATTATCTACACTATTCTTATATATTTAATCTGTTAAACAAATTTTAGAATTATTTTTTCAGTTCAATTTATCCAAAAGAATATGCTACTAATGTTTTTATTAACATTATATTAAATGAATACATAAATTTTGGGGAAATTTATATAGTGACATTATTGTATGTTCATCTTCAGGAATGTGATAAATCTTTTCCATTCAAATTATGAGGACTTCATTCCCACGTTTGGAAACAAATTGAGGTTCTGTTTTTACTCAATTCTGAAGAGGCTGGCCCAGAAGATTTCTCAGTGAAAGAAAATACTGAATATTTCCTCCTTCTGCCTAGTCCTCAATCCCTCCTTCATGTTTATATTTTTCCAGTCTGAATCCCACCCTTTTATTCTTATAGCCAACTTGCTTGTTCTGGAAGATTTCCAGTGTCTCTTCCCTTCCTTGTCTACTCTGTTGAAGAGAAGCATAACTTGAAGTTATTTGTTAAGGGTATGATTAATTTGTAAGTAACCTATTATGACATGGCATAAAGAAAAACTCATTAAATATGACACATTATATCATATATAGTTAGGAAATAACCAGGCTTTGACTTGACCAATAAACACATAGCTTGATTAAGGTACTATTTTTTTCCATGCTCAGTAAATTTAACAATTGTAAATTATTGCCAGTGAAACAACTAATTAATTTGGTCCAAACAATGAAATGCACCGATAACACCTCAATTAACCTTCTTTATTTCATTCATTAGTAAGATTTGGAAATGTGTGCTTTCTATATTTATTAAATTCATGGTACACATGTTAGAATTGGCCTGTAAAGGTTATTTATGAGTGTGTATGTTTGTTCTTCATCCCTAGAAGAACTGTAAAATCCATCACAAGAGCTGTCCCCACTTGTTTACTTGTATCCTTAATATTTGATGCACACAAGACTCTCAGGAGATGCTGTGAATTACTACAATGTAGACTTGCTGTTTGTTCAGCTTCGCCATTAAATCTGACTCCAAGGCTTGATGCAGATTGAAGTGTCAACTTCAATGCACCCAGGATTTTGGTTTTATTCAGATACAATGAGACCAACAGGAGATATTTGCCACTGAAAAGATATTAGGGGCTGGGCGTGGTGGTTCACACCTATAATCCCAGCATTTTGGGAGGCTAAGGTGGGCAGATCACTTGAGGTCAGGAGTTTGAGACCAGCCTAGCCAACATGGCGAAATGCTGTCACGACTAAAAATATAAAAATTTGCTGGGTGTGGTGGGCACGTACCTGTAATCCCAGCTACTCAGGAGGCTGAGGCAGGAGAATCGCTTGAACCTGGGAGGTGGAGGTTGCAGTGAGCTGAGATCTTGCCACTGCACTCCAGCCTGGGTGACAGAACAAGACTCCATCTCAAAAAAAAAAAAAAAAAAAGAAAAAAGAAAAGACGTTAGGTTGGTGCAAAGGTAATTGCAGTACTGCCAACGGTGAAAACTGCAGTTACCTTTGCACCAACCTAATAGTTTATTACTCACAGTTCTCAAGAGGAGAGAGGTAGACTGCACCAAGCAGACCCACAGGAGAGAACACCAAGGCTGGTCATAGGCACAGTGAGGGAAACGGCAAATAAAGGCTTTAGTAAGGTTCATAGGAAAGAATAGGAGAGATAGGCTAAGGAATCCAAGTTAGCATTGCCTTGTTTAAATAATTTTAGTGGGCTTTGGAGTATAGCATGGTTGTCTGAGGCCTGAACCTTGGGCAATTAGGGTGAGGGTTGGTACTCATGACGGGGGTTTGGGCTTGAGATTAGTTCACGTATCAAAGGCATGCTCCAGGGATACTTCTTTGCTGTCTCTAGGAATTTGCAAGCCTTGGCCTCAAGGCCCCAGATGTCAACACATCAGATACAGAAACTATTTAATAGAAAACATGGTTAATGCAGTTGGCAAACTGGAATTATCCTTTTTTAAACATTTGCAGGCAAGGCAATTTATATACAGATGAAGTTGTTGAGAATTCTAGACTCTGAAAATCCCCCTTACTGAAGGTTTCCCAACAGCAACTGATCATTTGAGTTAAGCATCCATCTCCAAGCTTCCCTTTAGTTGAAATGTTTAGAAGTTGGAAATATTCTGGTAAAATTTAACTTATCAAGACTAATACCTTTGTGTGAGTTATTTGGTTACAGCTAGTTTTCTTTGTGAATTCCACAAGAGTGGAGCTGAACTGAGAGCCACTTAAGAAGGTTGATAATAAAGAAAGACCTAGAATAGGGATATTGAAGTCATATTTGATCCTTTCACTATTCTTTAGAAAGTGTGCCTTCTTTTTAGAAGTGGTTTTATGCTGCGACATTAACTCTGGAATTTGCCTCCTACTGACAATGAACATTAGAGAATTGCTTTTTACATCTTGATAGCAGTCATACTTTATTCAGGCTTGCATTTACAGTGCTTTTGCACAATGACTGGTGTATATTAGGTGCACAGTATGTCTTTTTGACTGAAGGACTAAATAAATAAATACGAATAATATGTGCATCAGACTCAGATATCTGTTCTCTAACACTTCACTAAGCAGTTTCTTTACAAATTGTCCAGTCTCTACTAGTATTTCTCCTGTGAAATCTCCTAGTTTCCATATTCTTATAGTTTGTTAGGCTAAGTCAGAGAATAGGGAATAGTGTGACTATTATAGTATCTTTGAGAATTTGAGCATTACAGAGAGTAGTGATGTAGCACTAATTGACTCAGTTTGCAATTATTTTTCTTTTATAATAGAGCTGTGATCAAGGGAACAATAAAAAATATTAACTCTGTAATGCACCAAATAACAGCATAAAGTGTGAAAGAGCAGTTATACAAGCAAAGAAATGAAGAGTGAAAGAAATGCACTCAGGTTCACTTATTAAGCATTATTGTCACTATGCTTTTATCTAAATTTATGAAAAAATAGTCACAGAATTTGATGTGATATACTGATTTTTTTACTCAGGTTTTTAGTTTCCCACAACTCAAAGAAAAATAGACTTAAACTTTTTAGAGATTCAAATGTGAATGACTAAGAGGAGAAAATTGTGATGGTTGGGGAATGAGCAAGTGAGGTAGAATTTTTTCTCCTATATTTCCACCTACTTTCAATTTTGTTCTGTCTCGGTTGTGAGCAGAGATCTAAGAAATAAAGAGATGGCACAAAAATGATGGAAATCTTGTAACTTGGACTCAGTATTAACAAACTGTGTGACTTGTACCTTTTGTCTTTGTTTTCTCCATTTTAAAAATTATGGAACTGCATGAAATGCTCTCTAGTATCCTTCATGGCTTGACTAGCCTATGATTCTACTATTCATCAGGTAAGTTAGTACCCTGAAAATGAATAGACTCACAAAACAATAAGGGAAAAGGTTGAAGTTCCCATATAACACTGTGAAATACCTGCCTAGACTATGAAGCCAAACTGAAAAACAGTTCAAAAATTGTACCTTAAGATTTTAAGAAAAGGAAGGGAAAGGGAGTGTGTACTTCATGCAAAGCTTCAGTTGCAAAATATTTTAAATCTTCAAGCTTGGTATGCACTGCTTACTAAATTATAATTGCCTACAAAAAGAAATTTGAGATGAGCAAACTAAATATTTGTATTTATAATACTGAATAATAACACAAGCACAAAAACATTTTAGTATTCTAGAAGTCAGGATCCAATAACTGAAGATGAGAAATTCTTGGGTCTTGTAGGCAAGCAAATTATTTTAGCCTAACTTCTCCTGTTTCAAGAGCAAGTCCCTGAAGATGTAGAGAAAAATAAATTATTTCAATCTTTTTTACTTGGAATCCCCCCCTCCCCTCCTCCCCACACACAAATACGAGGTCAGAATTGCCATACATTTCTAAACTGGTGAAATTCCAATTAATGCTCTGTTTTATTTTTCACTAGGCAGGTTCTAAATGATAAATGTTTATGAGCTTAGGCCTAATATTTGAAAAAATCTGCTATAATAAGCAGTCCAATATGTGCCAGAAACTTATAAGGAAAAATAATGAAGTCAATGAAGTGAAAAAGAAAAATGAATTAGTAGAAAATAGGGGATACATAATGCATCAAAACATTCCCATATAGAAATGCATCATATATTACCTTGTCATATTTAAGCAGTTGTAAATATTTTTAAGGAGATCTCCCCTAGAATTTGCATAGGAACTTATATTCTCTATAACAAGAAAAGCAACTGAGCACAAGAGATGTAATTTTATGTTTATCTCTATCTTTGTCCTTACTTAAAACAAATCACAGTCAAAAGAGAGGTAGCAGAGTAAAACCTCCTAAAATGCAGAAGGTCTAAAGTTGGAAGCTAGGGAAAATAGCAGGAAAGGATACTGCAAAAATATAATTAAAAAAATAAACGTAAGACTTTGTACTGTTAAGAATTCAAAGGAATTTCTGGTAAGCAAGATTGAGAGCTTGTTACTACTGGAGTGGCGTTTGATATTTTGGTGACTTTCAATTCAATGTCACATGGTACAACAATGGCATCAGCAGCTGATGTGTTTGGTCCTCTGGCTGTTGGTAATCTATACTTCTTTTCTCAGGAAAAAAGCACTTGTAAGGTTAATAATCTAATTTAATGTAATATAAGGGAAAGGTTAATAATGTCCAATATCTTCTGAAGATAGTTTGGCTTGTCAAACAGTTATGTGGACATTAAAAGAGAAGGTTAATGCGCACTGTTCCAGTTTCATTCTGAAGAAGCAAGAGCCAACTCTGGGTTAGACAGGGGAACTTTACAAGGATTCTCTCATTTATTCCTGTCAACAATGGTATGATGTAGACTTTATCATTATTCCCATTTTATGGATAAGAAAATTAAAACTTGGTGAGGTTAAATAGCTTATCTGATGCAAATGCTATAGTTGGGTCTGAACCCAGTGAAATTATTCCAGATTCCCAACATACTATCCTGTGTCAGATGCTGTGAAAAAACAAACAAACAAACAACAACAACAACAAACCCGCACTGGACATTTGTTAAAAATGGCAGAGAAGACTTTAAGACTATTGCATCAAAACTTAAGACTATTGCAATAGGGGAGAAAGATTGAACTCAGCTCTGAATACAATACGGACATGCAAGGATTTATACCCAATGGGTAGAGTGAGAGAGTGAATGGAAAATTACTAATAGGAGCTTGGTTTAATATAAAGGGTGGACGAGGAGAGGAACTTAATTAGGCATCAAGGTGGAGGAAAGAGCTTGCCTGAAATATCAATGGTAGGGGAGATAATTGACAAACTATTTTATCAGGATTCTTTGCTGAAGCTGAGCTCAGCAGGTGAAGGAAGGGGAACAGGGATGAGGCCTGGTGAAAAAAAAAACAGTTAAATGAACTTGTCTTGGTCAAGGAGAGAGTTTCTGTCAAAGTTAGAGTTCAGAATGGGAAAAACACAAATATATAATTGTGAGGTTATTTTGTATGATAATAGGCTTTAGAAAACTCTGGGTCCTCATTTCCCCAGTGGTCCTTCTTGTCCTGATAAATTACTCATACTCGCAGGAAACCCTGACATATCAGTACTCATTTTGACATGCGAGAGGGACGTAAGGAAAAATAATGTGAAAATGTTCTATTTTTTTCATTGCATAGTTTAATATTTCTTTCATTTAGGTACAACCTAATTCTCTGGATTTTGTGTCTCTTTCACACTTTCCACTCTCCTCCCCATGTAACTCAATCTGTTTTGTTTTTAGGCTGTTTTCAAAATAGAGAAAAAAGAAAATTTACTCTTGTTTTTTTTAAACGTAGAGTTACATTTTCAACTTTATTTTTAAATCATAATTAGGTTCTTAAAATGTTTAGTTATCCTACTTTCTTAAAATGCAAGTGCTATAGCAAAAGATAAATATATTCAACTATTTTAGGATATATACAACCTTAAGTTATCTGTGAAAGCCAGATGAGTTCTGGAGACATTGGTATGCAAGATCATGCCCCTGAGACTATTTGTTTTCCAAAGCTCCTTCATAGCATCCAGTCCTCAAACAACAAACATTCTTTTGCTATTGAAACTGGTTCAGAACAGAACAGAAAGAACAAGGCTTGCTGGTTGAAGCATTGGAGGTAAGCCGACCATTTGCTTCACAAAGCAAAGCTTCACCCTACCTCTTCAAGGCGCTTTCATCTGAAAACTGGATTTGGAACCAAGTAGAAACAAGCTCTCTCCAGTGGGATTCATCACTTCCTGATTTCAGATGGGCACAAACAATAGACTCTTGTATTTTCCTGCTATTCACGTTTTTAGTCAGGTCTGAAACTGAAGGTGTGCTTAAATAATGATGGCTTATACACATTTCTTTTTCTCCAACCTGGGATTCAGAGTCATACTTTCCCAGATAAAGGTGATACTGTTTTTCAGGTCAGTTCACTCAAAGATGGTGCAAAATAATATGAGGAAAAAGTCCTTCATAATGAGACAGATAATTGGAAGCATACAGTCTCTGCTGATCCTTTCAATGCCCTGTAATTTTTTTTTCTTGATTTTTAAAAGATGTGGATTTCTTTTCTGAGGGCAGGGTATAGGGAGGAGAGCTCTTTGGTTGTCCAAATGCTATTAAAATCAGATAATTTCATCTATGTGACTTTCAGGAAGCCATTTGTTTCCCATATTCTCATTTGTGTTTAATTAACAAAGACTGCAATTGTTTACACCTATACACACTAGAAGTTTGAAAGTAGTGCTGCTAATCATCAATGTGACACTTTCATCTCCATTGCTTTTTAAGGATGGTCAGTCTCTTTTGAAATGGAAATAAAAAAATACGAACTAAAACTAAAGCTACACACAAGTGCTGTTTTTGCCTCCAAATCTTCATAAATGTAAAACCCCATTATTGATCTGACTTATCATTTCAACAAATCCTGGGATGCTGCAACCACAAATGTACATTGCTCTTGCTCACAAGAGAGTCTGTTCAACTCTCCCTTCCTTAGCCACCTACTCATATGTGAAAGATATCTGTGGACAAAACACTAAAAGCATCGAACTGATAATGTTTTGGGCCAGCTCATGCCAGAACACTCTTAAAGACCAATTTTATTTTCTTTGTAATGTAAGATCATGTAGGAACAATATTCTCCTATCTTTGAAAGAAGTTTTCTTAAAAGACAATAGTTAAAGAAGTGCTAATATTACAGGTGGGTATTCACTTTTTTCTTATCACAACCTATTAGAAATAAGAATTTAAAGACTGGGTCTAAAGCAGAAAACAACCAGAGATAAAAATAATGAAAATTATGAAGCACTGATGTACCAATTGTATTAGGTAGGTAGAAATCTAAATATTTAGTAAGCATTATATTAAATACCATATAAGATAGTACCTAAGTAAAAGACATATTTAATCTTTGCGGACCTCTTATATTCCAGTCACTTATACAAGACAAAGAAAGTAAAAGCCTAGTTTCATTTGTTATTAGTCCTGAGAAGCAGGTGAACAGTAAACTAGAAATGTTCATTCCCTCTTTCTCCTTCTGTCTTAGCATCTATGCTCCAGCACTTTCTATTCCTCTCTTTACAGTGTGTAGAAGGCTTATAAAGACTTACATTGACCCAGCAACAACTGGAAGACATTAAAAGGCTTTTTCTTTTTAGAAGCAAAATCTTGATACAAAAACTTTATAGAAGAAAGAGAACAAATACACGTTCTATTCTATAAGACCTTCTTTATGATAAGGCTGAACATCATGTTGATTTTTGAATGCTATCAATCATTAATAATGACCAATTCAAAACTATTTATGGTGAGTAGGGGTAAGGAAATAGTGTCAACATCTTCATAATTTTCTATCAGATGCCTCAAGCTTGAGAGATCTGTTATATTTGGAAGAAGCCTGGCCTGGCAATTTAAAAATCTAAATCCAAAATTTAACAAAACATAACAAAAACCTCACCATTAAGCAGGCATTGCCTAAGTTTTAGTGGTTAAAGAAATCACAACCCAAGAAGTATCTTAGTGCTTGTATGAGGACATTTTTTAAAATGAGCATCATTGTTAATGATAAGTATCTTACAACATGCTATATTTGTTGAATAAATAAATCCTGAAATTGAGTTTTATTTGGTATCTTTTAATTGCACAAATAATGTATTTTGTTTGTGGCTGCTATAGAGAAAAAAATTGATTTTAACTCTAGTAATTTTTTAATTTTTAATTTTTGTGGGCATATAGTATGTGTATATATTTATTTATTACATGAGATGTTTTGATACAGGCATGAAATGTCAAATAAGAACATCATAAAGAATGGGGTATCCATACCATCACGCATTTATCCATTGAGTTGCAAACAATTCAATTATACTGTAAGTTATTTCAGAATGTACAGTTAAGTTATTGACTAGAGTCACCCTGTTGTGCTATCAAATACAAATTAATGTCTTATTAATTATTTCTATTTTTTTGTACCTATTAACCATCTCCACCTTTCCACCAGCACTCTGCCACCCTTCCTAGCCTCTGGTAACTATCTTTTTACTCTGTAGTCCATGAGTTCAATCATTTTGATTTTTAGATCCCACCAATAAAGGAGAACATGAGATGTTTGTCTCTCTGTATCTGGCTTATTTGACTTAACATAATGATTTCCATGTCTATGTTGTTGCAAATGACTCGGTCTTATTCTTTTTTTTGGGTGTGGCCGAATAGTACTCCATTGTGTATATGTACCACATGTTCTTTATCCATTCATCTGTTGAGGGACACTTAGGTTACTTCTGAATCTTAGCTATTTTAAACAGTGCTGCAACAAACATAGAAGTGTAGATATCTCTTTGATATACTGATTTCCTCTCTTTTCAGTATATACCCAGCAGTGGGATTGCTGGATCATATGGTAGCTCAATTTTTACTTTTTGAAGAACCTACAAACTGTTCTCCATAGTGGTTGTACTAATTTACACTCCTACCAACAGTGTATGAGGAAGGGTTCCCTTTTCTCCACATCCTCGCTAGCACTTGTTATTGCCTGTCTTTTGAATAAAAGCTATTTTAAATGGGGTGAGATAATATCTCATTGTAATTATGATTTACATTTCTGCAATGATGAGTGATGTTGAGCATCTTTTCATATACCTGTTTGCCATTTGTATGTGTTCTTTTGAGAAATGTTTATCCAAATCTTTTGCCCATCTTTTGATTGGATTTTTAAATTTTTTCCTACAGAGTTGTTTGAGTGTCATAGCTGGAGGTCTTAGATTTAAGTCTTTAATCCATTTTGACTTGATTCTTGTAAATGGTGAGAGATAGGGGTCTAGTTTCATTTTTCTGCATATGGATATACAGTTTTCCCAGCACCATTTACTGAAGAGACTGTGTTTTCTCCATTATATGTTCTTGGCACCTTTGTCAAAAATGAGTTCACTGTAGGTGTGTGGATTTGTTTCTGGGATCTCTATTCTGTTCCATTGGTCAATGTGTCTGTTTTCATGGCAGTACCATGCTGTTTTGATTACCACAGCTCTGCAGCATAATTTAATGTCAGATAATGTGATTCTTCCAGTTTTTTTTTTTTTTTTTTGCTGAGGTTTGCTGTGGGTATTCTGGGTAGTTTGTGGTTTCATATAAATTTTAGGATGATGAGTTCATGTCCTTTGTAGGGACATGGATGAAATTGGAAATCATCATTCTCAGTAAACTATCACAAGAACAAAAAACCAAACACCGCATATTCTCACTCATAGGTGGGAATTGAACAATGAGATCACATGGACACAGGAAGGGGAATATCACACTCTGGGGACTGTGGTGGGGTGGGGGGAGGGGGGAGGGATAGCATTGGGAGATATACCTAATGCTAGATGACGAGTTAGTGGGTGCAGCGCACCAGCATGGCACATGTATACATATGTAACTAACCTGCACAATGTGCACATGTACCCTAAAACTTAAAGTATAATAATAAAAAAAAATTTTAGGATTGCTTTTTATAATTCTGTGAAGAATGTCATCAGTATTTTGATAGAGATTGCATTGAATCTGTAGATTATTTTTGGTAGTATGGACATTTTAACAACATGGATTATTCCAATCCATGAACATGGAGTATTTTTCCATTTTTTGATGTCCTCTTCAATTTCTTTCATAAGTGTTTTAAAGTTTTCATTATAAGAAATCATTCACTTCTTTGCTTAATTTAATTCTTAGGTATTTAATTTTATGTGTGGCTATTACAGATTGGGTTACTTTTTATTGTTTTCTCACATTGTTTATTATTGGCATATAGAAGTGCTACTGATTTTTGTATGTTGATTTTGTATCCTGCAACTTTAATTAATTTGTTTATCTGTTCTAATAGTTTTCTTGTGGAGTCTTTAGGTTTTTCCAAATATAAGATCATATCATCTGCAAACAAGAATAATTTATTTGACTTCTTCCTTTCTAATTTGGATGCCCTTTATATCTTTCTCTTGTCTGATTACTCTAGCTAGGACATCTAGTACTATGTTGAATAACAGTGGTGACAGTGGGTATCCTTGTCATATTCTAGATCTTAGAGGAAAGTCTTTCAGTTTTTCCCTATTTGGTGTGATACTAGCTGTGGGTCTGTTGTATACAACTTTTATTATGTTGAGGTATGTTCCTTCTATACCCAGGTTTTTAAGGGATTTTATCATAGAGGGATGTTAAACTTTATCAAATACATTTTCAATATCAATTGAAATGCTCATATGGTTTTTATCCTTCATTCTGTTGATATGATGTATCACATTGATTGATTTGCATATGTTGAACCATCTTTACATCCCAGGGATAAATCCCACTTGGTCATGATGAATGATCTTTCTAATGTATTCTTGAATTTTGTTTGCTAGTATTTTGTTGATGATTTTTGCATTAACATTCATCAGAGGTTTTGGCTGCAGTTTTCTTTTTTTGATGTTTCTTTGTCTGGTTTTGGTATCAGGGTAATACTGACCTCTTAGAATGAGTTTGGAAGTATTTCCTCCTCCTATATTTTTTAGAATACTTTGAGTAGAATTAGTATTAGTTGTTTAAATATTCGGTAGAATAGAGCTTTGATCTTGTTACTTGATATTGGTCTGTTCAGATTTTGAATTTTTCATGGTTCAATCTTGGTAAGTTATATGTATTTAAGAATTTGTCCATTTATTTTGGATTTTCCAATTTATTGACATATAGTTGCTCATAATGGCCACTAATAATCCTCTGAATTTCTGCAGTATCAGTTGTAATGTCTTCTATTTCATTTTTGATTTTATTTATTTGGATCTTCTCTTTTTCTAAGTGTGACTAAAGATTTGTCAATTTTGTTTAACTTTTCATAAAGACAACTTTTTGTTTCATGTATTTTTAAATTTTATTTATTTCTGCTCTGATTTTTATTATTTCTTTTCTTCTACTAATTTTGGGTTTAGTTTGCTCTTGCTTTTCCAGTTCTTTAAGATGCATTGTTAGACTGCTTATTTGAAGTTTTTTCTCTTTTTTAATATAGACACTTAGAGCTATAAACTTCTCTCTTAGCCCTGCTTTTATTGTATCCCATAGGTTTGGTACGTTGTGTTTCCATTGTTAGTTGTTTCAATAAATTTTTCAATTTCATCCTTAATTTCTTCATTGGCCACTGGTCATTCAGGAGCATACTGTTTATTTCCATATATTTGTATAGTTTCAAAAATTCCTCTTGTTATTAACTTATAGTTTTTTTCCATTGCGGTCAGAGAAGATGCTTGATGTAACTTTATTTTTTAAAATATATTAAGACGTGTTTTGTGACCTAAGATATATTCTATCCTTGAGAATGATCCTGTGCTGAGGAAAAGAATGTGTATTCTGCAGCTCTTGGGCGAAATGTTATGTATATATCTATTAGATCCATTTGGTCTATAGTGCAGAATAGGTCTAATGTTTCTTTGTTGATTTTCTGTCTAGGAGATCTGCCTAATGCTGAAAGTGGGGTGTTGATGTCTCCAGCTATTATTGTATTGGGACCTATCTCTCTCTTTAGCCCTAATAATATTTGCTTTATACATCTGGGTGCTCCAGTGTTGGTGGCATGTATATTTAAAATTGTTATTTCCTCTTGCTGAATTTGCCCCTTTATCATTATATAGTGACCTACTTTGTCTCTTTTTATAGTTTTTGTCTTAAAATCTATTTTGTCTGATATAAGTACTGTGATTTTGCTTTTTTTTGGTTTACATTTGTATGGAATGTCTTTTCCCATCTCTTTATTTTCAGTCTATGTGTGTCTTTATAGGTGAAGTGCGTTTCTTGTAGGCAACAGATCAAGGGTTCTCATTTTTTTCACCCATTCAGCCAGTCTATGTCTTTTGATTGGGGAGTTTAGTCCATTTACATTCAATGTTATAATTCATGGGTAAGAATTTGCTCCTGTATTTTATTATTTGTTTTCTGGTTGTTTTATAATCTTTTCTTCCTTCTTCCTTTCTTTCATCTCTTCCTCTAGTGAAGGTGATTTTTTTCTGGTGATTTAATTTAGTTTCTTTTTTTAAAAAAATTTTTTGTGTATTCAGTGTATTTTTTTTGTTTTGAAGTTACCATGAGGCTTGCAAATACTATCTTACAGCCCATCATTTTAATCTGATAACAACACTGTTTTCATAAACAAACAATAAAAAAATAACAAAAACTCACCCTAACTTCCTCCTTCTGCTTTTAAATTTTTTGTTTTCTATTTATATCTTATTGTACTATGTCTTGAAAAACTATAGTTATTATTTTTAATTGGTTCATCATGTAGTCTTTCTCCTTAGGATAAGAGTAGTTTACACACCACAGTTGCAGTATTATAATATTCCATGTTTTTCTGTGTACTTACTGTTACCAGTAAGTTTTGTACCTTCAGGTGATTATTTTTTGCTCATTAATGTCATTTTATTTCTGATTGAATTACTTCCTTCAGTATTTCTTGTAGGATGGGTTTGGTATTGATGAAATCCCTCAGCTTTTATCTGGGAAAGTCTTTATTTGCCTTTCATGTTTGAAGGATATTTTTGCCAGATATACTATTTTATTTTATTTTTTTCCTTCGGTATTTTAAATATGTCATGCCACTCTCTCCTGGCCTGTAAGCTTTCCACTGAAAAGTCTGCTTCCAGATACATTGGAGCTCCATCGTATGTTATTTGTTTCTTTTGTCTTGCTGCTTTTAGGATCCTTTGCTTATCCTTGACCTCTGGGAGTTTGATTATTAAGTGTCTTGAGACAGTCTTCTTTGGGTTAAATCTGCTTGGTGCTCTATAACCTTCATGTGCTTGGATATTGATATCTTTCTTTAGTTTTGGGAAGTTCTCTTTTATTACCCTTTAAATAAACTTTCCATCCCTATCTCTTTCTCTATCTCCTTCTGAAGGCCAATAACTCTTAGATTTGCCCCCTTGAGGCCATTTTCTAGGTCCTATAGGCATTCTTCATTTTTTTAAGTTTTTTTTCTTTTGTTTCCTCTGATAGTGTTTTCAAATAGCCTGTCCTCATGCTCACTAATTATTCTTCTGCTTGATTCATTAACTTCTATTAAAGGACTCTGATGCATTCTTCAGTATACCAATTGCATTATTCAGCTCCAGAATTTCTGTTTGATTCTTTTTAATTATTTCAGTCTCTTTGTTAAATTTATCTGATAAAATTCTGAATTCCTTCTCTGTGTTACTTGAATTTCTTTGAGTTTCTTCAACACAGTTATTTTGAATTATCTGTCTGAAATGTCACATGTCTCTACTTCTCCAGGATTAGTCCTTGGTGTCTTTCTTAGTTCATTTGGTGAGGTCATGTTTTCCAGATAGTGTAGATGCTAGTAGATGATCTTCAGTGTCTGGACATTGAAGAGTTAGATGTTTATTTTAGTCTTCAGTGTCTGGGCTTATCTGCAGCCATCCTTCTTGGGAAGGCTTTTCAGATATATGAAAGGACTTGTGTGTTGTGGTCTAAGCTGTTTCTTCTTTAGGGGAAACCCCAAGACCAATAATGTAATTCTTGAGGACTCATAGAGGTACTGCCTTGATGGTCTTGGACAAGATCTGGGAAATTTTCTGGATTACCAGGCAGAGACTCTTGTTCTCTTCCCTTACTTTCTCCAGAACATACAGTCTCTCTCTCTGTTTTGAGTCACCTAAAGCTAGGGGTTGAGTGACACAAGCACCCCTGTGGCCACCAGCACTATAACTGTGCTGGGTGAAACCTGAAGCCAGCCCAGCATTGGATCTTGCCCAAGGCTTGCTGTAACCACTCCCTGGCTACTGCCTATGTTCACTGAAGGCTCTGGGGCTCTACAATCAGCAGGTGGCAAAGCCTGCCAGACCTGTGTCTTCCCCTTCAGGGCGGTAAGACTCCCCAGGCCCCAGGTGGTCCAGAAGTGCTGTCTGGGAGTCAGGGACTAGAATCAAAAATCTTAGAAGTCTACCTGATGTTCTATTGTATTGCAACTGAGCTAGCACTCAAACCACAAGGCGCAGTCCTTCTCTTCCCTTTTCCAAAGGCAGAGGAGCCTCACCCTGTAGCCACCATCACCCCTGGCCATGAGGAGTACTGCCAGACTACCATCAATGTTTCCTTAAGGCCCAGGGTCTCTTAAGTCAGCTTGTGGTGAATGCTGCCTGGTTTGGGACTCACCCTTCAGGGCAGCGGGCTCCTCTGTGGCCCAGAAAAGGTCCAGAAATGCTGTTCAAGTATCAGGTACTGGAATCAGGGACTCCAAGAGCCTGCTTGATGCTCTATCTGCCTGTGGTGGCATTGGTACCTAAGATGCAAGGCAAAGTCCTTTTTACTTTTCCCTCTGCTTTTCTCAGGCAGAAGTTTTGCCCTGTAGCCACCATAGCTGGTAATGTGCTGAATCTCACCTGAAGCCAGCAAGTCTCAGTGATTTACCAAGGCCCTTGATATAGCACCTGGCTGTCGCTGCTGGTTATTCAGGGCCCAAGGGCTTTTTAGTTAGCAGGTGATGAATGTTGGCAAAACTGGGTCCTTTCCTTCAAGGCAGTAGGTTTCCTTCTGGTCCAGGGTGTGTCTAGAAATGTCATCTGGGAGGCAGGGGTCTAGAACAGGGGCCTCATGACTCGGACAATTTCCCTATCCTGCTGTGGCTTCCAAGATGCATTACAAAGCCATCCCACTGTTCCCTCTCCTCTCCTCAAGAGGAAGTCTTGTTCTCCTGACCAAACTCAGCTGAGTTCAATGCCTTACAGTTGCTGTGTTCTCCTCCCTCAGCACCAGGATATGCTGTCCACACATTGTGGCGTCCCTGATTCAGGACTGTTTTTTCTATCTCTTCAGTGGCTTTTTAGTGATATAAAGTTAAAACCAGGTACTATGAGTGCTCATCTGATTTTTGGTTCTTATGAAGGTGTTGTTTTTCTGTGTAGATAGTTATTAACTTGGTGTCTTTGTGGGGGGCTGATCCATGGAACTTTCTATTACGCCATCTTCTCAGCCTCCAACAGTGTAATTCTAATAATTTACCTAAATTAACTTTTTTTGATTTTTCTTTTTTTTGATACATGGTCTTCCTCTGCAATCATAGCTCACTGTAACTTTGAACTCCTGAGTTGGTCCTTCCACCTTAGCATCCCAAGTAGCTGAAACTACAAACATATGCCACCGTGCTCAGCTAACTTCTTTCTCTTCTTTCTTTCTTACTTTCTTTCTTTCTTTTTTCTTTCTTTCTCTTTCTTTTTTTCTTTCTCTCTCTCTCTCTTTCTTTCTTCTTTCCTCTTTCTTTCTTTCCCTTCTGTCCTTCCTTCCTTCCCTCCTGCCTTCCTTCCTTCTTTTTCTTTCTTTTCTTTCTCTTTCATTATTTCTTCTTTTCTCTGTTCACGACAGTGTCTTGGTATGTTATCCAGGTTGGTCTTGAACTCCTGGCCTCAATTGGTCCTTTCACCTCAGCATCCCATAGTGATGGGATTACAGTCATGAGTCATTGCATCCAGCCCTTCTTCCATTCTTCCATATTTTTTACATACATAATTTGTGTGTGTGTGTGTGTGTGTGTGTGTGTGTGTGAATGATGACAGTTTTTTCTCCCCTATCTTCATTCTTTCTTTTCTTTTTTTCTGCTGCATTACTAGGGCCTCCTGTACAATTTGAATAAGGAGTGTGGTAGAAAGATATCTTTGTCTCATTTCTTTTCTTTCATTCTTTTTTTTTTTTTTGAGACGGAGTCTCGCTCTTGTCATCCAGCCTGGAGTGCAGTGGTGCAATCTTGGCTCACTACAACCTCTGCTTCCCAGGTTCAAGCAATTCTCCTGCCTCAGCCTCCTGAGTAACTGGGATTACAGGCACCTGCAACCATGCCTAGATAATTTTTGTATTTTTAGTGGAGACAGGGTTTTGCCATGTTGGCCATGCTGGTCGTGAACTCCTGATCTCAGGTGATCCACCTGCCTCAGCCTCCCAAAGTGCTGGGATTATAGGCATGAGCCACTATGCCCGGCCATCTCATTTCTTATGTTAGAAAGAAAGCCTTCAATATTTCACAATTAAGTATGATAATTGCCATAGGTTTTTCCTCCTTTATCAGAATAAGAAAAAACCCTTATACTGTTAATTGCTTAGAGCTTCTATCATGAATAAATATTGAATTAAATAAAATACCATTTCTTCATTCACTGAAATGATCATAAGATTTTTCTTGTTTAGTCTGTGTACTGGAAAGTTATTGTTGCTATAGTACTGCATAACAAATCACCCCCAAACTCAGTGAGTTATAACAATCATCTCTGTTCAGTGTGTTGATATCTCATGGGACAAAGCAAGTAAGATGGGTTAGTTCAAGGTCAAAACGGGAGAAGAATACACTCTACCATCAGTGGGAAGAACTTCAAAGTTCCATGACAAAGGGCACGGATAGAGGGAGGGGCCAGTAAAAAGTCCTCTCCGTGGCCACAATTATTCACAATCCTTCTTATGCAAAATACACTTATACCCCTCCTCAGATCCCCAGAATCTCATGATGCACACCACAAAGCTTGAATCCCAGATCAGATCAAGAGGCTGCTCCTTTTGACCTAGAGACTTATAAACCCCAAAAACCAAGTTATCACCCCCATTTATAGGCAACATTAACCCATGGATGGGGTAACTACAATATGTGCTCTCATTAGAAAAGAGGAGAAGGGAGGCATATAGAGGTAACTAGTCCATGACAATTCTGAAATTCTGCTGGAAAAATGTTAACATCTCCCTCTATATAAAGATGGATAATATTCCTTGATTAAACTACTTTGCTATCTGAAAATGGCTTCCCATCAATTGTTTACCATGACTCTTATCTCTACCTTCTGCAATATCATTCCTTTTCCATTTTGCTCTTTGGCCTCTTTTGAAGACGACATTAGAAAATATGCTTTCTAAGGGAGCAGATAAGCAGTTTTATGGGCATGTTTCCTGTCTGTAGAAAGTTGGAGATTATCAGGATTTTTAAAATCTCATGGTACCCACTCCTTTTGTTAGCTTAGGGTAGTCTGACTTTTGCTAATGGTGACCTCTTAAAAATTTAGTTAATTTTCTATATATTTTATTCCACTCATCTCTTTATGTCAAAAGCTGCCCCTACAGTTTTTTTAAAAAGATACTTCTTGCTTTCTCTAGGCTTAATTATGGGTATTTTGGATCCATTAAGTTTCTAAGCGACAATGTCTTTAAGCTTTCTAGGAAAGCTTAAAGCTTTTTTTTTTTAATTCAGTTGGAAGGATATAGTAGGTGCCACATTAATTTTTTCATATCTCTTAAAGAAAGGTGTAAGTACTACATCCTTGATTTTGTTTCTACTGCTGTCTTAGTTTATTTTGTGTTGCTACAACAGAATACTTTAGACTAGGCAATTTATAAAGAAAACAGGTTTCTTTATCTCACAATTCTGCCCGCTGGGAAGTTCAAAGGAATGGCTCTGGCTTCTGGCAAGGACTTTTATGCTGTAGAATCGTACACGGCAGGGAAAGTCAAAGGGGAAGGGTGGACACATGTGAAAAGAGAAAGTCCAAGGGGTATCCTAGCTTTAACCCACTCTCAAAGAAACTAATTTATTCCCATGAGAACTAATGTAATTTGCCAGAGGGAGAACTCACTACCAGGACAACAGCACCAAGATGTTCATGAAGTATCTGCTCCCATGACCCCAACACTTCCCACTAGATCCAATCTCATGACACTGCCACAATGGTAATCAGATTTCAAAATGAACTTTTTCTGGGGGAAGCAAACCATATCCAGCCCATCAAAATAAGTCATATCCAATCCATAACAATCACCAGATTTAACCAAATAGCCACAGTTTTTTAAATATTTCCCCAAGGCTATATAATAATTTGACAATATTTAACTCTTGGGAGATGGATAGATTAGAAGTAGTTTTATTTTTCAACCTAGCAGGTTCTGGGCCACTTGTATGCCTTCTAAAATCTGCTTGTAAACTGGCCAGTTCTCTTCTGAATTTATCTTTACTTTGTAGTGTCTCATTATACAAAGCAAAAATTATCAGCTGAAGTTTTGAAACTTCTGCCTGGAAAATATCTTTTCAAGAAGATAAATTCATTAGGTAGATTTTCCATCTTCCACATTATAGTTGGTGACAGTCTTGTGACTATATAACATAGGACATTTATTTTAGTGTCTTGTATTAGTTCCCTTGCCATTTTTAAAGACTCAAAACATTTTCTCACCTTCTATCATCTAGCCCCAAACCAGTATTACATATATTAGTGCTTTGTTAAAAAATCATCTAGCTCCATTTTGCTTAGATATTACCACAATAGTGCTGGAAGCAAGCCATCCTGAAATTGAATGCCTGAAAACATTTTAGAGATTTGTAGATCAGCTGGAATGATTCTGCTCATATATTTGTCACACTCATCTTGAAACCAGTGGAGTAGTGAGAGCATGTTCTTCTAATGGTGATGGCAGAGAGGTGGGTATCAAGCCCACCTGTGAGAGCAATTTCAAGTCTCTGCTTGCCTCCTGTCTACTAATGTCCTATTGGCTAGAAAAAAATCACATGGCTGAGTTCAAAGTCAAAGGGAAGGGCAATATATTTCAAATATAGCAGGATAAAATACAAATTCAAATGACAAAGGCATGGATACAAGAGGTGAAGAATTGAGGCAATAATACACCCTTATTACATTCTGTTCATGTGGTGCATTACAATGACTATTCATGTTAAATCACGCTTGCATTCCTATAATAAACTTGATTTTATCCTGACAGATTATACTTTTTGTATTTTGCTGGTTTCAATTTGTTAATATTTTAAAACTTCAAATTTATGTTACTGAGAGATTTACTGATTTTTTTTCCTTCATGTCAGTTTCTGGTATTAATATGTTTCTGGCCTAATAAAAATGAGTTGGAAAGCTTTTCCTACCTTTCTATTTTCTGAGTCCATGTAAGATTGGTATTGTTTCTTTCTTAAATGATTGGTAGAATTTACTGATAAAGCCATGCATACCTGGAGATTTTTTGGTTGCTGGAAGGCTTTTAAATTACGAATTGAATTTCTTTAATGCTTATAGGTCATATACTAAACTCTTCCATTTTGCCTTTTATTGTGCATGCTTGAGCCCACTCGCCCAATTCTTGAGATCTTATTGGGAAGCTGCTGATCACCAGTTTCAGGTGTTTTCTATCTACTAGGAGATGGCCATTCCCTGGTGCCAGCTGTGACCAATTATTACTTTAGAGAGACAATTAGCAAGCAATGACCATCATCTGATGGTTGCTGAATACTCCTGGTGTGTGGGGAGGAGCAGGAGAAGTCTTCTCCTGCCCTGCTCATACTGGACTAGTTACCCACTGTAAGATTTCCCCCCTCAAGAGTCTAAGACCTGAATTCTTTGGGGAAAACGGACGAAGGTCAGTCTTCCATAACTGCTTTCTTTTGACATAGGGATGGTGGTGGTAGTTTAATGGGGCTTGGCCTGTTGCTTGCTCTCAGGGCAGAAGGATGGCTCCATGGATTGGTGAAAGTGGTACCCAGCCAAGTCCGAGGAAAACAGGGGCAGGATTTCCTCTCTGTCATGTCCCACTTATGGGTAGTCTAGGGGTCCCCTGTAGAAGGGTAACTCTTGACTAGTGAGAGTATGGTATCCCTCACTGAGGATCATCTGGAGCTTGATGGCCTGAAGTCAAGAGGAGATAAATTGGGTTATTAGATTTAGAAGAATGTCAAAATAAAACAAGGGAGTGAAAACACCTCTAAAAATTCCCAAAGCTGCCGACACACCCAGGTAGCTGGTAGCTATAGTCTTGCCTGCTAAGACTGGGGTTGCTAGCCAATTCCAGTATGTGCCTAGGATGAGAATATTGATCCAGATTTTAATATTACCCATCTCTCCTGTTTCTTCTGAGCTGCAGCAAGAGATCACTAGTTGGTTCATAGGAATAAGCAGGGTTAGTCTAAATTGAAACCTGTGAAGGGGGAGCAGATAGGAGGTTATCTACATATTGTAGAAGTTATACCCCCTCAACAGATTGCTCAGGTAGATTTAATAATTGTTTCAGCCAGATCTTTACATTCTAGATGATTTATTTTGTCACATCTGTGCTATGGCAATATTTTTGTGTTTTTTTTTATTATTTGCTCTATCTTATTCATTTCTTCCTTTATTTTTGCAGTGCTTTTAAAAAAGATTTTCTACTGGTTTTATTTTGATCACCCATCTTTGAATGAGTTGAGATTTCCTATACCAATGATTTGAAGGGTAGGGCCCACAGCAATATTTCAAGTTTGTAGGCATTTTCCTTATGTTGCTGAATTTTGATGAATAAATATTATTGGCCTTTATTTTAACCAAATGTTAGAAATTACAAACTAGTCTGCCTACCATTCATTTTCCTTTCTTTTTTGTTTTTAGTAAAAATCAGCTACTCCTTGCAAGTATGGCTTATCTGTAAGATTTCATATGTACTTTTTTCTTCTGCTTATTAGAACAAAGCTGGGATAACTGAAGCTCTCATCTCTAGCCTACTTGCAGTTTTGTAAACTTTGGTTTGGTACCCGAGGGAGTACATATGAGTACATATCAAGGTGCACTCTGGAGATGTGTACCTTCATCCTTTTCCTACAAAAATTCAATTTATGTTTTAACTCCTCATCATAACCCTACCACATACACACTGCTTTTGACAACTTCCATCTTTTTAATCTTTTTAAATTTTGGGAGAGATTCATTATTCTAATTTTTCAATGATGTATTTTGTTTGTGTTTCCTTATTTTCTTTGTTGCATTTACCTTTTTTTTTGCTGAAGAGGAAGGCGAAAAATGCCATTTTTATAATATTAATCATGATTGTGGACTGTGATGATATATTTTTGACTTTACTTAAAGTAACCTCTTTTTGGTGTGTTCTTGAGGTCAAATCTTGTGCTCTATTCTTATTAATGTGCATTTGGCCTCAGGTGAATTGGGATCAATTATTTGGTTGTATCTGAAGAAATACAAACCTAATTTTGAAAAACAATTCAAAATGAGTGTTTCAATGACAAATAAAATTCTTCTTGCATATGAATTATCCTTTTAATATCTAAATAGCTATAAAATAGAATACAAATCTTTCATAACCATACATTAATACAAAAAATGAGTGTTTGTAAATAAATGATTAAATATACATTAGTTAAGTTTCCACAGCATCCCAAAAATTATACGTTGTATTGCAGAGAAGGAGAAAATGTGTATAGATGGTACCTAACTGATATAATGATATGATACAACAGATCTTGGCATTCAGACTAGTTTAACTGGGTTCTTGTCTCATCTCTTCTCTATGTAAGCTGTGTGGCTTGAGGAAGTCAGTTAACCTTTCTGTGCTCTCATTTTTAAAAATGGAGAAATAATAGTACTTCTCTGATATAGTTGTTAAAATAGTTAAATGAATTAATGTATGTGAAGAGCTTACAAGAGTATCTGGCATATACTGAGCTTTCAAGAGGTGCTTCTTATTATTTTGTGAAAGTTGACCTTATATAAAGCTTTCTACAAGTCAAAATAAAATTGTCTGTAGTGTGTATACATTTATGTATCCATTTCCCTCAGCTAGATAGTATTTTCGTATGCATAGAATGGAGAATAACTTAGCAGCCATATTTTCGTAGTTTTTTCCTTTTATTAAACTTTTGTTTTATGTTATTACTCTACAGATATTTGCTCAATTTATCACAACTTAAAGTAATTCTGACTCATATTAAAGTGGACTTTTCTTGTAAGTAGAGATCTTATGCCAGTCAATCCTTGTATATTAGGAGCTGATTCTCTAGTATCCAGAAGATGAAAGGACCTTTTTCTTATTCTGGGCATATCTCTTTTGCACATTATCTGCTGACAACTGCTACTACACCTGAAGGACTCAGCTCTGTTTCATCTTCTTCAAGAAACTTTCCCTAATTCCTGTGGGATTGTGAGAGTTTCAGAATGCTTATCACACTTGCTTACCGCCCTCCTCTAGCTTTCAGCTACAAATAAAAGAAACTCCTGATAAAGTGGTGTAAACAATGAAGGTATAATATATTGCATGAGTCTAAAAACCATATTGAAAACTGCTAAATGCAAGCTCAAGATCTTTCCTCCTCTATAACTTTTTTTTTTTTTACTAACAGAATGACAATTTTATTTCCAGAGTCTGTATGTTCAACTTTTTAAATGCCTGTTAAAGAATCCCACTGGATACTACTGACATCTAAATGAATTTTGTAAAATAGCACTGCTATTTTTTTAATGTCCAGAGATATTCCTTGAAATATTTTGGGAGCTTTGATTTCATTATAAAAGTTACTCATGCATAGAGTTAAAAACTATAGGGATGAAAGTGCTTAAAGTAAAAGTTAAAGATTATCTCCCCTCATCCACACCCACACTCCCAATTTTCACTCATCAGAAAGGCAATTTCTGTTAATAGTTTCTTGTATATCCTTTAAAATGCCATTTTAAAGGATATACAATTTTAAATATCTTTTATTTATTGCATCATTTCCCTTCCAGCCTTTTATTTTTTCATAGAAGCCACCCCCGTTCCATTGCTCATTTATATATTCTGAAGTAAGCAGACCAGAAATCACTTTTGCTACCTCACAGAGAAATTGGTCTTCTTTATTAGAATATGCTCACTGAGGAAAAGAGTGTGAATTAGCAAGACTCCCTTCTGAAATGCTAAACCATGTTACATTATAGTTTTAATAATGATGGTTAATAATAATGTGTTTGTGCATTTTTGTGACTACATCACTGTCATTTCACCCCAGTACTCTTCAATATTAATAACTGTGACAGTGACAAGATGTGCTAAACAGTCACAGATTTTATAAACAGTCAGCTGTCCTCAGTGGCAAGTGGTATTTTATATTTTGTTTTAGCACAAAGAGTACGAATGATATTTATTCACTAAGACATGTAGAGCAAGATGCAAAATTTTAAAAATGCTAGTCCTATGATAGATACATATGCTGGAAGATTATGGGAGAGAAAAAATTACAGAGGCTAATGCATTTGAAGCTACTATAATACAATCCTCCATAAAGTATAATACTCTTTAAGGTAGGACTATTTTGGATTTCTTCCAAAGCCATTTATTTCTAAAGAACCATAAGAACCTTATTAAGGAGGACCTATCTTGGGCAATGTAATAGTGTCCTTTTAATTCTCTCTAGCCTACTTTTCCCACACACTTTTCCTCAAAGAATATTTTATCCAGTCTTCAGGAACTCTCATACTATGTCTCCTTCCTACTACACCCAAGGTTTTAGTAATTATTTACATCTTAAATTACGATGTTAGGATTCCATCTTTAACTCCAAAGAAACAAGGTGTCTTTCACCTTAATTAAAGGTGAGTTGAATGAGTTGGGAGTTTTGAGCCCCTTAAATCTCACTTCGTAGGCTGAGAAGGAGGATGATCCTAGTTTAACATGATATCACTTCAAAGGTAATCTCACAGGTAGCATTTTAGTGATGTCCTTGATTGATTTATAGTTCTAAGAGATTTTTGTTGTAAACAAGGAGTTTGGCAAAGAATACCAAGTAAAAACATCTTAATTTTTGTAATGATAGGATGGACTTTACTTTTGAAGAATACCCCACACCCAAGTTCTGCTGTATTTGACTGCTTAACTTTCTACTTTGGAAGGTTACAGTCTCCTCTGCCATTATTTGACCCTTAGGTTTGTAAATATGCTGTATTAGTGGCATGGGAGTAAAGCCACACCACAAGATGGCAAAGCCAAGTACTGTGATGACTCCCAATCCTGACACCCTAGTTTGGTCTGTTTGCAGTTATTTTAAGGCATTCAATAATTTAAAATATAATTCACAAATGAGGGGCAGTGGAAAATGCTGCTGTGAAATCAGAAACACAATTTGAGATGTCTCACCTCCTACAAAGAGGGCTGTCACTGCTTTCATATAGCTATTCTGGGTTTGAGATATAGTAGGTATTTCTTTAGAATCTGTAATTCTATTAGGGACACTTATGATTCCTTTGAGAGCTTCTTATTCTAACTTGTGGGGAACTATTTTCCTTTTATTCAAAGTCCATCTGATAAATCTTTCAAAATGTACCTTTTAACTGTATTTCTTGAAAATTTACATTTCTATTTTATAACTCATCTTATTGTATATAATCAGTCAACTAGTGTCAGAAAGTTACTTAAAAGTTACTTAAAAGCTGATGATATTTAAAAGGGAGAAAGACAGCTAAGTGACTCCACTCCCTTTTAACTTTGATTAAGGATAATATCCTATACTCAGTGTTAGTGGTTCTCTCTACGAGCACTTACTGTATCCTGTCACAGCAAGTTAACTTATTAATTCTGTCTCCTTATCTTGAACACTGTACATAGAGATTCTAGACACAAGTAGTCTGGAATTCACTATTCTTTTAAGTAATAAAAATGTTGTTAAGAACACGTGTTTATATGTTGACCCATTTTTATGATTCTTTATTCAGAAGTTTACTTTTTAAAAAAAAATTATTCTTAAGAGCAGCTTTAGGTTCACAGACAAATTAAGAGGAAAGTACAGAGATTTTTCCAGAACACCTCTACCCCTATACGTGCAAAGCCTCTCCCATGATCAATATCCCCCACTAGAGTGGTAAATTTGTTATACTTGATGAACTACATTGACACATATTAATGTCCTACAATGACACATCATCCAAAGTCCATGTTTATAATAGAGTTCATTCTTGGTGGTGTACATTCTATGGATTGGAAACTATGTGTAATGACATATACTGATCATTATAGTATCATACAGAGTAATTTCATTGTCCTAAAGGATCCTCTATGCTCTATATATTAATTTCTCTGCCATCCAAACCCCCTGGCAACCACTGATCTTTTTATTGTTTACTTGGTTTTGCATTTTCTAGAATGTCATATAGTTGGAATTAACAGTTTGTAGCCTTTTCAGATTGGCTTATTTCACTTAGTAATATACGTTGAAGTTTCCTACTATACATTAAGTTTATTCATGACTTGATAGCTTGTTTCTTTGTAGCACTCAATAGTATTTCACTGTTTGTATATACTACAGTTTATTAATCCATTCACCTACTGGAGGATATCTTGGTTGCTTCCAAGTTTTTGAAAATAAAACTGCTATAAGCCTCCATGTGCAGGTTTCTGTATGGACATAAGTTTCCAATTTCTTTGGGTAAATACCAAGGAGCACGATTGCATTGGTTTTGTCAGAAACTGACAAACTGTTTTCCAAAGTGGCTGTAGCATTTTGCATTCTCACCAGCAATGGGTGAGTTCCCGTTGCTCCACATCCTCATCAGCATTTGCTATTGTCAGTGTTCTAGATTTTGGCCATTCTCATAGATGTATAGTAGTATCTACTCATACTCATAGGTGTATAGTATCTCGTTTTAATTTATGTTTCCTTGATTACATATGATGTGGAATGTCTTTTCATATGCTTATTTGGCATCTGTATACTTTCATTGGTGATGTGTCTATTAAGGCAGGGGTGTCCAATCTTTTGGCTTACCTGGGTCACATTGGAAGAAGAAGAACTGTCTTGGGCCACACATAAAATACACTAACAAGATAGTTAATGAGCTAAAAAAAATCACACAAAAAAATCTCATAACGTTTTAAGAAAGTTTACTAATTTGCATTGTGCTGCATTCAAAGCCATCCTTGGCCACGGGCTGAACAAGCTTGTATTAACTTGGTGTAAAAGTTATTGGGTTTTTTTCCATTAAAAGTAAGTAATGGCAAAAACTGCAATTACTTTTTCACCAACCTAATATTAAGATATTTGGCCATTTTCCAATTGAGTTATTTTTTTTAATTGTCAAGTTTTCCTTTAGTAAGATATGCCTTTTGCAAATGTTTTCTCCCAGTCTGTGACTTGTTTTCTCACTATCTTGATGTTTTCTTTTGCAGAGCAGTTTTAAAAATGTTACTCAAGTCCAGCTTATCAATTAGTGCTTTCATGGATCATGCATTTGGTGTTGTTTCTAAAAGTTATCACCATACCAAGGTCATCTAGGTTTTCCCCTCTGTTATCTTCTAGGAGTTTCATAGTTTTGCATTTTACATTTAAATCGATGATACATTTTGGGTTAATTTTTGCAAGGAGTGTAAAATCTGTATCTAGATTCATTTTGTTTCCTGTGGATGCCCAGTTGTTTCAGCACCACATGCTGAAAAGTCTTTCTTTGCTCCACTGTATTGCTTTTGGTCCTTTGTTGAAGATTAGTTTGCTGTATTTAATGTGGATCTATTCCTAGATTCTCAATTCAGTCCCATTTATCTGTCTGTTCTTTCACCAATACCATACTGTCTTGATTATTGTTTCATAGTAAGCGTTAAAGTCAGGTTGTGCTTCCTTACTTTTAGAATAATAATCACTCATTTGTGAAACAAAGCTGCCAAGTTGCTGTCATGGAGATTGAGAACTTCTCTCCTAATGTCAGTAGTGGCTAGAGTATCACTTTTTTATTATTGCCCCTTAATGTGTCTTACTTTCTAGTTGGTAGGAGGCCTATAGCTAAGTAGTTGTTACAATAAACAGAAGTTTGCTTAAATAACATTAAGGAGGATTTGAGGAGGACAATTATGAATACAGGGACTTTTATGAGATCAAACTGCAAGAAGTACTGTGCCTCACATGAATGGGAAAGGGAAAAGTCATCAAGCTTCTCTCTGTTTTTCTGTTTCTCTGACACACACACACACACACACACACAAACACACACATACAAGTCCTTAATCCCAGATGTACATCTGCTTTATTCTTTTCTTTTTATAGATTGGCTACTCATGCCTAATCCTCAAGTCCAAGTTCATCTGGTCCTTTGGTTGAAGTTTTCATGCTTGCTAATGCAATCTCTGTGACGCTACTTTTAGATTCCAAGAAGAAAGAATCATCTGGTACTGGATCTGAGATACATGCTGAATCCAGAGCCTGTGAGTCTATAGTGAAAAGCAGTCTGAATTCTGACACAGATGACCAGTGTAAGGTCTTGAATATGTCACTTCATGTCCCTGGGTTGCAGTTTCAAGATCAAGTCAGGAGAGGGAGACAGCAAAATTATTGGTAGAGTTCTGAGCCTGACAGGCCAGAGTGTAGGAGCAGGCAGGGACCAACAGGAAGGTGATTCTCTATCTCTATCCCTGCTCAGAACTTTTCAGAACTTCACTTTTGGCATCATCTTCAGAGACTGTACTAGACACACAAGATAAATAATTTGATTTTTTTATGTGTACTTTTTTCCCCACTGCCTATCCTTTTAAATTTCACTCACTTTGTTTTCTTTTCCTGTCTCCTTCATCTGCCCTTTAAACAACAGTCTGAGGAGTTACAAAGATAGAGCCTGGTGCATGCATCAGAGACCATAAGGAAAGGCTGGAGGGCAGGAAGAGGAGTCATAAGGCTGTTCCAAGCCTGGAAGTCTGACTCACAGTACATGGGAGTCAGCCTCATTTTTCATTTCTATATTAGCTATTATTAGGCTTTTAGAAATTGGCAAATGTCAGTTTTGACTAACTCTGTTTTGTTATTGCTGTGATAATATAACTGTACCTCATTTCTAAACCATGAAAATGGAGTTTTCTAAAATAACTGATATGAGTTATTAATCAAAATGAATAATATAAGAAATACTTCCTACTAATTTTAAAGATATGGGAACTCAAGCTGATAATATGGTACTTTGGACTGAGTACTGTTAATGACAGTTATTAGAATTCTGGTTGCTAAGAAGTAAAGGCTGGCCTTAGTCTCAGGGACCAACCCATCTGTATATATTCTTTGATATGCTTATTAAAAAATCCATTTCATTCTTTTATGATCATGCTCTATACTTATTGCCCTGAGAAAGAATCAACCTCAGGGGTCCAAGCTTTGTGGGAAGAAGTGATTTCAAAAGTGGAACTTACCAAAGGGTCAGGGAATAACAGAAGCATTTGCATTTGTGTCTTGGCTCTTGAGTGCCTAAGTCCACAAATTTGAGGCCCTTTCAAAATCTGGCTTATGTGAATCTTTTTAGAACATATGCCCACTTGAGTTCAACTCCATTCAACTCTACTTTCTGGTCTGTTCTTTCTGTTCTGTTCTATTGATGTTCTCATGTTTATATATCCAATGAAGAGCCTCTGGGAGGGAAGGGAAATTAAATGGTAGGGATTTTTAAAGAGGAGTGTGCAGTCCTTTTCCATATCCCTTTGTAACATGTAGACAAGGCCAAAGGAGCCCAGTAAAAATCCCTTTGATTAAACAAAGAACACAGGAGCCCTAGGCTTGACTTCTCTTCAAACTCCCTGGATCTGTCCTATACCTGGGTCTGTTTTTCTGTCCAGTTCATTTCGGTTGGACCCTGCTTGGCTCCACTTGTGCTGTATGTAGCTCCCCCATTTTTCTTATTATGTTATGGTTATTTCTGAGTTCCATACCTCTTGCTTGATTCCATACCTCCAGCTTAAGCTCCCTCTTCCTGAGTGTTCTCCTGGGTCCCTTGCCTGGGTATGATGAGTTTGGGGCTGAAGCTGCCAGAACCTTGCTGTATTTAGTAAATGCACATTTTCTTTCTTTCATTTTAATTTTTGTATTTTTTTAATTTGTGGTTTTGCCTTTATTTACCAAGTAGCTAGATGTTCTAATTTAATCCAATTTAGGTCTACATTCTTAAATGTATAGTCTAAAAGCACATATACCTCAGAACAGAAATGTGTGCTTAATGTCTACGAACCTTCTGAAAATGTTTCTTCTAAAAAAAAATCCTGACTGGGCATTGTGGCTCATGTTTGCAATCACAGAATGTTGGGAGGCCAAAATGGGAGGATCACTTGAGCCCAGGAGTTTGAAACCAACCTGGGCAATGTAGTGAGACCATGTCTCAAAAAAAATGTCCTATGGAATTTAATGTTATCATATAAACATGTGTTTTGTTTTTTTCTCAGAATAAATATCAATACTACCTCTCCCAAACTTATAGCTTGACAATTTATTACTCAATTAATGATGCAAAGAAGCTCATGTCCTAGTTTATAATATGTTCTCATTATAGTACACTAATGTAGACTCAATTACACTGCATTCTATAATACGTTAAATTATGTGATAATGAGACTTCTATACCTTATCCTGTCAAGCATTTATAAGCTATTTATATTTAGATATTAACATTTATATACTATAGGAGTTTATATACAGTGCTAATATTCAAAATCTAGGCGGCAATATAATTATTGTTTTCGTATTTTAATTTTAAAGTAGGTTATACTAATTAATAGATGATGTTATCTGCTGCTTTGTGAGTAAAAAACAGAGAAAACTGGATCATGCATCCTTTTTGCTATTGCATTTATCCGTGTAGAATGTGAAATCAGCTTTACCGTTTCATATTTATTCATTTATTTCAAAAATTTTTAAAAAACTAGCAATCTGGCCAAAGAAATTGAAGCAAGTTTGTTCCTCACAAGGACTGGATTACACTAAATAGAGCTTATTATGCTGTTCAGTCTGCCCATGGCCGTATCATTCACAGCGTTGACTTTCCAATAGTTATAATGATTTGAACTTTTCTATAGTGAGAATACAAATTGCCTCTTTGAAACACTAGAGGGTGGTATTTGTAAAGCCATTTAGGACTATGGTGGTGCTGACCTGAATTTATTCTGTGAAATTATTTGTTCAAATTGTCTTTGAATGAGGACAATGCAAATACATGTTTTTTAAAATTCCTATGAGATGAAGGACTGTAAACTGTCATTTAAGTGCAATTAGTTTGACTTTCAAAAAACTGAATCTATCTGTATTAATCTAGTACTTTTTTCAGCACAGAAAAAAAAAAAGATTGCTTTTTGTTTTTCCTTTGCTTGGCACTTTGATGTGATAGGCTTTGGCTTATAGCAAGGCAAGCTTGTTTTTCACTAGAGAACTTTGTAGAAACATTTGCTTCCATTAGTGTTTCAATACAGCAGCATGAGTATCATCAGATTATTAAATAAAGGCCATTTCATAAGCGGGCTGCCATCTGTTTTGTCTACCTGTCCTGGAGAGTTGAATATGTAAAACCACATACACATAAAACCAAAGAAAATGAGTCATAAAATTGCTGATCATAGGATATAGGCCATTGACTTTATATTCAAAACACTTAAATATATTTAAAGCTTTTTGCTTCTAAACATTTACAAATAATTTAAAAAGTATTAACTATACTAAACAAAGTTTTTGTGTTTTATTTTTAACTACCCAAGATATAAATTTCAGATTTTGTTAGCACAGAAAAAATAATGTAAAACCATTTTTGACTATAGTTTTTCTTCCCTGGATTTTGAGCCTTCTTTAAGTCTAGGGGATACAGTTTTCTCTCAGTATTGTAAGTAGCCTTCCAGGGCTGCCCCTGAAAAGAAGTATAAAACGACTACAAAGCACTTTGTGAATATGGATGCTATCCAAAGGCTAAACGAAAGTCTATAGCAGAAAAACATAATAAAGATTATACTCCAAATGGTAGGCACATTATTTTAATAATTTAATAAAACCATAACGAATAAGTAAACATATTACTTCTCTAATTTACTGATGGTCAGATAACAGCTACAACAGGAATGGATGATTTAGGAATTCATGAATTATTCTTCTGTCAAGCCTTTAATTCCTGAAACTAAATATTTAAGTCATGCTTTAGGCTTTCTCTCTTGGTGTTATCTGAAAAGACTCTTCCTTCTGGCCTAAACACTTAAATAGAATATATTTGTGCAATCCAAACACATTTTTCATGATTAATGGCCTCAGTTTGTTAGTAATAATGTAAAAATTGCTATTTAAATACACAATTAAATGTGCTTAGTTTGTTCTTTGGGTTGGAGAGTTGTATGTTACTATGAGGGAACTACCATTGGATTCTAATTCTTCCAAACTGCATCTTTCTTGGAAATATGTTTTTCTGCATTTGTCTTATATGATTGTTTTGTGGAGTAATCATCTCTAGTATACAGTGATTATACAGTGATTTAAATTATTCACTCACATGGCACATGTGAGTCACAGACCCTGTACTGTCCCTTTAGTAGAGGAAAACACTTTGCAAACTGCTTCTTTGTTACTATGAAATAAATGAGTGATTATAGTAGTCTCTATTATGGACTAAATTTTGTCCCCCACCTGCAATTCGTATGTTGAAGCTCTAACCCCGTAGTGTGGCTATATTTGGAGAGAGGGCCTTTAAGGAGATAATTAAGGTTAAATGGAAAAGCCCTTGTGATGACATAGTGAAAAGAGAGGCTTCACTAGAAAGAGAATTTTCCAGCACCTTGATCTTGGACTTCTGGACTCCAGAACTGTAAGGAAATAATTTTCTGTTGTTTAAGCCACCCAATCTGTGGTATTTTCTTATGACAGCTCTTGCAAACCCATATGTTCTCACTTTCCGTGATCATCTAGGATTTCACACAGTCCCTGATAGAAGACGGGCTTAAGATTTTTTTTTGAATGAATGAAAAAACAAATGACAAAAGTTTAAAGACTCTATAAAATGGATGATAATTTTTCTAATGGCAAGTACATTTTTTCTCCCAATTGAGTCTGGCTACTGCTACTAGGCTGGTGTTCTTAGCGGGCACTCTCCCTGTTGGGAAGACACTTTTTGCTTTCATTGAGGATTCCTGTCTCTCATTTTTCCCACTGATACCAATTAAAGGTTGGTGAGTTCTTCATTGATCAGAAACTTCATGAGCTAAATTGATGTGTATCATGTGTCACTTAATGATGGAGATACATTCCAGGAAATGCATCATTAGGGTATTCTAAGAAATTCATCATTAGGTGATTTTATCATTGTGTGAACATCATAGCATGTACTTAGACAAACCTAGCCTATTGAACACCTAATATATGGTATAGCCTATTGCTCCTAGGCTACAAACCTGTACGATGTATTACTGTGCTAAATACTGTAGGCAATTGTAACAACGTGTTAAGTATTTGTGTCTCTAAATATTTCTAAGCATAGAAAAGATACAATAAAAATATAGCATAAAACATACAGAAGGTCTGCCTGTATAGGGCAATTACCATGAAAGGAGCTTGCAGGACTGGCAGTTGCCCTGGGTGACTCGGTGAGTGAGTGGTGAGTGAATGTGAAGGCCTGGGATATTACTGTAAACTGCTGTAGACTTTTAAAACACTATACACTTAGGCTACACTAAATTTGTAAATAATATTTTTTAATAATAGATGTAGGTGAGGTTATGGAGAAAAGGGAAGACTTACATACTGCTGGCAGGAATGTAAATTAGTTTAACCACTGTGAAAAGCAGTTTAGTGATTTCTCAAAGAACTTAAAACAGATCTACCATTTGATCCAGCACTTCCGTTACTGGGCATATACACAAAAGAACATAAATAATTCTCCAAAAAGACACATGTGCTTGTATGTTAATTGAAGCACTATTCACAATAGCAAATAAGTGAAATCAACCTAGATGCCCATCAATGGTGGACTGGCAAAGAAAATGTGGTACATATGCACCATGGATACTATATGCCTATCAAAAATGAAATTATATCCTTTGCAGCAACATGGATGCAGCTGGAGGCCATTATCTTAAGTGAATTAACACAGCATCAGAAAACCAAATATGACATGTTCTCAATTATAAGTGAGAGCTAAACACTGCATACACTTAGACAGAAAGAGGGGTACAATAGACACTGGGGCCTACTTGAAGGGGAGGGTGTGAGGAGGGCGAGAGTTGAAAAACTGCCTATAGAGTCCTATGCTCACTACCTAGGTGACAAAATCATTTGTATACCAAACCCTAGCAACACACAATTTACCCATGTAAGAAACCTGCACATGTACCTCTGAACCTAAAATAAAAGTTGAGAAAGAAAAATACTCTTCTTTCTCCACTAGTAAACTAAACTTAGCTTATCATAGCTTTCATACTTTATAAATGTATTTTGTTTTAAACTTTTGAATTTTTTGTAGTAACACTTAGCTTAAAACACGAATACATTGTACAGCTGTATAAAAATATTCTCTTCATATCCTTATTCTATACGAATTATTCTATTTAATATTTTTAATTTTTATTTTTTACTTTTAAAATTCTTTTGTTAAAAACCAAGACACAAACACACACAGTCTAGGCCTACACAGAGTCAGGGTCATCAATATTGCTGCTTTCCACCTCCACATGGTGTCCCACTGGAAGGTCTTCAAAGACAGTAACACCCATGGAGCTTTCATCTCCTATGATAACAGTGCCTTCTTCTTCATAAATACTGCCTGAAAGACCTGAAGGCTGTTTTACAGTTAAAACTTTTTTATACATAGGAGGAGCACACTCTAAAATAACAATAAAAGTATAGTGTAGTAAATAAACCAGTAACGTAGTAGTCATTTATTATCAACATCAAGTATGATATACTACATGCAATTGTATGTGCTATACTTTTATACGACTTTTATATGACCATTGCAGTAGGTTTGTTTCAATTCATTGCACTATGATGTTATGATGGTTGTGATGTCACCAGGCGATAGCAATTTTTCAGCTCCATTATAATTTTATGACCATTAATAATGGTCATATTAATTATTGTCTTCAACAACCACATCATGGCGTATGACGCCATGACCACTTTATATGTGGTCTATTCTTGACCAAAGCGTAGTTATGTGATGCATAGTGTATATGCTAAACTTCAGATAGAATTAGCATCAATACAACAGGTGATTTTTAGCTACTTCCATCACTAGGTAATTTCTTCTCTATTAAGAGTTGACTTTAGTGATCTTGTCCACGAAAACACAACGATTATAATGAGCCTAAATGTGATGCATCACTGCAATACTATAATAGTTTGCTAGGGCTGCCATAACAAATACTCCAGATTGGAGGGCTTAAGGAATAGAAATTTATTTTCTCACAATTCTGGAGGCTAGAAGTCTGAGATCAGAGTGTTGGAAGAGTTGATTTTGTTCCAAGACCTCTCTCATTGGCTTATTGACGCCGTTCTTCTCCATTTGTCTACACGTGTTCTTTCTTCACGTGTATTGTCTGTGTCCCAATTGTTTTGTCTAACGACACAAGTCATACTGGATTAGAGCTCATTCATATAACCTTACTTTAATAACGTCTTCAAAGGCCCTCCAAGTACTGTAACATTCAAAGGTACTGAAATTAAGACTTCAACATGCAGTTTTTTGAGGAACACAATTCAACCCATAACAAATGGTAATAACTATAACAATTGTACAACAGAGACTGATAATGCCTTTTTATAACCTCCTCCAAGGTTAATATTGTCAAGAAATTTGGGAAAATGGTAGTGGTATTTTCAATGTTAAATTTTCACTACAGTTTAGCTTCTCTGGGAGGAATATATGGTCTGAATTGATCAGCCTTGTTTTATAAACAGAGTTTGGTTGTTCTGTCTTGCAGAACTCTTCCTTGAATTTTACGTTTTTTAGAATTTTCTGGGCGGTACTTATTAGAAACACCCTTAACATTCTCATCTTCTTAATAACTAGTTTTAGAGTTTTTCGTAATAAATGCTATTCAAAATTGGTGATTGTAAACACCATACGTCTTGTTTTATTTAGTTATTCAATCCACACTTTTACTTTAAAGAAAGCAGTTAGCACTATGAAATCTATGTTTGTTTAATAAATATGATGCTTTTGAGAGTCCAGGCTCTGTAGCCAAACATTCTAGCTTTGAAATTAGAAAGGCTTTTTTTTCTGACCATGCATTCTAAAAAACGTGCCCATTCCTTCCAACCTCAGCACCCGTTATCCCTTACCTTTTTTTCTCTTTTCCCTATTTTTATTACCACCTGATATATATCCATTTATTCATTCATGTATATCTATTAGCTCAATGTTGTATCCCCAGTGCTTAGAGTAGTACTGGGGAAATAGTCACTCAATAGGTATTGGTTGAATGAATGAATAAATAAAAGATTTTATAAAGATATACAATTAAGCCATATTTAGGCATATATTTAAGGTATCATCACTGCAAATAATTAAAAGTATATTACACCATGACATGGTTGTTGAAGACAATAAACTGAAACCAGGGGACCTCAGTGTAAATCCTGATGAAACAATTTACTAGTTCAGCCTTATTAATCTTTTTTTTAAAATGAGACTAGAACCCCAGAGGAACTTGGGCCCTCATGGAAAGGGTAGGTGGGGCGTTGCTCTGCTCCCCTCTCCCCTCTGGCAATATGCTGACTGTCAAACTGTTGGGGAGCCCTTCTGCCTCTGCAACCCAGGGAAATGCTATTGGTCGTGATTTTGCTACTTCCTGGGGACAGAGAACTGAGAGGCCGCCTTCCCCTCAGACCCTAACTGAGATGATGATTGTGCACCCATAGTGGGCCAATGCCTTACCTGGAGACTCTCTGCCCTTAAGTCATCTCATCAAACATGCCCACCTTCATTGCAAATATACCTACAACTGATCTGACACTGGTAAGCACAGGGAAGCAGCAGGTCCCTAGGGAGCTATGAGACACCTGGAGATCTAACCCTCAGCATGGGCCACCCATAAGGGAGGTGGAATGCAGCCCATTAAAGTCCCCTGTGGACAAAGGAAATATGGGTGCAGTGCCAATCACTGAAAGAGGTAGGACCAATGCCCAGGAACAGGCATGGAGAGGGAGTCACCTCTCCCACCTGACACTGTTGCAGATGCAGCAGTTGTTCTTCCAATTGGAGGCCAGAGTGTGCACTCTGAGAAAGGGGTTTTCCACATTTTGCTGAAACTCCATCCCTGCTGTAAGTGAACCTGTGCCACTTGGGCTTGCATAAAGGATAGGGCCCAACCTCCTCTCCCTACACAATATAGCAACAGCCTGGCAAGGGAGAACAGACACGTCATGGAGTTACTATGGATTGGGGGAAGAGACTCTGCCTGAGCCCATTTTGGTGGTAGCCCTCAGAGGAGTATATCCCACAGCCACACTGCAGCTGGAAACCAAAGGGCAAAGTCTTTATGAACTTAAGGTCTTGAGCCATTATGCCCTACAACAGCAGCATGAAAGGAAAGCAGATCATATTCCTATGGCTCAGGATGAGAAGTTAGCGCAGCAGTTCCCCTCACACCTTCTGCCCCTTTCCCTGAGACCTCTCCATACCTCAACAAGATCTCTTCCCACCACCATCCCACCCCCAGCAATGCAGGTGCTTTCACTTGAGATCAGCCTGAGAGCCAGCCAACTCTTACGCCTAAGTGCCATGTACGGGACTTCAGCCTGAACTGTACCACAGAATAAAAAACCTGCCACCAGAAGGGCTTAATGTTAGTCCATGAGTTATTGTGTTAGCTTACATGTCTAATACATTGTTACAACAAGCAACATCTGAGAAAGCCAGTGAACAGAAGCTATTCCCAACAGAGGAACCCATACAGAGCATTGGACCCCTGAAAGCACCCAGCAACAAAGCCAAATGATCACACACAACATACACCATAGTCATATCTTCAAGGGAAAAAAGAATAAAAGAATAAAAAGTCCCACCCAAACAATAGTAAATTCAAAATTAAGAAGCAACAGCTCCCTCAGATGAGAAGGAATTGGCACAAGAACTCTGACAGTACAAAAAGCCAGAGTGTGTTGACACTTCCAAAATAACACACCAGTTCTCTAGCAATGGATCCTAAACAAATTCAAAAGTCTGAAATGATGAATAAAGAATCCAAAATTGAACAAATTGCAAGAAAACTAAACAAGGCCACACTTCCATCAGATCCTAAATGAAATGATAGTTGTGCACCCATGGTGGGCTACTGCCTTGCCCAGTGTCTCTTTGCCCTTGAGTCATCTCATCAAACATTCCTACATACCCACAAGTGCTCTGGCTTTGGCAAGCACAGGAAACCAGTAGCTCCCTGGGGAGCTGTGGGACCCTTTGGAGATCTAACCAAATGAATGGATTGCAAGAAAACAAGGTCCAAGGGAAAGTTAAAACCCAATACAAAGAAACCAGATAAATGACTCAGGATATGAAAAATGAGACAACTATATTAAGAAAAAACAAATAAAACTTATGGAATTCAAAAACCCACTAAAGAATTTTTTAAAAACAGTTAGAAGCTTTAACAATAGACTAGACCAGGCAGAAGGAAGGGATTTCAGAGCTTGAAGACCAGTCTTTGGAAAAATTTTTAAAAAAGGAATTTTAAAAAAGCCTCAAGAAATATGGGATTATGTAAACTGTTGAACCTACAACTTATTGGCATTCTTGAGAGAGAAGAAAAAGCAAGAAACTTGGAAAACATTTTATAGAATAATTCAGGACAATTTCCCTAATCTTGCTAGAGAAGTAGACAACCAGGTATAAGAAATTCAGAGAACATATATGAGATACCACACAAGATGACCATCCCCAAGGAATACAGTTATCAGACTATCCAAGAAAAGGTGAAAGAAAAAATATTAAAAGTTTATAGAGAAAAGAAAGGAGCCAAATTACCTATAAAGAAAATCCCATCAGACTAACAGTAAACTTTTCAGCAGAAATCTTATAAGACAAGTAGATTGGAGCCTATTTTTAGCCTACCTAAAGAAAACATATGCCAGCCAAGAATGTCATATTCTGCCAAAGTAAGCTTCATAAATGAAGAAGAAATAAAGGCTTTCCTAGACAAGCAAACACTAAGGGAATTAATTACCACCAGACTGGCCCTATAAGAAATGCACAAAGGAGTTCTAAACATTGAAACAAGAGAGTAATACTTGCTACATAAAAGCACACATAAGTACGAAGCTCACAGATCCTATAAAGCAATTACACAATTGAAACTGCAAAGCAACTAGCTAACAACATGACAGGAATAAAACCTTACATTTCAATATTAATCATGAATATAAACAGACTAAATGCTCCACTTAAAAGACATAGAATGGCAAATTGCCTTGAAAAAATAAGACCCAAACTTATGCTGCCTTCAATAACACCCACAGGCTCAAAGTAAAGGGATGGAGAAAGATCTATCATGTAAATGGAAAACAAAAAAGGGTGAGGTTGCTATTCTTGTATCAGATTAAATAGAGTTTAAGCCAAAATTAAATAAACTTTACCAAAGCAGTGAAAAAAAGACAAAGGAGGGCATTATATAGTGATAAAGAGTTTGATTTGACAAGATTTAGCTATGCTAAATGTATATTCACCCAAAGTCAGAGCACTTAGATTTATAAAACAACTACTACTAGACTTACTAAAAGGGATAGATGGTCATACAATAGACAGCCTGTCAATAGAGATAGTCATGCAATTATAGTAAGGAACTTTAATACCCCACTTACAGCACTAGACAAATCACTGAGGCGGAAAACTAACAAAGAAACTTTGAATGTAAATTAGACTCTTGACAAAATGAACCTAATAAACATCTACAGAAGACTTCACCCAGCAACCACAGAATAAACTTTTTTTCACATCTGTGCATAAAACATTCTCTACAATTGATCACGTGCTCTGTTATAAAGCAAGTCTCAATAAATTAAAAAAAGAACCTGAAATCATGTCAAGCATGTCCTTGGACCACAGTAGAATAAAATTAAAAATCAATTCCAAGAGGAAACCTCAAAAACCACACAGTACATGGGAACAAAACAACTTGCTCCTGAATGACTTTTGGGTAAGCAAAAAAATTAACCAGAAACCAAAAAATTTTTGAAACAAATGAAAATAGAGATAAAACATATGCAAACCTCTGGGATCCAGAAAAAAGCAGCATTAACAGGAAAGTTTATCATGCTAAATGCCTACATAAAAAGTTAGAAATATCTCAAATTAATAGCACTAACATCATACCTAAAGGAATTAGAAAAACAAGAACAAACCAAATCCAAGGCCAGTAGAAGAAAATACATAATGAAGATTAGAGCAGAACCAAATGAAATTGAGACCGAAAAAGCCATACAAAAGATTAATGAAACAAAAAGTTGCCTCTTCAAAAGGATAAATAAAATTGACTGATAGCCAGATTAGCTAAGAAAAAAAGAGAAAAGAGTCAGATAAGTATAATCAGAAGTGACAAAGGTGACAATACAACTGATACCAGAGAAATATAAAAGATCTTCAGAAACTACTAATGACATCTATGCACAAAACCTAGAAAATCTAGAGGAAATGGATAAATTACTGAAAACACTCAATTCCCTACTATGAACATCTGTGCACATAAACTAGAAAATTTAGAGGAAGTGGATAAATTCCTGAAAACATTCAGCTCCCTACTGTGAACAACTGTGCACATAAACTAGACAATTTAGAGGAAGTGGATAAATTCCTGAAAACACTCAACTCCCAAGCTTGAACCAAAGAAATAAAAATCCTGAACAGACTAATAATGAGTTATGAAAATGAATCAATAATAAATCTACCAACCAAAACCAGCAGTGAACCAAACAGATTCATAGCTGAATTCTATTAGATGTTCAAAGAAGAACTGGTACCAATCTTACTGAAACTATTCCAAAAAACCAAGGAGGAGGAATTCCTACCTAACTTATTCTACAAAACCAGTATGATGTTGATACCAAAATCTGGCCAGGACACAACAAAAAAAGAACATTACAGGCCAATATCTCTGACTAGCACAGATGCAAAATCCTCAACAAAATATTACCAAACCAAATCCAACAGTATGTCAAAAAGATAATTCATCATGATCAAGTGGGTCTTATTCCTGGAATGCAAGGATTGTTCAACACATGCAAAACAATAAATGTGGTTAGCCACATAAGCAGAATCAAAAGCAAAAACCATACGATCATTTCAATAGATTCAGAAAAAGCATTTGATAAAATTCAACATCTCTTCATGATGAAATCCCAAACAAACTAGGCATTGAATGAACATACCTCAAAATAACAAGAGCCATTTATGACAAACCCACAACCAACATCATACAGAATGGACAAAAGTTGAAAGAATTCCTCCTAAGAGCTAGAAAAAGACAAGGATGTCCACTCTTACTACTCCTATTTCACAAAGTACTGGTAGTCCTAGCCAGAGCAATCAGATGAGAGAAAGAAATACAAGGCATCCAAATAGGAAAAGAGGAAGTAAAATTATCTCTGTTTGCTGACAACATGATTCTATACCTAGGAATTCCTAGAGATTCCTTCAAAAGACTTCTAGACCTGATAAACAAATTCAGTAAAGTTTTGGGATACGAAATCAGTGAACAAAAATTAGTGGGATTTCTATACACCAATAATTTTCAAATCAAGAACAAAATCAAGAACCCAATTTCATTTACAATAGCCTCACACACAAAATACAATACTTAGGAATATATTTAACCAAGGAGGTGAAAGACCTTTACACAGAAAACCACAGAACATTGATGAAAGAAATTACAGATGACACAAACAAATGGAAAATCATTCCATGCTCATGGATAGAAAGGATCAATATTGTTAAAATGACCATAATGCCCAAAGCTGTCTATAGATTCAATGCAATTATTATCAAATTACCAGTGTGTTTTTTCACAGAATTAGAAAAAAAAATCCCAAAGTTCTTATGGAACCAAAAAGAGCCTGAATAGCCAACGCAATTCTAATCAAGCAGAGAAACAAACAAACAAACAACCCCCACCCCCCAAAAAAGCAAAAGCAAAAGCAAAGCCAAAAACAAACCAAAAACAACCACAAAAAAAACCAAAGCTGGAGCCATCTCTTTACCAGACCTTGGACTGTAGTATAAGGCTGTAGTAATCAGAACAGCATAGTACTGCTACAAAAATAGACACACAGATCAATGGAACAGAACAGAAAACCCAGATATAAAGCCACACACTTAACAACTAACTGATCTTCAAAAATGTTGACAAAGATAAGCAATGAGGAAAGGACTCCCTATTCAATAAATGGTGCTGGGAAACTGGCTAGTGATATGCAGAAGAATGAAATTGGACCCCTAGTTATTACTGTATACAAAAGTTAACTCAAGATGGATTTAAGACTTAAATGTAAGACTTAACTATAAAAATCCTAGAAGTAAACCTAGGAAAAACTCTTCTGGAAATTGGCCTATGCAAATCATTTATTGCTAAGACCTCAAAAGAAAATAGAACAAAAACAAAAATAGACAAATGGGACTTAATTAAACTAAAAACATTCTGCACAGCAAAAGAAACAACAGATTAAACAGACAGCCTACAGAATGAAAGAGTATAGCAAACTATTCATCCAACAGATTAATATCGAGAATCTATAAGGAACTTCAATAAACAAGAAAAGAAAAAAGTAACTTCATTGAAAAGTGACAAAGAACATGAACAGACATTTCTCTTGTATGTAGAAGACATACAAGCAGCTAACAAACATGTAAAAAGATGCTCAACATCTGGAATCAGCAGAGAAATGCAAATCAAAACTGCAATGAAATGTTTATCTTACTCTAGTCAAAATGGCATTATCAAAAAATCAAACAATAACAGATGTTGGTGAGGATGCAGAGAAAAGGGGTCATTTATACACTTGTGGGAATGTTAAGGAGTTCAACCCTTATGGGAAACAGTATGGAGATTTTGCAAAGAACTGAAAACAGAACTACCATTTGACCCAGAAATCCCACAACTGGGTATCTTCCCAAGGAAAATAAATCATGTTATCAAAAAGACACTTGCACTTGTATGTTTGTTGCAGTACTATTCATAATGGCGAAGTCATGGAATCAATCTAAGTGACCGACAACAGTGGATTAGATTTAAAAAATGTGGCACATATACACCGTAGAATACTACACAGCCATATAAAGAATGAAATTTTGCAGCAGCGTGGACATAGTTGGAGGCCACTGTGCTAAGTGAATTAACATTTAAACAGAAAATCAAATACTACACCATCTCACCTATAAGAGAGAGCCAAGCAATAAGTACACAGGGTTATACATATGAAAATGATAGATACAGGGAACTCCAAAATTGGGGAGAGAAGCCTGGGGGAAAGGGCTGAAAAACTACCTATTGGGTACAATGTTAAATATTTGGGTGATAGGTTCACTAGAAGCCAAAAACGCAGCATTATACAGTACACCCATGCCACAAACCTGCACAGCTATCCCCTGAATGTAAAAACAAAGAGAAAACTAAGTAAGCAAAGCATAAAAATGGGACCAATAATATCTTCTTTTTATTAGTTTTGATTGTTCTAAAGGTAAGAAGGGATGGCACATAAAGTGCCTATCAAATATTGCTCGGTTCATGATAAGAATAGTAATAATGGTAGTCACAAAAAGAGTCATAACTTCAACAACAATGATGATGATGACAACTAGAACAATTAAGATATTTATTATAGCTTTGAGAAGATTTTAGAATTTTATGAAGTCATTTTTCAAGTAGTGTAAGCTTTCTGTTTGGCAAAAGGTTTTGCTTCCTTTATGTTATAATAATGGATCTTTTGCCAGGCATGGTGGCTCACGACTGTATTTCCAGCTACTTGGGAGACTGAAGTGGGAGGATTGCTTGAGTCTGGGAGTTCAAGACCAGACTAGGCAACATAGTGAGACCCATATAAAAAAAAAGATTTTTCAATTCAAAGTTAATGTTACTAAACATATCAAAAATTGTTTAGTCTTATGCTCTGTGTGGACATGGAAAATAAAAGATGAATAGTGAATTTGTTTTCTTTTTAAAAAAGTTGTATAGACATCAAGACACTCCCACCCTTTTTTGAGTAGCTGTATCACTTTTGAGATTCTGCACGTATATTGAGAAGCTCAAAATAAAAAGCCTGGTTTATAGAATTTTTAGTGGTGAGGACCAAGTTAGAGCTGGCTAGAAGGTTCCCTGCCAAGAGAACTGCAGATGAGCGATTCCCTAGATTAGCACTGAAGTGGGAATAGGGGAAGTGTTTCCAACTGCCTAAGATAAAAAAGCTGAAGCTTAAACATTTTTAATGTTCAGAAAGCTGACACAAGATTACCAGTGCTATACAAATTAAATTATTTTCTTATTTTCTTACTCCTGTGCTTGCCCCCAATGTCTACTCCAAAGGACCAGCAGAAATCTTGCAATCTGGGATAGAAGGAGTGAAACTAAAATGGAAAAAGAGTAATCTGATTACTCCCACCCTTCCTGACTCCTACATATCCCATCTAGGATTTTAAACCAAGATTAAAGTTTTTCAATTGTATGGTCATGGGCATTTAAATCATTAAACAAGTCTTTATTTTGTGGTGTGGAATGACTGTATACAGTTTGTTTTGCCTAGCAGGGAAGAGAAAAGTCAGTGCATCTGCCTGAGTTTTCATTTAGAGAGGTAAGAGAAGAATTGGTTCTACTACTAAACATATCTTTATTCTCTTTCCAAATAATACAAGGACTCCAGAAGATTGAATTCCCCAGTGGACAAGTCTTTGTTATGAATATTTTAATTTTATTATATTGCCTGCTCTTTTGTAGTTGGATGGAGTTACATGACTAATTCTGACCAATGGGCTATGATTGGAAGTGGTGACATATGTACTTCTATGTATATTCCCATGTGTTTTCTTTCCCAACCATGACATCTTGAGAGACTATATGTTTCAGTTGTACAGCTGCATGAAGACGGAACTCTATTAGCCTTGGTACCACTGTGACTTTTTGGAGCAGATTCTCTTAGTGACTGTTGTTGGTTATGTAGTTTGAGTGAAAAAAAGACCTCGTTATGTTAAGCCACTGAGCTTTCGGGGTTGATGTATTGCCCTAATATAACTAGCCTGTTCTGAATAACAAATACACAAATATATCATTTTTTTACGCTCTTCATTCTTTCTTGCATCTCAGATTTTCCATTTAGGGTTACTTTCCTTTCCTCTGAAGTACATCTATTATCTCCTTTGATGTATGTTTATTGGTAGTAGAGTAGTTCCCCTTTATTCACAGGGCATGTTCCAAGACCTCCAGTGGATGCCTGAAACCACAAATAGAACTGAGCCCTAGATATGCTATGTTTTTCCCTATACTTGAATATTTATAATAAAGCTTATAAATTAGACACAGTAAAAGATTAACAACAATAATAAAATAGAACAATTATCAGCAATTTACTGTCATAAAAGTTATGTGAATGTGGCCTCTGTCTCTCAAAACGTGTTATTGTACCGTCTGTACCCGCCCTTCTTCTTGTAATGACGTGAGATGAAATGACTATGTGATTGAGATGAATTGATGAAACAGGATGGAAAGAGGTTTCATCACACCACCTAGAATGGCATGCAATTAAAAAATTGTAAATAGTTTGTTTCTGGAATTTTCCATTTAATATTTTCTGACCATGATTCACTGTGGGTGATGGAAGCCGTGGAAAGTGAAACACTGGATAAGAGGACTACTCTACATATTTTGTTGATCTTTACATATGTAAAACCTAGTTGACTAAACTGAGAGTGCTTAAATTCCCACAGTGTTTGTGTTTGCTTTTGCTAGAGCCAGGTGATGTTCCCCGTCTTATGCTACTCCAGCCCCTTCTACCATCACTGATTCAATCCTAAAATTTTAGGTTGTGTGTTTTCAACTAATTAACACTTTTATATCAGCATTTGTTTCAGGGTAACTCCACCTGTTATGTGTTCTCAAAGTTTACCTAGAGTTTACAAAATCTTTCAGCACTGCATCTTTGTCACATTAGTGGGTAAAGTATGAGGTCCCAGCCCTTCTCCCTAACCACTTTATCTTTTTGCTCTGCATATTTGAGGAACATTACACATGACTTCTCTCTGGGCCTCACGGGAGAAAAGAGTGTCTTAAAAATTTATAAAGCTTTTGAAGTTCTAAAACCTTGGAATTGGAAGATTAGAAATTTTTACTACCTTGTGTAATTTTATTTTGATATGTTAAGTTTCTTGATTACTTCCTTCTTGAAAAATTTATAACCTCCTACATGGAGGAGAACTCAGAGATCATTTTGTAAAATAATTTCAATTTAAAGATGAGGAAGTGTGAGCTTGTTGTGTTAATGTGGCTTGCCAAGATCACACAGAGGGAAACACAGGCTTGCTATGTTTTACCTGAGAGAAAGTTAGAGAGACTGATTAAATTTAGGCTTTAGACTATTTATCACTGAGTAGCAGCCTCTTTACCTCAATACTTAGTTGATTAAAATCCAAAAGTTTCCAGTAGCCTTTAAATATCAAGGAATGGACCACTGAGCTAAACAAACGCTGGAAACAAGTTTCAGAGAGTGTTTCCATTTTATATAATTAGTTGTTTCAAAAACTAAGGGAATCAACTTTTAGACTCCCATGCTAGTAGTGACTATGACAGTGTCAGCAGGGGGCAGCCAGCTCCTAAAATTTGGAAACATGCTTCCTTCTTGTCTTTTCTGTTTAAGTTTCCAAATCAGGCTTTATAAAATCAAGTTTCATAAAACACTTTATGAAATAGTGATACTGCTTGGTTAAATATAAGAAGAACATTCTGCTTTAACTTCAGCTATTCCAAGGCCAACTGGTACACTGAAAGTCAATTCTGACACTAACCACCCAGAGATAGTGTCAAACCAGACAAATTTAAGGCCAGGGTCCCCAACAAGACCACCCCCACTTTAGATGCCAGACACAAGTTAAGGGGGTTCTCAGGTTACCTACACTTCTGATTAACTGGGTGTAAAGTTGGGGATTCCAATGACTCCCTTCAGATGTAATAATTCACAGGAATGACTCAGAGAACTCAGGAAAGTGCTGTATTTTTTTATCTTTTTTGTAAAATTATACTTTAAGTTCTAGGGTACATGTGCACAATGTGCATGTTTGTTACATAGGTATACATGTGCCATGTTGGTTTGCTGCACCCATCAACTCATCATTTATATTAGGTATTTCTCCTAATGCTAATCCTTCCCCCAGCCCCCACCCCCCAACAGGCCCTGGTGTGTGAGTGATGTTCCCCTCCTTTTGTCCCTGTGTTCTCATTGTTCAACTCCCACTTACGAGCGAGAACGTGCAGTGTTTGGTTTTCTCTTCTTGTGTTACTCTGCTGAGAATAATGGTTTCCAGTTTCATCCATGTCCCTGCAAAGGACATGAACTCATCCCTTTTCATGGCTGCATAGTATTCCATGGTGTATACATGACACATTTTCTTTATCCAGTCTATAATTGATGGGCATTTGGATTGGTTCCAAGACTTTGCTATTGTGAACAGTACTGCATTAAACATACATGTGCCTGTGTCTTTATAGTAGAATTATTTATAATCCTTTGGGTATATACCCAGTAATAGGATTGCTGGGTCAAATAGTATTTCTAGTTCTAGATCCTTGAGGAATCGCCACACTGTCTTCCACAATGGTTGAACTAATTTACACTCCCAGCAACAGTGTGAAAGTGTTCCTATTTCTCTACATCCTCTCCAGCATCTGTTGTTTCCTTACTTTTTAATGATTGCCATTCTAACTGGCATGAGATGATATCTCATTGTGGTTTTGATTTGCATTTCTCTTATGACCAGTGATGATGAGCATTTTTTCATATGACTGTTGGCTGCATAAATGTCTTGTTTTGAGAGGTGTCTGTTCATATACTTTGCCCACTTTTTGATGGGGTTTTTTGGGTTTTTTTTCTTGTAAATTTGTTTAAATTCTTTGTAGATCTGGATATTAGCCCTTTGTCAGATGGATAGATTGCAAAAATTTTCTCCAAATCTGCAGGTTGCCTGTTGACTCTGCTGATAGTTTCTTTTGCTGTGCAGAAGCTCTCTAGTTTAATTGGATCTCATTTGTCTATTTTGGCTTTTGTTGCCATTGCTTTTGGTGTTTTAGTTATGAAGTCTTTGCCCATGCCTACGTCCTGAATGGTATTACCTAGGTTTTCTTCTAGGGTTTTTATGGTTTTAGGTCTTATATTTAAGTCTTTAATCCATCTTGAGTTAATTTTTGTATAAGGTGTAAGGAAGGGATCCAGTTTCAGCTTTCTGCATGTGGCTAGTCAGTTTTCACAGCACCATTTATTAAACAGGGAATCCTTTGCTCATTGCTTGTTTTTGACAGGTTTGTCAAAGACTAAATGGTTGTAGATGTGTGGTGTTATTTCTGAGGCCTCTGTTCTGTTCCATTGGTCTATATATCTGTTTTGGTACCAGTACCATGCTGTTTTGGTTACTGTAGCCTTGTAGTATAGTTTGAAGTCTGGTAGTGTGATGCCTCCAGCTTTGTTCTTTTGGCTTAGGATTGTCTTGGCAATGTGGGCTCTTTTTTGGTTCCATATGAAATTTAAAGTAGTTTTTTCCATTTCTGTGAAGAAAGTCAGTGGTAGCTTGATGGGGATAGCATTGAATCTATAAATTACTTTGGGCAGTATGGCCATTTTCATGATATTGATTCTTTCCATCCATGAGCATGGAATGTTTTTCCATTTGTTTGTATCCTCTTTTATTTCCTTGGGCAGTTGTTTGTTGTTCTCCTTGAAGAGGTCATTCACATCCCTTGTAAGCTGTATTCCTAGGTATTTTATTCTCTTTGTAGCAATTGTGAATGGGAGTTCACTCCTGATTTGGCTTTCTGTTTGTCCGTTATTGGTGTATAAGAATGCTTGTGATTTTTGCACATTGATTTTGTATCCTGAGACTTTGCTGAAGTTGCTTACCAGTTAAGGAGATTCAGGGCTGAGATGATGGGGTTTTCTAAATATACAATCATGTCATCTGCTAACAGAGACAATTTGACTTCCTCTTTTCTTAATTGAATACCCTTTATTTCTTTCTCTTGCCTGATTGCCCTGGCCAGAACTTCCAATACTATGTTGAATAGGAGTGGTGAGAGAGGGTGTCCTTGTCTCGTCCCAGTTTTCAAAGGGAATGCTTCCAGTTTTTGCCCATTCAGTATGATATTGGCTGTGGGTTTGTCATAAATAGCTCTTGTTATTATGAGATACATTCCATCAATAACTAGTTTATTGAGAGTTTTTAGCATGAAGGGCTGTTGAATTTTGTCAAAGGTCTTTTCTGCATCTATTGAGATAATCATGTGGTTTTTGTCATTGGTTCCGTTTATGTGATGGATTACGTTTATTGATTTGTGTATGTTGAACCAGCCTTGCATCCCAGGGATGAAGCCAACTTGATTGTGGTGGAAAAGCTTTCTGATGTCCTGCTGGATTCGGTTTGCCAGTATTTTATTGAGGATTTTCACGTCGATGTTCATCAGGGATACTGGCCTAAAATTTTCTTTTTTTTTGTTGTGTCTCTGCCAGGTTTTGGTATCAGAATGATGCTGGCCTCGTAAAATGAGTTAGGGAGGATTCCCTCTTTTTCTATTGATTGGAATAGTTTCAGAAGGAATGGTACCAGCTCCTCTTTGTACCTCTGGTAGAATTTGGCCGGATCCTGGAATTTTTTTTGGTTGGTAGGCTATTAATTATTGCCTCAATTTCAGAACCTGTTATTGGTTGATTCAGAGATTCAGCTTATTTCTGGTTTAGTCTTGGGAGGGTATATGTGTCCAGGAATGTATCCATATCTTCTAGATTTTCTAGCTTATTTGTGTAGAGATATTTATAGTATTCTGTGATGGTAGTTTGTATTTCTGTGAGATCGGTGGTAATATCCTCTTTATCATTTTTTATTGCATTTATTTGATTCTTCTGTGTTTTCTTCTTTATTAGTCTTGCTAGCAGTCTATCAATTTTGTTGAACTTTTCCAAAAACCAGCTCCTGGATTCATTTATTTTTTGAAGGGTTTTTTGTGTCTCTATCTCCTTCATTTCTGCTCTGATCTTTGTTATTTCTTGTAGTCTGCTATCTTTTGAATTTGTTTGGAAAGTGCTATATTTATGATTACAGTTTTATTACAAAGGATGCAAATCAGGAAAACCAACCCAATGAAGAGATGTATGGGATGAGGTCTGGGAGAAAATGCAGATCTCTTTTCTCTCTTCATGGAATAAGGGCATGTCACCATCCTGGCACATGAATGCTCTCTGGCACGGAAAGTTCCACTGAGCTTTGATGTTCAGAAATTTTATTGGGGTTTCATTGCATAGCTATGATAGATTGAATTATTGGTCACATGTTCGAACTCAATCTCCAGCCCTCCTACCCTCTCCAGAAGTTGGGCTGATATCACATAGTTCATAGTTCTAACCCTCTAATTACATGATTAGGTTTTCCAACATGAGCTGTCCCTGTTAAGAAGCTATCTAGGGGCTGACCATGTGGTGCCTCCTTGGCATAACAAAGATACTGATAAAACTCTGAAAATTTCAAGGATTTAGAGATTTCCTCCTAGGAATCAAGAACACAGTTCAGTAAAATTCCTTATTTTACAAAAGAATCACACAAACATACATATACTCATCTTTGCCAAAGAACATTACTGCTTAATAATAATATTGTAGTTATCATTACTATTATCTGTTGCTATCTGTCATTAAAGAACTAAAAAATCCTATGTCTATGATACACTGTAGAAATTTTTTATATTGAAAATATATACAGAGAGAAATTCTCAAGGAAAATGTTTTGCTATTTGGACAATATACAAAGACTCGGTTCTTGATTAAATATTTTTAAAATTTGTAAATTATGAGAGAGGATGTTCTAAAGCCTGGGATTATATTCAGCTCATGTTAATGATGGGCATTGGGGAAAAATGAGCAAATTATACATAAACCAATAGAGACTATAAAACTTCTGAGTGATCAGTAGTGCAGTGTGTTTAATTAGGCATAAGGAAACTATATTCATGTTTTTTTGACCCTGTCCCTAGCTGGCTGTGCTGTCTTGAAGACCTGGATGCTCTCAATTTCTCTCTTCCATTTCCTACATGTATAAGTCATATACAATTATTATTATAATAATTAAAAATACATATTCTTATTTTAAAAATGTAAAAGTCTTTACATTTGATATATAGTGTCAAAGTGGGGCTAAGGCCGTAACCTCACAGGGTACTGGCACCTTAAGTTGGCAATGGAGTTCCAGATTTCAGTGCCTCAGAGAAATGTAGTCTGAATATATTCCACAAGAGTCAATGGACTGCAGACCATATTTGATATGATTTGGCTCTGTGTTTTCCCTCAAGTCTCATGTTGAATTGTAATCCATGGTGTTGGGGGAGGGGTCTGGTGGGAGGTGACTGAATTGTAGAGGTGGACTTCCTCCTTGCTGTTCTCGTGATAGTGAGTGAGTTCTCATGAAATCTGATTAAGTGTTTGACATCCCCCCTCACCCACCACCCTCAGGCTGCCATGTAAGACATGCCTTGCTTCCTCTTTGCCTTCTGCCATGATTGTAAGTTTCCTGAGGCCTCCAGAGCCATGTGGAACTGTGAGTGAATTACATCTCTTTTCTTAATAAATTACCCAGTCTCAGGCAGCTCTCTCCAGCAGTGTAAAAATGGACTAGTACACTGTGAGTCAATTAAACCTCTTTTCTTCACAAATTACCCGGTCTTAGGTAGTTCTCTGTAGCAGTGTGAGACTGGAATAATACAATATTCCCCTATATATAAATGAAACCTGTGAAACCTCTATTTTTGTGTCTAATTTTGCATTAAGAAACATCATTCTTATGAATGTGAAGGGAGAAAGCAAAAAACTCTAAATGATTAATAATTAGTCAAATACAGGGTATTGACTTCAGTTCTAAAAAGTGAAATCCCTGAAGAGACATAAAACATGCTTCTGAGTTGTGAACGCTTAAAAACTGAGCTGAAACTACTTAAATATTGCCCAAGAGTTGTAAACCCTTAAAAACTGAGCTGAAACTACTTAAATATTGCCCAAGAAGAAAGAAGACGTGGAAGAGAGAAAGAAAAGTAAATTAATGGAAAATAAACACATCAACAAAAATTACAAAGCATATGAACAAATCCAACTCCGTGATACGGATTCTCTGCCATTGCAAATTAACACACAAACATAAAAACAACAGCAAAAAGCAACAAAAGAAAATATTTACTCACAAAAATAGGAAACTAAATAATCTAGAAAGTGCTTCAAGTAAACATGTTTAAAATTCTTGAAGAAATAAAGGAGAAAATAATATCCATAAAACAAAAGTAGGGGTTACTGAAACAAAAGCATACTTGTAAATCATGAAGAAAAAGTTAATAAAATGGAAACAAAAATGAACATTATACTTGAGACAGTTGAAGAAAAAACTTGTAATAGAGAACTTTGAAAATTACTGTGACTACAGCCTAAAAAGAGACACATATATGTATAAATATATGTGTGTGTGTCTATATATGTGTGTGTGTATATATATATATATATAAAACATGTGAGTGTCTGTGTGCGTGTTTGAAATTCAGAGAAATAAAGCATAGATTTAGATTCTCTAGTAAAATCTGTTTCCAGAAAGAGAAGCTAGCAATTTCCAAAATTGAAGAGCGATGTAAGTCTTTATACAGAAAGAATACTCTAAATGCTACATATAATAAAAAAAAAAATCAGGTAGACTGGACCTTATGTCATTAAGATTGCAAACTGTTCAATGAAACAATGGTGAAAAAAACATATTTTGGGACATCTAAAGACTAAAATGTATTATCTTCTCTTGAGAATGTAATTGAAATTTCTGTAAAGGGTATATTTTAGCAACAAGAAAAAAATAAATCCTGAAGAAAAAATTGTGACGCAAGAAAAAATGTTCAGCAAAGGCATTGATAAACATATATTGGGAAAATAAAAAGTAATGACTAAAAATATAATTTTTTGAATATTTAAAATAAAGAAGAACTAACATTGTAGTCAACCATTAGATGAAATGTAGAATAAATAGCTCTTACTTGCTATGTCTTACCTGAGAGAAGGTTAGAGGCACTGATTAAGTCTCAGGTTTTATTAAAATAAATTAAGTAGGAGTGTTAACAAGTTTTAAGGGAAATACCAATAAAGAATTAAAAAAGAAACTGTTTCAATTCCAAAGTAGGCAGGAAAGAAAAAACAGGCAAAGATATAATATGATAATAGAAAATATAAAATAAAATGAATGAAATTTGTTCAACTATAAGTAATCACAGTACATATAAACTTCATTACAAGAAAGAAACTCTAGAAACAACTATAACTTATTTATAGTTGGCACAACCAAAATAAAGTGGCACAAGGCTGTGAACAGAATGTTTATCACTCTGTACTCCCCCTAGTCCCTCCCAGTGCCAATTCATATGTTGAATTCTAAATCTCCAATATGATAGTACTTGGAGATGGAGGCTTTAGGAGGTATCTTAGTCTGTTTGGCTTGTTGTAACAAAATTCCATAGACTGAGTGACTTCTAACAACTGAAATTTATCTCTCATGGTTCTGGAGGCTGGGAAGTCTAAGATCAAAGCATCAGCAGATTTGGTGTCTGGTGAGGGTCTGTTTTCTGGTTCATAGGTGACACCTCCCTGCTCTGTCCTCACGTGATAGAAGAAGCAAGGCAGCTCTCTGGGGCCTCATTTATAAGGGCACTAATCTCATTCATGAAGGTACTGCCTTCATCTAATCACCCCTCAAAGGTCTTACCTCCTAATTTCATCATATTGGTGATTAGGTTTCAACATGTGAATTTTGGAGGGACACAAACATTCAGCCTATAGCAGGAGGAAATTAGGTCATAAAGTTGTAACCCTCATGAATAAGATTATTGCCCTTATAAAAGACACCAGAGAGATGATTGTTCTCTGCTCTCCACCGTGTGAGGATCCAAGAAGATGACCATCTGCAAACCAGGAATCAGGCCATCAACAGACATTGAATCTGCTGGTACCTTGACCTTGGACTTTCCAGCTTCCAAAACAGTGAGAAATAAATGTTTCTTGTTTAGGCTACCCAGTAGATGCCATTCTGTTACAGCAGCCTGAATGCATTAAAACACACAGAAAGATTAAAAAGAAGGGAATGGAAAATAATCACTAGTACCACCTCCATGCTACTCTTGCTACTTTCACAACCATAAGCAACATTTATGGAGTGCTTCCTTTGTTCTAAACATTATTCTAGGACCTTTACACATTTTATCTTACTCATTCTCATTGCAAGCTTAAAGTAAAAAGTAATATAATAGTACTAATACCAGGTGAACAGAGTTTATGAAAATAACATTTCCTCCTTAAGCCATTTTAACCCCATACTAGCTACACTACTGATAAATATCAAAGGGATTTTTCTGAGATGAAAATCTGACCATGTCAGTTATTTTCTTCAAGGCTTTCATTTTCTACATCATAAATAATACAGGCAATTAAACTTCTACAGCACTAACTACATCTCAGGAACTCTCTGACTACTTTATATGTGTATGTAGCTCATTTAACCATCACACAACATTATGAGGTTGTTAATGAATCCCATTCTTCAGATGATTAAATGAGGCACTGAGGCATAATTTTCCCAAGCTTACACAGCCATTAAGTGGCAGAGCTGTGAGTTGAATCCAGGAGTACATGGCTCTAGAGATCATGCTTCTAACCACATTATGCCACCTATCTCAACAAACACTTTGACTTCTAAAATTTTATTTTTGAACTCTTACATATTTTGTCACCGTGTCTCTCATCAACTTTCAACACACACTGTAATTTATCTATAACAAACTATTAAGCTTATGATTTCTGCAATTTCAAACTTAGTACCTTTACTGGTGCTACTTTCTTGGGCTGAAGTAGCCTTTCTATCTGGTGTACTTAGAAACACCATTCAAAATTCAGCTCAGGAATATTATCTTCTCTGAAGCCTTCTCTGGTACTATGGGTGAGAATCAAAATATTTAATAACAAGTAGGAAGAGGTACCAACCAAGTAGAATAAATGCTTTGATCAATTAGAAGCAATGCTGGGTACAATCACTGCAGCAGTTTGGTCCCTGAGTTCTTGGCTCTCACATAAATAGAAAATAACACCAGGCCAAACAGAAATTGTTCTCAGGCCAAGTTTGATAGGCTTGTGGCTCAAGCAAAGCAAGGGGGCAGTGTATGAGAAAGGGATCCTGGTGCTAACTTCTGCAGGGGCTTAGCTCTTGTCATTTTAAGGAAGCCGAGGGGTAAAAAGGAGCAATATGCAGGCATGAAGAGGCAGGGAACTTTTAGCACCTGTGCAGTTCGACAACATGCCTCTTCATGCATTTCATGTCTCATGTTAAATTTCCACCTCTGGGTGTAATGACATTATAGTGAGGAAAAACTCAGTGAAAGCTCAGCACTAGAGGCCATCTTGTCTTTAGCTGGCTGGATCTGATTAGATTTTTATCAGGAATGCTGGAGTCCCGCTTTGACAATCTTTGGAGAAGTAACTCAAGGAAATAAATGGGTAGGTTCTTTCTTTCATGGTTGGGAATTCAGCTTGGTCAGCTAAGTTAGGAGGAGGCATCTTTCTGCTACATAACTTGGGTCAGCTTATTAAGGGAGGCAAGAAGGTAAGGGAGGGAATATGCCTGGACATGTGACGCCCATGTGGTCTTGAAAACGGGAAAGGTTTCCTTGTCCCCTTAGCAGGGCATGTAGTGGGGGCTGTGGCTTGCTTCAGTGCCCCAACACTCAAACCTTGTGGGAGCATACAGATGGGCAGGCTGTGGGGCTGTGACCCGACAGCAATGTCTAGAGGTCAATGATCACAGCTCCTGAAGCCCCAGTGGGCGTGTGTTACAGGGTGCTCTTTTAGTTTGCAGTCTATAAGCGGCTTGGGTTAACCAGCTCAATCAGATCCTCTACCTTGTCACAAGGACAGACGGCTTTTTGTATCCCAGGTTCTTGCCTTGGTGTACCGGAAGAATCTTATCACAGGTGGGCTTGGAGAATGAGTGCAAAGTTTTATTTAGTGGAAGTAGCTCTTAGACGATCAGGGAGCCAGAAGAGAGACGGTTTTTCCCTGGAGCTGGGCCGCTCCGCAGCCCCAGCTCTCCTCTGATTGCCGCGGCAAAACTCTGCCTCATCCCACTGATCACATCGGCTGTCCGGTGTCTGTCAGTGTGCTTGTGCTCCCTCCATGTCCTTTTCGACCTCTAGCCACTTGTGTCTTATTCTGCTGACTTACTCCTCTCAAAGTCGGCCCACCTGTGTCTGCCTGCTAGGGTATCAGGTTTTTTTTTTTTTTTTAATAGGCACAGGATGGGGGCGTGGCAAGCCAGGGTGGTCTTGGGAAATGCAACATTTGGGCAGGAAATGCCTGTCCTCACCTAGGTCTATGGGGGGTGGAGCCTAGCCAGGGACAACGGCCTCCTCTACCCAGCACTTCCCTTCCCCTCTACCCAGCACTTCCCTTCCCCTCTTCTGTATCATTTAAAGGGAACATGTTCTTCCCTTCCCAGCACTTCCCGTCCGTGTCAGTCTTGGTTACCATGTCTCGTCTGCCAGGACTGAGTCTCTTTCCTATATTGTCTCACAACTAGTATGCTCTGTGGTGGAGTGGGAAGAATATTGGACCAGCCCGGCACCCTTCATGTCCCTTTGAGCAGAAGTGGCTCATCAGTCGGCTGTGCCCTCTATCACTTCATACATGGGTGTTATAATAGAACTAGAGGTCCATCTTCCCCTGGAGGTGATCAGCTTCTTTAGGACAAAAACACTGTCTTTTTCATACTTACATTGCCAGCAAGAAACACAGTACTTGGCATGTACTTAGTGCCAAATAAATATTTGTTGACAGCGTGGAAGGAGAAATGAAATCACTTATCCTTTCTAGGGTCTTGGTTTCCTTATTTGGCACATTAAGAAATTTGGAGTAATTGAACTATAAGGTCCTTCCAAAAAATCTATAAATTAAATGAATTTTATGAATTATGTCAGCTGACAAATAGTGATTAGATGGTTTCCCCACAATAGTTCACAAAGAAAATGCTCTTCAGTTAGACATTCTGAAATATTTAATATTTTCAGCAGAATCATTTGAATCTTATCAAATCTACATTAGATACTTTGGAAAAGGCATACACTAAGCCTCCCATCAGCTTATATATTATTTCTTGAAAGAAAAAGGTGGTAGAAAACATACCCCCAAAAAATTTGGTTGACATTTCATACAATGAATTTTTTCTACTTCAGTAGACTTTGAAAAATTGTTGGTTAATTAATATATCAAGAAGAGTGGAATAGAAAGCGCTTATAATTGAGCTATTCAGATCCATAGCAGCTTGAATAAATTGAAGGGGTCATGAAAACTGTTTTGCCCTTTTCTTTTTTTGAGATTCATTCATTTGTCAGTTTAATGAGAATATCATCTAAAAATTTGATTTTCAGGAATGCCAAGAGTCAGAATTTAACAAGGGAAGAAAAGATGCAAGTAGAAAAAGTAATAGTAAACAGAATAAAGGGAGATAGGCAAGAGAGAAGGGGGTGGGTAAAGAAGAGGAAGAATGTGTCTATGATTGGATCCAAAAGTAAGGATTTTTAAAGTTAAGTCCCACTGGAAAAATGCAGAAGAGATATTTTTACCATAATGTGAGTTGACATGGGAGGGCAGCAGGTGAAAAGAAGGGCACAGCCTTTATTGCAGGAATATTCTATCTCATGTATGTGTATAAATAAGAGTCTAGCTTTTTCACATAAGCACATTGTGAAATATGTCAGTAGAATTCAGTAATGCGTATTTTAAAACAAAGAGTTGGAGCCAGAAAATATTTACCTATCTACCTTGATTTGCTTGAAAATTTAATAACACAAAATCTCTCTAAAGACACTATGGCTTACCACTACCCACATTATATTCTTTTTGTCATCATACACAAAGGAAGGTAATTTCAAAATCCTGAAAATAAACTAAAACAGAATGGAGAATCATTATCATTGAACTTTGACACAGCAGTCTGATTTTGCAAAGTGAAATTTTTAGGCCCATGACATTTTTGTTTTCAGGTACTTTATCATTATTGCTTTTAGAATTCTCTTTTAGATACCAAATTATTAATTTAACTCTTCATTGCCTGAACCAAAATTTAATTGCCAAATTGGCTTTGGCAATTAAGTGTTAGATTAATAATTTGATTCTTAGATTATTATGTTGAACCTCAATTTGATCATTAGAGTACTATGTTGAAACTGTTAGGCTCTATGTCTTTTAAAAATTTTTAACTGGTAGCTATTTAATATATTCTGTGGAATGATACTCTACCTTGAAAAAGATTTAATTTACATTGGCAAGCTGTCTTCTCTTCCAATTCATAGCTTTTCACATTTAGAATACAATAAAACTAAGTTGAAAGTTGAGTACTAGTTCTCAGAATTTGGTACCTTTCACTGCCACACAGTGAAAAAGAGAAACTGAATTTATACAAATCATTTTTCTCTTTTCCCTTTCCCATAATTTGTTCCTTGTCACTTTAATTTTTTCAACCTACTTATATAAAACATATATTGAGAACAACAGAGACCATCGAGCCATATATGTTAACTTGTAACTTGAATATCCCCAAATCTGAGATGTGGATTTAACAGGTCACAGAGCATATTTACATTTGACCAAATCACTATTTTTTTTTGTTTAAGTGTTTAAAGGACATAACTAGTCTGTCGAATTAGACTATTATTTTGATAGAATCTAGTGAATGCTGTGTATCTTTTAAAACAATCTTAGCATATAAATGCTTCTTTAATGAAAAATCAAAATCTAGACAAATTGATGATGAATTTCAGTGCTAATCAACCAAATGAACCACTTTTCCGTTATGTGAATTGGTTGCCAGGCTGTCATAAAGCTCTGAACAGAAGCCTTCTAGTATTCATAACACTATTTAATTTATATTGGGCTGTAGAATGCAGTTCTGAGAATGGGTACTGGTTGTAGCTTTCTTTGTGATACTTCTAGGTGTGAAGCAATGATAACTTTGTAGCTGTCAGTGGTGGAAGAGTGGAAGCTATTTGCTTCCTAGATGTTCCTGCTTTTATTTTATTTTAAACAGCAATCTGTTTGCTGTTTCAAATTAAGATGCCATCAGCCAGGGCAATTTGAGAAGAGCAAATTGTGTTCCTGTGAGCTGTCTTGTTCAATGGTTGCAGTGTAAATAAAAGTGAAACAGCTTTTTTAAAATTATTTGTTTCAAGTGTAACAACTCAATGAAGTAAAATAAAGACAGTTTTGCTTTTGCCAAGACAACAGGCTTTGCTCTCACAATACATATGATGTTGAGATATTTTTCTTGTGTTCGGATTTCAGGAAATAATATATTGAATAAATCATATGTAAAATATGTTGTAAGCACAAAACAATTAAAAATCACCAGAAAATTTCTGAATTGTAGAATTCCTTAATATTATAGCATGAATGAATGAAAGTAAAACTGTTATATTGTAGGATAAGATGATTAAAGGAAATTTTAGGGATATTAGTTTGGAATGGGGTGAATAGGACAAATTGGAAATGGACAGACTGGAGTCAGAGAGATAAAGTAGGAAACTAAGAATTTTCACTGTTTAGGCTGAGAAAATAACTTTAGTAATAATCTAGTGGGGCTTTTATTTTGCAGGTGAGAAGTGAGGCCCTAGAGAAGTTAACTTGACCAAAATTAATCAGTCACAGCGTGATTTATCAATCTAAATTTCCTAACACCACTTCTGTCCAGTAGGTATTTTTATTATAACATGCTACTTCTAAGATTGATTTCTGAAAATAAACAATTCTAAATCTCTGATATTTCACACTAACTTAGGTCTGGTAGGAGAGAAAAAGACTCCTGTACTGAAGAAATTGCCAACTTTTTTCTGGATTTTTTTTTTTAAACAAGGAATAAGAAAGACATTGTGGATTAGGAGTTAGGCCACTTGAATTAAGTAACAGGTTTTACCAAAATCTTGCTGATATTTGATGAAAGTTTCACTATTATTTATCATGAAGTGAAAAAAACCTTAATCTTCAGGAATTTCAGGTCCACAGGCCATTTCATGAGAAGCATTGGCAGAGTTTGTAAAATTTATAAAAGTAAATATTTGAACACAGTCAATTAATACCACAGTCTCTATTTTCTGACCTCCATTTGGCCACATGGCCCCTTATGTGGGTGGCATTGGAGTGACCACAGGCATTTTTGACATGACACTCTAAGGAAAAGTTAAGTTGATAAATTTAAGTTTGCGTTTAATGGAATTGTATTTATTTGGTTTGTAGTCACATTGTGAACAGGGTGTTTTCTATCTATCCAAGTGAAGGAATGGTTTCCAAAAATTCTTCTACACCCCTTTGAAAAAACAGACTCAATGACATTAACAACAACGTGATTATGAGCACTGTCAATTCAAAGAGTATTACAGAGTAGTTACAACACAACAGAACTTGAAATGCCCTAACATATTACAGATCATACAAATTTTTAAATCTTATTGCTCATCTACAAAAGAAACTTGATAGATAATTCCCCAAATTTAACAACAATTTAAAGAATTTACATGACAATGATTTGGGAAGCTAAATTGTCAATAACAGATAACAAATAACTTGTCATCAACCATGCTAGAGAAAATACTAAATTCCTTTCCTACTATCTTTATAGAAAATATTAATGTATATGAAGAGGTAATCAGAATGTATTCCAAAATATAGCCAATAAGTATGTAAGACAGTTAACTAATACAAATACTATATTACTTTTTCTGGATTTTGTGATGTTTGTCAACTTTTAGGAATCAAGATAAAGAGAGCTAAGGAAAACGGAGACAAGAAATCCTGGACATTTTCCCTCATCCATTTGAGGGTTGTTCTCAGATAAGTGTGTATATATACACACATATAAGATTATTCATTGAGATATAGGCAAAAATACTTTGACGTCTCTCTATATATTTTCTTAAAAACCTTTAATTTCTTTATATACTTATATTCTCACATAATTTTACATAAATTTAATGTTATACATTTTCTGTAATCATTGTTTTTACCTGTTTTTTCTTAATGGGAATTGTATCACAGTTTGATCTAGGAAGCAGAACAACTTTCAATGATATAGAAAAGGGATTATCGGCCAGGCACGGTGGCTCATGCCTGTAATCCCAGCACTTTGGGAGGCCAAGGTGGGTGGATCATTTGAGGTCAGGAGTTTGAGACCAGCCTGGCCAACATGGTGAAACCCTGTCTCTACTAAAATAAAAAAATTTGCTGGCCATGGTGGCACATGCCTGTAATCTCAGGTACTTGGGCGGCTGAGGCAGGAGAATCGCTTGAGCCTGGGAGGCAGAGGTTGTGGTGAGACGAGATTGCGCCACTGCACTCCAGCCTGGGCAACAGAGTGAGACCCTGTCTAAAAAAAAAAAAAAAAAGAAGAAGAAGAAGAAAAGAAAAGGGATTTATTATAGAGATTAGACCCAATGCATTTGTGGAAGCTGGAGAAGGAGCCAATGGAGGGCCATTACCACTGCATATGGTGTGAAGCTGACAATTTCGTAGGCTAGAAGGGCCAGTAGTTAGGAAGAAAAGTTGGAAATGAAGCAGGGAAGAGTAAGAAAAAATTGCAAATGATGAAGCCTAACTAGAAGCTGTGAAGTCAAACTGGAATCCACGTCTGTGTTTTACTGCCTGTAGCTTGCCTATGTGTTTGACCTAGAAGAAAAAGCTGATGATCTTCACCATGGGGTTGCACAAGTGCCCGTCCCAGGAGTCAAAGAAGCTGAAGAGAAGATTCCTTGGGAGTTGAAGTAGATGTGGGTCTGGCAGCTGCTGCAGACCAACAAGGTGAACTACTAGATTAGCTACACTGTATGCAAGCTGTAATAATGTAATGAATTGTAGTGGCTCCCAGCACCTATATTCACCTTCATAATGTGATGGCTACTGCTTCACTTTTGCCTTTCAAATCTTGGGCAAATTTGTCTTGTGAGTAACCCTAAAATGCAACCATACCAGAAGGGAATTCTGGGAAACGTCTTTCCAGCTTGTGTAAATTGACACATTTCTCCATTGATTAAAGATTGTTGGACATGTTTTCCATGACTGCTGAATATTCAGATACACTGCATAAGAATTAATATTTTTCTTTTCTTTTTCTTGCCACTAAGAATAATGCAGCAGTAAGCACCAATAACATATGTCCTCATGTACTGTTAGTTTTCTTTCTGTGGGATAGAGTCCATTCATGGCTAAACCAAATAGTAGACATATTTATTTTAATTTTAATAAATGTTGAATTTTTTTAAAAGGCTGTGTAAGTCAACATTTTTACCTGAAGGCTTCTTTTTTTGTACTATATTGATTATCCTATAGCTCTAGCAGAAAGAGATATGATAGTCTTTTTTAATGTATACCAATTCAATGGGCAAATGCGTTATCTCATTTTTAATTTTTATTTCTCCATTTATGAGATTTTGATTATGTTTTTATATTTGAGATTTTGGTTGTATTTTTATAATTGCTGGCCATTTGGATATGTTATTTTGTTAATTGTTAATACATATTTTTATTCATATTTCTATTTTTTGTCTTTCTGTCAATTTATGCATGTTATTTTTTATTGTGTAGGTACTTGTCATTGCAAAATTGTTTGTAGAAATAATCCAAGGTCTTTTATGATGTTTTCTGTCTCCAGAGAAGACTTGTGTTTTCATCTTCCAGGCTGGTACTTCATGGTGTCTCTAGCAATGCAGAATTGTTCGAATCTATTTCAAGAATTGAAATGGTTCAAATCTCAGCTTCAGTCTACACTAAGGTGTAACTACTGCTTTTTATTTACAAGATTTAGTATTTTTTCCCTTTCTCAAATTCTTACAGCTTTCTACTCTAATTTTGAAATCCCTATCCTGAGAAGGCCTTCAAAAGGCACTATTCAATGTCTTATCCTCTCTGACATTTCTTTTGGAATCTGCAAGAAAAAAGCGACACCAAATTTCTGGGCTCATCTTCCTAAGCCTCTAGGTAAATATTTACTGTTTAGTTAACTCTCTTAGCCTTTTATGGAGATTTTAAAAAATATGGCATTGAACTTTTCTACTCAGAGTTTAGGCCAGACTACTCAATCCCAGAACTTGATAACCTAGATCTGAAATCTTAATGGCACTTATGCTTAGAATGATAGCATTATTTTAGAGTTAGGGTTTTTGAAGTGGTCCTCAATAAATATCATCCCTCATCTCCATTTGAGATAGCAACATCTTGGGAAATAAGATGAAGAGTAAAAATATTATCTAAGATATTTTCTTTGTTAATAATGGCGTGAAAGTTGCAAAGATAGCTTAGCATGAGAGTAGACTCTGCCTGTTAACTGAAACCCAGAATAAGGCAGATGTACTCAGCTAGTTGCAGGCCATGCTGTACACAGGAGCCTCCTGTAGTTGTAGCCTCTTCTGACGACAACTACAGCCTTGGACGTGTTGGCCTGCTTTTTAATCAGAAACCTGTCACGTGCTAAACTGAACAGGGATGACAGAGGCTTGATGGTGTTTAGGGAAAATCCTTCCTCATGGACCCCAGAGAAAAGGAATTCCTCCTAAAGACAGGATTGCAGCAATTTAATTTCATTAATTCACAAAGGACCCTCAGGAAGGCTAGTATTTAATATTCATATATAGCTTAGTATAAAGAGCTATGTGCTTTTGAACTGTTGGATATTCTTAAATACTGAATACACCAATACTCTGCTTCAACTTTATAAATTGTGTGACTTTGGACAAAACATTTAACTCCTTTGAATCAACGTTTCTTTATTGGTATACAGGAGATTGGTATACAAGAGATCACAACCTCTTTTTATCTTTTTTTAAAAAGCTCAAATGAGGTAATGTGTTTGAAATATTATACACATATTAGAAAATGCTCTTAGTATAATTTTTGTGTATGTGTGCACGTGTGTGTGTGTGTGTTTATTTTTAAAGCTTTTCTAGTGTGGCCTCCTGGGGTGCTTCTTCTCATTAGGATGCTTGTTTATCTGCCCTCTGCCCTCCTGCTAGTGCTGGAGGGGCCTCCTTCAGCTATTTTTAGTGGAGCCACATCACCATCTGCATGTAGCACAGGCTCTCCCACCTTTAGTATCTAGCTTTTTTTTTTTTCCCCAAGCACAGATGAATGGCAGGTGTTACAGATCTTTTCTAACTCAATATTATGTTTCTGGTGAAAAACAGTTTTCCATCTGAAAACTTCTCCCAGACCTTGAAGGTTACTTCCTTCTATCAAAATATATCCTTTAGTTCTCTGACATGCTAGCTTATTAAATCGCTGCTCTGCTCCAGGTGCTTCAATGGGGAGCTATCTGCAGCTTTCATTTTCTCCGTTGATATGATATGTCTTAGGCTTTAACCAAAATAAAAGCAGGAGTGTCTAAATATTTTATATATTGTGTATAGTTGCACTATCCTCTACCGCAACCACATCAGACATTTCCTCATCATGCTTCTGTGAATGTCATAGGGAATTTTGAAATGTGATTGAGATTACTACTAGGTTAAGCCTAGCGGAGTTGTGTTTTTTCTTTTCCCCGTGAGAAATTGTCATTACAATGTAAGACTTTAACAGAAAGCTTTTGTATGTTAGCTCTCCTTGCTTATAAATTATGGAGAGGAAACATTGAAAATGCAAGCACATGTTTAAAAATTATATTGCTTCAAGTTAAAATGCCTTCTCTTAAAATCCTAATGTTAAATTCAGTTCTATTGTCTTGTGAGATATTTTATAAAGGTAGCCTATGAGATGGACATGTGAAATGTTTGATTTTTCCTTTAATCCTATTGAGTATCCTCTAAAGATCATCTCAATTTTGGCAAGCACGTGTTCTTCCTCCCTTTACATGGCCATTGCCAGTTTTACACCCTCTTTCATCAGTGGCTGCCCAAAACCCCTGGCCTTTTGTACCCCACAGGTATCTCTTGTCTCATGCTAGGATCGATGCCGTCATGTCATTTTGTTCTACCACTACCATCTATATCTACTCAGCAGCTAATAATGTTTTCCCCACCTTAACTGGAGGTATGGGGTAGATTAGCTTCTCTCTGAGTGTCTCCCAGAATTCTTTAAAATGCTGTAGTAACAAAAGGAACTCTGGCCTTGGGTTTAAGAAACATCCTCCATTTATAATTGTTCTCCTGAAAGGAAACACTCTGTTGTAAGTTTTTTAGATTGGGGTTTGTCTGCTCATTTTGCATTGCTATAAAGGAATACATGAGACTGGGTAAATTATAAAGACAAGGGGTAAATTTTGGCTCACAATTTTGCAGACTGTATAGGAAGCACAGAGCTGGCATCTGCTTCTAGTGGGGCCTAAGGCAGCTTAAAATCATGGTGGAAGGCAAAGGGGGAACAGGCATGTCACATGGGGAGAGATACAGCAAGAGAGAAGGGGGGAGATTTCACACTCTTTTAAAAAATCAGATCTCTAGTGAACTCGTTACCACTCATTACCGTGGGGAAGGCAGCAACCCATTCATGCGGGATCCATCCCTGCAACCCAACACCTCCCACTAGGCCCCACCTCCAACATTGGTGGGGAGGGATCGCTTTTTTTTTTTTTTTTTTTTTTTTTTGAGACCGGGTCTCACTCCGTCGCCCAGGCTAGAGTGCAGTGGTGTGATCTTGGCTCACTGCAACCTCTGCCTCCCAGGCTCAAGTGATCCTCCCATCTCAGCCTCCCAAGTAGCTGGGACCATAGGTGTGCACACCACCATGCCCAACTAATTTTTGTATTTTTTGTAGAGATGGGGTTTCATCATGTTGCCCAGGCTGGTCTCGAACTCCAGAGCTCAAGAGACCCATTGGCCTAGGCCTCCCAAAGTGCCGGATTATAGGCATGAGCCACTGTGCTTGGCTGGGGAGAGGGTTGGGGGGGTGGTGTGTCACTTTTTAACATGAGATCAGAGGAGACAAATATCCAAACCATATTAGGGTTGCTTGGGAGTTTTTCTGCTGGCCAATATGACTTTTCTCTGCTGAATATATGAAATATCCTCTTAATTTTAATTCTCCAAACATTTGTTTCTCTTTGGCTGATGCTGCCTGGTCCCAAAATATCATGGATTTCTGCAGAGTAAATATTAATATCATTTGGACAAATGGTTGTGTCCATTTAAAATAATTTAACCTTAACAAGAAAGGTAGAGTCATTTTTACTTCCAGGTTATATGGGTGCTGATGTGGTTTCTGAAAGTCAACAAAATTTCTTTCAACGCACTGTCCCCTAAGAACACTCTGATCACAACCATCATCCCCCTGCCCCCTCTGCCCCAACACTTCCCATTCAGCATAGCAGAAGTGGAATAATGCACTGACACAGCAGGCTGCAGCCAAGGGCACCAGCGATAACATTCAGATCAGCAGCAATGACAACAAAAACATATTTCGCCTGTCTTTTAAAAATAACATCACAGATACACCAGAGACTTAATGTCATTGATTTTCATTGTTGTTTTCTCCCCAGCCAACTTCTCTGAAGTGGAATGTGGCAGTGAGATCTCAACTAACAATGAGCTTCTCTTTTTATAATGCGGCCACTATTCAAGATTGTTTCTCTACTAAGTGTAAAACCATTAAGCCAAGTTTTCTGTCAGCAGTCATAGATGTCTATGAGCATGAAAACCCAGGACTGCATGTTTGCAAAGTGGGATAGCTTCAGGTTATTCATTTTCCTCTTAGATTCAGATTATTTATTTGCCTTAAAGAAAAAAGGAAAAGGAAAAGAAGTGCTGTAATGGGGGTTATAGTGCTGTACAGGGTTGTGTGGATAAATGAGATCACAAAAAGCAAAAGGGAGACCTCAATGGGTCAGGCAGCTCTTATTATCTATATCTATGACATTCATTAAACTAAGTTCCCCAAATCTTAGATGCTTGAGTGTCTGTAAATGTCTGATTCAATTATTTTAAAACTTTAATAAAAGTTGACATTTTCAAAAATAAGTTCTGAACCAATTTTCATACCTTGGAAATCATCACATTAGCTTGAGCTGTTAGGCTAACTAGTTTGGGGGCTGATCTAAATAAGAAAGTCCTTTTCTACCATCACTGAATGATGAAGACTGTAGCTCTATTAGAGCTCTTATAAAGTCTAGCCTCTACACTGCTGCTGAGCTAAATTTGTATTAGCAGGTACTCAGTCGAGCACATGCACATTGAACTTCTTAAAATGTCAGGCAAAGCTCAAGGGTATCTTCCAGCCCATGCACTCCTGCTCATGCTGCTACACTACAGACTCCAAGCAATGTGTGTAAACTGACAGTCACTTGAAGATGAGAAAATACAATGACAATTATTTGTACTAGAGGTTCAAATTTTATTTCAAAACAGAGTAAAAACATTACTCATTGCCTCAATGTATTTAATACAATGAAATGTAAAATATTCCTGTTATCCCTGCAAAGATAAAATAGCATCTTGCAACAGCACAGTAAGCATGTAAATAAGACTCTCCATTTCTTTGGAAGACAAAAATCTATGGAAATAAATTAAAACCTGAAAATGAAAATGTACTTTTAGCCTAAAGTTACCACTTGGTAGGTGAGGGAGATGTTAACATTGAGAAAAATCTCATTAAAGTTTATACATGTGACATTATGGCAAGGATGTTATATGAGCTTTCATTTTTAAAAAATTATTTTTATAGATTTAGAGGGTACAAGTGCAGTTTTGTTATATGGATATATTGTGTAATGGTGAAGTCAGAGCTACAAGAGTAACCATCACCCAAAGGTTGTACATTGTACCTATTAGGTAATCTTTAATCCTTCATATCCCGACTCTCCCACATTTCTGAGTCTCCAGTGTCTACTATTCCATTCTCTGTGTCCATGTGTACACATTCTTTAGCTTCTACTTATAAGTGAGAATATGTGGTATTTGACTTTCTGTGTAAGAGTAATTTCACTTAGGATAGTGGCCTCCAGTTCCACTCATACTGCTGCAAAAGAGATGGTTTCATTCATTTTTATGGCTGAGTAGTATTTGATGGTATTTGTATGTGTGTTTATCGTTTCTTTAACTAATCATCTGTTCATGGATGTTTAAGTTGATCCCATATGTTTGCTTTGGTAAATAGTGCTGAGACAAACATATGAGTGCAGATATCTTTGGTATAATGATTTGTTTTCCTCTGAGTAGATACCCAGTAGTGGGATTGCTAGATCAAATGGTAGTTCTATTTTTAGTTATTTAAGAAATCTCAATACTGTTTTCCATAGAGATTTTACTAATTTACATTTCCACCAAAAGGATGTAAGTGTTCTGTCTTATCCCCATCCTTGTCATCATTTGTTATTTTTTCACATTTTGATAATAGCCATACTGACTATTGTGAGATGGTATCTCATTGTGGTTTTGATTTGCATTTTTCTGATGATTAGTGATGTTGAGCATTTTTTATATGTTTGCTGACCATTTGTATGTTTTCTTTTGAAAGATGTCTGTTCAAATCTGTATTAGTCAGGGTTCTCTAAAGGGACAGAACTAATAGGCTATATATCTATATGTATGTGTGGGTATATATATGTATATATATAAATATATATAAAGGGGAGTTTATTAAGGAATAGTGACTCACACAATCACAAGACGAAGTCCCACAATAGGATGTCTACAAGCTGAGGAGCAGGGAAGCCAGTCCAAGTCCCAAAACCTCAAAAGTAGGGAAATTGACAGTGCAGTCTTCAATTTGTGGCCAAAAGCCTGAGAGCCCCTGGCAAACCACTGGTGTAAGTTCAAAAGTCCAGAAGCCAAAGAACTTGGAGTCTGATATTCAAGGGCAGGGAACATTCAGCACAGGAGAAAGATGAAGGCTGGAAGACTCAGTGAGTCAAGTCCTTCCACGTTCTTCTGCCTGCTTATTCAAGCCAAGCTGGCAGCTGCTGATTAGATGGTGCCCACCCAGATTGAGGGTGGGTCTACCTCTCCCAGTCCATGGACTCAAATGTTAATCTCCTTTGGCAACACCCTCATAGGCACACTCAGGAACAATACTTTGACATCCTTCAATCCAATCAAGTTGACACTCCATATTAACCATCACAATATCCTTTGCACACTTTTAATGGTGTTATTTATTTTCTTCTTGTTTGGGTTCCTTGTAGATTCTGGAAATTAGTGTTATGTTGACGCATAGTTTGCAAATATTTTTCTCCCATTTTGTAGGTGGTCTGTTCACTCTGTTGATAATTTCTTTTGCTGTGCAGAAGCTTTTCAGTTTAATTAAGTCCTATTTGTCTATTTTTGTTTTAGTTGCATTTGCTTTTGAGATCTTATTCATGAATTAATTGCCTAAACCAACATCCAGAAAAGTTTTCCCAGGTTTTCCTCTAGCATTCTATAGTTTCACTCAACAATGATTACCACTGCCTGATATAGCATAGAGAAGTATCTAAGCATGCACATGGTGGCAGTGGCGGCAAGTTGTCTTTTATAATATCCTTTTCCTCTTTCCTAAGAAAGGAAACCACAGTTTTTCACTGGGCACAGACCACCAAGAATGAAGACTGCGTTTTCTATCCTTCTTTATACTGGGTGTGGTCATGTAAGTAGAAATTTTATATGGCGGATTCTGAGAGTGCCTCTGATCTTTATTGTTCCTTTTCTCCATCCCATTACCTGAAACCTAATGTGATTGCTGGAACTCTGGCAGCAATGTTGCTCAACTGAGGCATGGTAGATCAGCATCTCTGTTGGGCTTGAGAATCTACCTTACTAGCCCAGGGCTGCCTATTATGAATTCCTTTATACAAAAGAATATACGCTTCTGGCCAGGCACGGTGGCTCATGCCTGTAATCCCAGCACTTTGGGAGGCCAAGGTGGGTGGATTATCTGAGGTCAGGAGTTCGAGATCAGTCTCACCAACGTGATGAAACCCCATCTCTACTAAAAATACAAAAATTAACCGGGCTTTGTGGCACATACCTATAATCTCAGATACTCGGGAGGCTGAGGCAGGAGAATTGCTTGAGTCCGGGAGGTGGAGGTTGCTGTGAGCCGAGATTGTGCCACTGCACTCTAGCCTGGCCGACAGAGCAAGACTCTATCTCAAAAACAAACAAACAAACAAAAAACAGAATATAAGCTTCTGTCTTGTCTATGGAACTATGATTTTGGTTTTCTGTCATATTCAATTATACAAAATCCTGATTGATGTATACATCTACTCATTTGAAGACAGAAATTATGTAACATTTTTACAGTCTAGTGGTGACAAATCAGAAGCTGTCAATTACTATGCTTGTCTTTTTTTTGTAATGTGTTTTGTTAGATTAATGTGAAGAGGCTTGCTACTTTTAAAATAAGTGACATATACCTAATAGAAGAAGAAAATATTAAATGTTTAAGATTAACATTTTATACTCTCTCAAATAAGTTGGCACATAGTGACACCTGTGCTGATAGAATGATCACAAAAGTAGAAAACTCTGCAGGTGAGGTATCTCCTTATATTGTAATGTTCAAGAAGTCCTTGTAAAGCAGAGCTGAATCTTGCACAAGGATTTTATTATCAAATTAGACCTCTGAGAAAATCACATATAGTTAGTATTATCCTTTAAGTCCTCTCCCAATTCTCATAAAATTAGAATGTATATAGCTTTGGGATACAGCCCTATTCAGATTTATGGGCACTCAAAACATTCTTCATTTGTATTTGTTGTAAAATTCCTAATTGGCAGTGAACTCCTGAGAAGAAAATTTTAAACTCTACTTTTCTACGGGCTTTACTTCTGATTTATATAATAAGCCTCTGAATCCCAATACACATTACTAGATTGTTTGTTTTGATGAAGATGAAACAAGATAGAGGACTTGCGTCTTAACCTACAGCTAGGTCTTAAAGTCGGCTTACGATGTGTTACGTCTTCAGGAAATGTCAGCTTCACTTGCTACTTATATGTTCTATAGGATTTAGTCAGACAACATCTTTCAAACACCATTGGTTAGTTTTCATACAAAATGCAAGTTTTATCAGGGTATATTTTTATTGTAAACTTTTCAAAATTATTTTTAATTATGTGGGCATTTTTTATGTCTAACTTTATTTGCAGGGTTTTAGTATGAATAATTCACCAAATATGTTACAGATAAAGAAAGTATATTGCTAACTATTTTTTAAATAAAATATGCTTGCACTAGTTTTGTATCTTGCCAGTGTTTCTAAGCTGCTGAACAAACTCAATTTGGCAAGACAGAAATGTTGCTGTACGCTGTGGATAAAATCTCAGGCATGGACTTAAAACTTTGTTTAGACTGACTTGGAAAATAAATATGATTCTTTCATTCTTTTAAAGATTTGACAGAGGGGAGCACTGAAGAAACTTTTAATTTTAAAATAATTTTTAGTTGTATCAATATATTGTGGGAAAACAATTTTAAAAATCGCATAGTGCTGAGACAAAAAAAGCATCAGTCTGCTTTTCCCTTCGAATCCCTAAGTGACTCTTCACAGGCAAAGATGTTCAATTCTTTGGTTGTTCCTTCTAATATTTAGTTCTATGTATGTAAATACCATTGACTATAGCTATTTGTTGATTCATCACTTTTAGATATTATCACTTGATTTCCTATTTTGACATACTAGAATTTGGAACCATTTAGACTTCTTATTTCCTTATCATTTCTAAATAAAAATTTGGTAAAACCCACACACATTTTTTCCTGTTACAATGTAAAGATGGTTTTCTTTGAGCAAAAATTCTCTAATTATATTTTGTTCCCTGTACTACTTTCTATATTTTGCTGGAGATGATAATCTTCTTATTTTTAATGCTTCTTTAATTATCTTTAAATAGTTAAATTTTATGCAGCCTCCAGGAAATCTGAAATTGTTTTCTATGCAGTCTAACCTCGAGATCTTTTATCAGTTGCATTTTTGTTCTGTAGAACCAGCTCCTGGAACACTTTGCCCTCTGCTACATCAGAGGGCTTTGCTTGCCAAGCTTGGTGAAGCAGTGGTATGACTTTGCTGCTATTCAGAGACTTCTATTTGACTCTTCTCTGTGTTGCATTCCTGGTTTCTTGATTCTCATGTCTTCCTCTTTACTGGTTTATTCCTGCATTTTGTTGAAGTACATGTTCTAATAGCTTCCTGAGAAATCGTGCATGGGAGGTAATTTTTTTGAAATTGTACACATTTTAAAATAGCTTTATTCTACCCTCATATTTGATCAATTGTCCTATGGCTCTATAATTCTTTCACAGCACTTTAAAGGGAAAGTTTGTTTAATTGTCTTCTAGCACTGCCAATGTTTGCGATGAGAAATCAAGTGCTATTTTTACTTCTAATCTTTATTAGTTGCTTTGTTTTTTCTTTTCTGGAAACTTACTATCTTCTCTTTATTTTGGGGAAGTAATATGTCAGTATCTTCTGTTCTATGCAACTTAAAAGAATTGAGATCATATAGGTCAATTTTTATTTGTTTCTATCAAAATTACCTGCCCAAAGAGTTAGGTAAAAGAAAGAGAATGGGAGGGCTAAGGCTGTTAGTTGGAATTCACTCACTTTCTAAACTTCACATCTTTTCTAAGTAGTTAGTGATAATTCTTCCTTCTCAGTTGCATTCAAAGAAGTTCCCCATCTGTCTTGTGCCATGCAAAAATCCCTGAAAAGATGAGTTGTGACCTTGACTGCTTACTAAGGTGTTCAGGGACCAAGCAGCTACTTTTATTTTGCAGTGAAGGGTTGCATACATCTACAACAGCTAAATTTTAGTGACATTATCAAGGCAGACTGTATTCATCCTAGTTGAGATTCAGTATAGATGACAAATTTCTTACAATGGGAAAATTTATAGGCTCTATTTTACTGTATTTTGTTTATTTTTAATTATAGTTTTTAAATTGTTGAAAGAATAGATATTAAATGCAGAAAACCTAACAAAGAGAAAATTTATTCATAATTCCAGAGATGATAAATATTCACAACTTGACATATGTTACATAGAATTTTGTTTTGTTTTTCATTTAAACAGTCTATAAGGAACATCTCCTCATATAAATAAATATTATTGCATGTATTGTACAATATTATTTTTAAGTGCCTAGCACGTTTTCTTTTTAAGTTTACAAATAAAAATCATTTATATTTATAGTGTACAATATGATGTTTTGATAAATGTATACATTGTGGAATGGCTAAACCAAGCTAATTAACATGTACATTATCTTACATAATTATATTTTTGTGGGAGTGAAAACACTTAACCATCTGTCTCAGCAATTTTCAATATGCAACACATCGTTATTAACTATAGTTACTATGTTTGTACGACATGACTTTTGATGGTTGCATAGTGTTTCATTGTATGAACTTGTCCTAATGTATACAACCATTTTCTTAGGCCTAGAGACTTCAGGGATCTTTTCATTTGTTTTTGCCCTCCTAAATATTATGCAACCCAAAATGGCTCAAGCTTTATCAGCCTATACATCAAAATGGAGTCACAATAACATTACTTTTCAAATTATGATGTTTCATAGCCCCTTCTTGCATGATTTTAATATTTATTAGTTTTTTTGTGGAAGGCCTTGGGGTTGTCTTATTGGTTTACAGGAATAAGCCCATGTATATTTTCTCCCTTTGAGCATCTTCTAGGAAGCCCCACCACCATCACTGGGGAGGAGTCTTGACTCTGCTGCTAATGTTGGCACCTCCTAAGTGAATGCTGCTTCTTAGCTCCGTTTTGCAGTGTTCTCAGATCCTGCTACCACTTGTTCTTGCAGATAAAAGAGCAGAATGTGACTGATGTAGTCTGGCTTTGTGTCCCCACCCAAATCTCATCTTGAATTGTAATCTGAATTGTAATCCCCATGTGTTAGAGGATGGACCTCGTGGGAGGTGATTGAATCATGAGGGCAGTTCCCCCATGCTGTTCTTACGATAGTGAGTGAGTTCCCATGAGATCTGATGGTTTCATAAGGGGCTCTTCCCCCTTCACTCTGCACTTCTCTCTCCTGCTGCCTTGTGAAGAAGGATGTGTTTGCCTCCCCTTCTGCCATGATTGTAAGTTTCCTGTGGTCCCCCCAGCCATGCAGAACTGTGAGTCAATTAAACCTCTTGCCTTTATAATTTACCCAGTACTGATATTTCTTTACAGTAGAGTGAAAATGGACTAATACATCACCTTTCCTCATTTTGAGCTAGATTTTGTTTTTTATGCTCAAAGACAGCAATGCTTATGCCCAGTCTCAATAAACATTTCCTGAAAGTAGTCCTTCAGTTTCTGGCTCTAACTCCTACTTCTTAAAGGTACAGGTTCTCTGTCTTCACCTCTTCAAAACTTTTATATGGAGCTTTAAGAAGATTTAGATGCCCAGGTCATACTTCAGACCTATTGACGTAATCTTCCAGGTAGAACTCCAGTATGTGCATTTCAAAAGTTCATCAGGTAGTTTTGTTAAACGTAATAGATTCTCTTTGTTGCCCATGCAGATCCCTTCCCTGTAGTATCCCCCTCTCTCAGCTTATCTAAATGCTGTGATTAATAGCTTACACTTGTAATCTTTTCAAGAGGATTGCCACTTTACCTAGAAATGCCAGGGAAGTTACCAACACCATACAGGTTTTACTGTAGAGCATACTCTCACTAAAACTTATGCACCCGTCATGTTGGTGGGACTGTAGATTAGTACAGTCATTATGAGAAACAGTATGGAGGTTTCTCAAAAAATTAAAAATAGAATTATGATCACATATGATCTAGATCTAGAAACTCTAGACCACATATGATCTAGAAATTCTACTTCTGGGTACATATCTAAAGGATATAAAATCAGTATGTCAAAGAATATTTGTACTCCCATGTTCATTGCAGTGTTATTCATAATGCCAAGATATGGAAATGACTTAAGTGCCCATCAATAGATGAATGGATAAAGGAATTGTGATATAGATATGTGTGTGTGTGTGTGTGAATCTTATTCAGCCATAAAAAAAGAAGAAAATTCTGTCATTTGGGATAACATGGATGAACCTGGAAGACATTACGTTAAATGAAATAAAACGGGAATGGAAAGACAAATAGCATATGATCTCACTCATATGTAGAATCTAAAAAAGTTGATCTCGTAGAAAGAGAAAGGAAAATGGTGGTTACCAGAGGCTGGGGTAGTTGGGGGAAGATGTTGGTCAAATAATATAAAATTACAGTTATATAGTAGAAATAAGTTCAAGAGATCTATTGTACAGTATGGTGAATAAGTTGATGATAATATGTTGTATTGTTGAAAAATGCTGAGAGTGAATGTGTATTCTTACCAGAAAAATGATAAATATGTTACCTAATGTTTATGTTAATTAGCTAGATTTAACTGTTTCATAATGTATATGTACTTCAAAACATCCTGTTGTACATAATGAATATTGTACATAGAATTTTATTTATCAGTAAAAAAGTTATATTCACCTGAATCCCTGTTATGAGCTCTGGGCCAATGAAATTGGACCTAAAACAATGTGGAATCAGGTTATCATTCATGAGCCCCACGCACAGTCCATGGAACTGGGTAAGGGACAGGCATCGTGTTATTAATATTTTGACCATTAATCTGATTTCTCTTCTCCACTTTACAGACCCCTGTTCATGAACATACATGCACATGCACATGTGTGCACACACAAACTCTCTACACATAGAGGACTGTTCCTTTCTTGTCAACAGAAAAACCTTTGGTCGCATGCAGGCTAACTCATTTACTACTTCCTGCTGCTACATTTCTTGATCTGTTTTGGGGTACATCTCTTTTTCTTCCCTGAGTGTCAGTGACTACCGTCTGGGCTGATCATAAGGCTTTTGCTTCATCTTGTCAATAGTTTCTATGAAAAATAAAAGGTTTTTTTCCCTCAACACCCTTACAAGGCTGCCCAGTGTTCTACCATAGTTTCTCTGGGAAGGAGAGAAGTCAGACAGACATAAATGGTGATGATGTTTTATGGTTAGTAAAAGTGACAGTGAGTATAGATAAGAATCAACCTAGAAGTATGCGGTGAAGAGGATTTGGAATGAGGGCACTTTGAAGCAAGGGTAATACCATATAAAATAACAGATTCTTAGCTTGAGAAGGAAAGACTTGGATATTATCTAAGCTAAGATGAAGAATGTGTGCCCTTTGAGAGATGTTGCCTAGATTTCTTTCAATTGCCATATTCTAACTATACGAGGTGGAAAAGGCCCGATGCAGTTGAGTTCTGTCCAAGGACATAAACTCAGTCAAGCTCTTATGAAAATGCAGTGATAAAAAGAGAAGAGTAAATAGCCTTTGGATGGAGCAATAACTCTTTTATTCTCCTTCCTTGGAATATTTATTCTGTAATTATTTTTCTTTGGCATTGAGCTATAAGGATAGCTGTAAGCATGTGTTTGTGATCTGGTGAAATTTGGGTGTAGATATAGAGAATTTATACATCTATGTTATTTTTCTCTAGAGGGATTCAATTTTGCCCATAATAACATTCTGTTTCTTTCATCAATAAATTAATAAAATATTTCTGAACACATATATCTGCTAATTACAGGAATCTTCAAGGAAGGTTAGGAGGTGAAGTGGATTTTCTGATATTAGGGGCTCTCTATTCTGTAACATTATGATTATCTCAGGATTTACCGACAGGTTTTTAAGAAGAGGGGAAGCATAACTGGAAAAAACTAGCCTTTTTTGTTGTTTTCTCAACAACAATTATTATTGTTGGAAACAACATTAAACAATTATTTTGGGGGAGGGAATTATACTAATCCTAATCATTGCTTTAATTTGCATGAGGGAGTAAATCTGGGAAGACCTACATGTGAGTTACTATCCTTTTAGGTTTTTGCTTTGAAGGTACCTGAATCAATTTATTTAAGTTTATCCTGGAAGTAGGTTAGCATAAAACAACTTTGGTTATTTGTGTATTGTTCCTCTATGATCTCTTCTTTCAAAATATCTTTTTAAAAGATTTAACATGACCTGGCTAAGAATCAGAGGGGACCCAGATGCATTTCCCCAGGTAACACACCCTGCTCAGAAGTCGCCACAATTAGGGCATTGTGCATAGCAGAGACCATGGATTCTGGTGCACAAATATGCTCACAGAAGCACTGAATTGTCCTGGAAATGCAGACAAGAACTTTGTGCCAGCAACTCCCCTAAGCTCTTCTTTGAAACTGACCTTATTAAGTTTCTGCTGGGGTAATTTGCTCTGGGGATCTCCTGAGTTACTTGAATGAATAAAATAAGCTGCCAGTCTTTGACCTGACTCTAATTAGTAGAGCATGATTCATGGGGGGTTAGCAGGGCTTCTGTTTCAGGCTACAAGGAAGCTTGAATAGGGTTTACTCAATGCTATAGGCTTCTAGTTCCTTCTGGCCGAGCTATAGGCTACTTATCTGTTCCTGTTATCTCCTGTTTTCATTTGAAAACCCAAAAGTATGTTAACATAAATAAGAAAAAAATGACTAACATATCATTTTTCCCTCTCTCCCCAGGGAGTACATGTTGTGCCGGGGCAGGACTGGGTACAACTTCTTGCCAAACCTTAGGGCTTGTGGCTGGGTTGCTGTGTTTTCTCTTTGGATTTGACCCCAGCATCACACTTTCCAGGTTACACTATTCAGACTGGTGCCTGGATTTATACAGGATATTTCTGAACCTCAGTCACTGATATAAGTTTAATTTATATTCTCAGAATGATCTTCTCACCCTATGCATGTCAATAGCTGTTGACAGGCACTTGTAGAGGCAGGTTCTCTTTGGATTCATACACAAAATCTGCAATTAGATTCAGCTAAAAGAAAATTAACTGATTAAAAAGAAAGAATAATGATAAAAATGTGCTTAGGAGAATGCTGATTATGAGTAAAATGATGAAACCATGTGTGAGTACATAGCCCTTGGGATGACATCCTCCTCAAGGACAGATGAGAGAGGATATGGCAGCCATGAGTGTCCATGCCCTCTAAAAGCTGAGCTTCCCTACAGTGCTCCCAGTGGAGACACCTGGAAGGCAGACCAGGTAGAGAGTCCAAGGTCAGGCAGGCTGCCCACTCTCAGCTCTTAGGTACCTGTTACATAGGAATATATGCTGCTTAGCAAGAACTTGCAGGAGCTGACCAAAAGTCACTGCAGATCCTGTAAACCTCTGCTTGAGCGCATAACTACAGGGTTGAGGCAAGAGCAGCATCTCTCCTCTCCTGACCTGCTCGCTGATAGAAGTCTAGAAACACATCAAAATCAACCATGAAGCACAGAAGTTTGGGGAATGGGCCAGGCTGGCACTTACGTATTTATTGAAAGGGGGCTTAAATTAGGGGCAAAGAAAATAGTATCGCTACTGTTCTGATAATAGTCCTGATGAGTTTCAGGGGGTTATAGGAGAAAAGGGTATGAAGAAAAGAAGAAAGGCAAAGCAGTAAAGAGCAACAAATAACTAAAATAGCACAACTGAGGTGCATGGGAGATGGTTATGCAGAGGCTCCTTCCTGTCAGAAGATGCAGGGTAGAGAGAAAGCTACGTAGCTCTGTCATCTACACTTTTTGGATTTTTGGGAAACATTGACACAAAATTTAGTCCAATTAATAGGATATAAGAGGGTTTACTGTATGCCAGACACCATGTTTCATGTCCTCAAGGATAAGAAAATAAAAGAACAGTTCTGCCCTCTAGAGATATTGCACTTTGGCAAGGGAAATGACACACACAAGAAAGAATAATTCACACCCCACTGAAGTAAGATTGAAAATAAAGATGCAAGAGGTTAGCAGCATGGGAACAGGAGAGAAGACAGTCATGCTACCTATCTTAGGAAAAGCCTCGTGGAGCAGGCGTGAGTATAAAGAACAACCAGGATTTCAACAGACACAGATGAGGGGAATGGACTTTCAGACCAAGGAGAGAGCTTGAAGGGAATGAGGCAGGGAGCCTGGTCAGGCTGCTAATGTTTGGGAAAAAGTGACTCTCTCATGACCCTGGAGCTAAGGGGGAACAGTGAGTGGCAAGTCTGCGTGGAAAGGCTAGGCCAAGTTGTACAGGACCTATGTGAGGCAAGGAAGTTTGATTTTATCTTTCATGGAATGGGGAATACATTGACAGAAATTAAAGAAGTAATTGAAAAGGTTACAATTATGCTTAAGGAAGATGGAGCTAGAAGTATTATATGGGATGGATTAGAGAAAGCAGAGACTGGAGATAGAGAACGTTGTGAAGTAATTCCTTATTGTCTCTTGCATTTATGCATGTATTGCAAGCAGACACTGACTACCTTTGTTTTGAGCTATCTTTTTTATGGATTTTTTTAAGGTTAAAAACCTTGGAGCACAGAGAGTGTCTTTCTCTAGAGCAAAAACAGGTGAGCCTACTGTCTATTATGAAATATTCCATTTCCCTAAAGCTTAGAGGTTCCTCTTCTGTAAGGCAGCTCACTGTATATGCAGGCATTCACCTGGGCCCGTCTTCAGTGCCTCTGTGGAATTTGGGGGTAAGAAAAACTGACACAAATATATTGCTTGCTATGCTGTAATAAAGTACTTTATCTCTCACACAACAATCATGTGTCTCCTGCTGTAACTCATGAAACCATGGCAGGCTAACTTGATACCTGCAAAGTATTGTAAAATCTCAAACTCTTCATAGTTTTTGATGGGTAGATACCCTTAAGAAACTATTTCAATAATCTTAACAGTAAAAGTTAATTTTAGGGAAGAGATAGAATATAGCTTTGTTTATTTTTGTATTCAGAAACCTGACCTTCATATATGATCTATTTTATAATGTCGAGAAAACATTGTGTTATTACAAAGGTAATGTGGGCAACAGAAATCCTGACTCAACCCTATCCATGATCATAATTCGCCTCTTACCCCTTGGAGTGAGTTTCACTCTCTAGAGTCTCAGAGAAGAAGTCTGACTCCAAGAGAAGTTGGGTTTCAGGGATTCCTGTCTTATATAGAGTACTTTTATACTTTGAGTTTGCTTTCAATGTGCCTAAATAAAACCATAAGTTCTGTCTCAAAATATCTTCTCTATTGTAATTATCTGGGTGTTTATCCAGGAACCAAGCACATAGTAGATAATCAATGCATATTTAGAGTCAAGAAGGACAAATGAAATAAAATAATTGAGATTTAGAAATATAAGTAGCTAAGAAATTCTTGTCTTAATTATCTACCTCAACCCCAAAGATAGAGTCACATTTAAATTATTTATTATCTTTTTACGATACGACTAATGCTAGATATTTTTGGAAGTGCCTCTTCCACTTAGTATTTCTGCGACCCTGAATCTCAGTAGTCTTCCGTGAGGTGAGAGGTTGGGCTGGTTAATCTTTTAGATTCCTTCCAGCATTGGATTCCAAGAAGCCTAGTTCATTGAGCTGAGTGCTAATGTTATCTCCAAATTCTTTTTCACTTGAAAGGCATAACCAGAAAAGTTATTTTAGTTGGTGAGAAAGAAAGATGAGTATCTGAGTATGTGAATATGTTAAATAAAAATATCAGTTTTTTCTTGCCACTAATAGCCTTTTGCTCCTTTCATCACTTTGAAGCAAAGTTTAAATGAAAGTGTAGCAATGATTTAACTTTTGAGTAGGTTCATAGTATCTTTAATTTTTTCCAAAGATGGCAAAAAATGAATTTGGATAAGGCATGAGGATGGTGATTTTTTATCAGCATTTAGAAACACCATCTCTGCATTGTAACCTTAGTCATTATTCTTATTATTTGCAACTAGTAATTAGCTTTCTGTTTGCTAGAAGTGTGAAAAATCAGATAGGAAAATTCTTTACCATTGGAAGGAATGGTTTATTAATTGTGATTGCACAGAAACAAAGCCATTTTATGGTGCTGTTTCTCCTGTCAAGTGTAAGGATGGGCATATGGCTGGGTGAGTGCAATTGGTCACCATTGTGTTAAAGAGGCCAAGGTCAAAGGTTGAAATCCAATATGAGACAGTCAGCTCTGCTCTCATCTGCCCTGCCAACCATCTGACAAACAGGAACCTAAGTGGAAGTCAGACCCTGTGGATGGGATGTCAGTTATGACTTCACACATGATGAATGGCAAAAAGGAGGTCACGAAGTCCACTCTGTTTTGTCTGCTTTGAGTTCATGACTTTTTTATATGCAAGTGCAATTTAATTCAACCAATGTTAATTGCTTTAATGTGCTACAACTGTGTGTTAGGTAAAGCGTTTATCTTGACAGTATAATATATACCTATTCTGGAGGAGCTTAGAGTCTCAAATGGAAAGAGAAACTCATGAATAGTGAATTAAATCAAATCAAAATAAACTACAAATAGTATAGAACAGTATGTGGCTAAATACCTACAGTAGTATTTTACACTCACATTTTTTTCAAATAATTTTATTCAAACTATTCATATACGTGTTCAACACCAGTGATTTTATTTCTAGAGCAACTTTTTGAGTCAACCTATGTTTTTCTATAGCAAATTGTCTTCACTTCCAACTAAGCTCTTTGTTATATCAGCCTAAAAGTAAAATCTATGTTATGATTCTGTCCCTGGAAATGTTTCCCTGTGCAAGATTACCCATTTTTGTAACATTAGGACCTTAGGTCAGTTCTCGTCTTTCTCCCTTTTATTCTATCTGGGTACATATTTTATCTTTGCAATGCCGTCACTTACCATATTGCTTTTTAAAATGAACTTTAGAAAGTTGATTTTCAATAATATTCAGTACTTGGAAGAGTGAAATTATATTCTTAGGAATAATGATCAAAACTTTCTCTGTGTTTTAAAAACATTCGTATTTTAATCCATATTTATCTGACCCCACTCCCTTAACTTTTCTCCTTGTTCCTTCTCTGTATACATCTAAATCCTCTATTTGCCTGACTTACTCCACAGAAAGGTCTAAGACTTAACTAAGGCATGTACACTTATTTTTTACTTAACGACTTGGCTATTTTGTCCTGAAAACAATGCTAATATGTGAAAAGTTGTGAAATTTTTAACAAAGTCGTTTTTTGTGAGTTGGAAAGATTACAATCCATTGTATCCCAATACAAAATATTCTAGTAGTTTTTACAGGCTAAAACATTTTGCAATATAACAATAAAGTCAAGTTCATATAAACAAAACGTAAGTTTGCACGTAAAGGAATGCAGGTGGTTTATAAAATGAAATGCACTGAACATTTACTGTATGTACTAAATGATGAAGACAAAAGGTGGTGAGTGTTGGGGATGAAAGGGTTTGAGGGAAAAAGTCTTACTGTTTCCTTATTAATTCTTCAAACTTAATGAGGGTCATGTGTATCTTGAATTTAACTATACTTAAAAACAGTGTAGCACAGGACAATCACATTTAGGGAAAATAAATGCTAAACACAAGAGTGCTTTGAAGGCTATGGAAAAAGCGAATGTGCACATTTTCTATGAAGAGCCATTGAAAATTCAAACGTTTCATCCCACTCTCTTTACACACCCAGAGAAAAATGTTTTGAGTTCCTCTAAATATGGCACACAATTCATATTTGTTCCAAATGATAATCTCTGACTACAGACTTGTATCTTGAGTAAACATGTGTATCTTTGCCTGAAATTATAATTTCAAACTATTATTTCTTGGAGCATATTTATTTAGTGTGTTTTTGGATGAAAAAAATTATTATGAGAAAAAGGAATCTGAAAAGCAGTATGGCTTCTTAGGAGGTACTATTATGAAAATTTACTAACTGTTTAGTAGTCATGTGAGGTGAATCTTTATTTCCAGTCCTAGACATCATCTTTGGACAGTTGGCCTTGGTGAGGTGCTGCTTTCCTTTATTCTCCTCTGTGTAGAGCTTTTCCATCTCTTTCAGCATTGATTTTAATGATCTTTTTAGTGTATTTCCCCTACTGTATTGTAAGATCTTTGAGTTGAAAGAACATGATATTTTTGCCTCTAACAGTTAACTCTGTACCTGGTCCAGAGTTCTTGATAAACAAAAGCATTAAGTCTCCTTGTTCACTTTAACTACCTGCCTCCAGTTGAAGGCAGGTTTCTGTGTTACTTGCTCAATAGACTACTGGAAGTGGTTGCCTGTCTTAAGTTATCTCAATAGCAATCGATAGATCGTTTCATGTCTGAGAGAACATTTCTCTCTATCAAAATTATGTCTGATAACTTGGGTAGAAAAGTACTCCACTGGCCTGGCGCAGTGAGTCATGCCTGTAATCCCAGCACTTTGGGAGGCCGAGGTGGGCAGATCACTCGAGGTCAGGAGTTCAAAAGTAGCCTGACCAACATGGTGAAAACCTGTCTCTACTAAAAATACAAAATTAGCTGGGCATGGTGGCGCATGCCTGTAATCTCAGCTACTCGGGAGGCTGAAGCAGGAGAATTGCTTAAACCCAGGAAGCAGAGGTTGCAGTGAGCCGAGATCGCGCCATTGCACTCCAGCCTGGGCAACAAGAGCGCAACTCTGTCTCAAAAATATAAAAAAAGAGAAGAAAAGTACTCTGCTGATCAACTTTTTATCCTTTTTAAAATTTGAATTTGCCTAAGTTTCAGCTGGAGTAGAATGCTGGGTTTCTCTTTGTAGTGATCTGAGACTATTTGCTCTGGGTACCAGATGGTTTTCTGTTTCACTTGAAAATGAAAACATCTGACAGTCTTTGTTAGGCCATGTGTCAGCAATGTTATTCATGGGGAAAATCTTCCAAATGACATGCCTGTCTCTGAGGGCATTTGTCTGGAGTATGTGTTATGTCTTGCGATGCCTCAGGTTCACACATTAAAGGCACTGGTTCAATCATACATTATTGCAGGTCCATAGGCTCAATGCCAGAAATAAGTCACACTCTGGGAAACGAACATTTTCACTCTTCTTCTGTGGGTTTTACAATGCACTTACAACCAATACAAGAGAAAAAACATCCCATTTTCTTTAAAAAAAAAAAAACGATTCACCTTGCACTGATTTCTTTATGAACTGACAGTCAATAAGTTCTCTTAGAGACTTTATTATCAGCTAAGAAATTGTGCCTGGAAAAACATCCCAACTATCTTCTGACAGGCCTTGATCCACACTCAGTAACCCCTCAAAACATCAGTTTTGCTATGACAATATGTTGATGTCTAGTGTAGAGACATCACTATCAACATGTGCCATACAGTATTTTTAATAATGAAAATGGGTTAAAAACACCGCTCTCTTTCTACCTTCTTGACAGCTGACAGTTATTAGAAAGATGAGTGTCTGGAGGTGGCATTCATGATCCTGGAACAGTTTGCCTCTTTACAGTTCTGCTAATATAAGCTTAGCTTCACTAGCACTGTGCCCAGCCCTTAGAGAAATGAACATTTGATGGGTCATCATTTCAATTTTAGCAAGAACACAAGGACATTTTTGGTGGAGGTAAGTGCAAATGGATACCTGTGCAAGGGGTTGTACTTCTGATTTGGACTTATTCCTGCATATCATACAACAAAACAATGATGGTCAACATGTATTGATCATTTATGTATCAGGAGTTTTTCTAAGCAATGTAAGGATGTGGATCCATTCTAAAACAATTCTATAGGGAACATACTTTATTATTATAATTGGCATTGTTCATATGAGGAAATTGATGCATAGAAAAATGAAATAAATTCGCTAAGATCCACACCTAGTAAGTAGTAAATAGGGATTTTCAGATTGCAGAGCCCACATTCTCAAAGCACTATACCACACTGCCTAGCGGAATGATAATATCTCACTTGAAGAGTGAGATAGCTTAGTTTGTATTCTTTAGCATACAAGGGTGCTATTTTCATAGGGAAAGCATGAACACATGCCTATCCCTTAAATATTTTTCTTTTCAGATGAATAAGTTGTACACATGTGAAGGCTAACAATATCTTTTTTGCAGCCAGTTAATCTAGCTAACTGAGTTAGCCAGTTAGTCTGGAGATTTAGATTAAAAAAAAAAACGTAAATCGACAGCATGTTAACAATGGGCATAAAATGTCTCTTAATGTTTCTTCTTATAAAACTCAATCAACGTCAACTCATAATAAGACCTCTTAGGAAATTAGTATAGAAACTTCTTTAACTCAATAAAGGGCAACTCTAAAGAATCTGTAAAAAAAAATACCATGCTAACTGGAGAGGAGATGAAAGCATTCTTTTAAAAAGTCAGGTAGAAAACGAAGATGTACAGAATTACCACTTATTCAGTCTTGCATTGAGTTTGTAGGCAGCCCAATAAAAAACAAGCAGGGAAGGATTGGAAAAGAAATCAAACAAAATGAGATTTTTAGAAAAATACAAGAGTAGAACTATATGGCTGGATATAAGATCAATGAACAGCAATTAAAAAATAATTTAAAAAACAATTTTAAATAACAAATAGTAAAGAATATTATGTGCTGTTAACTGGCTGAACTATGTGTTTCCCCAAATTCTACCCCCATGAAGTTCTATACCCTGTACCTCAGAATGTGACTGCATTTGGAGATAGTCTTTAAAGAGGTAATTAAGGTTAAATGAGGTCATATGGATGAGCCTTAATTCAACATGACTGGTGTTTTTATAAGAGAAGAAGATTAAGACACAGAGATGCAAAGAGGAAAGACTATGTGAAGACAAAGGGAGAAGATGACTGTCACAAGCCGAGGAGTGAGGCCTCGGAATGAAACCGGCTTGGCTGACACCTTGATCTCAGAGGAAATAAATTTTTGTTGTTTAAGCCACCTGTTCTCTGGTACTTTGCTATGGCAGACCTAGAAAACTAATACAGGTGCCTAGTAGTAAATCTAACAAACAATGCATTCATGCAATTTTTTTTTTATACGTTAAGTTCTAGGCTACATGTGCACAATGTGCAGGTTTGTTACATAGTTATGCATGTGCCATGTTGGTTTGCTGCACCCATCAACTCGTCATTTACATTAGGTATTTTTCCTAATGTTATCCCTCCACCAGCCCCACCCCGCACCCCCTGACAGGCCCCAGTGTGTGATGTTCCCCGCCCTGTGTCCATGTGTTCCCATTGTTCAACTCCCACCTATGAGTGAGAACATGAGGTGTTTGGTTTTCTGTCCTGTGATAGTTTGCTTAGAATGATGGTTTCCAGCTTCATCCATGTCCCTGCAAGGGACATGAACTCGTCCTTTTTTATGGCTGCATAGTATTCCATGATGTATATTTGCCATGTTTCTTAATCCAGTCTATCATTGATGGACATTTGGGTTGGTTCCAAGTCTTTGCTATTGTGAATAGTGCCACAATAAACATGTGTGTGCAACATACATGCAAGTTTTTGAAAAATATTAAATTACTTCTAAGTAAGTTATGATTCCTCATCATGGAATAGGTAGGCTTAATATCAATGATCAATATCCCCTAAACATCATTCTCTCTAAATAATTTAGATATTTGGTATAACTCCAATAAGAATCCTAATAAAATTGATCAGGGAAATGCAAATCAAAACCACAATGTGATATCACCTTACTCCTGCAAGAATGGCCATAATCAAACAAACAATCAAAAAACTGTAGATGTTGGCATGGATGCAGTGATAGGGGAACACTTCTACACTGCTGGTAAATGTCAACTAGTACAGCCACTGTGGAAAACAGTGTGGAGATTCCTTAAAGAACTAAAAGTAGAACTACCATTTGATCCAGCAATCCCACTACTTGGTATCTACCCAGAGGAAAAGTAGTCATTATACAAAAATGATACTTGCACACATGTGTTTATAGCAGCACAATTTGCAATTGCAAGATCATGGAACCAACCCAAATGCCCATCAATCAACGAGTGGATAAAGAAACTATATATATATGTATGTATATATATACACCCACACACAATTAAATACTATTCAGCCATAAAAATGAATGAATTAATGGCATTTGCAGCAACCTGGATGAGATTGGAGACTATTATTCTAAGTGAAGTAACTCAGGAATGGAAAACCAAACATTGTATGTTCTCACTGATATGGGGGAGCTAAGCTATGAAGACACAAAGGCATTAGAATCATACCATGGACTTTGGAGACTTGGGAGGAAGCATGGGAGGGGGACGTGGGATAAAAGACTACAAATAGGGTGCAGTGTATATTGCTCAGGTGATGGGTGCACCAAAATCTCACAAATCATCTCTAAAGAACTTACTCATGTAGCCAAACACTACTGTACCCCAATAACTTATAGAAAAATAAATAGAAAAGATCAGCACCAGTTTTAACAAAATATCCCTTTTGAACGAGAAATCATTACTGTCTTATGCCCTTAGGTGGACCTAAATATTCTTTCTATTGCTCACTGCTCCACAAGCCATGAATACTTAATAAACAGTAACTGTCAGCAAGCAATGTCACAAATGCTATAGAAAGAAAATGCATAAATAATTTTATCATTTCCAAAGTAGGTTACAACTTACAAAGAAACAACAACAAAAAGAATCCTAATCAAATTGAGAAAGTTGAGAAGCTCAATTAATTGATTTAAAAATATAGTCTAAAGAGTAAAGGACCAAAAGTAGTCTGAATATTTGGTGAGAAGAAGAAGAAAGATTACAGACTTCTCCTGATGGATATGATGAGTTCTTATAATACTATAGTAGTTAAGATAGTATGGAATTAGTGAAACGGTTAAGAAACCGGCCAGTTTTTAAGAAACAGAACTACATATAAATGAAATTCTGATATATGACAGAAATAGCATAAAATTACTTGGGAAAGGAGGAGAAGTTCAATAAATGGAGCTGGAAAAATTGGTCATTCAAATGGAAAAAATGAATTTGGATCATTGTCTCGGATCAATCAAAATCTAAACACAAGATACATTATAAATTTGAGTATCAATACAACACTTCAATGCTTTTAGAATAAAAACAATAAAATGTCCTCATAACCTATAGATAGGGGGTGCTTTCTTAAATAAGGCATAAAAATCTCTAGCCATAGAAGAAAAAAGATTGATAAATTTAACCATAATAAAATCAAGAAATGTATTTAAACAGGCAACACTTTAAGTGAAGGAAAAAGAGAAGCCGCAACTTGGGAATAGACCTTTACAACATGTACAATCACCAAAGGATTGGCATCAATAATATATATATATATATAAACCTCTAACAAATCGACAAGAAAAAGGTACACAATAAAACAGAAAAATATGTAAGTTATGAAAAGGATTTTCACCAAAGAAGAAAAAATAACCAATAAATATACTAAAAGAGTGTTAGTCTCACTACTCATCAGTGAAGTAAAAATAAAAATCATAGTGAGATGGCATTTAACAACTCTTTCAATTACCAGAAATTAAGAAAGTTTAAAATTAAGAAATTATCAAGTGTTGGAGAAGTTGAACATCAATGAAGACCTTTTTATTTTTTGCATTACTGGTAGGTATAAATTAGTATAGACTGGGTGCGGTGAATCACGCCTGTAATCCCAGCACTTTGGGAGGCCAAGGTGGGCAGATCACTTGAGGTCAGGAGTTCAAGACCAGTCTGGCCATCATGGTGAAACCCCATCTCTACTAAAAATACAAAAATTAGCCAGTTGTGGTGGCAAGTGCCTGTAGTCCCAGCTACTTGGGAGGCTGAGGCAGGAGAATCGCTTGAACCCATGAGGCAAAGGTTGCAGAGAGCCAAGATTGCACCACTGCACTCCAGAGGGAAACTGTCTCAAAAAAAAAAATATATAATAAATTTGGAAAGCAATTCAAATTTAATTTTAAAAGTTGAACCTCTGCATTCACTACAATTTTAATACTTTACCTAGAGGTTTCAATCCTAGATACATTTCATGAGAAACCAAGGAGACAAAATGTTCTTAGCATCTATATTCACGATAACAAACACTAGAAACAACCCAAATACTCATAAACAGAAGAATCATAATTATATATTACTGCATTCACACAATGAAATATTACACAGCAACATGATTAAACACAGTAGAAAATGATTGATCTATTTTTCTACATGTGGGAAATCCCGAATGAATTTCAGTAACTCGATGATAGAAAAAAATAGTGTCTTCAAAGACTTATACAGTAAGCTATGCTTTCAAAACAAATAAAAACTAGGTTTTAAAGCTGTACCTTTAGCTAGCAGTATAGTGCTCCTTAACTTTGCTTCATGCTCTGTGGATTTTTTCCCATTTGGGAACTTACATAATGAGGTAGGTAAAAGGCAAAATTTGGAATTTGGTAATCATGTCTTGCCAAAATAATGCTCAGTTTACAAATATCTGTTGGTATCATGTTCTGATCTGATTTACAGGATTATCACCCAATTTCCAAAACACATAGTTAGCTGATTCTGCCTTCAGTCCTTTCTTGGTAATATTTTACTCTCTTTCATTCATTACCTTACAGTTCAGTAATTTCTGTCTGTCTGTCCTTTCTTCTAACTCATTCTCCATCTTCGGATGGTGATGGAAGTGGGAAATATTAGTGGTAGTAGTATTTTGTATCTTCAAACAATACCTAACAATTTTTTTGTATCTTCAAGCAATATCTAACAAAATTATTTCCATGCAGCACTGCAAAACAAATAATTGTTGTAAGAATCTATTCATCAATTATCTGAAATCTGAATTTTCAACTTTAAATAGAACTATTTTGTGATAATAGCTACCATTTAGTGAAAAATAATGTATAGCTACTTTTCACCTATTATTAATAATTCTTATATTAATGATGAAGAGTAGGTATTAATTTTACCATCTTACAGAGGAAGAAATTGAGGTAAGACTTCCTTGCCAAAGGTCACATAGTAAGTAAATAAAACAGCTTTCCTTGACTCTATACACTGTTATGCTTTCTGTCTTGAAAAGCCTTTCAAAAACTCTATTTTGTTTTCATTTCCTTGTCCACCATATTTTTAATGGTAATTATAGCAAAGCCAATAACCAGAGCTGTTTACAAACTGCCATGTGGTAATGTTATGGAGTTGAGAAAGGTTTAAAATTGTGGTGTTCAATTAGATTAAAAACTTTTTAGCAAACAATCCAAACATAAAAACTTTGTTCAGTTTTTATGGGAATATAAAGGGAGTCTTTGAAGCAGCGTTCAACAATGTAAGGACAAATCCCCTCACTTATCTCTATGACATAGCCTTATGTCATTCAGGAGTAAACTTCCTCTTGTCTGAATTACTAAAATTCTGATATAATTCACCATTTTTGTACATCTTATATATTTCTGATATTATAGTTAAGTCTGAAAAAAATCATGAAGGACATGGGTATATCTTACATTCCTTCATATTCCCTGTATATTGTATAAAAGAGCACTATGTATAGTAAATACTCAAACATCAGCTGCGTTAATGTATCCTCCACCATGGTGGACTAAGGAGACATCAATTTCCAATACATAAATTTAAATGAGCTTATGCTGCCTGATATTGGGAAAGAGCATGATGATGTTGGCAGATGAGGTTTAAGTCTCTTTTTTGTTATTTACTAATTTTTTTTAACTCATAGCACCAACCTCTTGGAGCCTTCAGTAACTTAGTATTGTTCAGAAGAATCATATTTTTTCATCTGTAAAATGATGATAATATCAGCCCTACTTATTTCATAGGATAGCTCTATGGCTCAAATTATATATAATGCATGTGGAAGTGCTGCTATGCCATTTTAAGTGATTATGCTGGGGCAGGGTTGTGGGAATGGCTAGAGAGTCAGTAAATTCATCTACACTGAACTTAATTAATTCCTTCTATAATCCTGATCACTGAGAGAATAACAAACCATCCTTGTGGTAATGGACATGAAAGGTCTTGGGCAATGCCATACGGGGTGCTTTTAACAAAACTAAGGAACACATCCATGATTTCTGGCTTTGAATCATGCACTAACTTCCATCAAAACAAAATAGAGTAAAAGGGCATCAAAATAGTGTTCACTTTATAATAATTGTGGGTGTCTATAAAGAAAGATTTTTACAGTACTTTCATTTTTGCATATGAAATTATCTTTTAATGTTGCTAACCTCCACGTAGACACTCTTAATTACTGCTATTCACTTCATGCATTTCAAAGAAGAAAAGCTTTCTTATTACTCACTTTACATACTTAAAAATCACAACAATGTTGGAAGACAATTTCTGCAAACCAAACTTAAAAGCTAAGATTTCAATTTTCTAGAAGAAAGCGAATAAATAAATCTTTATGACCTTGGAATAGAAATAGATTTCTTAGCAGGACAGTAAAAAGTGACAAATTATGTTTCATAAAGTTAAACATTTTGATCATCAAATGAAAAAGCAAGCCAAAGGATACAGAAATATTAACAATATGTGTATCTGAGAAAAAAATGTACATTTAGAATATACGAAGAATACTTACAACTCAGTATTAAAAAGATAACATAAAATGATTAAGAGGCGTGGACACTTTATAAAAGAAGATATATAAATGACTAATAGGCACATGAAAATTTATTATTATCAGTGAAATGCAAACTAAAAACAAAATGAGATACGTATTAGAATAGGTAAATTAAAAAGACCTAGAATACCAAATGTTGGTGGTGATATGAAGCAACTGGACTCTCATAAGTTGCTTTGGGAAACAGTTTGACAGTTTCTTGTAGTTACCCGATGCCCCAGTAATCCAAACTGATTACACTAGAAAAATAAATACATAGATCTACACAAAGATCTTCACAAGAATATTTGTAACATCTTCAATTTTATTAGCCAAAATCTGGAACCAACTCAAATATCCATGAACAGGTGAGTGGATAAACACATTGTGATACAGTCATATGATGGAATACTTCTCAGCAATAAAAAGAATTAATGATTTGTGTAAAAACTTGGATAGACACTTATGATTTATGTAAAATTATGATTTATGTAGACATAATGATTTATGTAAAAAGTGCACAGACATTATGCTGAACGCAAATCTACCACTGTCGTGGTAAAAAAAAAATCAGACCAGTGATTCTGCTGGAGAATCAGGAAAATGGGAAGAGGAAAGAGTGAAATTTCTGGAATGGTGGAAATATTATGCATTGTTCTATACCCATATTATTAATAATTCCCTAAAGGCTGGATTTTAGAGTCAGTTCCAAATTTGCGATAATTGCAGTATATACAATGAAAACAACCTATGCACAATACTGATAAAATGTATCTACACTTTGATTAGGAAAATCTTTGTGGTCCTTGCTAAATTACAATATTCAATAGAAGATCTTCATACCATTTGAAAACACAATTTTTTCAAGGTCAATTTTATGTAGCTGATACTATTTCAAAGCTATAGCCAAAGTCTTGTTTATCTGATGAAGTTACAAGACTCTTTACAATTTGAACCATATAATCAAATTGTCTCTTGGTATTCAAGAGGTACTCTTCTTCACCCTTGATCAGTTGTCACCTTAATTAGTTTAAAGGTTATACTAGTATATTAATGTAGATAAATTTGATCTTAGAAAAATATACAATTTCATGGATTAGAAAATAACTATTCAATGATATGGTAAAATATATATATTTTATAATTATTAAATATCAAAATATTTTTCTAAATTGATTATGTGATTGCTTCAAGAGGAACTCATGTTACATTTTCTTGTAATGGAGTTGAAGTTCTTGACTATTTTTTTCCCTTAAATATAATTAAATATTTTGGCTGATTGCAGCGGCTCATGCTGTAATCCCAGCACTTTGAGAGGCCGAGGCAGATGGATTACTCGAGGCCAGGAGTTTGAGACCAGCCTGGCCAACATAGTGAAACCCCGTCTCTACTAAAAATAAAAAAATTAGCCAGGCATGGTGGTGCATGCCTGTAATCCCAGCTACTAGGGAGGCTGAGGCACAAAAATTGCTTGAATCCCGGGAGGCAGAGGTTTCAGTGGGCCGAGATTACACAACTGCACTCCAGCCTGGGTGGCAGAGTGAGACTCTCTCCTCTTTCTGTGTATGTACGTGTGTGTGTGTGTGTGTGTGTGTGTGTATATGTATATAAAATTAAATTTTCTGTTTTTTCAAGGAAGTCCATCGATATAGAAACCCTATGATTTTGGAAGAATATATGGTTGCTTGTGAATACAACAGCTTATATACATGCATATTTATATCACCATCACTGCATATATACACGTGTGTACACACAAATACAAACATATATGTACACCGCAGAAGTATACAAACAACAGAGGTTTTATGTTTAATTTTAGTTATTTAGATCAAGAAGATGGTCCTATTGAATGCACAGTTCACTTATTTTTATAAAAATAAACCTACAGTCTAACATGTCAAAAATGGAGTTGTAAGCTACATTCCACCTCAGTATAACTGAACAAAATTTTTATGATGTAGAAGAAGCCTTAGAGAGAGATCTCTAGTTGCTGGTAAATTTCCCAATAGCTAGGGCAAGAGTTGGCAAAGAAAAAGAGCAGTTGTTGTAATTAATGGGACAGAGTTGATGCTGTAGTTGGCTTGAAATGTAATACGGAGACAGCTAGGCTTAGCTTTGAAAAATTGTACGGAAGAGATGCTTTGATATTGGTGATAGTTCACTCAGATAATTCAACAAGATTTAATCAATTTAGTTCCCAAGTGACAAGAAACTGATGAGGTAGAGTGACATGTAAATCACATAGCAGAGGGGAAGAAATTGAGGTCCAGTTTTTATGTTTCTAGAATTATGTTATTTGAATGGCTATTTCTCATGGATAACCCAAAAATCAGCAGCTTGGAAAAATTTGAGCCCCAAAGTCACAACCCACTGTGGAAGAAATAGCTTGAATATGACTCTCTTCAATCACTAGTCTAAGCATTGTCGATGATTAAGAGCTTTATCTCCCCTTCAAGCAAGAGAAAAAGAACGTGACAAGTTGGAAGAATGTAGCAAGATGTCAGTTGCCATTCTGAATGCTCTGGTTTGGGTTATGACTGGTCATTAATTTTGTTGTTGCCTGAAGATACATCTGCTAAAGTGTTATTTTCAGAAAATCACTGTTCTCATCTCCAATTCTTTATTCCCCAGGGCAATTTAAGTATTTTTAAAGAATATATTTGTACCAAGAAGAGAGAAAAAAGCAACCATAGAATAGGGTCGTTGTTTCAGTTTGGGGGACCAGAGCTTCCCTAAGTGGATGGAGGTGTTTAAAGGACTCTGCACATTTCCAATTATCACGCTGCTGATAAAGACATACCTGAGATTGGGCAATTTACAAAAGAAAGAGGTTTAATTGTATTCACAGTTCCACGTGGCTGGGGAGGCCTCACAATCATGGTGGAGGGCAAAGAGGAGCAAGTCACATCTTACGTGGATGGTGGCAGGCAATGAAACAGGCTTGGGGCTGATGGCTGGCTGCTTTCTTAGTGCCGCTAGAGCTTTCCACCCCTCCTCCCCAGATCCTAAAATGTCGATGAGAGCTGTTTGCTTTTTCCAGAGTAACTGAGCTGGGCAGTAGTTCAGACCTAAAAAGAATTTTTTAAGAAAGCTAGATGTCCTGGTCCCTGAGTTTTCCTCAGAAAGTTCTGTTGTCTCCAAAGGCTCCTAGAGGCCACGACTTCTATTAAATTTCCTGCTCTACCTCATTGGGCAGAAATTGCTAATAAAAACATGCTAGAATATTATTTTCAGCCCGTTTAAGGCCAGCATTTACCTTGGTCTAATAAACTGCATTTTAAAAAATCCACGGTCATTTCAGACAAAAATGAAGTAAGAAAGGAAAGGTAGTAATTGAACTCCATTTCTGAGCCTCTAGTCAAAATAATTTTATAATTTAGGATATTCATTCATATTTTAAGTTGTTTTGAGAGGAGAACATATTGTATTATACCTAAACTTGTGTAATATTGGAAGGCCACTTGTTAGCAGTATAGAATAAGCTCTTAATAACTTTAAAAAGTGAAACTTATGCTAAAGAAATTCTGAAATTAGAAGCTTTAACCTCCTGCTTGACAAGACTTATTTCATGTCTGAATTGCTTATCTCACTTAGAATTCTGACTCCAGGCAGAGAGGAGTCTATCTCGGATTCTGCACCTTCTCCATCAGTGAGCCCTCTGTCAGCACTGTATAAATAATTAATTATTGTTAATAACCACCATCACCATCTTCTCTGTTTCTCTCCCCTGAATAATACAGCCGGCACTTTTCTGATAAACTTCAGGGAGCAGGTTTATTATTTGGTTTCTGTGATAAATAGGAAGTGGCAAGCATGCCCAGGGGCACAGAAAATTTCCAATAATAGTGACTAGGTGGAGTGGCTTCTGAGCCACACGAAATCAAGTCTATTTGAAACATTTTTCATTGATTTGAAAACTATAATTAGGCTATTTTGACTTACAGGATTTATGAAGTGGCAAAAATTTAAGTTCTGATTTTTAAACAGTCAGAAAATATTTGTTGAGTTCTTCCTGCTTGTTAGGTACTTCAGGAAACCCACTTAAAAAGAATGTCCTCTTTTCCTTGCTATGCCTGCAATTAAGTTCATGCCAAGGAATGCGCTCTCTTCTCCCTTTTATGAACTTTCCCAAAGTGTAGCTACGGTCATCATTCCATCTTTTTGTTTGATAAAAACAAAGATTCTAAGCATTGCTAAATACAAAAAAAATGCTAATTATATTGATGTATCTGTTTTTCCTTCTATTTTTTCCAATTATATTTAGAATTTATAATTATTTGGAGAAAAGAGAATTAAATACCAAGAGTTAATAAGATATCCATTCTCTATTTGCCACCTGATATGGTCTGGCAGTGTCCCCACCCAAATCTCATCTTGAATTATGATTCCCATAATCCCCATGTGTCATGAGAGGGACCCAGTGGAAGGTAACTGAATCATGGGAGCAGTTTCCCTCATGTTGTTATCATGATAGTGAGTGAACTCTCATGAGATCTGATAGTTTTATAAGCATCTGGCATTTCCTCTGCTGGCACTCATTCTCTCCCCTGCCAACCTGTGAAGAGGTGCCTTCCACCATGATTGTAAGTTTCCTGAGGCCTCCCCAGTCATGTGGAACTATGAGTCAATTAAACCTCTTTTCTTTACAAATTGCCCAGTTTTGGGTATTTCTTCATAGCAGTGTGAGACGGACTCAAACAGTAAATTGGTACCACAGAGAGTGCGGTACTGCTATAAAGATACTTGAAAATGTGGGAGTGACTTCAGAACTGGGTAATAGGCAGAGACTGGAACAGTTTGGAGGGCTCAGAAGAAGACAGGAAAAATGTTGGAAAGTTTGGAACTTCCTGGAGACTTATTGAATGGCTTTGACCAAAATGCTGATAATGATATGGACAATGAAGTCCAGACAGAGGTGGTCTCAGATGAAAATGAGGAACTTCTTGGGAACTGGAGTAAAGGTCACTCTTGCTATGCTTTAGCAAAGAGATTGGCAGCTTTTTGCCCCTGCCCTAGAGAGCTGTGGAACTTTGAACTTGAGAGAGCTGATTTAGGATATCTAGTTGAATAAATTTCTAAGCAACAAAGCATTGAAGAGGTGACAGAGTATAAAAGTTGGGAAAATTTGCAACCAGATGATGCAGTAGTAAAGAAAAACCCGTTTCGTTTTCTGGGGAGAAATTCAACTCCTCTGCAGGAATTTTCATAAATAATGAGGAGATAAATGTTAATAACCAGGACAATAGGGAAAATGTCTTCAGAGTATGTCAGAGACCTTCCTGGCAGCCCTTCCCATAACATGTGCAGAGACCTAGAAGGGAAAAATGGTTCTGTGGGCAGGGCCCAGGGCCCTCCTGCTCTGTGCAGCCTAGGAAGTTTGTGACCTGTGTCCCAGCCATTCCAGCCATGTCTAAACAGGGTCAAAGTACAGCTCAGGCTGTGGCTTCAGAGGGTGCAATCCCCAAGCCTTGGAAGCTTCCACGTGGTGTTGAGACTGGGGATGCCCAGAAGTCAAGAAATGAGGTTTGGGAACCTCTGCCTAGATTTCAGAGGATGTATGCAAATGCCTGGAGGTCTAGGCAGAAGTTTGCTGCAAGGGAGGAGCCCTCATGGAGAACTTCTGCTAAAGCAGCACAGAAGGGAAATGTGGGGTCAGAGCCCACACACAGAGTCACCACTGGGGCACTGCCTAGTGGATCTGTGAGAAGAGGGCCACCATCCTCCAGACTTCAGAATGGTAGACCAAGTAACAGCCTGCATTATGTGCCTGAAGAAGCTACAGACACTCAGTGACAGCCCGTGAAAGCCCCTGGGATGGGGGTACTATATTCTGCAAAGTCACAGGGACAGAGCATCCCGAGACCATGGGAGCCCACCTCTTGCATCAGCATGACCTGGATGTGAGACATGGAGTCCAAGGAGATCATTTTGGAACTTTAAGGTTTAATGACTGCCCTGTTGGATATCGGACTTGCATGGGGCTTGTAGCCCCTGTGTTTTGGCCAATTTCTCCCATTTGGAATGGGTGTATTGACCCAATTTCTGTACCCATATTGTATCTAGGAAGTAAGTAACTTGCTTTTGATTTTAAAGGCTCATAGGCAGAAGGAACTGGCCTTGTCTCAGATGAGACTTTGGACTTGGACTATTGAGTTAATGCTAAAGTGAGTTAAGACTTTGGGGGACTATTGGGAAGGCATGATTGTGTTTTGAAATGTGAGGACATGATATTTGGGAGGGAACAGGCATAGAATGATATGGCTTTGCTGTATCCCCACCCAAATCTCATCTTGAATTGTAATTTCCATAATCCCCATGTGTGGTGTGAGGGACCCAGTGGGAGGTAATTCAATCATGGGGGCAGTATCCCTCATGCTGTTCTCATGATAGTGAGTTCTCACGAGATCTGATGGTTTTATAAGTGTCTGGCATTTCCCCTGCTGAAACTCATTCTCTCTCCTGTTTCCCTGTGAACAGGTGCCTTCCACCACGATTGTATAAGTTTCCTGAAGCCTCCCCAGCCATGTGGAACTCTGAGTCAATTAAACCTCTTTTCTCTATAAATTACCCAGTCTCAGGTATTTTTCATAGCAGTGTGAGAACAGATTAAAATACCAATATGATTTGGCTCTGTGTCTGCACCCAAATCTCATCTTGAATTATAACTCCCTGAATTCCCACATGTCATTGCAGGAAGTTGGTGGGAGGTGATTGAATTATGGGGGTGGGTCGTTCCTATGCTGTTCTCATGATAGTAAATGAGTCTCACGAGATCTGATGGTTTTAAAAAAACAGGAGTTCTTTGCTTGCTGCCATCCACGTAAGATGTGACTTGCTCCTCTTTGCCTTCCACCATGATTGTGAGGCCTCCCCAGCCACGTGGAACTGTGAGTCCAATTAAACCACTTTCTTTTGTAAATTGCCCAATCTCAGGTATGTCTTTATCAGCAGTGTGAAAACAGACTAATACAAATACCAACTCATCTAAAGAAGCTGTGGAAATATTTCAATTGTGTATATTTGCATGTGTGTGTGTCTGTATAGTCAGTATCTAATGAAATGAAAAACACCTGAAAATAATAAAAATGAATAGAAAATTTACTGACTATTAAACTGTGACAAAGCAGAAGAAGGTTCTTATCCACACACCTTAAATATCAAGAGGTGGTAAAAGGGATAGAGTCTGAGGATTCAGAAGAATCTCTTAGCCCCTCTTTTACCACCACCTTCTAGAAGCAGTACCGGTGAGTTGACAACATCCTGTAAATCCTTATGAATAGCTGACATTTTCAAAAAAATTGTCTGAGGATATTTTCTGTTTCCCCGTTTCAGATGAGGGAGAGCATAAACAGTTGGTGGGGAGGTGTAGATGAAGCATTCAGGGCTGAAGAACCGAGGCTTAAGACTATATAAAGAATTAGAAAGATTTGAACTCCAAGGGTAACTTAGACATTTCAGCTATCTCAGAGAGGACAGGGCCAAGCTCCATCAGCAAAAGGTGCACGTGCCTTCAGAAGAGACTTTCCCCACCATCGCTTCCCAGAACTATAGAACACGAGACTCCAATTATAGCCAGTGAGGCTATGAAAGAGAATTTAAACATCCTATGTCAGAAGAAATGAAAACTTTAATAAAGGATCTCATATTAAGTATGATCAAGATGAAAACAACTAGTATGATAATATGGAAATGAAACAAAGCAAACATAAAATCAATGTGCAGGAGAAGAGTGTAGAATTTTCTGAATAAAAGGCAACCTAAGAACATGTTTCTAAAAAGCCCCATGAGACTATAAAATATTTTAATGAAAACATGAATTTAATAAAATACAAGATCAAATAAGAATATGAATCTAATACATCTTAAGATCAGAGACTAGATGATAAAACAACTACACAGGATGAAAAGGAAAATAGCAGAGTCAAAGAAACAAATTGAGACCCCCAAATAACACCAACACAGAACAATAAATTAGCAATAGCAAGGGACAGAGGAGACAAGAAAGAATAAAACTGCATACTGTGCTGGATGTTTTCCATTTGGCTGTAATGGCACTGTATCCCCAGTGGCCAACCAGAATAAGATAATACATCAAAGGTTTCTCATTCTGGGGCTTTTGGCTGTGTTTAGCTAAAGGGACGTACCTGCCAAAGACTGGAGCGGGGTAGGAGACTGAGGTCTGGGTAGTTTTCTCTTTGGCCAGCTCCTCACAGGATCAGAGGATGAGAGTGGGCTGGCTGCCAGCCTTCTCCAAACCATAGGCCCCCTCTACTGTGCATATTCGCTGTCTTTGTCCTCCTCTCCCTCTACCCCCATCGCCTTCTCTCTTTCTGTATTTCTCTTTGAGTTTCTGTAACCACTTCCTTGCTTCACCACTTCGCATCTGGGGAGGTAAGAACTCTTCTTCCCACAATTCCTGTCACTGCACATCCCTTGGGGTTTTCCTATGACCTTCCCACACATTTATTTCTTGAACTCTCCCCAAATTACCACATTTGATTGTGCTGTTTCCTGACTGATAACACTGACAGAGAAGAAAGACGAGAAAAATGGAGTAAATAAAAGACAATGATATTGTAACAACAGATATGATAGCAGTTAAAAATAAGATTATTAAGCAATTTGTGCCAGGTACTTTTTAAGGGCTTTACATATATCTTCATCTGACACAATCAACACAACAATAGGAATTATCATTTTTATTTCTCTAATAAAAAGATATTTTTAAAATTAGCTTTAAGAAGTTAAATTGCTCAGTGGTCACAGAAATAGGAAACGGAGAAGCTGGGGCTTGAAGCTGGCCAGCTTGGCTCTAGTGCCAGTACTCTTCATCGCTATATTCCATCACGTTCCTTTTTAGGTGTGGAGGGTGGAGACAAACCTATAAATGATAAGTGATATTTCAGAATAACTCAGTGAATGAAACAGAAAAAGCATCAGTCAAAAGTGTAACAAAGGAGTGATCCCTAAAATTAACAGTTGACTCTATAGCTTAAAAAGGCACGTTTTGTTTCAGGAAACTGGATTCAGATCAATGGATGCCAAGAGTATTAGACCTTAAACGTAAGAATAATGTTTTTTTGTTTTTTGGTTTTTGTTTTTTTTTGCAGATTTTTTCTTTCTGCTAGAAGGCCTTTTAGGAAATAATATCTCCTGCAGTGAAGAAACTTTTATGTACATTTCAGATTCTTTCAGGTTGACTTCCAGTTTTTTCCCCTTCTGTTTAATTCAGAAAGTAAAATGGTTGCCTTTTATTACAAAGTAGCATTTATAATATGATCAAAGTATTCTAAAATTATTTATATCTATCTTTCTGTGTATCTTCTACATATATATGAATAAGAGAATTTCTGAATTTATGATTGTCCAATGTTAATGAAAGTTAAGTGCCAGTGGTGAATTTGTATACCTTACTTTTTTCTTTACAATGAACATGAATAATTCTTACAAGAATAACACTATTATTCCTAACATGAAAGAATATATAATACATACATTTAAGAAACGTTTTTAGCTGCAAATAGCAAAATTTTCTCTTTGTAACACACACATTTAAGTCTTTGTCTCTGGCAGGATTAAAGGGATGTTCAAGGAATGGGGTGATTTTATGTACATAGACTTGCTAACTCAGAGCTATTAAAGCAAGTATCTTTATAATTCTAGAAAATCAGGCTGCCTTTCAATCTTTGAAACTAATCTATTAAACTTAATTTTTCTTTTAAGTCTAAGAATCTTGTAGGAGTTAAAGAGTTGTCATTATGGGCTCAAATTCTCAACTATGATATACTCCATGTAGAATTATAAAGTATTGATCTACTTTTGTCCAGATTCCAGGTCATTCTTTAGTTTTAATAAAAGACAAAAGTCCTTGCTTTCTTTTTCTATATATCGATGTTTTCTTTTTAATTTTTAGCTGAATGCTGAAAAAGGCAAAATCCAAGATATGAACAAGATAGATTTTATTTCATTATTTTCCAATAGTGCATTTATTTAGTGGCCTTGTTAGGAATTATGCAATATGCAACTGATTTGCTACCTCTTACACAGAGAAGGATAATGGAAAAAATATTTTACTTCAATTGCTTAATATCAAAGCTGATCCCTGTGCTCACTGAAAAAAAAATGCAGAATGGAAGTTATCATTTTGTCCATTGACTCAATATTCTTATTTTTATGTTTATTCATTCACAAACTATATATACATATATATGATAAAGGGATTTATTAAAAATTAATATTTATAAAGTTGAACGAGTCAAGTCAATTCAGTATTCTTGTATCTTATTCAAAACTATTCAGATTGCAGTTCAGCCAGAATATTCATTCAATTAATAGATGTTGATTGAGCCTTCATCCTAAGCAGGCATACTGGGGGGATAGCGTTGAACAAGAGAACACCCTTGCTACATGGCACTTACTTTGCAGCAGGATAGAAAGCCAAACTAACTACTTGTGCTGCTTGAGAAAACTGGAAACACAAATGAAATTAAAATTATTGATCTTGTATAAATGTAACCAAATATTACATGAAAGGGGAAATACGAGCAAAGCAGATTTAAAACCAAACCTAAATTATATTATGACACAGAATAAATATAGAATATAAAGTAAAAGAAATAAACAACAGCAGCAGTAATACCTTTATTTTGGATGATGTCCTGTGTTAGAATTTATTTTGTGAGCTATTTCTTTGAAAGGCTCAGTTACAGTTATCTTAAACATCATCATTGTAGGGACTTTTACAATAATTATTTCCTAAATCATTTTCAATCTTAGAAATTTGGGGTCTATCTTGCAACAACTGAAGATTTTTAACTTGTTGAACATTTAAATTTAAGTTTATGACTATCTAAAACTAAAAATGTATTACAGAAGGGAGGATCTCTACTAGCCAGATTTTTCTGTCTTTCATTCTACAAATAATGTCAAAGAAAATTTGTCAAACATGGAAATAGGCAAAAGGGATTCCTAGGTCCTTTCGGTGGACTGTAAGACATTATCAAGTGGATCTTTGGGGAAATTATCTGATTATCTAGGGGTAATGCACCTCTGTCTTTCTATTGCCTGGAGTGATTTATAGCTCTATAGGAGTAAAATATTAAGTTGTAGGAAGCTGAGAATAATGCAAATTATTCTTGTTTAGGATTATTTATTCTCTGTAGAAAATATAATCCAAGCTTTATATTTTATTATTCTATAAGATATTAATTTGTTTTACATTTATTAGCAAATGTATTTCAGCATTTCTAATTGTCTGTATACCTATATGTCTATTCTTCCAATTACCTTTAAACCCATTCCAACATCGGACTGATTTCCACACTAATTAATAAATTATATAAAATCTTTGTCACATACACATTTTATATTTGCATGAGTCTCATGGCTTACAATTTGAAATATTGTGCTTAAGTGGTAAAAATATTAACTTAAGTAATATCTGCATTTTTGAAGATGAAGGTTATTTCTTAAATTTCATTTTGTTTTGTTTGGTGTTTTGTTTTTAAGCACAAACAGAAAACAAAATATTTCAGAAAAGTTTGTTTGCATGCACTGAATGTAAAATTAGCCTCCTAGTTTAAAAGATTGATTTTTAAGTATATATGTTTAAATTTGTTTGAATCACTTTGTAACTCCTTAGAATTGCCATACAATTTTACAAGTACTTCCAGTCTATTATTTTATTTGTAGTCTCAACACCATCAGAGGCAAAAAGGGAGAATGTATTATATTCTATATTTAAAAAAAAGCACCAAGTTGTTAACTGGCTTGGATTCTCATAATTAAACAGGGAGAAGTTTGTAATACTCTGAACAGATCTTTGGCCTTCTGTTATATGATCAGATGGTGTAGGTCTTTTTTTTGCTATAATGAATGTTGAAATTATGGATGAAATATCATTCCCTGCCTTTTCTGGTTTTGCTGAATGAGTGCAAGTTACTTTGCTCAAGTTGGTGAGCAGATTCTTTTTCACTAAATAATGCAAGAGTTAACTAATGTCACAGAAATGAACAAGGAGCTTTTGTTTTACCATCATAGCTTATGCAGAATTTGGCTATTTTGTAATTTAAACCAATTTCAAAACAGCAGCTTAGTTTTAATATATTTCTTATTTTGTGAACTTGCAATCATTCTAGATGAAATTTAATTTTTAATCTTTTTAAATTAAAGAGTGAAGTAAAGACCAGGGTATTTCCAACAGTTTTGTGAAGAGGAGATTTCATTCCACAAAGCCGTGAAACCTTGGGGGAAAGGGGAAAGGCAAAGGTTAATAAATAGCTAAATCTAATAGTTTCTTCCTTCTGACAAGATGAGCAAATCTCAGAAAAAAGAAAATTTATCATTTCGTTAATGCAATAAATATATATTTTTTGAATGCCTTCTGTGTGTCAGCCACTGTGCTAGAGAGGCTGGTGGGGGGTGGTGGGGGGGCAGTACAATGTGGAATAAGATTGTCTCGTGAATGTATGGAAATTGTAGTAAAGGAAACAGAAAACAAATAGCAAATAAGGAAGAGGAGACAGTAGTTGAGAAGTGCCACCACTGGAATAGGTACCAGATGATATGGAAGCACAAGAGCAGAGAACTAACCCAAGTTCTAAAGGGCAAGAAAGATGGTGGCAAAGAAACCAAGGATTTGTATAGTAAATAACTTACTCACATTATTTAACCTTAGTTTCCTCATCTTTAAAGCATCCATTTATGTACCTCCTCATGGATTTGGTGTGCAAAGAAAAAAATTTTGTGTATAGTGTTAAGCACATAAAAGAAATAATCCATATAACAAACTCCATGACAGAAGCTCACCTATGTAACAAACCTGAACTTGTACCCCAAACTTAAAAAGTTTTAAAAAGGAACAAAAATAGTCTATGGGTATAGACATAACTGAAAAAAGTATTAAATATTAACCATCATCATTACTCTTATTATAACTAATAATAAAATGGAATTTGAAGGATGAGTAACATCATCCCTTAGAAGAGGAAAGAGGGACAAGAAGAAATTTCATATCCAAAGGCTTAGAATGAGAGCAAGCTTAATGAAATTCTACCACATGACTGGATCTAGAGTGATTGAAAGAGGCGACAGAGGTAAGCTGGAAGATCAGGAGAAATACAAATCATATAGGGACTTACAAAACACCTCAGGAATTTGGAATTTATCCTAAAATTCATGAGAGGTATTAAAAGATTTTTTTTTCAAGTGGGCTGTGATATTTTCAGGTTTTCATCTTGCAAGAATCTATTTGAGTACAGTTTGGAAAATGTGTTGAAATGTGGCAAATTTGAAGGATATGGGTAGACAATTACAGAAACATATATGGAAAATGACCCTATCTTGAACTGATCTAGAGACACTGAAAATGAAAAGAAGTGGATAGATTTGCAAGTTATTTAGCAGATGGAATCAACTTTTTGAGATTAGAAGTAAAAGACGAGATAGGAAGGATTGAAAGAAGAACCCAGTGTCTACTTTAGGTAAATGAAATGTGTGGCTAGTGGTAAATCTTCACTGATTTGGGGATGCAGGAGGAGGAAGACAAAGAAGGAATGGAGGAGGAAGGAGAGGTTTTATGGGATTTGATACATTCAGATTTGGCCATGTTAGGTTCTGAGACAGACGATGAAGTGAAAGGTCTTCACAGGTTGCTGGATCCATGATCTGGAGCTTAGAAAAGATATCAAAGATGGAAACAGAGATTTGATAGTTGTTGCAGCATAGATATATTCCTGGAATTATATATACACATGCCCCTGGAAAGACATCTTATTTGCAGAATCAAACTCAAACAAAAATTCCAATTTGTATTTGTATCTATCTCAAAAACAATAGTCCCAAAGCAAGTCCTCAGCAACTCCTATTAAGATCTTTTGACTTTCACTGCTGTCTAGAAAATCTTGAGTCACCTATTCTCACATTTTTCAAATCCTGCCCTTTCATGGCGTTACCCACACTGTCTCATTCCCTCTGTCCTTACTGCATGCCATGTTTTGAACTTGTCACAGCCCCCCAACTTCATGGAAAGCAGTTCTTCCTTTTTGATGGCTTTTTCATGAACATCATGGACATGTACCAGGAACAGTTTTGAAATCTACTCACATAAAACAATCTACTGGCAAAAGACCTATTTACTACAATGAATGCACTTAAGCAGTAAGCTTTTTATTCTGTTTCTTAATGTGTAAAGCCAGGCTAAAAATGAAACCCAAAAAAACAAATACAATTAGCCCTTATATGTGATTATTTGGGTTTGGGTTTGTTTGTTTGTTTTCTGATGCAGTCTCGCTCTGTCACCCAGGCTGGAGTGCAGTGGCATGATCTCGGCTCTCCACAACCTTCGCCTCCCTGGTTCAAGTGATTCTCCTGCCTCAGCGTCTTGAGGAGCTGGGAGTACAGGCACATGCCACCACGCCCAGCTAATTCTTGTATTTTTAGTAGAGACAGGGTTTTGCCATGACTACAGGCACATGCCACCATGCCTGGCTAAATTTTGTATTTTTAGTAGAGATGGAGTTTTGCCATGTTGGCCAGGCTGGTCTTGATCTCCTGACCTTGTGATCCACCCGCCTCGGCCTCCCAAAGTGCTGGGATAACAGGCATGAACCACTGCACCTGGCCTTGGGGGATGTTTTATGGAGAGGAATAACATATTTTCTTTTGAGCCTCAGAAGGAGATCAAAAGGTAATAAGAGTAATACCATCTTCCTGAATTCCAAGTATTAGGGAGTTGTACCAAACAGAAAGCTGTTTCAGGTTCTAGGACACAGAACACTTTCATGCTTGTGAGTAACAAGCATGTCTCTATGGCCGTACTCCAAGTTCTGGATCTGGGTTTATTAGGTAATTATGCAAAAATAAACCAAAAATTGAAGTACATAAATACATCTATCTCCATCTATTTTTAATTTGTGGAGGAAACATTCTGATTTTTTCCACCTGTTTTTTCCCCCCTGAAACGTTATAAGAAAGGCAAGTGGTAGCTGCAGGTATTGAGGACCTGCCTCAGCCTCCCGAGTAGCTGGGACTACAGGCACGTGCCACCATGCCTGGCTACTTTTTGTATTTTTAGTAGAGATGGGAGTTTTACCATGCAGGCCAGGCTGGTCTCGAACTCCTGACCCCAGGGGATATGCCCATCTGAGCCTCCCAAAGTGCTGGGATTGTACGTGTGAGCCACCGTGCCCAGCCTAAATACTGAAATTTGCTTGTAGCTTATACCATCCATTGGATCATTTAGATCCTCTTTCAACACCACCGAGACTGTGTCAGGACTTTTTGTGTATGTGTATATTTTGGATTTTAGATTAAAGAAACTTCAAATGCACCCTTCCACCCACTATTTAGGAATTAATTTCTATGGCAGTCAGTTTGCCACTTGGATTGAGGGATTTGAGAGTCTCCACTTGTGGTTGCTTTTATCTGTGTCATGTGGGGAGGAGCAACAATGAAGAATGTTGCTTATGTCTTACGCTATTGTCATCTGTCCAACCTATTTTATGTAAATTTCCCTTAATGACATGTTATAGATATGGTCTGCAATATTGGAATTTCCACTGTGAAGTTAATGTGTGGAGATAAATTTTGGCATGACCACAACTTGGTCTTTACATACCTGGAGTCCGCTCATTGTTACAGACCATAACAGCCCCAACATCAAAAATGCTGAAGGAAAAGCATGGATGAAGTTCAAAACTCTGGGTACAAAGTTCTGGATGTATTTATAATTTTTATCTCCTTATGTTGTGGTCATTCAGCAGCATTTATCTATGTATATTTGAGTCAGTGTGTGGAGTTTCATTCATTCATTCTCATTACTATATTCACTTTTGTTGAATACAGTTACTCTTGTGTAAGGTGTTTATTTGCTGTAAGTAAAACACGTGTTCCATTGCCCTTCCAAAGGGAAATCTATAATGTCTTTTATTCTCTCTTCTACTTAATCAACAAAATGCATTTGTTTTAAGCCATGATAATTTTTGACCTTGAACAATTCATAAACCACTCCAAAATAAGTGGTTTGCAAGCAAAAGAAGGGATTAAGCGTTTCATGAAATAATCCCATTATCAAATAAGAAACTTCAGTTTTAATTTTTAGAAATTTTACCAACTCAAATAGTGTCTCAAAATCTCTCATACTGATGTTTATTGGTGATATAAGTTGACTGTTGATATAGACACAATTACCAGGAAATAGATACCCAAATATCCATCTTTACTGCTTCATGCACCTTACTTCCATTCACTAAATGGTGCATACCAGTCAATTCATTAGGCCAATTTGAATAGGTATGAAAAATCTCCAAGGAAGAAAAATAATCACCAAGAAGGTAGCACTGTACTGGGGGGGGGTCTTCATTTCTCCAAACATTTTGTTGAGAGAAAGCAGGAGAAGGTATTTGCAAAAGAGGGGAGAATAATGAAATCATTGCCTGCTTCCTTCCTTAGCACATATGGTACTAAATGAAGTATTGGATATCACTGGTGTTCCTTTCTTGTGGTTGAGGCCAGCTTACATACTGAGAATCCTAAAAGGCATAGAATATGTTCCTGGAAATGTCAAGCTCTTCTTGAGTTGGGGCACACATTAGATTCTCAGTTTTCTAACACCCATAAAGCAGAAGAAAAGACAAAAATCCTATAGTGCACAATGACTCTGACATAAATGACCCAGTTATTCAAGAACAGCACAATGTATTACGAAGAAAGATAGAGTTCTTCCCATGGGACAAAGACTATAACTTCATACTAAATGACAACTTTAGGAGTATCTTAGAGTAAACAAAATAAGGACCTATATACAGCATTTCTTTTCAGGTCCTATGATATGACATGTTTCAAAGCGGAGTTTTGTAAACGCATTTTGCTGTCTGGGAGGAGGGGGCAGAAGATGGGAGGGGTGGCGTCTCTGACACTCAGATTTCTCAAGGATGCTTACTGGTTTATGGGTCACTCAGGTCCATGGATCTTACTTCTCTTAACTGAGTTTCTAAAAAGAACTACGCTGGAGTAGCTTTGATATCATATCCTTTAATTAACAAATGTATTGAGTATAGCTGCTTGGTGTTGCTGGCCAAGGAAAAACCATAAACTTACATAATCAGCATGAACCTTATCAGAAAGCTGCATCACTTCTGCTTGGGCATAAACTGAGAGTTTTTTTTCCACAGCACTACAGTATTCCTCAAGAGAACATTGTGGATGTTTTCTAATAAGACATTTTTAAAGGTGTGGTCAGAGTCTCGAGTTTTTACTGGCAGAGAATGGCCATATTTTATTATATATGTAATTCGATGGACATCTAAATTATGACTTTCTGTTTTGGTAAAACATTCATAGCATATCTAGTGCTGAACCATGTAATTTACCCTCTAGTCCCCAAGATAATCAGGTCATAATGTATAGATTTTAGCTTCAGTTACTAAATGTGATTTATTTTAATACTTGGTAGTCATAGAGCAAATAGTTAAAGATAAAAATCTCTACAGTGCCTGAAAAAAATTTTCTGAAAATGTATCTGTAACTCTTTTAATATTTTTTTGTTATTTTATTACAGAAATCATGTATGTTTCTGGTAGATAGAGAGTATGAGTAAAATTTAAAGACACATATTCTTATCAACCAGAGAAAACCAAGTAATATTTCTCTCTGTTTTTTCTAGGCATTTTATAAATACATACAATTTATACTTCACAGCCCATTTTTGTTCACAGAGTCAAAAGTTGATGAAAACAGAACAAAACGTGCCAACTAGCTTTTTTTTGTTTGATACAGATAGAACATTTTAATAGAAGAAATTGTGTATTTTTAACTTGTCAGATCCCAATGTAGAACACTAATTGGAGAAGCCTAATTTTTCAATTTTTCAAGGAGGAAAGAGCACACATTTTATATTAAATGTCCAGTAATCTAATGAGCCTATAACTAAGAGACAGGAAAGGATTCCATTTTAAAAAGTTAAATAGACTATAGACTTCAATGTTGGGAACATCCATACAGAGTGGTCCTTGAATAATTTTGAGGTAGAAAATATCTTTCATATATAGACAAACTGCTATATTTTGTCTAATTGTCTCTGAATAATGATTGAATGTTATCATGCAGGGGATTTAAAATTCTGGCCTAAATAAGGCTTTCAGTATTTAAATGATTAGTTAAAATGTACATAAAAAGTAAATTAAGGACAGTCACAAATTCTCTTGTTATTTCACCCATGTTATTTCAAGGTTGAATCTGAGCTGAGTATATTTCTTGCCAATAGGATAGAATGTGAGAGAAAATGTAAGATAAGTAGCATTCTGAGATATCTAAGACTATAAAATGCCTTGCAGCTTTTACTTTGGTTTTTTTGGAACACTTATTTTAGGGGAAGCAAACTCCATGTAACTAGTGCAAGCCTAAGACTCCATGTTGTGAGGAAGCCCAAGGTAGCTACAGGAAGAGAAGCAGATGCCTGAAGCTTCTGGCTGTTCATCTATTCAAGCCCAGGTACCAGATTTGAATGAAGAAGCTGTTAGAGGACTTCATCCTTAGCTGCTCTGTGGCTGAAACTCTATGAAGGACCCCAAGCTGAACATACCATCTGCAGAACCATGGGTGATGAAAAAGTAAGGACTGAGATTTGGAGTAGTTTATGATACTATAGTAAGTAGGTAACTGGAACACCCAGGTTGTAACTGAAAAGAGCCAGCCCATAGTCAACTTACCAGTTTTATAGCAGGAACATTAAAGAGCCTTGAAGTATACACTTTTGGTGAAATAGAACATTTCTTGAGAGGGATCAGGAGACCCAGGATTTAGTCCTAGTTCTGCCACTGCAAAGTATGTACGGTTGGGCAATCAGTTAACCTCTTTCAGTTTTTGTTTCATCATCTGTAAAATGAATGATTGGGACAAACAAATTTTAAAGTATTGTGGAGTTCTAAAATGCTTGAGTTAATAACTTGGAATCAATAATGGGTAGACCCAGGTTGCCTGTATTTTTTAATTCCCTTAGGCTCTTAAGTGCCATCATAACCAAGCAGGGAGGAAATAAGAAAATTATGAGCCCCACTGATGGTAACTTGACTGTTTCATATATTCCCTCTGAGAAATTTTTGGCTATGCCAGGAATATAGCAGTCATGTAGTGGGAAGGTTTTGCTGAATCATAATACCTTAGAATTAGAAAACTGGCTTCATGCAGGGTGAGCAAGCCTATGTTTCAAATTTATTTCCAGAAGGAAGCTGTTATTAGAGTCTTTGCTATAAAGGAATCAAATACCAAATGCCTTCTTGTCTTAGAATTCATGCTACTTAGATGACTTTCTTTTTTTTCTTTTTCTTTCTTTTTTTTTTTTTTTTTGAGATGGAGTCTCACTCTGTTGCACAGGCTGGAGTGCAGTGCTGTGATGTCGGCTCACTGTACCCTCTGCCTCCTGGTTCAGGCAATTATCCTGCGTCAGTCTCTCAAGTAGCTGGGACTACAGGTGCGTGCCACCACACCTGGCTAATTTTCTATTTTTAGTAAAGATGGGGTTTCACCATGTTGGCCAGGCTGGTCTCGAACTCCTGACCTCAGGTGATCCACCTGCCTTGGCCTCCAAAAGTGCTGGGATTACAGCATGAACCACTGTGCCCGGCCTTGGGGAAGTTTTATGGAGAGGAATAACATATTTTCTTTTGAGCGTCAGACGGAGATTCTAATGGCAATAACAGTAATACCATCTTCCTGAATTCCAAGTATTAGGGAGTTGTACTGTACAGAAAGCTGTTTCGGGTTCTGGGCCACAGTACACTATTTCATGCTTGTGAGTAACAGGCATGTCTCTATAGCCATAATCTAAGTTCTGGATCTGGTTTATTATGTAATTATGCAAAAATGAACCAAAAATTGAAGTACATAAATACCTATATCTCCATCTATTGTTAATTTGTGGAGAAAACATTCTGATTTTTCCACCTGTTTTTTTCCCCCTGAAACAATATAAGAAAGGCAAGTGGTAGCTGCAGGTATTGAGGACCTGCCTCAGCCTCCCGAGTAGCTGGGACTACAGGCATGTGCCATCATGCCTGGCTAATTTTTGTATTTTAGTAGAGACAGGAGTTTGACCATGTAGGCCAGGCTGGTCTCGAACTCCTGACCCCAGGTGATCTGCCCACCTGAGCCTCCCAAAGTGCTGGAATTGCAGATATGAGCTACTGTGCCCAGCCTAAATACTGAAATTTATTTGTAGCTTATACCATCCATTGGATCATTTAGATCCTCTTTCAACACCACCGAGCCTATGTCAGGACATTTTGTATGTGTATATATTTTGGATTTTAGATTAAAGAAACTTCAAATGCACCCTTCCACCCACTATTTAGGAATTAATTACTATGGCAGTCAGTTTGCCACTTGGATTGAGGGATTTGAGAGTCTTCACTTGTGGTTGCTTTTATCTGTGTCATGTGGGGAGGAGCAACAGTGAAGAATGTTGCTTATGTCTTATGCTATTGTCATCTGTCCAACCTATTTTATGTAAATTTCCCTTAATGACATGTTATAGACATGGTCTGCAATATTGGAATTTCCACTGTGAAGTTAATGTGTGGAGATAAATTTTGGCATGACCACAACCTGGTCTTTACATACCTGGAGTCCACTCATTGTATGTAAAATTTTATAGACCATAATAGCCCCAACATCAAAGATGCTGAAGGAACAGCATGTATGAAGTTCAAAACTCTGGGTACAAAGTTCTGGACGTATTTATAATTTTTATCTCCTTATGTTGTGGTCATTCAGCAGCATTTAAGTATCTGAGTATATTTGAGTCAGTGTGTGGAGTTTCATTCATTCATTCTCATTACTGTATTCACCTTTGTTGAATACAGCTACTCTTGTTTAAAGTGTTTAGTTGCTGTAAGTAAAACACGTGTTCCATTGCCCTTCCAAAGGGAAATCTATAATGTCTTTTATTCTCTCTTCTACTTAACCAACAAAATGCATTTGTTTTAAGCCATGATAATTTTTGACCTTGAACAATTCATAAACCACTCCAAAATAAGTGGCTTGTAAGCAAAAGAAGGGATTAAGCCTTTCATGAAATAATCCCATTATCAAATAAGAAACTTCAGTTTTAATTTTTTTAATTTTTAGAAATTTTACCAACTCAAATAGTGTCTCAAAATCTCTCATACTGATGTTTATTGGTGATATAAGTTGACTGTTGATATAGACACAATTACCAGGAAACAGACACCCAAATATCCATCTTTACTGCTTCATACACCTTACTTCCATTCACTAAATGGTGCATACCAGTCAATTCATTAGGTCAATTTGAATGGGTATGAAAAATCTCCAAGGTAGAAAAATAATCACCAAGAAGTGAGCACTGTATTGGGGGTCTTCATTTCTCCAAACATTTTGTTGAGAGAAAGCAGGAGAAGGTATTTGCAAAAGAGGGGAGAATAATGAAATCATTCCCTGCTTCCTTCCTTAGCACATATGGTACTAAATGAAGTATTGGATATCACTGGTGTTCCTTTCTTGTGGTTGAGACCAGCTTACCTACTGAGAATCCTGAAAGGCGTAGAACAAAATCCTAGAAATGTCAAGCTCTTCTTGATTTGAGGCACGCATTAGATTCTCAGTTTTCTAACACCCATAAAGCAGCAGAAAAGACAAAAATCCTGTAATGCACAACGACTCTGACATAAATAACCCTGTTATTCAAGAACAGCACAATATATTAAGAAGAAAGATAGAGTTCTTCCCATGGGACAAAGACTATAACTTCATGCTAAATGACAACTTTAGGAGTATCTTAAAGTAAACAAAATAAGGACCTACATAGAGCATTTCTTATCAGGTCCTATGCTATGACATTATTCAAAGCAGAGTTTTGTAAAAGCATTTTGCTGTCTGGGAGAAGGGGGCAGATGATGGGAGGGGTGGCGTCTCTGACACTCAGATTTCTCAAGGATGCTTACTGGTTTATGGGTCACTCACGTCCATGGATCTTACTTCTCTTAACTGAGTTTCTGAAAAGAACTAGGCTGGAGTAGCTTTGATATCATATCTTTTAATTAACAAATGTATTGAGTATAGCTCCTTGGTGTTGCCGGCCAAGGAAAAACCATAAACTTACATAATCGGGATTGTCCTCCTATGGCATAAACTTTACCAGAAAGCTGAATCACTTCTGCTTGGGCATAAACTGAGAGTTAATTTTTCCACAGCACTACAGTATTCCTCAAGACATCATTGTGGATGTTTTCTAATAAGACATTTTTAAAGGCGTGGTCAGAGTCTTGAGTTTTTACTGCTAGAGATTGACTGTATTTTATTATATATGTAATTTGATGGACATCTAAACTATGACTTTCTGTTTTGGAAAACATTCATAGAGTATCTAGTGCTGAACCATGTAATTTATCCTCTAGTCTCAAGATAAACAGGTTATAATGTACAGATTTTAGCTTCCGCTACTAAATATGATTTAATACTTGGTAATCATACAGCAAATAGTTAAAGATAAAAGTCTCTAAAGTACCTCAAAAAAATTTTCTGAACATGTATCTATAACTCTTCTTTAACATTTTATTATTATTTTATTACAGAAATCATTTATGTTTCTGACAAAGAGTATGAGTAATAATTAAAGACCCATATTCTTATCAACCAGAGAAAACCAAATAATATTTCTCTCTGTTTTTTCTAGGCATTTTATAAATACATACAATTATACTTCACAGCCCATTTTTGTTCACAGAGCAAAGGCTGATGAAAAGAAAATAAAATGTGCCAACTAGCTTTTTTTGTTTGTTACAGATAGAACATTTTAATAGAACAAATTCTGTGTTTTTAACTTGTCAGATCCCAACGTAGAACACTAATTGGAGAAGCCTAAATTTTCAATTTTCCAAGGATGAAAGAGCACACATTTTATATTAAATGTCTAGTGATCTAATGAGCCTATAGCTGTGAGACAGGAAAGGATTCCATTTTAAAAAGTTAAATAGACTATAGACTTCAATGTTGGGAACATCCATACAGAGTGGTCCTTGAATAATTTTGAGGTAGAAAATATCTTTCATATACAGACAAACTGCTATATTTTGTCTAATTGTCTCTGAATAATGAATGTTATCATGCAGGGGATTTAAAATTCTGGCTAAAATAAGGCTTTCAGTATTTAAATAAATTGTTAAAATATACATAAAAAGTAAATTAAAGATGGTCACAAATTCTCTTATTTTACCCATGTTATTTCAAGGTTGAATCTGAGCTGAGTATATTTCTTGCCAATAGGATAGAATGTGAGAGAAAATGTAAGATAAGTAGCATTCTGAGCCATCTAAGACTATAAAATGCCTTCCAGCTTTTACTTTGCTCTTTTGGAACACTTATTTTAGGGGAAGCAAACTCCATGTAAGTAGTGCAAGCCCAAAACTCCATGCTGTGAGGAAGCCCAAGGTAGCTACAGGAAGAGAAGCAGATGCCTGAAGCTTCTGGCTGTTCATCTATTCAAGCCCAGGTACCAGATTTGAATGAAGAAGCTGTTAGAGGACTTCATCCTTAGCTGCTCTGTGGCTGAAACTCTGTGAGGGAGACCAAGCTGATCATACAATCTGCAGAACCATGGGTGATAAAAAAGTAAGCTACTGAGTTTTGGAGTAGTTTATGATACAACAGTAAGTAGGTAACTGGAACACCAAGGCTGTAACTAAAAAGAGCCAACCCATAGTCAACTTACCAGTTTTATAGCAGGAACATTAAAAAGCCTTGAAATATACACTTCTGGTGAAATAGAACATTTCTTGAGAGGGATCAGGAGACCCAGGATTTAGTCCTAGTTCTGCAACTGCAAAGTATGTACAGTTGGGCAATCAGTTAACCTCTTTCAGTTTTGGTTTCATCATCTATAAAATGAATGATTGGGACAAAATGAATTTTAAAGTATTGTGGAGTTCTAAAATGCTTGAGTTAATAACTTGGAATCAGTAACAGGTAGTCCCTTGTTGCCTGTGTTTTTTAATTCCCTTAGGCTCTTAAGTGCCATCATAACCAAGCAGGGAGGAAATAAGAAAATTATGAGCCCCATTGATGGCAACTTGATTGTTTCACGTATTCCCTCTGAGAAATTTTTGGCTATGCCAGGAATATAGCAATCATGTAGTGGGAGGGTTTTGCTGAATCATAATACCTTAGAATTAGAAAACTGGCTTCATGCAGGATGAGCAAGCCTGTGTTTCAAATTTATTTCCAGAAGGAAGCTGTGATTAGAGTCTTTGCTATAAAGGAATCAAATACCAAATGCCTTCTTGTCTTAGAATTCATGCTACTTAGAGGACTTTCTTTCTTTCTTTTTTTTTCTTTTTTTTTGAGATGGAGTCTCACTCTCTCGCCCTGGCTGGAGTGCGGTAATGATCTCGGCTCACTGTAAACTCCGGCTCCCGGTTCAGGCAATTCTTCTCCCTCAGCCTCCTGAGTAGCTGGGACTACAGGTGCGTGCCACCACACCTGGCTAATTTCTTATTTTTAGTAAAGATGGGGTTTCACCATGTTGGCCAGACTGGTCTCGAACTCCTGACCTCAGGTGATCCACCTGCCTTGGCCTACCAAAGTGCTGTGATTACAGGCATGAACCACCGTTCCCGGCCTTGGGGGATGTTTTATGGAGAGGAATAACATGTTTTCTTTTAAGCCTCAGATGGAGAATCAAATGGCAATAACAGTAATACCATCTTCCTGAATTCCAAGTATTAGGGAGTTGTACTGTACAGAAAGCTGTTTCAGGTTCTGGGCCACAGAACAGTATTTCATGCTTGTGAGTAACAGGCATGTCTCTATAGCCATAATCCAAGTTCTGGATCTGGGTTTATTATGTAATTATGCAAAAATAAACCAAAAATTGAAGTACATAAATTCATATATCTCCATCTATTGTTAATTTGTGGAGGAAACATTCTGATTTTTCCATCTGTTTTTTTCCCCTGAAACAATATAAGAAAGGCAAGTGGTAGCTGCAGGTATTGAGGACCTGCCTCAGCCTCCCGAGTAGCTGGGACTACATGCACATGCCACCATGCCTGGCTAGCTTTTGTATTTTTAGTAGAGACAGGAGTTTTACTATGTAGGCCAGGCTGGTCTTGAACTCCTGACCCCAGGTGATCTGCCCACCTGAGCCTCCCAAAGTGCTGGGATTGCGGGCATGAGCCACTGTGCCCAGCCTAAATACTGAAATTTATTAGTAGCTTATACCATCCATTGGATCATTTAAATCCTCTTTCAACACCAAAAAGACTGTGTCAGGGCCTTTTGTGTGTGTGTCTATTTTGGATTTTAGATTAAAGAAACTTCAAATGCACCCTTCCACCTACTATTTAGGAGTTAATTTCTATGGCAGTCAGTTTGCCACTGGATTGAGGGATTTGAGAGTCTTCACTTGTGGTTGCTTTTATCTGTGTCATGTGGGGAGGAGCAACAGTGACGAATGTTGCTTATGTCTTACGCTATTGTCATCTGTCCAACCTATTTTATGTAAATTTCCCTTAATGACATGTTATAGATATGGTCTGCAATATTGGAATTTCCACTGTGAAGTTAATGTGTGGAGATAAATTTTGGCATGACCACAACCTGGTCTTTATATACCTGGAGTCCACTCATTGTTACAGACCATAACAGCCCCAATATCAAAGATGCTGAAGGAAAAGCATGTATGAAGTTCAAAACTCTGGGTACAAAGTTCTGGACATATTTATAATATTTATCTCCTTATGTTGTGGTCATTCAGTAGCATTTAAGTATCTGAGTATATTTGAGTCAGTGTGTGGAGTTTCATTCATTCATTCTCATTACTATATTCACTTTTGTTGAATACAGTTACTCTTGTATAAGGTGTTTAGTTGCTGTAAGTAAAACACGTGTTCCATTGCCCTTCCAAAGGGAAATCTATAATGTCTTTTATTCTCTCTTCTACTTAATCAACAAAATGCATTTGTTTTAAGCCATGGTAATTTTAGACCTTGAGCAATTCATAAACCACTCCAAAATAAGTGGTTTGTAAGCAAAAGAAGGGATTAATCTTTTCATGAAATAATCCCATTATCAAATAAGAAACTTCAGTTTTAATTTTTTTTAATTTTTATTTTACCAACTCAAATAGTGTCTCAAAATCTCTCATACTGATGTTTATTGGTGATATAAGTTGATTGTTGATATAGACACAATTACCAGGAAATAGACACCCAAATATCCATTTTTACTGCTTCATACACCTAACTTCCATTCACTAAGTGGTGCATACCAGTCAGTTCATTAGGCCAATTTGAATAGGTATGAAAAATCTCCAAGGAAGAGAAATAGTCTCCAAGGAAGAAAAATAATCACCGAGAAGGGAGCACTGTATTGGGGGTCCTCATTTCTCCTAAACACTTTGTTGAGAGAAAGAAGAAGGCATTGTGCAAAACGGGAGAATAATTAAATCATTCCCTGCTTCTTTCCTTAGCACATACGGTACTAAATGAAGTAGTGGATATCACTGGTGTTCCTTTCTTGTGGTTGAGAGCAGCTTACATACTGAGAATCCTGAAAGGCGTAGAACAAAATCCTAGAAATGTCAAGCTCTTCTTGATTTGAGGCACGCATTAGATTCTCAGTTTTCTAACACCCATAAAGCAGAAGAAAAGACAAAAATCCCATATTGCACAATGACTTTGACATAAATAACCCAGTTATTCAAGAACAGCACAATGTGTTAAGAAGAAAGATACAGTTCTTCCCATGGGACAAAGAGTATAACTTCATACTAAATGACAACTTTAGTAGTATCTTAGACAAAATAAGGACCTATATAGAGCATTTCTTATCAGGTCCTATAATATGACATCATTCAAAACAGAGTTTTGTAAAAACATTTTGCTGTCTGGGAGGAGGGGGCAGAAGATGGGAGGGGTGACGTCTCTGACACTCAGATTTCTCAAGGATGCTTACTGGTTTATGGGTCACTCAGGTCCATGGATCTTACTTCTCTTAACTGAGTTTCTGAAAAGAACTAGGCTGGAGTAGCTTTGATATCATATCCTTTAATTAACAAATGTATTGAGTATAGCTGCTTGTTGTTGCCGGCCAAGGAAAAACCATAAACTTACATAATCGAGATTGTCCTCCTATGGCATAAACTTTACCAGAAAGCTGAATCACTTCTGCTTGGGCATAAACTGAGAGTTAATTTTTCCACAGCACTACAGTATTCCTCAAGAGATCATTGTGGATAATTTCTAATAATACATTTTTAAAGGCGTGGTCAGAGTCTCCAAGTTTTACTGCTAGAGATTGGCCATATTTTATTATATATGTAATTTGATGGACATCTAAATTATGACTTTCTGTTTTGGTAAAACATTCATAGCTTATCTAGTGCTGAACCATGTAATTTACCCTCTAGTCTCCACGATAATCAGGTTATAATGTATAGATTTTAGCTTCAGTTACTAAATGTGATTTATTTTAATAGTTGGTAGTCATAGAGCAAATAGTTCAAGATAAAAGTCTCTACAGTGCCTGAAAAAAATTTTCTGAAAATGTATCTATAACTCTTCTTTAACATTTTATTATTATTTTATTACAGAGATCATTTATGTTTCTGGAAGTGAGTATGAGTAATAATTGAAGACACAGATTCTCATCAACCAGAGAAAACCAAATAATATTTCTCTGTTTTTTCTAGGCATTTTATAAATACATACAATTTATACTTCACAGCCCATTTTTGTTTGCAGAGTCAAAAGATGATGAAAAGAGAACAAAATGTGCCGACTAGCTTTTTTTGTTTGTTACAGATAGGACATTTTAATAGAAGAAACTGTGTATTTTTACCTTGTCAGATCCCAATGTAGAACACTAATTGGAGAAGCCTAATTTTTCAATTTTTCAAGGAGGAAACAGCATACATTTTATATTTAATGTCTAGTAATGAACCGATAGCTATGAGACAGGAAAGGATTCCATTTTTAAAAGTTAAATAGACTATAGACTTCAAGGTTGGGAACATCCATACAGAGTGTGGTCCTTGAATAATTTTGGGGTAGAAAATATCTTTCATATACAGACAAACTGCTATATTTTGTCTAATTGTCTCTGAATAATGATTGAATGTTATCATGCAGGGGATTTAGAATTCTGGCTAAAATAAGGCCTTCAGTATTTAAATAAATTGTTAAAATATACATAAAAAGTAAATTAAAGACAGTCACAAATTCTCTTGTTATTTCACCCATGTTATTTCAAGGTTGAATCTGAGCTGAGTATATTGCTTGCCAATAGGATAGAATGTGAGAGAAAATGTAAGATAAGTAGCATTCTGAGACATCTAAAACTATAAAATGCCTTGCAGCTTTTTCTTTGGTCTTTTGGAACACTTATTTTGGGGGAAGCAAACTCCATGTAAGTAGTGCAAGCCCAAGACTTCATGCTGTGAGGAAGCCCAAGGTAGCTACAGGAAGAGAAGCAGATGCCTGAAGCTTCTGGCTGTTCATCTATTCAAGCCCAGGTACCAGATTTGAATGAAGAAGCTGTCAGAGGACTTTATCCTCAGCTGCTCTGTGGCTGAAACTCTATGAAGGACTCCAAGCTGAACATACCATCTGCAGAACCATGGGTGATGAAAAAGTAAGCTACTGAGTTTTGGAGTAGTTTATGATACTATAGTAAGTAGGTAACTGGAACACCCAAGTTGTAACTAAAAAGAGCCAGCCCATAGTCAACTTACCAGTTTTATAGCAGGAACATTAAAGAGCCTTGAAATATACACTTTTGGTGAAACAGAACATTTCTTGAGAGGGATCAGGAAACCCAGGATTTAGTCCTAGTTCTGTAACTGCAAAGTATGTACAGTTGGGCAATCAGTTAACCTCTTTCAGTTTTGGTTTCATCATCTATAAAATGAATAATTGGGACAAAATGAATTTTAAAGTATTGTGGAGTTCTAAAATGCTTGAGTTAATAACTTGGAATCAATAACAGGTAGTCCCTGGTTGCCTGTATTTTTTAATTCCCTTAGGCTCTTAAGTGCCATCATAACCAAGCAGGGAGGAAATAAGAAAATTATGAGCCCCATTGATGGCAACTTGATTGTTTCACGTATTCCCTCTGAGAAATTTTTGGCTATGCCAGGAATATAGCAGTCATGTAGTGGGAAGGTTTTGCTGAATCATAATACCTTAGAATTAGAAAACTGGCTTCATGAAGGATGAGCAAGCCTATGTTTCAAATTTATTTCCAGAAGGAAGCTGTGATTAGAGTCTTTGCTATAAAGGAATCAGATACCAAATGCCTTTTTGTCTTAGAATTCATGCTAGTTAGATGACTTTCTTTCTTTCTTTTTTTTTTTTTTTTTTTTTTTTTTTTTGATGGAGTCTCACTCTGTCGCCCAGGCTGAAGCGCAGTGGTTTGATCTCGGCTCACTGCAACCTCTGCCTCCCGTTCAGTCAATTCTCCTGCCTCAGCCTCCTGAGTAGCTGGGACTACAGGCACGTGCCACCACACCTGGCTAATTTTCTATTTTTAGTAGAGACAGGGTTTCACCGTGTTGGCCAGGCTGGTCTTGAACTCCTGACCTCAGGTGATCTGCCCGCCCTGGCCTCCCAATGTGCTGGGATTACAGGTATGAGTCACCGTGCCTGGCCACTACTTAGATGACTTTTTAAGGGAGAAAACACAAAACTCATGATTAATTCAAGTTTTAATTTGTTGTAGGGAACTTGAAATCCCCTTTTGCTTTTAATGTTGCACCAAAATCCATCTAAATTTCAACCTCTGAGGACTTTGGATTTGTTATATGAAAAGATATTTAATGAAGACTAACTAAATGTATTATAGTCACTGAATGTGGCAGGGTAAAAGTCTAGGACCCATGTTTTCCCTTCAAATGATTCATAACACCTCCAGGAGAGAACACATGTTTAAAAAATAGAAATATTAATAATGAAATAAAGTTATATAGGAGATATTGATAATGGTTATATAAATAATCACTTTCAGGGTTTTTAGACTGAGACTCTGGTGTATTCTACTAGGGGCCACATTTAAATCCTTTTGACAGAAGCATGTTTGATAGTCATTAGGAAATCTGGGTTTAGGGACAGGAGACAAGGTGGAAGAAAGGAAAAAAAAAGAAAGATGATATATGAAATGCATTCATAAGAGGGTTGTACCTTCTTAGGCATGGTGGGAGCATGATCACACACACACACACACATGCACCCACACACACAAGCTGAACCTTCTTCCTCTTTCATTTAAAACATTGAATTGGTTATAGCTACTTGCAGTGTTCTGTCCCTAGCATTACTATTTCTCTGGCAAAGATGGAGTAAGGGTTGGGGAGTTTCTTCACCTTGACCCAAGTGATTTGAATTACATTCAGTCTTCATATCATCACAGAACAACAAACAAGACGAGACTAAGGGTTCATATAATGGGTCAGGGTTTTCAGCTTTCTCAGCTTGAATATAATTCAGAATGAGCTGTCCCTGAACATGTCTGGGACATGTTCTGGGAAGCTGACCTACAGGAAGCCTAATTTACATCAAGATCAAGGGCCTCAGTGATAATTACATTAGAGTATTCCTGGAATTCCTTTTTATTTTGGGATGAGTCACTCTTTAAGCAAAATACATGTACTGCGTACCTTTGTGGTGCTGCTGACTGGTATGTGTAGCTTGAGTATCTCATATTTAAGCACTGCCTAATGTGTGTCTGAGCTCTAGCCACACATTCATTTACTTAAACACTTTGCCTATACATAATTATTTACATTTACTCTTTACCTATGCTTTTACCTACAATGTTCCAACTTTCCCACCTCATTCACTTTTCTTTAATGTCTCCACTGATCCACTTCATGGAATAGGTCAAGCACCATCTCCTTAAGCAAACTGCAATAGCCTTGACAAGGCACTTCATAGCACACTGCAAACCTTTTGTGTTCTTTGCTATGCTGTTTTACAAAGTTTTTATACCCCCACTTAACTATAAACTCCTTGAGGGCAAGGACAATGGTTTGTTTCTTAATTTTTACTTTAGATTCAGGGGCACATTTGTAGGTTTGTTTTATATATATATGTACACACATACATATATATATACACATATATACATATATATACACATATATATACATATATATACACATATATATACATATATACACATATATATACACATATATATACACACACATGTATGTGTGTGTGTGTGTGTGTGTGTGTGTGTGTGTGTATGTGTATATATATATATATATATATATATATATATATGTTGTGTGTCACAGGAGTTTGCTGTACAGATTATTTCACCACCCAGATAATAAGCATAGTACCTGATAGGTAGTTTTTTGATTCTCACCCTCCTCCTTCCCTCTACCCTCAAGTAGGCCCCGGTGTCTGTCATTTCCTTCTTTGTGTCCATATGTACTCAATGTTTAGCTCCCACATATACGTGAGAACATGCAATATTTGGTTTTCTGTTCCTGTGAGAACATGCAATATTTGATTTGGTTTTCTGTTCCTGTGTTAGTTCGCTTAGGATAATGGCCTCCAGCTCCATTCATGTTGCTGCAAAGGACATGATCTTGTTCTTTTTATGGCTGTGTAGTATTCTACAGTGTGTATGTGCCACATTTTCTTTATCCAGTCTACTGTTGTTGGACATTTAGGTTGATGCCATGTCTTTGCTATTGTGTATAGTGCTGCTATGAACATATGCATGCATATGTCTTTATGGCAGAACAATTTATAGTTCTTTGGGCAGATATCCAATAATGGGGTCACTAGGTCAAATGATAATTCTGCTTTGAGTTCTTTGTGAAATCGCCCAGCTGTTTTTCACAACGGCTGAACTAGTTTACATTGCCACCAGTAGTGTGTAAGCATTTTCCTTTCTCCAAAACTTTGCCAGCATGTTATTTTTTGGCTTTTTAGTAATAGCCATTCTGACTGGTGTGAGATGGTATCTCATTGTGTTTTTGATTTGCATTTCTCTAATGATTAGTGATGCCAAGCATTTTTTCATATGCTTGTTGGCTGTGTGTATGTCTTCTTTGAAAAGTGTCTGTTTATGTCCTTTGCCCACTTTTAAATGAGTGGCTTTTGCTGGTTGATTTATTTAAGCTCCTTATAGATTCTGGATATTAGCCCTTTGAAGGCCCTTGCCTTTACATCTGTGTTCTCAATGTCTAGTTCAGTTTTTTGAATCAATTAATAAATGAGTGCTAGAACAAGAGAAAAGTGGAGGGTATTTTCAATTTGGGTAATGCTTGAGGTAATTCAATGTGTCTGTGTTAGTTTTCTATTGCTGCTATAACAAATTACCACAAACTTAGTGGCTGAAAACAACACAATATATTACTTTTCAGTTTTGGAGGGGTTAGAAATTCTATGATCAAGTGTCTGTAAGGCTGCATTTTTTTAATAGAATCTCAAGGAAACAATCCATTTTCTTGCCATTTCTAGCTTCTAGAGGCTGCCTGCATTCTTTGGCTTATGGCCCTTCCTCCATCTTCAAAGCCAGCAGTGTAGCATCTTCAAATCTCTTTGATTCTGACTTTCTTCTTCCATTGATAAGAACCCTTGTGATTACATTGAGGCCACCTAGATAATCCAAGGTAAACTTCCCCTCTTGAGATCCTTAATAATATCAGCAAACTCCCTTTTGCTATGTAGATAACATATCCACAAGTCTTGGGTATTAGTACTTGGACATCTTTGTGGAGCCATTATTCTGTCTACTACAACATCTTTTTAGGATGTCTATTAGCAAATGTGGTTAAGTGAATGGTATTCTGGCTAAGACTGGAAGGAGGAAGCTCACAATCTGACAAGACAAAGCTGCATCTTACACATCTATCTTTAAAAGTTTGTCTTCTTGGATTTAACTAGGAAATAAACACAGTGCTTCATAGATAATATTGGAAAATTTCATGATATAATGTTCTCCGTTCTCATATTGAAGAAGCTTTCTTCCAATAACTAAATATGACTCTCTAGACAAATGACAATCACAATAACAGTAACAACATCAGCATGTGCTATTTCCCTCCTTGAAAGTAAGAATTATTGCTACATCAAATAACAACAGTTGCACATTTCTATCACCAGGGAAGCTTTCTAAAGATATTAATACCTAGGACTCTTTCCCATCAAAGATTCTTATTTAATTGGTCTGGGGTGGGTTCCCAGTATTACTATTTTAAAAGCTACCCAGGTGGTTTTAATATTTCAGAGGTTTCCTTTGGCCTATACATACATATATATATAATCAGAAATGACTCATTATAAGTTATTAAGCTATTAGTTGCTCTGGTGTCAAGTTGAAAAGACTAAGAGCGGTATAAACTGTGCAAGTTCAGCATGATTAAACCATATTAAATTCTTCTAGACAATTTTCTCATATTTCAAAAAGAAACTGTAGTTAGAAATTTGAGATGATGTGCGTTTACCTGTAAGTTAACTTCATGAATCTCACTTTACTTTTGATATAGACATGAGAGATATATTTCAGGAGAAATGATTTAATGTTTTCATGGTGTGATGGAGCTTGAGAACATATAAAGCAAGAAGAAATTGAGCACTAAGAAGCTGATCTTAGTTTTCTCTGAAAGTGGATAAAAAGAAAAAACCTCAATAATTGTTTCATAATAGTTTGATTCAAAAAGCAATGTAATGCAATCCACAAGGACTGGTGGATTTGGGAATGCATATGAGCCAACCAAGGTGATTATAAATAAGGAAAAGGGCTCAGACTATTTCCCCATAGAGGAAAGGACAAGGCTTTCCAGTGCACCAATGCTTTGGTAATGTGAACATAATTATATTGTTCTTTAAAAATGCACTGCAAGATGGATTACCTGTCAGAATGGCAGCCACTTTATACTTCTTAAATCACAATGGCCAGCAATTGTATTATGCAGGAAAATACTATCTCCTGAGCTAGTAAGTTATAAGATGCATTTTATCTGCACCTTACTCATCCAAATCACTATATTATAAATATAATGCCTACAGATTTCATTATGTATCAGAATGACTTTTTTATTTTGGTGACGATGCTCTAAATATTAATCCCTGGTTGAAGGTAATAGAGGAAATTCAAGAAATGTTCTAGCTGTTCATACTGACATTTCTGCTGAATGTGACTGCTTTATGAGCTTGGATTTCTTTTTTGTCAAAGTACTCTCAGTTCAAGGAGTAACTCTCGGCATACTTTAAAAAAATTGGTAGAGAGCGCCCCAGAAACTCATAGTACTGTGACATTGTCATCTTTTGCAGGTCATAACTTTTGAATACACTTCAACATAACACCCTGAACTCTTCGTGTAACTGCCTGCTATACTGCTCATTGCTCCACAACAGAAGAAAAGTCACGGCAGTAATTTGAACCTTAACAAATATAATATCCTTGATTCACTAGGAATGGAATGCATTCTGTGTGCTAGAGGATCCATCTTTTCAAAATTTAGAAACTTTGTTTAAACATTTATTATACCCTTGTCTATTTGGATAAGTCATTTAGTTTAAGGGCTATACAAAGCATCTTTGCTAATAAAATTTTGACTTTAACATCAATAGTACTGCTGTGTGTTTTCCCGTAAACAAATAAACAGCAGATGTGCTATTCTCTGTGTTTAGCTCTGCATTGACCTTTAAGATATATACATATTTTTACTCTTAAGAATCTCATATATTTAAAAAGTGGCACTTTCACTTCCTCTCCATCTAAAAACATTGCTGAGGTATTTTTTCTCCTGTTGTTCCCCACACTTACTGCAGAAATATTACCTTATATGTAGTTATATGGAAAACAGAAAGTGTCAGACATGAATGGCCCACCCAACAGATAAGATCTTCTATGTATGTTCTCTTTATATTTCCAGTTCACCAACTTCAGCCTATATTAAAGTTGAAGAAATATTATTTTTCCACAATACAGAGTTAATAAAGGGATAAAGAGGAAAATGAATTCATCTTGAAGCTGCTTTTATCCTTGTGCTTAATTGTAAGCTGTAGCAAAGTTGATAGCGCACATCGGGGCAAAGGAAACCTTCCATATCTCTAATGCCTCACAATTGAGAGACACTAATGTTTGCCACTGTGGTCTCAGTGGCTTTATTGGGAAGAAAGAAAAAATGCTCTAATGGTGTCTGCTGGGCTTGAGAGTATAGCTGGACAAAAAGACAATGCCCTGCGTTCCAAATACAGAATGCGTCTTTTTTTTCTTTCTGTTTTTGAAGGGTATGTATGTTTCTTTATGAACACATCGTGTTTGTTATGCATGCTTTTTCAGTGTGCAGGTTTAAAGCTTTTCCACAAATAGCAAGCAAAACTAAAGCTAAGAGACTATCCCTTTTAACAAAGTCAAGCACAACAGGACAATGGGACTTTCCTAGGTTGAAGGGAAAATAAAATGGGAGGGGGGAAATTTCTGGAGCTCTCTACCCACAACACCATGGTAGGATCTATATGGTCTTCAATCTCCAAAATTTCTTATGGTTTTAAATTTTCTGCCTCAATTTGTTTTCACTGGGATGCTAGTCACATATTCTGGTATTGGAAAAATTAATGAATGAAGGTATTCTTAAACTTGGCTGCATTACTGCTGTGCATACTGAGACAAATCCAACAGTGAAAATAAACATCATCAAGTTCTGGTGCTTGTGTGTTTGCAGAACCATAATATTTTTGAATTGCACCAGGCCTTGGAGATCATCCAGTTATAGTACATCATTTTCCCCCTGAAAAATAAAAAGATTGAGGCCCTCTAGTGAGAATGTTTTAGTCATGCTTGTAACTCCTGAGTGAAAACATAAACCAATGTAGTTGCTGGCCTTAAGTGGCTCCCAGGGGCAATTTTGGCAGGACTTACCTTCTTTATAGGCAGAAATTTACATGTGCACTAAAAGGTCCATGGTTTAAAGCATAATGACTGGAATATACATTTGTTGATTGAATTAATAAAACAAAATGTGATCCTCTAATGGACTGTCTGAAATGGCTATCCTTGCAGGGATTTTCTTATGAGTTAAGACATTATGCTTCCAAGCACTCCTCTGGAAGAAGTAAAACATAAAGTTAACAGATAATGTTGGGGAGTATTATTCTGGGCCTGCTACTGTCTGAATTCATGTAGTTTAGGGTGATGCTTCCGTAATACTGTGTAAAAAGTGGTATTAATTCACAACAGAGTTTTTTTTTTATCGGTTCAAGGCTAAATGAAAATTTAAATAAATAGAAAAAATAAAATAATTTAGAAATATTTTAAATTCTCTCAGTTTAAAAGATGGCCCTTTTCTATGATATGAATTCCTTTTCATTTTTCTGATATTGAAATATCTATTGTCTTATGAAATAATTGTGCTACTACGTAAGATTTTTTTCTTATGTCATCTTGAAAAAAATTGCCAACACTGTATTTCATTGGTCCATGAAGTGAAATGTTTGGTACTTCTTGATTTCCACACCTTGGGTGGCTTTTACTATGTCAAGGATAGGGGTTGTTGGGGACGAGTAGGAGGTCTTGTAGCCTGGCTGCTGGGTTAATAATGAGGCACTTGCATAGAGAAAAGTAGTTGACCATTATAAGCTGCCACCCTAGCCACAAAACAGTGACCCTTGTCTGTCCATAGAACACAGAAAGCCCAGACTGTTTTTCTTCTGCCATATGTTCCGCCATATCCTTTATCTTCCATACTTTTTTGTTCTTTTCTGGATAGTGTAGGTAAATGTCCCAGAGGCTGACCAATGGATGGCTTTAAGCTGCCTGCTTGACCAAGGCATCCTATGTCAAATAATAAAAATAATAAAAATGAATAGAAATTTTTGTCAGTGGTGGAAGGAATAATGAAAACTGCATTGGTTTTGAAAGACAGGTGAGCACTATGAATGCCCCAGACTCTACCAGTCTGGGAGTACACGTAAGGTTGCCTTAGTAGATGAACTTCCAGTCCACTGATTGTGTGGCTCTTATGTGCCTGATGGGAAACATTTGGCATCTTCTCCAAGGTCCTTCTCCCCTGTGCCTCTCCCCTGTGCTCGCAGACTTTAGAGGAGACTACCAGAAGGAATCCACAGCAGTCCAAGCTGCAGATTGTGCATTGCCTGGCTCCACATTGCTAACCTCAGCTCCACCACAGCCTTCTGTCCCGTTGCTGCACATTTCCAAATTGTCACTCCCCATTCCCTCCCTAAAACACTGCCACATCCCTTCCTGTAGTTCTGGGTTTCTGGACCTCCCTCAGACTGCTGCTCTTCAAAACTGACCTCAGGGTTACTGCTCTTCCATATACCATCTTGGCTTAAGCACGGATACAGATTCTTTCCTACATTTCCCGCATTACAGCTGAGGCTAAACCTCTCATCTCAGCCCCATGTCTGCCTCCTACATGGAATGTCTCTATATATATATTTACTGGACTGTTTCCTTGTGACAGAGGCCTGTACACCTCAATCCTTAGGAACGTGCTTAAACACATAGACACTTCAAAATTCAGGCTAAATACTTGGGACCCTTTTTCATCTTTAAGACCCACCCTCCCCAAATTCCTAATTTGAAATCGTAAGATCTCTATCTTTTTAGGATGGCTGAGAATTTGAATGCCCAAATCTTTCAAGAGAAGTGCTACTTTAATTATAGCAAGGGTGTAGTCTTGCCCACCAGCCAAACCAAAGCTATCACCTGAGCATACAATAGTCTCACAGGAGAGCATTCTGGGTTACTCTGTGACACCACATGCATGGCATAAAGAATATGGTCTAGTTAGAGCCTGACTTCCTGAGAGTGGCTTAAATTAGATATTTTAGGTGCTTCCAAAATTTCAAATTTCTCAGGAAGCTTGTGAAGTTCTAAATTTACCTGGATATCTAGAATGAGTTTGCGATTTGGTGGCAAGATTATGGAAGAGGATGTATGCTGGTTTGGAAACGGGTTAAGAGGAAGAACTGTGTGAATTACTTCACTCTGACAGTGGGATTTAAGGAGAATAGAAGTGATGGTCACTGTTTGTTCCACAATACATAATGCTCATTGAATATACCCAAAATGAGCCTTTTGGAAAAAGCCCTCAGAAGGAGAAAGAGAAACACTAAAAAAAAAAAAAAAAAAAAAAAAAAAAAAAAAAAAAAAGGATTGTTTCAAAGGAACGGATTTTCTCATGGTAGCAAATGTTCACTGTTTTAGTTAGGTTTTCTGGGAAATAGACTCTTGAGATGAAGATTTGTATGTAGAATGTTCATTGGTGAATGACTTTGTGGGGACAGCATCTGTTATTGGGCAGAAGACTATGATACAGTTAAAATAATCATTGGCCATTCTCATGGGAGTGCTGAAACCTAGATGACTCTTGAAAGGTGACCTGAATTAAGGCAAGAAGTACAGGCTTTTGTATCCCATCTCAACTAGTCATTGCATGGGAACTGCCAACAAGGAAGCAAAACTTGGACAAAATTTCCCTTTGGCCAAGAGCAATGCCTGAGAAGGGATTCAGCTGTCAGCCATCAGCAAACACTCTCTGCTTCTAAGGAAATAGGTGACTCCATTTTGATGGGGGATCTAGGCAGTGAATTCAGGATCCATAGCACTCAGGAAGCCCTGAGTGTAAACTAAAGGAAACCAGGAAATGTGTAAATGCTCTGACTCTGCTGTTAAAAAGAGGTCATAAAAGTATAATTAAAGGAATAGGTTTTTGCCATGTATACATTATTTGAGAATATTTGTATCTCCTTGGATTGAAAATGGTGCCTGTTGGACCCATAATAAATTTCACCTCAGAGGCTGTGAGGATGTAGTGAGAAAACATATATAAAATTTTTTTAATATATATGAATGAAGATAATTAGAATGTACAGAGCATAGGAACGAAGACCAGTAGCTATAGGAAGAAGCTGGTCTAGAAACAAAGGTGTCAGGGGAAGAGAAAATAAAAGAGGTTAGATGAGCTTGAGGAAAAGTTAAACTTTGTGCTATTTTGAATGGAAAACACTGCTCCTCTCTAAGTCCTATTATCACTGTATTTAAGAATTTAAAATGATGTTGATGGGTTTTTTTCTGGTTTTAGATGAGGCTGAAAGGTCATTTTTTTCCTCCTGCTATTATGATTTGTCTCCCCAGGGCGTTGTGAATGGCCCAGCATTCCCTGTACTAAACTAAGGGTAAGTCTTTCATCCTTTGTAAAAATGCTGTCTATTTAGGCTCTTTCTAATACCCACTTGTTCCACCCCACAGGATACTCTGGTTTGTGCTTGCAAAGATTATTTTCTACATATCAAAAAATTTAAATAGAATAAAGAGCAATTCTAGTCACCTCGCCAACCAACTGATAAGTTGATTACATGCATTCAAGTGACAGACTCCAGCTGCCCGTTGCAGTGATAATCTTTGCAAATACTATTTTGAGGCCCAGTTTGACATAGAGGCTGACAAGCTGGAACGCAAAAAGCTATATTAAAATTAACATGCTGTCACCTAGGAAATTTACTTTGCTTTTATCTAAGCAAACACAAGGATATCTTCTGAGGTTTTATACTTTTTTAAACATCTGTAGAAATTATTCATTCATTTTTTTCAAATTATACTTATTGGGTACTGATATAACTGCTTGTTTTAGAAATACGGAAGGTGTTAGTGCCCTCAAGGACTCTATAGTGACTACAAGTTCAGGCTTTAGATTCAGATAGTCTGAATTTCTAATTCCAACTTCACTACTCAGTACTAGTTGTGAAATTACATGAAACTTGCTTAGCTTCTTTAAATTTCAGTTGTCTCTAATGTAAATGGAAATAATATTAATGATCAACTTATAGGGTTATTGAAAAGACTGAAAAACTATGTATTTGTTAGTGCTTGCACATAGTAACCCCTCAGTAAGTGGTAAGCCTCTCTATATGTATGTCTATATGAGAATTTTATACATAACATAGACATTGATATGTACATATATAATCTATATATACACTATGTAATGTGTATGTACATGTATATGCAAACATATACATGTATATATGTGTAATGTATACATACAATATGATATATTAAATGATAATACGATGCAATTAAATGGTAAGAATGGTTTACAGATTCAAAGTGTGATAGATAATGGGATGCAAGCATATCAATATTTAGATATAGCTTCATGGATTAGTCGGGGTTCTTACTAAGGCTTGGAGGATGGTAATCAGGGAAAAAAATGAAGCTGCTCTTCAGAGGCAGATGGGGAATTGCAGAATAACCCTGGGAATTGAAATTGGATGCTTATGCAAAATGCCAACAACAGTTGGCATTATTCTTATTTTAAAAGTTGGTACAACATGTTTGCTAACCACCTTTTCAAAACTAAATCTTTCTCAGTTATATTAGTTAAGAGTTGAGGAGGCCAGGTGTGGTGGCTCACGCCTGTAATCCCAGCACTTTGCGAGGCCAAGGTGGGCGGATCACGAGGTCAGGAGATGGAGAACATCCTGGCTAACACGGCCAAACCCCATCTCTACTAAAAATACAGAAAAATTAGCCGGGTGTGGTGGCAGGCGCCTGTAGTCCCAGTTACTCGGGAGGCTAAGGCAGGAGAATGGCATGAACCCGGGAGGCGGAGCTTGCAGTGAGCCGCCGAGATCACGCCACTGCACTCCAGTCTGGGCGACAGAGCGAGACTTTGTCGTAAAAAAAAAAAAGACTTGAGGAAGACACATGACTTTTATGCCATGGAAATTTTTTTCCACCCGAAACATTGAAGTCCATAGATATTAGAATGAATCCAAAAGCCTGCTTCAAGTTTGTTTTTTAAAGAATAAACGCCATAATCATTGCAGATTTGTGGAAGTTAGTAATATACAAATGCATCTGTTTTGCATTTGATTGATGACATCAAAGGTCTTTTGTAGGGTTTTCTGATTTTTGCTTTTAGCCTTTGAAATATTAAAAGGGATTTTGAAATGAGCCTTTATTTTTAGAATGTTTTTGGCTAAAGTGGGAGGATATATTAAAGGTATTTCTTCAGAGAATTATTGGACTCTTGCTTGGATGATACTAATTCAAGCCCGAGAGACATGATATTATTAAACTTGATTTTGACTTCATAATGTGGTGAGATCTTCTTGAATGTTTTCTAAACAGTTATATTTCAGTGGGTTGTGAGGATCTATCTCTTTCATAATAAATATTAGACTCACTCAACTTTAGGTACTCAAGTATCTGCTTTCAATATTTATGATCACTTTTAGAGGATATTCCCTTGCATAGGACTATCTACTGATAAGAATTGGAGGACAGGAACCAAACACAGGGTCAGTTTACAGAAATTGATGTCGTGATTTTTCTGTTTCAAAATGAACAGCATTTTTCTTATTTCTCATTCACTTTTATGGAATTAGTGATAGCTTCTCATTCATCCACTCTTAATTCTCAAACCTGAATCTCCAGATATGACATATTACTTCTATCCTTAGCTGTTTTTCTCACTGTCTTCTGGGCTTTTCTAGCCATTGTTCCACAATCATATCAAAGCTAATTTTTCAGTGAATGAATTTGTATTTTTATCTTTCCAAAACAACTATAACAAAAACAAAACAAAAAAGCAATCCTAACGCTCCAATTTCTCAACAAAAATATCTTTGTCAAAGGCTGCAAAATTTAAGTTCCTCTTTGCTATTTCTCTTTCTTGTATAGTCCTTTGAAGTACCTTTCAGATCGAGCCTATCCTTTCAACAGTGATAAGCCTCTCCTATTTTTAGTCCATTAGACGGTGAGGTGACTCATTTAAAAACATTAAATGTTTAGCCTGCTTTGCTAAAGTATTATTGGCCCTGTTACTTAATCCATAGAACACATCCCACTTTTCAAGGTCATCTGTTCCTTGTTCCCACCTATCTATCAACTCAACTTACTCCCAGCCCCAAGATAGCATGCTCACACACACGAATGCCCACCTATCCAAGTCAAACCATCTTTCTGTGCATGCCACACTCAGATTCCTTTCCCTTCACTGATTTACACTCTTGAAAGTCTGAAAATATCCTCCTTCTACCTTTTTCTGCATAAACATCATGACTCAGTTTGGGGCCTTTTCAGATTTTGAGCCAGTTTGTCTTCTTTGATGCAGCGTCCTCAACTATTCAAATTCATCTTTTTTCTTCCCCTTTGAAATTGTTTTGCAACTAGACAGAATCTCACAAACTATTACTTAGTTGTATTACTTAAACTATTATTGTTACTGATGACTTCATATGCATGATTGAATTCTGGAGCCTGTTGTCTAACATGACACTGTGCACATAATAAGTACTTATTTTTGAGTATTGATTGATTATGTCTCTCTTTTGGGGTTAAATATCACATTCAGGTTCTTAGTAACCATAATCCCACTCTAAAATAATTTGTATAAAAACCAGTTTTTTTTAAAAAAAGCTGTAAGACTAAATAAATCCTTTGAGAAACAGAAGTGGCTTTAGGGTTGGGTCTAAAAATCATCACTTTCTTCAGAAAGTTATACATAAGAAATTCTGAAGCAAATACCTTAAAGACTGTATAATAAAAATATTCATTTATGCTTCCACTCTTATCCACATATATCTGTGCCGAAGAGACAATACCATAAATAGAAAAAAGCCCTCAAGGCAGCAGCTGCAGATGCTGAACAACGAATGAACAATGAAAAACAGTAAGAAAGAGACTGTGGGACCATATGCTATTACTTGAGGAATATTTTTAGTTACAATAGAGTAATTCATGTCACAAATACTTATTGAACACTTCTATGAAGGGAGGTTGCTGTCTAGGAACTATGGGGTACAGAAAATAAAACAAGATAAAATACAATAATAGAGTCCTATCTATATGTAATAAATCTATTAATAATAACTACTTTTTCTTAGGAACCCACCATTTGGCATGCACTGTGCTAAGTGCTTCACATATATGAATATAATCTCATTTAATAGTCACAGCCATCCTAAAACGCAGATGTTTTTCTCCTATTTAAGAAACCTAAATTTAATGATCTTACCCAAAGTTATACAATATCTGGTGGAAATCTGATTCAGGTCCACTTGTGGCTGACTTCAAATCCCATCACACTCTGCCTTCTGACATAGCTCTGAAGGAGTTTCTAATTCTTTCTGAAAAATAAAGGCTTCTTGGGGAAGGAAGCCCTTGGCATGTGTTTAGAAGGGTGAGTTGTATGTTGGCAGATGGAGGCAGGAAGAGAGGAAGTGCTGAGCAGTTCTAGGCTGGGGCATCAACTTGGGGGATAAAGCATGAAAGTAGAAATTATTAATAGAGTATATCAGTGTAACAACTGTAAATCGCTCAGTATTGTTCAGGTTAGGGGGTAGATGACAGAAGAAACAAAACTTAAGTTGGCAGAAGCCATGCCACAAAACAACACTGTTCAGAGTTTATACTTTATCCTATAGAGAATGGTGACCCACTGAGGGTGCTAAGCAGGAAAACATAATCAGATGGCCATGTTAGGAAGGCCGTTGCATTTGCAGTATGGAAGATGGTTAGGAGGAGACCAATGATAAGGATATGGAAATAATTAGAATGACAGATGGTGGGATCCTGTACGAAAGTTGTACAAGGGCATATGAAGAGGAGTCAACAGACCTGAGAAGTATTTTTGGAGGTGAATTAATAGGGCTTAGTAATCAATTTGCTATGGTGAGAGATAGAAAAGGTAGATATGAAGATGGGCTGACGTGGTACCATCCTTAGATCCAGGCAAGAGTGTTCCTTGCCCTAACCTCAAGCTTTAGGAAGTCCTACTCTGGCTCTTTCCACAGGGTGTGAAATTTGCAGAACAAAAGACATATCCAAGCTGAGGTCACACTTCCCCTTCCAAATTATGCTCTGAGTACCTGGGACAGAGAATCCCCTATCCAAACTACTCTCACACTACTGCCAGGGCCTAAGTGGGCCTCTTGCCAGCCTCTTTCTCATGAGGATAAATCAGACCGCTATGTATATATCCTTTCATCTGAGAGCTAGACAAAGGCCAGATGTTTGGGAGCAAGTGAGCAGAAACTGAACATGAGGGATAGGGCCCCACAAATATTAGGGATAGGCCTTCTCTCAGGTTACTTGTTTAGGTGATTGGAGGGGGGCAATAAACAAACAACATTGTGAATAGAGAAGGAGAAGTGGGTTTGAGGGAAAAGCAAATAACTTGGCTTGAGATATTTGTGAGATATCTAATGATGCCCTCTAGACAGTTGGAAACAGGATATAAACTTCAGGTGAGAGATGTGGGTAAGACATTGATATGGTTTGGCTGTGTCCCCACCCATATCTCACCTTAAATTGTAGTTTCCATAATCCCCATGTGTTGTGGGAGGTAATTAAATCATGGAGGCCATTTTCCCCATGCTCTTCTGGTAATAGTGAGTGAATTCTCATGAGATCTGATGTTTTGTAAGTGTCTGGCATTTCCCCTGCTGGCACTCATTCTCTCTCCTGCCGCCCTGTAAAGAGGTGCCTTCCACCATGACTGTGAGTTTCCTGAGGCCTCCCCAGCCATGCAAAACTGTGAGTCAATTAAACCTCTTTTCTTTATAAATTACCCAGTCTTTATAAATTACCCAGTCATAATGAGAACGAACTAACACAGACATAGAACAAGAAATCATCAGCACACAGCGGGAAGTCAAAGGTGTGAATAGAAAACTAAAGTAGATTGCCCAGCTTATCTCTCCGGGAGAGAAGATGGTCAGTGATGAAATAGAATCTTGGAGAGCAGCTATATTTTATAGGCGATCAAAAGTTGAGGAAAATCAGGGAAGTGTAAAAAATTGGAATAAAGTATCCCTGGATAACCATGCCATAACGTTGCTTCCTTCTTAAGAGCATGGAATAGCAAGTTGTGAGCAAGTCCATGAGAAAATTTATATACATTCTAACAAAATAGGGAAAAGTGTTCTTCATTTTTTTGTATTCTGAAATACGTAAACAGAATTTTTACTCATAAAAATTATTTTACATATATCTGCTAGAAAGTAGAGGAAGCTCAAACTATGGTATTCATAAAATGCAAAAAGAAAAAGTTGTAATTACTTGGTTATCCCAAATATAAAAGAGATAAATGGTATTCCTGAAAGAGTGAGAATGACCAAGATTTTGTTGATGGAGAGTGACAGAAAATTAATTTCATTATAACAACTCCTTTACAAAACAGGACAGATAGTTGGGAGTCTCTGATTCTGTTTGAATCTTTGATGTTGAGAAACTTCAATAGCTACATGGTAAGAACCCATTATGGTAATAGTTGATCATTATTTATTGTTAGTTTCAGTAGAAAATAAACAGGCTGTTTGTTTAGAGCGATTAATAACATCACAAACTATTTGAGTGATGGTTTTCTCTAAGAGTTCTGAATTGCTTTATAAATATAGCCTGCTAATTAACTTAGGACTTACTAAGAAGAATGAAATATCTACTGAATTTTGGCCAAAATGTTCCTTGAAGTAGATCCCAATAAGATTCTGTTCTTTTTGAATTATTAGTGCCTAATATACGGTTGATACATAAAAGAGTTGCCCATGAAAAAGAAAAAATGAAAATTTCAGATTAAGATGGGATCTGAAAATCATTATTTGCTTTAGCACCCACCAAGGGAAACTAGATGGTTTCCACAGCTTGAATTAACTTTAGATAGGCTTCTAGGCACTGACCTCTCTTAAAGAATTTCCTTTAAAAAAAAAAAGGTGTAATTTTTAAAGCATTTGTCTGCCTCCTTGAGATGTAAATCTTGTAAAAATCCTCTTGCCAGCTTTACAACTCAAGACTGTCTTTCGCAAGGACCTAGGGTTGTTTCAATTGAAATGTAATTTTCTAGAAAGAGAAAGCTCCTACCTTCTAGTCTTTGTAGAAAGGTAGGAGCCTAATTTCCGTGGGCACCATGCTATAGGCTGTAAAACTACCCCCAGTCATGAAGAGAGGGGAAAGTTCACTGTTCATTTGGATAAAGCCAATTACCCAAATACAGATGCCACACAGTCTCTCAACACCAGCTTGTCAAAGCAAAGCAAAACTCTCTGCCCTTTACTTTAGCTGAGCTAAGTATCCAGATGTGGTTTGTGCTCCCTCCCCTATGGCTGGCGATAGTATTAGAATAAAATCAATATCTGTTTGCTTAGGCATGATTTTTTCTTTAACAGTGCATGTGAGAATACTGGCAACCTTAGAGAGCACTTTCAGTGGAACAGAATGGATGCAGATAACTATATTGGATTGAATAGTAATTATGAAGTGAGAAACTTAGGAGAGTAAGATAAGCTATCAGTACTTCCTTTTCAGCCCTTCCTCTCTTAATCCTTTCTAAAATTTTTAAATCCAAGAACTTTAAAAAATTGTATCTGGATTTGTCCAACTAAATAAAATGTTCCTTCCTTGTGGAGACCATTTCTTAGGACCTTTGCACATCTCCAGCTCCCAGATGAAATATGTTGCAAGCATTACGTTCTCAGTAATGTTTGTGTAATTAAATGCTTTTGTAAAAGTACTTGTAATACAAGATAGAGTAGTCATTTTCCTTTAAGAGTCAAAAGGTGCTGTGACATCATAAACCTTGCAATAAGAAGGATAGTATTGAAATTTTAAAGTTTTTGTTCTTTTATTTCATTAATCCCCTATAATACAATATTATTCACATTTTTACTTGGAAAAAAGGAATCTGAAAGTTAAATGTCCACAGGATCGGTTTTCAGATGATATGAGTTTTTCAGTTAATGTACTAACCTCAATTATGAAGGTTTATTATTATTATTATTGCTGCTAAAGTTAGAATAAAAGAAAAGCTAAATTTTCGACACAGAGGAGGGGAAAAAAGGTGTTTCAAAAAGTTTCATTAAAAATGATAGTAATGTTCTTTTAAAATTATTTTTAAAACAAAAGCAGCATGGCATTTGGAAACAAAAGGCAATATTGATGATATTACAATCTGCCTTAGATATTTGGCAGACAGTAATGACCACCTCTATGTAAATTTTGTGGACCGTGTACAGGAAAATAATCTGATGTAAACCTTTGTTGCGTTCACAGCTCTCAGATGGTCGTCAAGTTTGGGGGCTCTCAGGTGGTTCTGGTTGACCCACTTCCTCCCTTCCAGTTAGATTCACATCACAAATACGTCTTGGGCATTGTGTGATGTTCAAGAAGCTTATTCTGGCAGCGCTTCTACAGGATGAACAGCAGGAGGAGGCTGGCAGCCCTGGCCAGATGCAGTTAGGGGAAGGATGACCGCCTGAGTGACAGGGCTTTCATTACAATATCATTTTCAGAGTTTGAGGGATTCTTCCTCTTTTGTGTACTTCTATTCAGTCTGGGTTAGTTGCCATGTGTTTTTTTGTTTTGTTTTGTTTTTATTTTTTATTTTTTTCATAAAGAAAGTTTAAGCCATCTTGTAAGGGAAAGCTTTGTTTTAAGGTTCATGAAGTTGCATCTGTGCTAAGGTGGCCTTGTGTCTAGAGTAGCCAGGGTTTTTGTCATAGAGACCATTGTCATAGAGACCTGGTAATCTCCTGGCCAGGGCTGGAAATCCCCAGGCCAGGTTGCATCATCTTGCTCGGCAACACATAGTGTAGGACTTGTAAGATGTTTGAGTGAGCCTGTGGCTATTCTTAATCTTCTAGCCACTTATTAGCCACTTGAGCCAATCTTAATCTTATAAAGAGACATAGAGATATGTCTTTTATAGTTATACCATAACTTTAAATGTCATCTATTTGTTTCGCTAAAATTTTCAGTGTTTAAAGAATGGTGTTTTGGTTACCCAGAGGCAATGTTTTAAATTTAGAACTTTTAATGTTGAGGTACTGCCATATTCCTTTTGTTTTAAAGACAGTGTATACTCTCTCTAAGTATGCTGTTTCACTCCGGCAACTTCCCTAATGAAGTAAATTTAAAGAAACAGTTCTTATTTAAAAAGTTTAATGACTTAAATTTGTAAGCAAATGATATATGCTAATTTTTAAAATCAAGAAACAGAGAAAATTAAAAGGAAGCAAGCATAGAAAAGATACCTAATGGGGAGGAGGTTGAATAGGTGAAGCACAGGGATTTTTTTTTAGGGTAGTAAAGCCATTCTGCCTGATAGTGGTGGTACGAATAGCATAGATGATACATGACACTGCATTTGTCAAAACCCATTGAATTTTGTAGCACAAAGAGTGATCCTTAATGTGTGCAAATGAAAAGTCACGTAGGAGGCTTAGAGATCACAGGATGGAATGCCAACTGTGACAAAATAACCTAACTGCATTACAAATATATAAAATTGTCACTAAAGAGAATAGGGGAAAAGAGCCTCACCTAAGTAACTTTGTAAATGAATAGCATCTGAAAGACTAATGGCAAAAAGAAATGTGGATAAGAACTTTACTATAGTTGATAAATTTGCTTTCCTTGCGGGGGGCGGGATATGAGTTAACAAGTATGAAACCACTGTATGTGTATGTATATTGGAACTGAGCAGTTAGGCAAATGGATGTCAAATGATGGAAACTAAGTTTTTTACTGTTGGAATGGGAAGTTATAGGTAAGCAAAAGTAGAAAGCTAGAATGATCTATAGAGTTGGAGACTTCATTATGAGCTCGTGTTTGTTTTAATATAGATTCAGATGGTTACATACAGAAATATTTATAGAGATGAGTATATACATGGTTAGTATATACACGTATTTTCTTGCTCTCTCAGCTGAGAGGAACTAGAAGCACTGCCGTACCAATAACAGTAAACACACCTTGTATCCAGACATTGGTTTCTAATGCAGTTCTCCAATAAAAGGAACCAAGACTCCTTTGAGAACTGTATGATTCTAGGACTGAGGCAGGAATTATACAAGATGAGCCTAGAGCACCTTGCAGTGTCAGAATGTAATGCAGCACCCCTCCAAAAAAACACCCTCAAACCCACAATGATGGGAGTAGGTCAAAGGAACTCAGGATCCCAGTGAAAGAGCTCCTAAAAACCAAAGCTGGAACAATTTGAGCAATAAAATAAAGTAGTATTCAGTTATAATACAAAACATAAAATAAAGTCAGTCCATATTGTTAGAGATAAATGTAAATAAATGATAATTATGTTGGGGGAGGGAAATGGAGAACTCCTTCATGCAGAGAAATTACAAATATTGGGTTGGTGCAAAAATAATTGAAGTTTCTGCTATTCCTTTAATGACAAACACTGCAATTTTGTTTGCATCAACCTAATAATTTATGTAGATATTCTGCTCTCAAGGAAGTGGAGCCTAACTCTTTACTCCTTAGTCTGTGCATGGTGGTTTTTTTTTTTTTTTTTTCAGAGAGTACAGTTTGGAAAGGAGGAAAAAAGAGTAACCATTACAGTGAAGAAAACTGACAAGTACTATCTCAGTGAAGTGACCAAGTTTCACATTAACAGTGATGTCCTGTTAACAGTATGTACTCTTGATATAATATGATGAGAATTACATTTTACCACTCTTGCCTTCCAAAAACTGATAGTCCCAGTTTAATCGTTAGAAAAACACCATACAAATCTTAACTGAAGATCTTTCTACAAAATAGGATGTGCACGCTGTCATAGACAAGAGGAGCCCAGAGACATAATGACTAAATGTAACATAGCATCCCAAACGAGATCTTTGAAAAAGTGATATTATATCAATACTAAGAAAATATGAATAGAACATGATTTTAGTTAATAATAGTGTACTGATATTGACTCATTATTTGTGACAAATTATTATAATCACATTATACTAATATATATTTCCTCTACTAATGTAAGATGTTCATAGTGGGGGAATTGGTTGTGAGGTGTGTTAGAACTCTGTAATATCTTCACAATTTCTCTGTGGATGTAAAGCTATTCTAAAATAAAACAGTTATTTAAAATATCACTAATCTTGCTACTCAGGGATAGTTTTCATTAAATATTTGGTGGACATTTTTATGGATATCTCTGTAAATGCTTAGTTATAAAACCAAGTGGATAAATAGCTATAGAATAAGGATTTTAGAAAATTATTATACTTGATATACCCTTTTAAAATTAAAACTCTAATATTAATTTTTACCTGAATTTAACCAAAAAGGAAAACAACAAAGTGAAACTTGAAGTAAAAGGTGAATTTCAAATAAAGATATTTTACCATCAAACCTATTAGTTCCTAAAAGAGACTTCTAAAGCCAGAAAAAATGATTTTGAGAAAGAGCCTACATTAATTAACTATGGGTTGTAACTTTATACTGTATATATTGATTATTTACTATGAAAGGTAATAAAAGTGGCACCCTTATATTCCCATTTCCCTCTCTCCTCTTGGTCCTTTAATTATAACTTTTATCTTCTCAAGGTTTGTAATGTATATATTATCTTCCATAACTATAGAATAAAAATCTGAAAATTTTATTCTATGCTTAAACTGTGTCAGTTCTCCTCACCTTGTTCTGCAGTTTCTTCATCCTTAAATTCCTTATTTTTTCACTCCATTGGCTAAATTTTATAGTTCAGTAGTCTTTTAAAGAAATACTCAAGCATGTATAGTTCCTAATTTTGTTATGCTTGAAAAAATTCACTTTTGCCTTTATATATGAAAGGCAACTTGGCTGGACATAAATTCCTTTGGCATACTATTTTGTCTTATAACTCACTGGATGTTGCTCCCTATCTTCTGGCATTATATTTGTTACAGAGAAGTATGAGGTCAACTTCATTTTTCCCCCTATTGAATGTACTATGCTTTTTCTTCCTGGGTGCTTCTTTCCTTATCCTTGAAATGCAGCAACATTATCAGAATATAACTAGGCATGGGTTGAGCTCTATTACCTTTCCTGGATATAAGCTACAAATTATTTCAATGTTCACATTCAAATTTTGCTTAATGTATGCACACATTTTTCATCTTCTGTATTATCTTTCTAAAAATCGTTATCATGCTGCTGTTTTTGCCTCCTTTGTTTGTATGTCTAAGAAAGAATCTGACTCTATTTTTGACGTGTGACTGCTCACTGCTTACAAGACCCAATATCCCTACTCTCTCTCTTCCTCTATATCTAGGAAAGCTGATAAGAAAGCCCAGTGTTCCTTCCTTTGTCACTGGCAGGAAATTCAAATCTCTGAACACCCTAGCTCATTCAAGGGAACCATCATCCCAGTCACCCTTCCAACTACGACAAAAACCCAAGCTAGATAGTTTCCTATCCCTGCTGTCTCTCAAGACATTTTGGAACCTGTTTGGGATTTTGATCTGCTCTCCTGACTAAAGGAATCCTTATTCACACCCTCATGGTGCACATGTGGTATCATCAGTCTTGACACTCAAAACAAATTTTAGATGGAGAGTACATGTCACCTCAGCAAGATGGCTGAAACAGTGTGACTTCTTTGAAAGTATTTTACCATTTCTCTGATTGAGGTTCTACTGACCGCTTTTTTTTTTTTTTAACTTTCCTGGAGTATGTTAGTGTTTATTGCATTGTCAACTCTTCAGTATATTTTCTCTTGTCAGAGAGGGTCATCTTAGAAAGATTGGGACCATAGGCTAAACCACGGGCTTTTGATGTTCCATGCAACTGTTTCCTGGAATATCGTGAACTACTAAGATTTGAAGACTGAGTTAGAATCTTGAAAAACAGTTTCAAAATAATGTGGTAATAAAACAAGTTGGTATAATCGCAATTAGTTTTCTAAATCCACAACGGTCAAAAAGCACACCTTGGTATTAGATATTCAATAAAGTATTCCGCATCTCCTATAAAATGCTTGGTTATGGTCATCTTAAATTATCCCTGAACTTATTCTTCTGATGAGCATTCTTTCACAAATATTCTTGTCCATGTTTTTCTTTGTTTGTTTTCTTTTCTTAGTTGGGAAAAATATCTTGTGTTAAAGGTCTTCAAAATGGTTTGTATATCTCATGTTAATCTCTTAGGGTAAGCTTTGCCAATAAATAAATATTGGAATTTAATTGGAGCTTGTAAGACCCAGTAAACTAGGTAAGAACCTTCATGTAGTCTTCATGTTTTGTTAGCTGTTTCTCATCTCTGACAATTCTTAGTTTTTTCTTGATTTTTTTTTTTTTACCTTTACAGTTTTGAAGAACATGGGTCAGGTTCTTTGTAGAAAGTTAATTTCTTTTTATTTCTGACTTATGTTCCAGTATAGGGACACATTACACTTTGCCTATCTGTTCACCTGTTAATGGAATTTTGTGCTGTTTCCAGTTTTGGGCTATTACAAATAAAGCTGTGATGAGCAGTCATACACAAGTTCTTGTATGGACATATGCTTTCATTTCTCTTGGATAAAAACCTAGGAGTTGAATGGATAAATCATATATGAGGTATGCATTTAACTTTTAAAAAATTGCTAAATTGTTTTTGAAAGTGGCTATATCATTTAACATTTCTACCAGCAGTGTATGAACCTCTCGTTTTTTTTACATCGTTGCTAACAGTTGGTATCAGGCTTTAATTAGGGCCATTCCTGTATGGATGCAGCGGTATTTCCTTGTCATATTAATTTGCGTTTCCTTAAGGACTAATAATAATGTGCATTTTTTAATGTGCTTATTTGCCATCCATTTATTTTTTTAGTTGTAGGTCTGTACAAATCTTTTGCCCATTTTGAAATTTGGTTGTTTGTTCTTGTTGAGTTTTGAGATTTCCTTATATATACTGTATACAAGTCTTTTGTCTGATAAGTGCTTTGCAAATACTTTCTCCTGGTCTGTAGATCCCCTGTTCATTCTCATCACTATCCTTTCTGCTTCATTCTTCTGTCTGTCTATTTATGTGCCAATACCACACTGTTTTGATTAGCTTTACCATGTTTTAATATCTGGTAAGGCTAGTCCCCTCCATCTTACTATGTAGTTTGAGTTTTCTGGGTAGTCTTTATGTTTCTATTTATGTTAATATTAGAATGAACTCATATAATTCAAAATTCTTACTTACATTTTTAGTGGGACTAAATTACACTTTCAATTTACTTTGGGGAAACTGGTATCTTTGTGATCTTGAGTGTTCTTTTTCAATATCATGATATGTTTCTCATTTGTTCAAGTCTTCTGTTCATATTCTTGTGTAGCATTTTAAAATTTTATTCATATTGATCTTATACTTACTGTTATGTTTATTCCTACATTTATCTTTTCTTGATGGTATTGTAATGGCATCTTTTTCCAATATATTTTTAAAATTTCTTGTTTGCACATCTGACAAATATTGTTTTCTGCATGTTAATTTTTAACCTATCCACCCCATTGAATTTTCTTACCATTTCTAATTGTTTCAGCTTATTCTTTTAAGGTTTCCAGATATATAATTTGTAGTTTTTTCAATTTCTATATCTCTTAATACTTTATCTTTTCTAATTGTGCTATTATTTCCAAAAAAAAATGTTAAACAAGAGTGGAGATAATGGCTATGGGTTCTTTTTTCTGTTTTTAATAGGTATGTTTCAAGTGTTTGATCATTTAACATGATAGCAGCTTTGAAGAAGAGGTAGACTTATTTTTATCATAATAAAATTTTTGTCATTGTAGTGCCTGCTGGCTGCTGAAGTGCCTGGATTTGGGGTGGGAGAGAGAAGGGTAATTTGGGTCATTACACAGCGTTTTATCAGAACATACACATGTGAACTCTTGTCATTTTATTTGTTTGTTATATATCTATTTCTTCAGTTTTTGGCATTCATAAGTTGTTGTATCTCATCCAAAGTTCTTTAAGTCACAAAATGTCCCTTCACCTTTTCTTCTCTGAGCTTTTTATTCAGAAGTCTCCCCTCATCAAGAGACTGGGTTATATACAAGAGGAATGACATGTGGTTGTGGGTTTTGCTTCTTTCTCAGCTTCCCTGCTGCTCTGTGCTATCACACTGGAATCTTCAGTGACATTTCCTGCCACACTCATGGCAGTTCATGACCCTGCATCTTAGCATTCTCTCAGTGGGTAGCTAGGGGCTCTTATTTTGTAAAAATTCATTGTCTTTTTTAATTTTAAAAAGAGTAGAGTTTGTCTATATTTGCACACTTTGATTCAGGAATCATCTGGAGTAATTTTGAAATGAGCAAAATGTACATGTAGCCCTTCAAAATAGTTGCTTTATGTTACCTGCCTCCTCAGTGCAGTAGAGAGTGGTCAGTCTCACAATCTGAAGAAAGAATATGCTGACACTAATGAAAATGATATTTTGCAAAGGCTTTAAAAATTTCTCTTTTGGAAACAAGCTCAGGATTGGCTTTTGTGCCGTATAAAATCTAACTAATTGCTTAATAGTCACATTGCCTTTTTTACATGAAATGATTCTGCTTAAATGCTCACCTCACTTTTCAGTTACTGAATAATTTTGGCCCATATCTGAAAATTAAATTAATCAACAAACACTGAAAATTTAACATTACTGGAGAATTTCAAATAAATGTCCTGAACAGGTTTATTCTTTGCCTTTCTCTTAGGCAGTTCCAAAGGTATATTGCCTTTTAATTTTTTCCAAAGGTAGAATTATTTTCCTCACAAATTAACAATAAGCAAATTTATCCATTTCATTTTTAGTGAATTATGAATATTTTATGAAGTAGAAACTTGGCACTCACCTTTTAAAAATCAACTCTTGTTGAGTAGGCTGAGGAGGAGGAAGAAGAGGAGGGGTTGGTCTTACTGTCTCAGGTATGGCAGAAATGAAAGAAGTGGAGGTTGAAGGGGAGGCAGGAGAGGCAGACACTAGGTGTAACTTTATAGAAATACATTGCCCCTGTTAGCATAGTTGCAGTGATGATTTCATAATTTTTTTTACAATGGTTCTTTAAATGGATTCATTTATCTTGAAATGGAAGGCAACTGCAGCTACAGTCCTCAATCTAAAGTACGTATCAAGCAATTCAACTTTTTATTTTAATGTCATGAGTTTTCTCTGCTTTTTTGGGAGCACTTTTGGCAACACTAGTGGCACTTTCTATGGGTCCCATGGTTTTACTTAAGGTTTATGATATTGCACTAAACATGATGTAAAATGCACAAAAACCATGAGAGATCACTTTTTACTGCAAGAGACAATTTACTAGAGAGACAAACTGCTGGCTAGGAGATGACTAGCATTGCATGGTGTTTTGAGTGGATACTTGTAACGCTGGAGCTCAGGGAAATAGCAACAGGGAGTGGCTATAAAATTATTACAGTAGTATAATATGTACTATAGTTAATTTTATGCAGTTATGATTTAATACTGTATCTTTATGTTTGCTTACATTTCTCTCAGCTGCAAATGGTGCATTGTTTGGACTACAAGTGTTTGTGTTCACAGTGCTGATAAATTGTAAGTTTTTATGACAGATTTTTGTAGATCTTATATTAGTCAATGATAAAATAGACTAGTCTTTACATACATTTATCCATTCAAGTCACACCCAACTTTTTCTTAAGTTTTCTAATATTTCTAGGCTACAAGATTTATCAGAAAGTTTTCTCAGATTGTCTCATATCTCCAACAAAATTTGCAATATATTTACTGAAAAAAATTGTGTATTAGTGGATCCATGCAGTTCAAACTCCTGTTGTTCAAGGGTCAACTATATAATACACCTGGTGAAGCAATGTGTATTCTCATCTTTCAAGTTTCTTTGGTGATTTTAGAACATTGAAGAAGATCTAATTGATAACACACAACACTTAGTATCACTTCCATTGTTCCAACTCTTAGTCAAGTCTTTCAAATACCATAACTATGCTCAGATCTTTCTCTTGTCACTCTTTGTTTTTAACTTTCAAGTAAAACTTCCCCCTTTTCCTTCCTCTCTCACTCTTTCCTTATGCTTCAGCTAGTTTTCCTCTCTGCTTAACAACATTCTCTCTTTTTCTGTTCTCTGCCTACAAAGTATTTCAATTACCACAACAAAATATAAGAGATAGCAAGGAGAGGTGAAAATCTAAATGTTCTAGAAATGTCCTTGGGAAAAAGGGATAAGAGATAGTAATCAGGTTATTAATGTTACACTTTTGGGAATTATCTTTGGCCTTTATTTCCTCTTACTTTCAGTATCTAATAAAGTATAGCATCTTGAAAATGTGGCCTTCTAAATGCTAAACATTTGTTTTAACATATGATTTAACATATGTTGTAACATATGATAGTTTCAGGAATAAGTATTATAGTATAAAACCATGGTTGACCTTAGCAAGGAGAGTTTCAGTGGAGTGGTGTAAGTGGAAGACATAGTGAAGAGCGTAAAGCAATGCAGGAAAGGGTAAGGAAGTGGAGAATAGGTAAATTCAACATTTGTGAAAATTTGTTTGAGCAATGAAGAATAAATAAAAGTATAAATGAATGAGCGAATATACTATGTTGCACTCTATTACAGTTATAAAGTCTTTTACCTCCAGAGGCAGCAGCTTTACCAGTTACATTATACTTACTGAGTTTTTATTGAGGTTGTAGGTGCCAAAATTACAGATTTCCAGTGGAAGCCTAAGTTGTAAACTTTCTCTTTAAGCCTCCAGTTTAGTATCACAGGAATTATTCAAGAATAGACTAGCAACCTGATAAAGGGCTTATAAGGAGGTTAAATTATCTGGTGTGTATATTTAGTAGTGATAAACTCTATGATCTCTTTCAATTCTGAGATTCTATTATTTTATGGCTTAAGCAGTCATTCAGGCATAGAACCAATTTTGTTCCCTAAATTTATGGTCATTCTAATCACGTTCTCAAGTTATAAAGTGATAATACTATTGTGTGATTTACAGACTATTTGGTTTTATTTTACTTGGCTGAGCATATTTTATAAAGTGAGATTTAAGAGTTCTAGATTTTGATACCTGAAGCAGAAATTCAGACTGTCCACAAGTATTTAGTAGCTCCTTGTCCTTAAAATGCTTAAGTTTAATGGTGGATAAGACATAAAGCCCCAAAACATTTAAGTCAGTAATTTAAAAATGTTTTTACAATAGCACCTTTTCTCCTCAGTGAAGCACTATGCCATATTCTAGTGGTGCAGAAGTAATTGCGATTTTGGACTGTGAATTTTAAATCATTATATCTGGGCTCAAACACATCTTTATTAATTAAAATAGGAGCCATTACAATCAATGCATTTTTGCCAATGAGAAATGAATTTGTTTATCCCTGTAGTGTAAAAATCCACGCTTTGGGATTCAACAAACTCTTGGAGAGCACTTTCTGCATCCTGCTGGTTGTGGAAGCATTTTCCCTGCAAAAAGTTGTTGAGATGCTTGAAGAAGTGGTAGTTGGTTGGTGAAAGGTCAGGTGAATATAGCAGATGAGGCAAAACTTCACAGCCCAATTCATTCAAATTTTGAGGCATTGCTTGTGCGATGTGCAGTTGGGTGTTGCCATGGAGAAGAACTGAGCTCTTTCTGTTGATCAGTGCCGGGTGCAGACATTGCAGTGTTCAGCACATCTCATCAATTTGCTGAGCATACTTCTCAGATGTAATGGTTTTGCTGGGATTCAGAAAGCTGTAGTGGATCAGACTGGCATCCAACCACCAAACAGTGACCATGGCTTTATTTTGGTGCAAATTTGGCTTTGGAAAGTGCTTTGGAGCTTCTTGGTCCAACCACTGTGCTGGTCATCACCAGTTGTCGTATAGAATCTATTTTTTGTTGCATGTCACAATCTGATTGAGAAATGGTTTGTTGTTGTTGCACAGAATAAGAGAAGACAACACTTAAAATGACAATTTTTAAAAAATTTTTGGTCAGCTCATTGGCACCCACTTATTGAGCTTTTTCACCTTTCCAATTTGCTTCAAATGCCAAACAACCATAGAATGGTCGACGTTGAATTCTTTGGCAACTTTTTGTGTAGTTGTAAGAGGATCAGCTTCAATGATTGCTCTCAACTGACCATTGTCAACTTCTGATGTCCGGCTACTACGCTTCTTATCTTCAAAGCTCTCGACTCCTTTGCAAAACTTACTGAACTACCACTGCATTGTATGCCCATTACAGTCCCTGGGCCAAATGCATTATTGATGTGAGTTGTCTCTGTTGCTTTATGATCCATTTTGAACTTGAATAAGAAAATCACTTGATTTTGCTTTTTGTCTATCATCATTTCCATAGTCTAAAATAAATGTAAAATAAACAGCAAGTAACAGGTCATTAGCCAAAAAACATAAAGCGAGAACTGCACATTAAAATGATGTATAGCATAACCACATTTATTTAAGAACATATTCCAATATCAATCTGCAAATTTCAACAATGCAAAAATCACAATTACTGTTGCACCAACCTAATACATTTAGCAGATAAAAGAGAAACTGTTCTTGCTAAGGTAGAAAAAATGCACTCAGAGCCCTGTCTACCTAACTTCTTTATTTAAACTTTCACCCCAATCACACACTCACACTGCATACAAAAAGCAAACATATTCATACACATATATTCCTTAGGGCCCTGTAGAACATCATTTGAACATGACCAATTAACACTAAGTAAACAATGCAAGACAATTAATGATTAACTTACAAAACGAGTGGTATCATTCAGAGATGGAAGATATTAATATCCACAAGGGACATTTTATGGCCTGTGTATAATTTATCTATTGCTGTGTAATAAATGCCCTAAAACTTAGAAGCTTAAAAGAATAACATTTATTATCTTACAGTTACAGTGGGTTAGGAAACTGAGCATAGCTTAGTGCGGTCTTCCAGTTCAGGGACTCTTGCAAATCTTCAAGGTGCAGACAAGAGCTGCAGTCATCTCAAGTTCTACTGTACAGTATGTGCTCATAAGTTCTTTGTTTTTGATAGGATTCTTTCAATTCTGAGATTGCAGGATCATTCAAGTTCATTGCAGGACTTTGGATGGGGTACATCCATTCTTCTCTGACGATTGCTTGTCTCAGTTGCTTGCCAGTTGGGCCCTTCCATGAGGCAGCTCAGAGAATAGCAGCTGGCTTCATCATAGTGAAAGATAGCACAAAGGAGTATGAACAAGATGGAAGTCACCATTTCACAAATATAAAAAATCTATACATTTATAATCAATATTATTTAAGCTCTTAAACATGAGAAATGTTTTACCAGTTATACTGATTCAGGTGATTTTTGTGTTTAAAAACTTTTCAGACTTTTTGTATTTTTAGACTTTTTTTCTGTCCAGAAACTTAATGACTATTTGTCTTTAAAATATTCTACACTTCACATATCTAAGTTCTATGGAATATTTCATAAATTCGAAGGAGAAACAGGAAGTTGATGGGAGATGTGATGATGCCATTAAGCAAAGCTTAATGTCTTATGTTAAAGGTAATCACATTTCCCTCTTTGAGGTGTGTGCACTGACTCTATTCCTGCCATAATATTGAGTCCCACAACCACACACTGATGAAGAGCCGGAACCATTGTCAGGGGTACTTACTTATCACTTCAGAACAAATTATCCTAAAAAGAACGAGACCAGAAAGCAGGTTGCTGTGAATTGGATGTTGACATGGCAATGAGATAATGTGAAGTGAGCAGCTGTGGGTAATAGGATAACTGATACTAAGTGATCTACATGAATGTCATGCAAACAAGGCACACTTTGAAAACTGAGTTCTCTCTTGCATAACCCTTACTGAATTCCACACGCAGGATTTCTAAATGCAAGACAATGGAATTCTTTCAGAAGCACTTCAGTAATCATGCCTCATTTTCTCAAGGAGAAACAGAGAGCAGCAAATAAAAAGAGCTGCATTTTCCTAAAAGAAAAGAAAGTACTGGATTAATTAAGGGTTTGATGCTTTTCTTCTAATACTTTTCCTGAAACATCTGGAATCGCAGAGCTGGAAGGTAGTGTTAGGCCTTAAAATATTTTTGCCTTTCCAGAGAAGGAGTCTTTTTAAGAACAGAAAAGCCTGGGGACTGGGGTGAAATCTATTGCACAGGAATCCTTGGGCTGCCTCACCTCTCCAAGAGCTCTTTGCATGTTGCTTGGGACCAGCCTATAAATTTTATCAACATTCTCTCTCTCCTACTTTTGTCTGAATTTACATCATATTTTCCCCAATTTGGATCCTTACAATCCATCATTCACCATACTAGTGCATTCTACTGGCCACTACTGATTCTTCATACAACAGTTACTTTAATATATGTGGCTCAGTGTTGCCCCTAGTGGGAGATCTTGCTATTGCCTCCTTCCCACCTCCACCCTATGTCCTCCCACTCCACCACTCACATCCTGTTCCTTGTTGGTTGCCCGTTAGCTTTCTGCTGGACCCTCAAGAGACCACTGGAGCTCCTATCTGCACTGCACTGAAAATTGCCCGGCCTTGAAAAATATTGCCCTGCCAGTCTGCTCTTCCAAGGACTTAATGAGCCCCTTAAAAGTATTCTGTTTTTACTCTCCTTTGGAAAACTGACTTCAAACAGTCATACAAATTTTGATAGTGATATCTCTTCCCAGCTCCCTGAGATTTCCTTGCTTCAAAAGGCAAGGCCCTTTAATGTTACAGCTTTCTTATCCCTCCCTCTGTGTACAAGATTTAAGACATTGCTTAGGGGAAAGCCCGTGTGGAGTATTTCAACCCTGATTATCGTCACATTCTAAGACATGGTGCTTTCAGGTGCTGGAATAAGGGACATGCCACTACCCCCATAAATCTTTGGATTTCTTGTGTCTTGCATACAATTACGTTCTTTAGGAAAAGAGCCCAGATTTGTTGTTTCTGTAATCATGTTTCTGCTGTCCTCAGAGTCCTACAATGACCACTCATAGTACAGTTAATTCCTGGAGGACAAAGTCACTCAGGCACATGCTTGATATGGGTTGGCTGTGTCCCCACCCAAATCTCATTTTGAATTCCCACGTGTTATGGGAGGAACCCAGTGGGAGGTAGTTGAATCATGGGGGCAGGTCTTTCCCCTACTGTTCTCATGATAGTCAATAAGTCTCACGAGATCTGATGGTTTTAAAAAAAGGAGAGTTTCCCTGTACATCTCTCTTCTCTTGTCTTCCATCATGTGAGACATGCCTTTCACCTTCCACCATGATTGTGAGGCCTCCCCAGCCATGTGGAATCGTAAGTCTAATGAACCTCTTTCTTTTGTAAATTGCCCAGTCTCGGGTATGTCTTTATCGGCAGAGTGAAAATGGACTAATACAATGTTCTAAGGTTTTCTACCTCTCTTTATCTTAAAGAGTAAAACCTATAAGGTTAAATACTATATTGGGTGGCTCAGAAAGTTAGAAAGCAATGGGAAATAAAGTACTAATGTAAAAAGGATTTTGAAGAGATATCCCAACATGAACTATAGTCAATAGGAAAATGGCATGGTCAAGGTGAAGATTGAGATATGCTTCAAAGGAAGAGCAGTTGACTAAGAATAGGAACAGGCAGGAGGGATGAATAACCATATATATCTATGTGATTTGAGCACTCAATATAGGCTAAAGACACTGACTCTTGTTCATTGTAATAAAAAGACAATATTTTTGTGTGTTCTTAGAAAATTAATGGCTTTACAATTATGCAGTCTGTTTTTGGAATGTCAAGTTGAATACTTCACAGTAAGAGAAGAAAAACAAGTTAGTTCGTAACTCAGGAGAGTGGTGTAATGGGAAATTTCATCCTTTGTATAATGCATATTATTGTGGTTTTTGAAATCCAAAATATTGAAATAAATCTCTCTATATCCATATGCAACTATCTATTCAGAAGGAGACTACATCAGGATATAAATACAATTAATTCATTACAAAGAACAAAAAAACTTTTAAAGGCAGACATTTGATGTTTTGCCCATTCTTTTCATTTGTAAGTACATGTAATTTATGACACTGTCAAAGGTCTTCAGAGAAACAGAAACAATAGAATGTGTAGATAGGTAGGTAGGTAGCTAGCTAGCTAGCTAGATAGATACGGATATAGATATATAGATATAGATATAGATATAGATGAAGATATAGATAGATTTATTTTAAGGAATTGTCTCACATAATTATGGAAACCAGCAAGTCCAAATTCTTCAAGATGGGGAGGCAGTCTGAAGGCTGTCAGGCGGGAGATTCAAGAAAAGATGATATTGCAATTCAAATCCAAAGGGACTCTGCTGCAGCATCCACTCTTGTTGAGGGTAGGACAGTTCTTTTTTTTTTTTAATCTGGACATTCAATTGATTGAATGAAACCCACCCACATTACATAGAGTAATCTGCTTTACTCAGAGTCCACCAGTTTAAATGTCAGTCTCATCCAAAATGTCCTCACAAAAACATACAAAATAATGTTTGGCAACGTAATCTGGGTACCATGCCTAACCTAGATGACACTCAAAATTAACTATTAGAGACACTTGGTTTCATATATATATATATATATATATATATATATATATATGAAACATATATATATATGAAACATATATACATGAAACTATATATATGAAACATATATATGAAACATATATGAAACATATATATATGAAACCAAGTGTATATATGTATGTATATATCCTGTAATCCTAATGATAGTGGATAAGTCATTCAGCTCATTTTTCCAGTCCGCAGTCTTATGTATAATGAGAAGACAAGATTTTTAAGTTTCATCCTATTCTAACCTTACCATGTCCTTTTCCCTAATACAGTGTCTTTCTCATTTTTCTACCCCTCTTCCCCACAAAGATAATTTTTTTTTTTGAGGTGGAGTCTCTCTCTGTCACTCAGGCTGGAGTGCAGTGGCGTGATCTTGGCTCACTGCAACCTCTGCCTCCTGGGTTCAAACAATTCTCCTCTTGACTAGCTGGGAGTACAGGCACGTGCCACCATGCCCAGCTAATTTTTTATACTTTTAGTAGAGATGGGGTTTAACCATATTGGCCAGGCTGGTTTTGAACACATGACCTCAAATGATCCACCCACCTCAGCCTCCCAAATTGCTGGGATTACAGGTGTGAGCCACAGTGCCTGGCCTCCCACAAATATAATTTTATAGATATATAACTGTTCCAGCAGAAGCAGGTGATAATTAATGGATCTAATTGTAAGAGGCTGACACCAATGATGGCTCGTTTTTATCTATGTGAAGATAATATTCTCATCCATTGTTGGAAGAATGTTTGAGCTGAGTTGCCTTTTAATACATGCTGATAGGCTTGAGCTCTCTTATCCTCATTTTATCAACGGGTTTACCTTAAAGCGAAAAGTACACATAATGAGAACACTTGCTATTATTTTAGTATAGGCTGTGCCTTTAGAACAGAGATAACTGGCATCTGGGAAATTTAAAGACCTTATTCACATTAGAGCTGTGTTCTCTAATCAACTGAGTGTGCGAGGCTAATGATCTAAGGTTTGTCTGCATGGCTATCTCACTAGGATTCATGGAAAAAAATAGCTTACTAATTAAAATACCAATCTCAAAAGGCATAATGATGTTAAACAGATCCTATCAAAATTTGTAACTTCAGACATGAACACTACATGCAAAGTTGCTAAGAGCACTTGGCTTTTCTGAATTAAGGAACAGAAAAGTAGGGCATTAGGAAGTATAAGTATAAACTTATTTAAATTTCACAATTATTAATACATAGTCCTATGTTTCTTATGTTTGCAAATAAGTTTCTGCTGTCACTAATCAGAAATGGTAATGACCAGTATGTTTTAAAAAAACAAAGTGAACTTTTCTTCCTAGAGTGCAAGGGCATCACTGAAGGTTGAGCCAGTGCCACACAGATGCTTGGCTCTGGGGATTTCCCTAAGACTCTGCCCTGTGCATACATCCTTGGACTCACTGTCTTCATAAATAGCTTAATTGTCTTAGTGGGAAAGCATGTGAAGCAGCTGGAAAGATTTCTTAAAAAGGATTATCGGCTGGGTGCAGTGGCTCACACCTGTAATGCCAGCACTTTGGGAGGCTGAGGCGGGTGGATCATGAGGTCAGGAGATCGAGACCATCCTGGCTAAAACGGTGAAACCCCATCTCTACTAAAAATACAAAAAAAAAAAAAATAGCCGGGTGTGGTGGTACATGCCTGTAGTCCCAGCTACTTGGGAGGCTGAGGCAGGAGAATCACTTAAACCCGGGAGGCAGAGGTTGCAGTGAACTGAGACTGTGCCATTGCACTCCAGCCTGGGCGACAGAGCAAGACTCCATCTAAAAAAAAAAAAATTATCAACAAAAGTAGATAAGATAGATATTATACAGAATATTGATATAAGTACACATAATTACACTCATATTTCTTTAAGAAAATTATTTATAATGTGGGCATTGTCTAGTATGAAATAATTTTAAAATAAATAGATACGTTTTAATTTTATAATTAAGGAAATCTAAGTTTCAGTCATTGCATTGTAGAATTAATTTAGCTAACTTTACCCAAAAGATCTATGTGATATTTGTGTAAGATTTGTGGAGACAGTCTTCCTTAAAAATAATTATGTTGAGGTCATTTATCACAGAATATTAGAACATTCCAAAATTGTAACCAAAATTGACTTATCAAAACTCAGAAAGTTTAACTAAAATTAATTCTCAAATAACAAATAGGCGTGTTATGAACATTGCATGAATTTTATGTCCTTAGAGAATAAATCTTCACATGCAACAATGGTCTTTGAAATGTGCTCATTTCTTGTAAAAGAAAAATTGTACACTGCAAATATAATGAATAGCAACACCAAATATACTTGAAGCAAGACTTATGGTGCTTGAGCCATCAAGATTCTCCTGTTTAACCTAACGTTGTTGCTTTTGAAATCTGAAATTTTTTAAATATGTCATATTGATGATGGATCCAGAATCCTAAAGTCATTTTACAGTCTACAGAAAAAGTAAATATTCTGTTAACTGCTATGTAACAGTCAGTTAACTGTTGAACTGCTATGTGTCAGTTATGTAACTGGTCCAGTTAAATAAATATCCAAATATGTGTGTGTCTAAATTTTGAGTTCTTTTATTATAAAGTTATGCCTATAAGATCACCCCAAATTATCTTTAAATTCAATTCAGTAAGCATTTTTCAGTTTTTTTTCCTCCACTAACATGTGGACAAAAAAATGCATGAATTGAGTATAACACTGCTGACCATTTTCTCTGTGATACGTCTGTTGCTTTTCAGTTTAGCTTTCACATAGGCCTCTGGCAATAACCTTATTTCTGTGATTGTATTTGTACCTCTCTCTTTTCTGGCTTCATTTTGCAAGGGAAAGCAATAGGTTCTTTCTCCCCTAGGTTAGATGCATTCTCTCCCGGGACTCTCATCTTCTATATGGATTCAGTTGTATAGAAATGACTGTTCTCTCTAGCTCATTCATCCTGATAAGCCACACTCTCTTAAGTGCCATATATTCTGCTTGCCATATGATTTTGTGCTTATAGCACAAATCACTTTTGCACTGTTATAAACAAGCAAAGGTTTATTGATGATATGTGATGAGATGTCCAATAAAAAATGTTTAAACTCACAAGAAATAATCAGATAGTATTTCTTACATTCCAAAGATCTGCCATGGGATCCTTTAACTATGGAATTTCTATGACAATTATTAATTTCTATCATTTAGTCGTAAACATGTTACCTGATTCCTTCATTAGGAAATCACTTATTATCAACTTTATAGGTAGAATTATAGATAAGATTCTAGGAAACTGTAAAAATTTAAGATAAATAATAATTTAATTTGTCAATTTAGAAGTACCCTCCTACATCTCAATATTAACAACCATATTTTCTTCTATACAGTGCACAGAATTAATATAGTATACAATTTGAAGTTGCCTTTTAAATGTAGGAAATTAACTTATTTCTTACAGTTATTACAGAAAATTGACAGAAAGAGCTCATGATGAAGGCTAATGCATCATAGTGAAGACTGAGACATCATAGGCTGATTCTTGTGGATGTAACTGCTAAGGTCTGAGTATGTCCCCCAAAGTTTATATGTTAAACCCTAATTGCCCGTGTAATAGTATTAAAAAGTAGGGCCTTTAGAAGGTGATTAAGTCATGGGGGCAGACCCCTCATGGAATTAGAGACCCTTATGAAAAGGAACCTGGGAGTGGGTTCATTCTCCTCTGCACTTCTGCCATGTGAGGTGACAGCATTTGTCCTCTTTGGCCTTTCTGCTCCTTCTACCTTGTGAGGACGTAGCCTTCATCCTCTCCAGAGGAAGTAGCAGTCAAGGCACCATCTTGGAAGCACAAAGCAACCCTCGCCAGACACCAGACCTGTCGACGCCTTGATCTTGTATTTCTTAGCCTCTAGAGCTGTGAGAAATACCTTTCTATTGTTTATAAATTACCCAGTCTGTGGTATTCTGTTATAGTAGCACAAACAAACTAAGGCAGTAACAAAAGCTCATCTAACAGGAAGAGAAGGCTCTATTTTCTCTCCCCTGCTTCATCTTGTGACACTCTTGCTCTTACTCTCTGCTCCAGCAACCCCTTCTTACAGTTCCTCAAATGGGCCAAGCTTTTTCTTGCCTCAGGGTGTTTGTATATGCTGTTCTCTCTGATTGAAATGCCCTCCCTCCTTACTCTTCACCTAGGTAATTCTCACTCATACTTCAGAAAGGACTTTAGTCAGCCTCCCAATCTAAATAAAGTCTCCTTATTATTATTCACTTTCATTGAATCTGTTTTTTCCACTTTAGTTTTCTTCAAATTTGGTTATCATTTATTTCCTTATATGTTTATCGTACTCTAAACTGCAAATTCTATGAAGCCAGGGTAAGTGTTTCATCATTATGACTGCAGTACCTAACACATTTTAAGTACTCAGTAAGCATTTATTGAATGAATGAAAAATTTAATAATTATGGGAATTTCAACTCTCTGAATAGTTCCTGTAAGATGCTTAAAGAGGAGGATAGGATAAAATCTTGACCTACGTTTCTGACAACCTCATTTCTTAAAGAGTAGGTGAAGTAATATGAGCATTTGCCTTCATTGATATAGATATGATAAATAAGTACTCTTTAGTAATAAAAACCTTAGAGGAATATAGAAATAGAAAGGGAAGACATTAGTAAACATTGCTATAAAGGTGTATTTACAGACTCATCTGTAAAATGGGAAAAAGACCTGTCCTGCATATATCATATAGTTTTTGTGGAGGTCAAATAAGCTAAGGTAGATAAGTAAACTTTGGAAACTGAAAAGCCTTATATCACTATAACATGATAGTAGCAGTTAAAGCCAGATTTAAAGAAAGAACATTTCAAATATTCAAATAAATAATAGATATCAAATGAAGAAAAAGGCTTTTAAAAATAGAAATCAAAGTTTATATTTTTAGATTAAGTCATTTTATTTTAACTTGAAAATAATGTATTAAAAAAGTTATACAATTATAAATTTGGAATTGTCTTAATTTTATTGGTCATAATCATTTTTAACATTTTATAGATATTTTGAATTTAATTTTTGTTTTTATTAAGAAAATTGGTGCTCTGTAATTTTATTTTTACTTAATGATATCATTCTTAATGGATAAATAGTATTTCCTATGTTAAGCTATTCATTCATTCTTGCATCTGTTCACTGATCCAGTAATTGTTCATTGAGCACCTACTCTATATAAAGTACTATGCTTGGTCCTGGAAAGATGGTAGGGTAGTCAATATAGAACATAACAAACAAATTACTCCCTTAAACATTTAGTTCTGGTGCTGACAAATGCTGGAAAGAAAGGTACATGCTGCAAGTGCATTTAATCTGATGACCTAGTTGGAGACTGCGAAGTTAGGGAAGACATATTTTGGGATGAGGTTTGAAAGAGGAGGAGGAGAGGTTAACTAAGCAAATAATCAGAAGACTGGCATATAGAAAGGCCTAAATGAAGAAAGGTACAGGTAAATGGAGTGATTTTCAGAATGGAAACATCTGACAATTGAACCAAAATTTAAAAAAAATGAAATTCTGAACATCTTGAAAATAATTCCACTTAGGAAAAACTAGAGAGTAGCATTAAATAAATGAAAAACAAGAAGATCTTTTAAACTCAAATTTTAGAAGAATACCTAAAAATTATGAAAGAAGAGACATATAATTAAATCTTATTCAAAGATCAACTCAAATGGTCTACAATTTGGGGCACCTTCTGTCATCTCCTATGCATAATTCAATTGGGATATCAAACTGAGCTGATACAGTATAGTTATTTTCTACCTTTTGGAAATACGTCATACTAGTTATTGCATAGACTCCCCAAATTATTGCATAAATCCCAAAACATGGACTACACACTGTCTTCATAGATGTGTTTCTCTGAATTATTTCTCACATGTATGTAGATGAGTTGTTAGGTATAATAAAATACAAATAAATTTAAAGGCATTACTTCTCCCTGAGAACTAAGCCATCCACTTCTCCTCCTAGCTATGTCACTGAAGCTTAGGCTACCTGACTTGCACTATCAAGATATTACTTCCAGGCTCATTGGTACTCTCTTCAATTTTGTTTGTCATAATCCTTAATGAAATTTAATATTCCCATAGAGAATCCTTACAGCGTCTTGATCTCTTGGTTACTTGACATACTTTCCCCTTCCTTCATCCTAACACTGCCATTTGTTACTTATCTTCACTGATCCTTATCTTCACTCAATCAATTTCAAATTCTCACATTCTTCTATAATAGGGAGATATTCATGGACAGATCATTCTCTTTGGGAATATTTTAAGAATTAAGGAATATATTATGTTTAAATTTGCAAAGTAATTTAGGACTAACAAAACATCTTCTCCTGCATTATGCCTTAGATCTTTCATTGGACAGCTCTTGTCCAGTTCCTCTTGCAACTCTGATAATTAATAAAGTTCAAGTTTGATATGATTTGGCTCTGTGACTCCACCCAAATCTCATCTCTAATTGTAATCCCCATGTGTCAGAGGAGGGGCTTGTTGGGGGGTGACTGGATCATGGAGGTGGTTTCCCCTATGCTGTTCTCATGATAGTGAGAGGGTTCTCATGAGATCTGATGGTTTAAAAGTGGCATTTTCCCCTGCACACTCTCTCTTCTGCCACCATGTGAGACGTGCCTTACTCCCTTTCACCTTCACCATGATTGTAACTTTCCTGAGGCCTCTCCAGCCATATGGAACTGTGAGTCAGTTAAACCTTTTTTGTTTGTAAATTACACAGTTTCAGGTAGTATCTTTATAGGGTGTGAAAATAGATGAATGCAAAGTTTTGGCTCATATTCTTGAATTAGAATAGTATCAGATGTCCTATAAAATTACTTGAACCTTGGTCATGTACTTCCTTGATATTCTATGTGAGTCATAAAACCAACTTTTCAGAAAAAAAAACATCCAAAAACTAGACTTCTGCCTATTTAAGCAATGAGGTAAACCAAAGAAAGTAGAGGAAGGAGGAGGATCTCAAAAGGTAAGAAAACTTATAATTGGAACAGAAAACACATATGTTGCTAGAACTGGGGAAGAATGACGTTGTGATAAACAGTTAATATTTTGCTACTAAGCTTGTTACACTGTTTTGTAAACCTTAAGATATTGCAATATTGCTCCAAGTATTCAACTTCTGTTCTGCACTCTAAATGGCTTAGAGCCAGAAAAACTTCTTTAATTCACAGATTTAAGCATTTAATAGGTCCTCTCTATAAATTGTGATTAGATGGCTTTTTTTTTTCATGATTCAACTATTTCAATAATAAATGTCAGCACAGGACACTACATAAATTAATACCTGTGTAAGGAAAAAAGTTTGATTTCTCATGGCAGAGAGCTATCCTGAAACTCAATAAAATATTGAAGAGTATTTGTGTTTTCTAAAGCATAGACAGGTGTTTTTTCATTGCCATTCTGCTATCAATTCATTCATTCATTAAACAAATGTTTATTGAAACCCTACTTTATGCCAGGTGCTGGACTAAATTCTTGGGGTATAAAGATGAATAGAGACATTCTTTTTTTTTTTGAGACAGAGTCTCGTTCTGTCCCCCAGGCTGGAGTGCAGTGGTGCGATCTCGGCTCACAGCAAGCTCCGCCTTCTGGATTCAGGCCGTTCTCCTGTTAGCCAGGATGTGTTAACCTCACCGTGTTAGCCAGGATGGTCTTGATCTCCTGACCTCGTGATCCGCCTGCCTCAGCCTCCCAAAGTCCTGGGATTACATGCGTGAGCCACTGCACCCGGCTGAAAAGAGACATTCTTAACTTCAAGTCTAGGATGGGTGGGAGGCAGACAAGTCAAGCAGCAATGGTAGTACAGAGCTATTGCCATTATGTTGGAATTGTTATAAGAGAAAAAGCAGGAACAATAGGTAGTCTGGTTTAAAGGAATTCAAGGAGAAGCATCATGGAGAAAAGATATATAACTTGAAACCTGGAGGATGAGTAACAGACAGCAAATGAGCTTAGGAGTGCGGTGAGGAGGGTGAGTAAAGTCGGTATCTTAAAGTGGAGCCAGGCTGTGAGAATAAGGAACATTTGAAGAACCAGAGAGGTTAATTTGACTATAGTACAATGTGGAATGGCAATAGGTGAGATAGGCGAGGCACAAGAATATTGGAGAGCCCTATAAGACATATTAAGAAGGGATCCTGAAAATCAGCATGGGACTTTTGACTTATACTTAAGGAAAGAAAAACACACATACATACCATGATATCTACCCTCTTAACAAATTTTTAAATGTACAGTACATTATTGTTAACTATTAGCACAATAGAAATTTGGCAAGATCATTATTAGATGTGTTAAGATGGCTTAATCATTTTTCTTTTGTGTGTGTTTGTCACTCTATTGATGACGGGGCCTGGTTCAGCTAATCTTGCTGACTCCAGATGCCTCTCTCCTCATATGGTGCTGTATACTGCATTTATCATAGGTTTTTAAAAATACTTTGTAGACATGTCTTAGTGAATTCACCTAGGAATTTCATATTTATTATTTAAATATTAATGCTGAAGCAAACACAATAAGCTTCAAAGTAAAACGACTCTAGAGGAAGAGGCCAAGAAATAAATGTACCAACTAATTTTCCTAATTATATTGACCCAGGGAGGCTGATTAATGTAATATGTGAAACTCTCTAGGCAGGAAACCATGTTTCTCAAAGGTCTGAGAAATTGCAAATCAAGCATGTTTTAGAATTTAGAAAATGTAAAACCTGAGTAAAAGTCTATTAACTGATTTTTAAAATGGAAACACAAACTCAGGAGGCTTACTTTGCTGTTCTGCTGAAGAGCTCGAGATTTATCATCCAAGGAGACTGTTGATTTGGTAATTTGCCCTCTGGCAGGTCTGACATTGGAATAATGCAGAACACTTGATTCAGGTCATAGAAGAAGCAACACTTTGGGCACAGCACAACACAACCAAGTGAGCACTGGAAACCTGGTGAGTTCCCGTTTTCTACTTCAAAAGTGCTTCTCAGCCAGTTGAGTCACGGGCAAAATGAGTTTTATAGAATGTTCTCTCCCTTCTTCTGAGACAGAGAATGTTCCATTATACTAACTTGCTTCCAACCCCCTATCTCTATCATAATGGTATATTCTTTTTTTCTCACTCAGGATTGTAGACTTTTGTGCTTTGGGGTATCTTTAACTCTCTTTACCCCAACATCCAGGAAGAGAACAAAAAGTTGTTCCTTCTTCATGATGGCACATTTTCATTCTTCTGGGAATGACTTTACTCCCATAAAATACTCCCCTAAGCAGCTTCCAGACTGAGGGAGAACATAGCCCCTTTCTTTGAATATCTGAGGAGCTGTGGTACAGAAGCAGCAGGCTGACCTGTGTTGCCTCACAGGGCAGCGAGAAGAATGGGCATCTGATCTGTGCTGCAGACCACTGTGTTCAACATCCAGCAACCTCACAAAAGAGTGAATCTCTTATTTCTTTATTCTAAGCAGAGTTCAGATGATCCTGTCAGGGAGGTGGTAGGAGAGATTTCTACATGGGAAACGTAGTTGGATTTGAATCTGATATTCTACGATTATTTGATTAAATCATTAATGACATATATATTGCAACAATTTATCAACTTTCTCAGCAGAGTATAGGAAATTCAGAGTAGAATTAAGTGTTATATATTAAGGGAAAACACATAAACATGTTCAATGGTATTTTAAAATAACTTTTGGCTTAAAGCATTAAAGCATCTTATTTAGGTACTATCTTCAGAAAATTAAAATTAATCACATATGCTCATCCATCTGCTTTATAATATCCTGGTAATAATACCCAGCATTTTAATCAATTTTAATTTAGTTAATACCCTCGTTTCCGTTTTGCAGAGGAATGCAGCACAACAGTATCTAGATGAGGATATTTTCTGGTATTTGGCAAACATGTATTTATTGAAACCTCATGAAAATAAGCAGAAGCTTTGAAGTTTAAGGTTGTCTAAAAATTTTGGCAGCATGCTGAACATGATAGGCAATTCTAAATGCCAGGTGAGATGTTAGTCAGGGAATCCAAAGTAGACAAGCAACAGGTTTGTGGACAATAATTGAATGTTCTTTCTGCATTGAGGTTTTATAAAAGAAGAAAAATAAACAGAACACAGTTTCTGTCTACCTTTATATAAAAGAATAACACTTTCCTCCTTTTAAGATTATAAGTTGTTTGTTTAAATTCTATAAATGCAGTGCATGGATCTTTGTTGTGGAGGAACTTCATGTTCTAGCTTACTTATTTGGTTAAAATATTTATTAAACGCCTACCACATATCAGGATATACCAAGTGGATATGGAATGGATTACTTTTTGCATGAATTCCTGCAAAACCTTTCTGAACTCTTTCCTTACCTTCAGCAAATACTCCTTCCAGTCCACCCTCCACACTACTGCCAGAGTCATTCTTTTAGAACACAGATTGCCGCACTGTCATAGTTATGCTTTATAACGGTTCCCACTGGCAACCAAATGAAACCCAAACACCTGTTCTATCATATGTTTGTATTTCCAGCCTTGTGTTCTAACACTCCCTTTTGTGTTCTGTTTCACCCATCATAAATGACCTACTACAGATTTAAGAACAATTATACTTCCATGCTTTCATATATACCATTTCCTAGACCTTGAATGCACTTTTACTCATTTTCTGCTTTTGCCCTAGTCAATGGGATATATATTGAAGACACTTCCCATTGACTTAATTTTTATTTCTTCTAAGAGTATCTCTTTAATGAATAAATTTCTCCTTAGTGTCTTGGTTTTGGTAATCTAGTTCCTCTGGTGAATGCAGGGTGGTTAGAAGGGATGACACTGGGTATGAGAGGAGGAATGACATGGGAGGAAGTATTTATGAAGAGAACTCAGATGAGGAGGCTGACAAAACGTCAATAGAAGCCAAGTAGGCATCTAGCTTTCACTGTCAGTACCAACTGATTCCACCACTCGAGGTTAAAGTCACTCCTCCTTAGGTTGAGAACTTACACATATTTCTGCCTCTTTAAGTATTTTTCAGCACCTTTCTCCCATGAATATTTGTCATCTAGTATCATAATTAGCTTCTTATATTTCTGCCTCCACCACTAGCCTGGTGTTTCTTAAAGGTAACTAGCCTCTACAAGGTTCTTGATGTGATTTGATGAATGAATAGCAGGCCTTGCTTCCACAGAAAGTGGCGAAAGAAAATGGTGACTTCCTCAGCATCAGGCATTATGGCAGGCACTGGCTAGGTAGGAAAAAAGACGATTAGGACTCCTTTTCTCATGGAGCTTAGTGTTTGCATGTTGAGTGGTGAGTGACAATTTTTATTATTTTTACTCTCTTTCCAGCTTTAAGGTATAATTGACAAACAAAAATTGTATATATTTATTGTATACAATGTGATGTTGTATACATTGTATACAATGTATACAATAATATATGTATACATTATAAATTGATTACCACAATCGAGGTAATTAACTTATCTGTCACCTCACTCAGAATATTTTTGTGTGTGCTGAGTACATTTAAGAACTACTCTTTTAGCAATTTTCAACTATACAATACATTATTATTAGCTATAGTCACCATGCTGTAGAGTAGATCTCCAGGATTTATTCATCCCATCTAATTAAAACTTTGTACCTTTTGAGTAACATCTTCCCGTTTCCCCCCTTTCCTACCCATCCCCATCCCCTGGCAACCATCATTATACCTACTTGTCTTGTGAATTTGAATCTTTATATTCCACATGTAAGTGAGCCCATGTAGTATTCATCCTTCTATGCCTAGTTTATTTCACTTAACATAATGTCCTCCAGGATCTTCTATGTTGTCACAGATGACAGAATTTCCTTCTTTTTTTAAGGCTGAATAGTATTCCATTGTGTTCTTCATCCATTAATTAATTGATGGAGATGGATTATTCCACATCTTAGTATTGTGAATAATGCTGCAATAAACATGGGAGTCCAGATAGTCTTTGACATCCTGATTTCATTTCCTTTAGATATGTACCTAGAAATGGAATTACTGGATCATATGGTAGTCCTCTTTTTAATTTTGGGGGGAACTTCCATACTGTTTTCATAATAGCTGTGCTCATGTATACTCTCACTACGAGTGTGCAAGAGTTTTCTCCACATCCTTGCCAACACTTGTCTTTCATCTTATTGGCAGTAGCCATTCAACAGGTGTGAGGTGATATTTTTGTTTGGTTTGTTTTTTTGAGACAGAGTCTTGTTCTGTCACCCAGGCTGGAATGCAGTGGCACAATTTTGGCTCACTGAAACCTCGAGCTTCCGGGTTCCAGCAACTCTCATGCCTCAGCCTCCCGAGTAGCTGGGATTACAGGCCTGCACCACCACGCCTGGCTAATTTTTGCAAGTTTAGTAGAGATAAGGTTTTGCTACATTGCCCAGGCTGGTCTTGACCTCCTGGCCTCAAGTGATCTGCCCACATTGGCTTCCCAAAGTGCTGGGATTACAAGCATGATCCACCGCTTCCAGCCTGTGAGGTGAAATCTGATTGTAGTTTCTTTTTTGTTTCTTTTTAGGCTGCGTCTCATTTTGTTGCCCAGGCTGGAGTGCAGTGGTGCAACCTTGGCTCACAGCAACCTCCACCTCCTATGTTCAAGCGATTCTCATGCCTCAGCCTCCCGAGTAACTGGGACTACAGACACATGCCACCATTCCTGGCTAATTTTTTTGTAATTTTAATAGAGACGGGGTTTGAAATGGCCGGGCAAACTCCTGACCTCAGGTGATGTGCCCACCTTGGCCTCCCAAAGTGCTGTGGTTACAAACGTGAGCCACTGCACCCAGCCTGATTGTAGTTTTGATTTGCGTTTCCATCATAATTAATGATGGTAAGCATTTTTCATATATTAATATTTATTGGCTATTTCTATGTCTTCTTTTGAGAAATGTCTATTCAGGTCCTTTGGCCATTTTCTAATTGAGTTAGTTATTTTCTTGCTATTGAGTTGTTTGAGTTATTTCTCTATTTTGAATATTAACTTCATAGCACATATGTGGTTTGTAAACCTTTTCTTCCATTCTATAGGTTGCCTCTTCATTCTGTTCATTCCTTCCTTTGCAATGCAGATGCTTTTAATTTGATGCAGTCCTTCTTGTCTATTTTTGGTTTTGTTGCCTGTGCTTTTGGGGTTGTATTAAGAAAAATCATTACTCAGACCAATGACAAGAAACTTTTCCTTATGTTTTTTTCCAGGAGTTTTAGGTCCTACACTTAAGTCTTTAATCCGTTTGAATTTATTTTTGTATATACTAATAACATGAGATAAAGGTCCAACTTTATCCTTCTGCATTGTGGATAGCCAGTTTCCCCAACACTATTTGTTGAGGAGACTGCCTTTTTCCCACATTGTGCATTATTGGCACCTTTATAGAACATCAATTGACCATAAATGTGTAGATTTATTTCTGGGCTATCTATTCTGTTCTATTAGTCTACATGTCTGTTTTCATGGGCAGACAATTTTTAAAGGAGAGGATCACAGAGAAGTATTACTTGTAATTAGGATATAATATGATGATTGCAATTACTAGGTTCTTTACAATGCTGAACATATAATTAGCTTTGCTTTAAAGGATAATTAGGTGGGTAAGATGAGATAAAAGTAGTATGTTATATAAAATCATGTTTAAAAGCATGAAGATGTAAATGTATATGTGTTTTCAGAGGCATGATTCATAATTCACCATGACTGCAATGAGACTAGCATGTGAGGCATGATATTTATTTAATGATATTTCTGACCCAGGATCATGATTCTAGGTACAAATATCTCCAAATGCCCTAGACTTTCCAAACCTAGTGCAATACTGCAAGACTGTAAGATCCATGAGAGCAGAGAATGTGTCATTGACTTGCGTATCCTAATGTCTCACAACATGCTTAGTCTCCGTAGTTCTAGAGTTATATTTCTGGTTCTGTCTTACCTGGTCTGTGAGAGCCTTTCTGTGATTAGCAATGACGCTTTGAAGGCACTGTTCTATAATCAGCTGTGTCCTGTGTGTATGAGAGCGCTTCTTAACGTGTACTTACAATCTGGGGATTTTGAGAAAAAGTGGGATTTTTTTTGTCTTTTTCCTTCATCTAGCATTGATTACTTCAGATATTCTGATTAGTATAGGTCAGGGACTATTCTCAAATATTAAGAATCTTTATCTTCAAGGAAATTGAATGTTGGTTAGTACTATGGGTTCAAGGCTAGGGAAAGGATCTTTCTTGTAAAATAGATACATTTCAAATAACAGGCTCTTTTTCCTGTGGGCAGAGAAAACCACCTTGTTTAAGTAAAGCAACTTGATCTCTTCAAGAAATTAAAAGGTGTTTCTTTTTAAAATTATCTTTGTTTTAGTAATGTAATACTTTAAAAGTACTTCTGAATATGGATTACAATCAAGTCAATTGGAGTATCTATATTCAGTCTTAACGCTGGTTTAAACATAGAGTCACAAATGTACTTTGTAGAATTCTGGCATGATGCTTATTAGCATTATCATTTATTTTTTTCTCTAGGATATTCACATTAGTTAAGGTGAAATATTTCTATAAAAAATGTAATAGAGCAGACAGCAGTCATACAAACAAGTTATATAAAAACAATAAAAATAAATAAAAACTTATAGTACTTGGGGAAAACTATCATTTTGAGACCAAACATCCCATTCTCCTCTATTCTTTTATTGGCCTTGTTACCAGCATGTGCACTTAGGTCCTCAAGACTGAGGTAACCTTTGTTTTTCTCATAAAATATAAGAGACAAATAACTTATATTTCAAGTTGACATTATTTCCCTGTAGAAAACCACATTTTTACTTAATCTCTAAATTTTGAATGTGGATTGCTATAATCACCATATTTGGTGTTTTAGAATCAAGACACGTATAGAATAACCCTAGGGAAGCTTTATGAAGCCTTTTAGATTTCAAGGCAAACAGCATTTCAAAGACAAGTCTACCTTTCTGGGGTTAAAACAACTTTTTAATATAAATGGGCATGATCTGGAAAAGGGAACAGTGTGTTGTCAACATCAAAAGAATGTGGCATTGCCTTTCCAAGATGATGCCCATTTAAAGTCATTTCTTAAAGCAGGTCCCATTTATAATGAGGTTAAAAATAGTTAGTATGTTGTTATGTGGGTTTTGCTGCATAGATTGGGCATAATCAGAAATTCTAATCATAAGAGTCCAAAAGAACATTATAATTGTGGAAAAGGGAGGTCTACCATGTGTCAAAGTCTCAGAAGGGAAGTGGAGGTTTATCATATCAGTGGTGAGACAGGTGATAGATGAATGGGGTGGTTTAGTGTCACTGCAGTGAATTTAGTGAGAAAATGAAAGACAACCTTTGGGGGGTGGTCTAAAAAAGAGTTGCGAATTTATGAACTAAAATCTATGTTATAATGGGATTGATCTCAGGAATCTTACTCTTACTTGTGTTATAGCCACAGCCTCATAGATGAGTCCAGTCAGTATTTTAATAAAAACCTTTCAAGCCAATTGGATGTGCATTACCTCCATGAACTTCTGCACAGCTGCAAGCATTCCAAATTTCAGGTTTATGCCTGTGTGTTCCATGAAGGTAAAGATCTCATTACACATTAAGTTTTTCTTTCTGTTGATAGAAATATTTGCAAAATAACACGTGAACAAAATTAGATTTGTTTTCTTTATTCTCGAACCTACATACCTCCATCTGTACTTAATTATGTGTTGTAAATGTTCAGAGTCAGTCATGGTAAAGAGCAAAAGCCCCAAGGAGAAGACTAAGAAGCCTCTTTTTGCTGCCACCTTTTCTTGTCCCAGGTATTTAAAAACCACAGATTTGTAAGGTGAACATATTGGATTAGCAAGAGATACATTTGAAGGTCTGTCTTGTTCTAGCATTCCATGAAATAAGAAAGGGACTATGACTCTATTTTATACCTTTAATGAAAAATAAGATCAAATATATAAAATAACATTAGCAACCAAACACCAAATCATAAACATGTCAAAACATTAGCATATAATATAAAGTAGTAAGTAGATTTACTGATTTTTGTTATATTTATGTCATCATGCATGTATATTCTATATCTACATATCTGATGTAAAAATTACACTGTGTCTCTGCCTGCACTGAAAATATTTTATTAGATACACATTAGGATGGTTATTGTAAAAAAAGAAGAAAAAAGTGTTGGTGAGGATGGGGAGAAATTGGAACCCTTGCGCACTGCTGGGAGTAATATAAAATGGCACAGCCACTGTGGAAAATGGATTGGCAATTCATAAAAAAGTGGTATATAGAATTACCACATGATCTAGCAATTCTACGTCTCGGTGTATACTCAAAATAAATACAGGCAGAGATTCAAACAGATATTTGTAGACCAAGGTTCATAGGAGCATTATTCACAATAACCGAAATGTGGAAGCAACCCAAATGTTCATTGAGAGATGAATGAAAAAACAAAATGTAATGTATATGCAGTGGAACAAAATGTGATGTATATACAATATTCAGTCTTTAAAAGTAAGTAAATTATGACAGATGCTACAACATGGGTGAACCCTGAAGACATCCTAAGTAAAATAAGCCAGTCACAAAAGGACATTTACTATAATACTTCAGTTATATCAGGTACCTAGAGTAATCAAATTCATAGAGACAGAATGCAGAATGTAGAATGCTTGAGGGAAGGGGAAGGAAGGGAAAACTAGTGTTTAATGGGTACAGAGTTTTCACGGGGGAAGATAAAAAAGTTACAAAGTGGTAATGGTTGCACAACAATGTAAACATACTTCTTGCCATAGAACTGTGCACTTAAATGATTAAAATAGTATATATTATGTTATGTATACTTTACCACAATAAAATATTCTATTAACATAAAAAATAATTAATATAGAAGTTCCAATTATACTTTGGAAACTGAGTCACTTTAGTTGGCTTCCTTTTCTGACTAGATTTTTAGGCAATTTACATTTCTACTTTTTCATTATAATGGAAGCCATTGCCAGAAAGTAAGAGAAATAGATGCTGAATAAGCAAAAGTAGCAAATGCTGTCTATACCATAGCTCCAAAGCAGGATGTAGGCTTGAGGTAGTTGCAAAAGCTAAAAAACCAAGTCAGGAGGAGAGTTCTGGCAATCAGAAGCAGAGGGACCATGGATTTTACAGAAGGATCAAGAGGGCTTTTGTGAATAATGTGTTTTACTTTTAGATTCTCTTTCTGCATCCGTAAAATGGGAGACTCATCGGATACTATTTACAGTTTTTGAATCAGTTTGAATCACCATACAACCCCCATTAATTCAGTTCAGCATTTTGATTCTCCCTCTAGATTGCAAGATCCTTTGAATATAATTGATGCTATTTTTATTCCTAAATTCCTTGTCATTTATGGTAATAATCTATTAATAATGAATAAATGAAGGCAAACTCTGTAACACAGTGCTCATCTTATCAGAATGTGCAGTTCAGGGAAATATTGATTTGCTTATCAGCCAAACAACTGACATATCTTAATTGATAAGTTGAAATATCCAATTCGGGAAAAGTATTCAAAGATTTTGTTAATCTACAAGTGCAGAATAAAATACCAATTTTGGTGAATTGAACCTGCCACAAAATAACAATCCATAGAGAAAGATAAGATAATAAAAGCATAATAACAGTCAACATTTTATTTAGCATTTACTAAGTGCCAGACTCTGTATTAAATACTTTTTATGAATTCTCTTATTTAAATTTCACAATGAATTTTAAGATATGTATTTTTATTTTAAAGGTGAAAGAACCCAAAGATATAAAGTTAAATGATTTCCCCAAGACCAAAGTAACTATTAGATTAATAGTTTAAACCCAGAGAATTGAATCCATGACCTACGGGGTTTTAAAACCAATGTACATTTCTTAAGTGGGGTGGCATGAGAAGAAGACCAGGAAGTTCTGACTTTGTGTAAGCATTGGGCCACTCTGCACATGTAACTTCTTAACTCAAAGATTTGTGCTAACTCTGCAATGACTGTTGGTGAGATCCTTATTAGTGGTCACAGATTTCACAGCTTTTTTTTTTCTGTTTTCTGTTTTAAGGAGTGAACATTTTAATGGTTTTCAGCAGTGAAATAGCCATTTAAGGTTTATTAAGAGCATCTGTAAGCCGGAGGCTTTTTGTGGAATGCTATGGGAACAGATACATATTTAAAATAAAAGTGACATGCCTATTTCTGTAAAAGAGGAGCTAAAATATTTCTGTAGGAAAAAGATCTGGTTTTTAAAACAGATAGTTAAAAGTACCTTTTTCAATAAAATAAAACGATTTAACTTTTTAAGTACATGATTTATTCATGCCAAAAAATTAAGTATATATGAGTTCTCATTTTAAGTGCTCATGTGAAAATATTTCTCCTTGCAATGCATGCTTTACAGGTGTTCCTGTAACATGGGGCCAGCCTTATATGTAGCTTTTCAATATGCTAGACATATGCGATACGTATAATACCGCTGACCAGGTGTACACTCATTGGTAATTACTGTCCAGCCTATTTAGCTCTTTTGGTTTTAGTGTACTACTAATGAGATCTAGCTCATCACTTCATTCCTCCAAATCACGTAGCTCTAAACAAACAAAGCATAGCTGCATAGAGCCATCCTCCATACCTTTAACCCAATTTAACTCTTGTCCATATGTGTTATGTTGATTTGGGCAAGAGAATCTCTGTTTGGAAACAAAAGAAACTAAATAAAACAAAGAAGAATCACCACCCCCACTCTCACCAGGCAACTCAAAATATAGGCCCTGACTTACCAATACTATTTTTACCTTATTTCTGCATTATTTGATGAAGCCATCAGTTTAATCATTATGTTCTATTTCTGAAGTTGTTTCATTGAAGAATAACAGACATGTAGAAAAAGAAAACACTGTGAATATACATCTCAATAATTCATCATGAAGAAAGTATTCTCATTTAACTGTCTCCAAGGTACACATGATAATGATTTCTAATATCATAGTCTGTTTTTCCCTAGTGTTTGGCTCCATGAATAAGTGTCTACTCACATTTTTGTTGGTATATACTAGGAAATGGGATTTGCTGCTTCACAGTGCAGGTTTAGATTCAGTTTTAAAACATAATACCAAACCATATTGCAACATTGGTTGTTTAATTTTACACTCCTACTACAGGGTAGGAGAGTTTCCATCACTCATATCCTTGCCAACCTTCTTATAAGTAACACAGGGCTGAGTTTTATTATTGTATCACTATGACACAGTGATATTGTATTCTTTTAATTTGGGACATTTCATACCTTTACATTCAATATAGTTATTGATATGATGTAAATCTGTAATCTCACTCCTTGCTTCATATATGATTCACCTAGCTTTTCCTCTGGTTAATGAGGATCAGACCCTATGTTTTGCTTCCTTGCCTTTGCCTTTCCATCTTCTATTCTAGCTTCATCAAGGGCCCTAGGGAAAAAGCACCCTCACATATAATTTTTTTAAATTCAGCAACTCAGACTTTATTCCAGATCTTCTGCAAAACAAAAACAAAAACAAAAACAAAAACAAAAAAAACCCTGCATAACAAGATCTCTAGTTTATTGTACACATTTAAATTTGAGAACATATAATTTTATAAGCATTTGGTATTTGGTGCCTTTTGTGTGCTAGGCATTTCATAAACCTTCTCTCATTTTCTCTTCAAAGAATTTTACATGAGAGAGAGAGAGGATAAGAGAAGAAAAAAAGAGAGGGAGAGAGAAATAAGTCAAGCTACATGGTCAAGGTCAGGTTCACAGATGTAGGAAGCTAAAGAAAGCAGTATGACCCAGTTTATTTAATTCTAAAGTCTGTACAATTTTCAGAGGATCCCATGGTCTTTCTTGTTAGTGATTGCTTACATCCACTTTTTAAATATAAAAAAGATACAAAATAATCATAAAGGTAATAAATTTTATAATTTTAGTTAACAAATGACTGTTTCTTTCTCTAAGAATATTTAACTATCATTTTACAAATTCATCCCATCAGAAAACCTATGTGTCTGTACACACATACACATGCAGAGATGTGCAAACATGTACATAAATATGTATAAAATATGTGTGTATACCTATAACATGTACATATACATATAATTTGGAATGTTTTCCCCTTTCATTGTATATATTTATATATATGTATACTGTCAAGTGTACACATATAAGATTTAGAATGTATTTTCTTTCCGTTTCTATTTTTTATTTCCAACTTTTATTTTAAGTTTAGGGGTACATGTGCAGGATGTGCAAGTTTGTTACATAGGTAAAACTGTGCCGTGATGCTTTGCTGCACAGATTATCCCATCATTCAGGTATTAAGCCCAGAATCCACTAGCTATTTTTCCTGATCTTCTCCCTCCTCCCTCTCACCCCCCATCTTCAACAGCCCTAGTGTGTGTTGAACACATGCATCCATGTGTTCTCATAATTTAGCTCCCACTTGTAAGTGAGAATGTGTGGTATTTGGTTTTCTGTTCCTGCATTAGTTTGTTAAGGATAATGATCTCCAGCTCCATTCATGTCCCTGAAAAAGACATGATCTCATTCCTTTTTATGGCTGCATAATATTCCATGATATATGTGTACCACATTTTCTTTATCCATTCTATCATTTATGGGGATCTAGGCTTATTCCATGCCTTTGCTATTGTGAATAGTGCTGCAATGAACATACATATGCATGCATCTTTATAATAGAATTATTTATATTCCCATACCTAGTAATGGTATTGCTGGGTTGAATGATATTTCTGTCTCTAGGTCTTTGAGGAATTGCCACACTGTCTTCCACAATGATTGAACTAATGTACACTTCCACCAACAGTGTGAAAGCATTCCCTTTTCTCCACAACCTCACCAGCATCTGTTATTTATGACTTTTTAATAAAAGTCTTTCTGACTGGTGTGAGATGGTATCTCATTGTGGTTTTGATTTGCATTTCTCTAATGATCAGTGATGCTGAGTTTTTTTTTTCCATATGTTTTTTGGCCACTTGTATGTCTTCTTTTGAAAAGTATCTGTTCATGACCTTTATCTGCTTTTTAATGAGGTCTTTTTTAAAAAAATTTGTTTAAGTTCCTTGTAGATTCTGGACATTAGACCTTTGTCAGATGGATGGATTGCAAAAATTTTCTCCCATTCTGTAGGTTATCTGTTCACACTGTTGACAGTTTCTTTTGCTGTGCAGAAGCTCTTTAGTTTAATTAGATCTCATTTGTCAATTTTTGCTTTTGTTCCATTTGCCTTTGGCATCTTTATCATGAAATCTTCGCCAGTGCCTATCTCATGAATGGTATTGCCTAGATTTTCTTCTAGGGTTTTTATAGTTTTGAGTTTTACATTTAAGTCTTGAATGCATCTTGAGTTGATTTTTTTATATGGTGTAAGGAAGGGGTCCAGTTTCAATTTTCTCCATATGGCTAGCCAGTTCTCCTAGCACCGTATATTAAATAGAGAATCCTTTCCCCATTACTTGTTTTTGTCAGGTTTGTCAAAGAGCAGATGGTTGTAAGTGTGTGGTCTTATTTATGGGTTGTCTATTCTATTCCACTCCATTGGTCTATGTGTCTGTTCTTGTGCCAGTACCATGCTGTTTTAATTACTTTAGCCTTGTAGTATAGTTTGAAATCAGGTAGTGTGGCGCCTCCAGCTTTGTTCTTTTTACTTAGAATTGCCTTTCCCATTTGTGCCCTATTTTGGTTCTATACGAATTTTAAAATAGTTTTTTCTAGCTCTGTGAAGAATGTCATTGGTGGTTTGATAGGAATACCACTGAATCTATAAATTGCTCTGGGCAGTATGGCCATTTTAATGATATTGATTCTTCCTACCCATGAGCATGGAATGATTCTCCACTTGTTTGTGTCATTTCTGATTTCTTTTAGCAGTGGTTTATAGTTCTCCTTGAATAAGTCTTTCACTTCCCTTGTTAGCTGTATTCCTAGGTATTTTATTCTTTCTGTGGCAGTCGTGAACGGGAATACATTTGTGAGTTGGCTCTCAGCTTGCCTGATGTTGGTGTATAAGAAAATGCTGGTGATTTTTACACATTGATTTTGTATCCTGAGACTTTTTGAAGTTGCTTATAAGCTTAAAAAGCTTTTGGGGCGAGATGATGGGGTTTTCTAGATACAGGATTATATCATCTTCAAACTAAGATAATTTTACTTCCTCACTTCCTAACTGAATACCCTTTATTTCTTTCTCTTGCATAATTTCCTTGGCCAGAAGTTCCAATACTATTTTGAATAGGAGTGGTGAGAGAGGACATCCTTGCCTTGTGCTGGTTTTCAAGGGGAATGCTTCCAGCTTTTGCCCATTCAGTATGATATTGGCTGTGGGTTTGTCATATATGGCTCATTATTTTGAGGTATGTTCCTTCAATACCTAGTTCATTGAGAGTTCTTAACATGAAGGGATGTTGAATTTTATCAGTGGTCTTTTCTGCATCTATTGAGATAATCATGAGGTTTTTGTCTTAGTTCTGTTTATGTGATGAATCACATTTGTTGATTTGCATATTTTGAACCAACATGGCATTCTGGGGATGAAGCCTACTTGATTGCAATGGATAAGCTTTTGATGTGTTTCTGGATTTGGTTTGCCAGTATTTAGTTGAGGATTTTTGCACTGATATTCATCAAGGATATTCACCTGAGGTTTTCTTTTTTTATTGTATCTCTGCCAGGTTTTAGTGTCAGGATGATGCTCGCCTCATAGAATGAGTTAGGGAGGAGTCCCTCCTACTGAAATTTTTGGAACCGTTTCAGTAGGAATGCTATCAGCTCTTCTTTGTACCTCTAGTGGAATTCAGCTGTGAATCTGTCTGGTCCTGGGCTTTTTTTGGTTGGTAGACTATTTTACTGCCTCAATTTTAGAACTCATCATTGGTCTATTCAGGTATTCAATTTCTTCCTAGTTCAGTATTGGGAGGGTGTATGTGTCCAGGTATTTATCCATTTCTTCTAGATTTTCCAGTTTATGTGCATAGTGGTGTTTATAATATTACCTGATGGTTGTTTGTATTTCTGTAAGGTCAATGGTAATATCTCCCTTATTATTTCTGATTGTGTTTATTTGAAGCTTCTCTCTTTTCTTCTTTTATTAGTCTAGCCAGCAGTCTATTTTATTAATTTTTTCAAAAACCAGCTCCTGGATTCATTGATCTTTTGAAGGGCTATTTTTGTGTCTATCTCCTTCAGTTCAGTTCTGATCTTGGTTATTGCTTATCTTCTGCTAGCTTTGGAGTTTTCTTGCTCTTTGTTCTCTAGTCCTTTTAGTTGTAATGCTAGGTTGTTAACTTGAGATACTTCTAGCTTTTTGATGTGGGCATTTAGTGCAATAAATTTCCCTCTTAACACAATGTTAGCTGTGTCCCAGATATTCTGGTACATTGCCTCTTTGTTCTTATTCATTTCAAAGAACTTGATTCTTCCTTAATTTCATTACTTACCCAAAAGTCATTCAGGAGCAAGTTGTTCAATTTCCATGTTGTTCTAACATTTTGAGTGAATTTCTTAATCTTGAGTTCCAATTTGGTTGTGCTGTGGTCCAAGAGGCTGTCTGTTATTATTTCAGTTATTTTGCATTTGCCGAGGAGTGTTTTACTTCCGATTCTGTGATCAAATTTAGAGTAAATGCCATGTGGCAATAAGAAGAATGTATATTCTTGGTTTTAGGGTGGAGATTTCTGTAGATTCTATCAGGTACACTTGATCCAGAGCCAAGTTCAGGTGCTGGAATGTATTTGTTAATTTTCTGTCTTGATGATATAATATTGTCAGTTGGGTGTTAAAGTCTCTGATACGGTTTGATTGTTTCCCCATCCAAATTTCATCTCGAATTGTAATTTCCACACGTCAAGGGAAGAACTTGGTGGGAGGTGACTGGATCATGAGGGCAGTTTCCTCCATGCTTTCTCATGATAGTGTAGGAGTTCTCATGAGATCTGAGGATTTTAAAAGTGGCACTTTCCCCTTTGCACTCTCTCCTGCCACCATATAAAATGTGCCTTGCTTCCCAGTCAACTTTTGCCATGACTGTAATTTTCCTGAGGCCCCCCCAGTCTCCTTTCTTTATAAATTAGTGATTTATAAAGAACTGTGATTCAATTAAGCCTCTTTCTTTATAAATTAGTCAGTCTCAGATAGTATTTTTATAGCAGTATAATAATGAATTAATACAGACAATTGGTACCAAGATAGTGGGGCATTGCTATAATGATAACCTGAAAATGTGGAAGCAACTTTGAAACTGGATAACAGTCAGTGGTTGGAATAGTTTGGAGGGCTCAGAAGAAGACAGGAAGATGAGGGAAAGTTTGGAACTTCCTAGAGCCTTGTTGAACGGTTTTGACCAAAATGCTGATAGTGATATGGACAATGAAGTCCAGGCTGAGGTGGTCTCAGATGGAGATAAGGAACTTATTGGGAACTGGAACAAAGGTCATTATTGCTATGCTTTAGCAAAGAGACTGGTAGCATTTTGCCCCTGCCCTAGAGATCTGTTGAATTTTGAACTTGAGAGAGATGGTTTAAAATTAGAACTTAAGTTTAAAAGCAAGCAGATCATAAAAGTTTGGGAAATTTTCAGCTTGACTATGTGGTCAAAAAGAAAAACCCATTTTCTGGGGAGAAATTCAAGCTGGTTGCAGAAATTTGCACAAGCAATGAGGAGCCAAATGGTAATAGCCAAGATAATGGGGAAAATGTCTCCAGGGAATATCAGAGATCTTTAAAGCAGCCCCTTCCATCACAGACTTAGAAGCCTAGGAGGGAAAAATAGTTTTGTGGACTGCGCCCACAGCTTCACTGCTCTGTGCAGCTTAGGGACTTGGTGCCCTGCATCCTAGCTGCTTTAGCTCCAGCCTTGGCTAAAAGGGGCCAATGTACAGCTCAGGTCATTGCTTCAGAGATTGCGGGCCCCACGGCTCAGTGGCTTCCACATGATGTTGGGTCTGCCGGTGTGCAGAAGACAATAGTTGAGCTTTGGGAACCTTCTGCCTAGATTTCAGAAGATGTATGGAAATGCCCTGATATCCAGGCAGAAGTCTGCTGCAGGGGCAGAGCCCCCTTGTAGAACCTCTGCTAGGACAGCATGGAAGGGAAATGTGGGGTCAGAATTCCCACACAGAGTCCCACTGGGCACTGCCTAATGGAGCTGTGAGAAGAGGGCCACCGTCTTCCAGACCCCAGAATGATAGATCCACAAACAACCTCCACTGTGCACCTCGAAAAGCCACAGGCACTCAACTTCAGCACATCGAAGCAGCTGCAGGGGGTGTACCCTGCTAAACCACAGGGACAGAGCTGCCCAGGGCTGTGGAAGCCTACTCACTTGCATCAGTGTGCCCTGGATGTGAGACATGGAGTCAAAGGAAATGTTGAAGCTTTAAGATTTAATGACTGCCCAGCAGGATTTCAGACTTCTGTGGGGCCTGTGACCCCTTTTTTTTTTGGCCAATTTCTCCCATTTGGAATGGAAATATTTACCCATTGGCTGTACCCTCATTGTATCTTGGAGGTAACTAACTTGATTTTGACTTTACTTGATTTCTCCCATTTGGAATGGAAACATTTACCCATTGGCTGTACCCTCATTGTATCTTGGAGGTAACTAACTTGATTTTGACTTTACAGGCTCATAGGCAGAAGGGACTTGACTTGTCTCAGATAAGAGTTTGGACTTGGACTTTTGAGTTAATAATGGAATGAGTTAAGACTTTGGGGAACTGTTGAGAAGGCATTATTGATTTTTAAATGTGAAAAGGACATGAGATTTTGGAGGGGCCAGGGGCAGAATGATATGGTTTGGCTCTGTGTCCCCACCCAAATCTCATCTCAAATTGTAATCCCCACATGTTGAGAGAGGGAACTGGTGGGAGGTGATTGGATGATGGAGGCAGTTTTCCTCATGATGTTCCCATGATAGTGAGGGTGTTCTGACAAGATCTGGTTGTTCAATAAATGTCTAGCATTTCCCCTGCACTCTCTGTCTCTCCTCCACCATGTAAAATGTACCTTGCTTCCCATTTACCTTCTGCCATGATTGTAATTTTCCTGTGGCCTCCTCAGCCATATGGAAATGTGAGTCAATAAACCCTCCTTTCTCTATAAATTACCGAATCTCAGATAGTATCTTTATAGCTGTGTGAAAACCGACTAATACAGTCTCCCACTATTATTGTGTGGAAGTCTAAGTCTCTGAAGGTCTCTAAGAACTTGCTTTATAAATCTGAGTGTTCCTAGATTGGATGCAAATATATTTAGGATAGTTAGATCTTCTCTTTGAATTGAACCCTTTACCATTATGTAGTGCCCCCTTTGTCCTTTTTTATCTTTGTTAAAGTCTGTTTTGCCAGTAACTAGGATTGCAACCCCTGCTTTTTTTGGTTTTTCATTTGCCTGGTAAATTTTCCTCCATCCCTTTATTTTGAGTCTATGTGTGTCTTTGCGATGTGAGCTGCATCTCTTAAAGTTAGTATACCAGTGGGTCATGGTTCTTTATCCAGCTCGCCACTCTACGTCTTTTAATTGGGGCATTTAGCCCATTTACATTTAATGTTAGTATTTCTATTTGTGGATTTAATCCTGTCATCATAATGCTAGCTGGTTATTTTGCAGACTTGTTTATGTGGGTGCTTCATAGTGTCACTGGTCTGTGTACTTCAGTGTGTTTTTGCAGTGGCTGGTAATAGGTTTTCCTTTCCATATTTAGTGCTTCCTTCAGGAACTCTTGTAAGGCAGGGCTGGTGGTAACAAATTTCCTCAGCATTTGCTTGAGGATCTTATTTCTCCTTTGCTAATGAAGCTTAGATCGTCTGGATATAAAACTCTTAGTTGGAATTTCTTTTCTTTAAGAATGTTGAATGTTGGCCCCAAATCTCTTCTGACTTATAGGGTTTCTGCCCACAGCTTTCCTTGGTTAGGGGTGGGGGTTCCCTTGGCTCAGTGTCACTCCTGGGTGGGCAGGCGCCCTGCCCTGCTTTTCTCTGTTCTGCATGGATTGAGTTGTTTCCCTGATCAGTTCCAATGTGAGTACCTGGATATTTCAGTTAAAGATGCTGTATTTACCTGCCCCTTTCATTCCTCTCCTGAGTGCTGCACAAGGTAGCTGCTTCTAGTCAGCCTTCTTGGCCCTGACCCCTCCTTTCTCTCTTTTAAGACATTGTAATTAAAAAGCCAGTAAGTCATAAATACTTATTTTAAATGCCTTCTTAGATAAAAAATTTTAATATAAAAGTAAGGATTACTTTTTTTTTCTTTTTTTTTTTTTGAGACGGAGTCTCGTACTGTTGCCTGGGCTGGAATGCAGTGGTGCAATCTCAGCTCACTGCAATCTCCATTTCCTGTATTAAAGAGATCCTCCTGCCTCAGCCTTCCGAGTAGCTGGGATTACAGGAGCCAGCCACCACGTCCAGCTAATTTTTTGTATTTTTAGTAGAGACAGGGTTTCACCATGTTGGCCAGGCTAGTCTCAAACTCCTGAACTCGTGATTTGCCCACCTCAGCCTCCCAAAAAACTAAGGATTTATAATACAAAACTAAGGAGATTTCAGGAAACCTAACTATTTTAATAAGTAATATTGACTTTATTTCTTGGAATATTTAAGTTTCTTTCACCATGAAAAATGTTAACAAAAATCAAATTATTTACTTGGTTTGGAATACGTGCTATTGCAAAGGCCAATATCTGAACAGTGTCAATATTAGCCAGAATGTCTGATTAATTTTAAATCTTTAAAAATACAATTAATGTTGAAATCTACCTTTTTCACATTAGCATTACACCTTTGCATAGTCACTTTTTTTAGTATTTCAAATAATTATTTAAAAATCAATCAATTCCAACACTACTATTTGTTTGCTATGTTGTAAACCTTAATATTTCCTAGATCTAAAACTACATTTGACAATGAAACAGTTGACTACCATTATAAACTTCATATGAAATATTTTGGATTTTGTTTTTCATTTTGAGTGCAGGCACCCATAGGATATTGAAAGTTATCAGGATATTCTTCCCACTCCAAGATCCAGGAAAGTAACACATCAATACAGGACAAGGAGATGCTTCAACATCAGAAATGCATGGGAGAGGTATGTGTTCTTCCCTGGGCTGATTTTGAACAGTTCTTTGAGGATTGCATTGACTCTTCCTACCTTCCACTCCCCTATGTGTCTGGCACATCAGTTTGCCCTTAGGTCCTTGCACTGAGTTTCTTTCCCTCAAGATTCCCTTTGCTGAAATTGTTACTGATTGTAATAAACATCCAGATGAGTTGGGCTGAGCTTTACCACTTGAAAGTATTTTCAGGTCAATTTTTTGTGATTTTTTAAAAAATGAAACCCTAATTTTACTATGGTGCTTAATGAACTTGTGATAAATATCAAAAAACTATGCCAAAATTTAAGGTTGGACCTGAGTTGTTCATATTTAGGGATTTAGGGATGACTAAGACATGAGTTCACCCTTTCCGCAGAAAGTTATGCACAGTAGAAAAATATAAAAACAGAAGGAAAAATAATTACTTTGTGCCTATTTTTGCTAGCTACTGTGCATACATTATTTTATTTTACACAAAAACCCTCAAGGAAGTTACATCACCTCTATTTTATGGAGAAGTAAGTGGGCATTACAGAGGGCAAGTATCATAATTTACAGCACCTGGTAAATTAGGAGGATTTACCTCATATGGGTAAATGGGACACAAGCTGAGGATTACAGGATCAAAACCCAGTGAGCCTCATTCCAAAGCCTCTCTTCTTTTCACAAAACATCTTACCCTGCCAGACTTGTAACTATTGGTGATATTTATGAATATACAGACAAATAGTAGAATAAATCTATGTGAGTAATTTTTTCTAACTTGTTTTTCTCCATGCATGGGAAGCAGGATGGCATAATGGTAGATAAATGCAATTTTGGTGGTCAGGCAAGCACGAATTTCAATCTTGACTCTAATATCTATTAATTACTTTCCCTCTAATATGCATTAGAGTATTAAACTGAACTAGCTTCTGTGAGGCTCTGTTTTCTCATATGTAGAATGGGAATAATAATGGTACCTAGATTGTAAGATTGTTTAAGTTATAAATGAGATAATGAAAATTAAATGCTTAACAGTGTATAGTAGATAGTAAGCTTACAAAAATATTAGCTATAAGTCTTAGTACCTATCGTCAACTTTAACCATTTAAAAACTGCTTAAAACAATGCACCTATTATTAGCAAAAAATTAAAAAGTAAGTCATAATTTATCACCATGCTGTGTCTAAAAAACATATTTTGATGAGTTGGCAATCATCCATAAATGCATTTACCATCATTTAAAAAATAAATGGGGCTGAGTGCAGGGGCTCATGCCTGTAGTCTCAGTATTTTGGGAGGTTGAAGTAGGAAGATTGCTTGAGGCCAGGAGTTTGAGACCAACCTGGACAACACAACGAGACCCTGTCTCTACAAAAATTTTAAAAATTAGCAGGAATGGTGGTGTGCACCTATGACTACTCAGGAGGCTGAGACAGGAGTTTGAGGCTGTCGTGAGCTATGATCAAACCACTGCACCCTACCTAGGCAAAAGAGCGAGACACTGTCTCTAAAAAAATAAAAATGTAAAACAATCTTTAAATTGGAAATAAAAGTATCAATACAAGCACAATTGCAGTTGCTTATTATTAATGAACTTTATACTGACAAGGAAAGTAAGGACTCAAAATGTCCATTTCCTTACATCTTTGCTTAAATCTTCCCGATTCTAATAAGGGTTATAAATTGGGAGTATTAATTGTGAAATCATTTTTAATAAAATCCAGGTACTTACATAAAATTTTGACCCACTTGTAATTGTTTGGTCTGGAACCTTCTGTAAAGCCATGATGTGAGAGGAACCACATAACACAATAGCTATAGCAATGAATTATAAATAAATAACTGTTGATATATGGAAAAAAGGAATTCATCAAGTTTAGCATTTTATTTCAGCTCAGTAGTGATACCACTTCAAACTGGTATCATTGACTAAGATTGACTTTACTGGTTGTCATGACCACAGTTCCAAGCACTCATAGTTGTTTTCAGTCCACTCAGCACCTTACAAAAGGGGTAATTTTCTTATCATTGATCTATTTCTTTTTCTTTGGCATGCTTTACATAGGGACCTTCAGAATGTGTCACCTTTCCAATCTTACCTGGGTCACAAGCTGGAGTAGGAAGGGCTATCATATTTCTAGCCTGTAGAAAAGAAAGATTTCCAAATATTTGGAAGGAATGGGAAGCCTAGTGGATCCAATTTAACTTCGCAATAAAAACACGTCATTGTACCCTCAAGATTAACAATCTAAGTAAAATATATTATATGTGAATGAGTATTTTTCCCCTCCACATGTGAATAAAAGTCTTGTGGAAACATTTTTTCCCATGAGACAAAATATTTTTGGATTTTATCAGAAATACTAAATGCAGCATTTTTATGTCTAGTTTACTTTTGCCTCTTATCTACAGAAGAACCCTGTGACTTGGAGAAGCTGTTACTCTGTCCTACATTGTTCCTGTGAGAAACAATACATTACAAAAGAATAGGGCTGTGTCTCAATAAAGCTTTACTTAGGGGTATTGAATTTTGAATATCATATAATTTTCATGTGTCATAAATATTATTTTTAAAGTGTTTTTTCAACTCTTTGGAAAAAAAGTTCTTAGCTCATCTACCATACAAACACAGGTAGTAGGCTGGATTTGGCCCATGGGCTGGCCCCTGCACCAGGTGACTGAATTGAAAAAAATTGACATACTGTGATGTTGTTGTATCTCACTCATACAAAGGTATTCTGGTCCTTCCCTAAAAAGAATATTCCCAAACTCTCACACTAAAACTAACAGCTCAGTATATTAATGACTATTTGAAAAAGTAATTCTTTGGCAAAATATAATTAAGTCAATTTTTTTATATGTTTTATACTCATAATCTGATAGAAAGTTAAATATTTTTACCGTCCATATTTTCTAAGGATACTTAATGTATAATTTTTTGATTTACAAAGGCTTAAGTCCCAATTCGTTTGTCATTAAACATGTTGAATAATTTACATCTATGTATTAAATAACTATAATAATAAGTTTGTCTGACAGCATAAAACCAATATGTTGCCAGATGTTTGACTGTTCATGGTTGCTTTTACATGCTCACTCTAATTTTTAAGGAGTCTAGGAAGCTCATTTTTGAAAATTATCAGGTGAGGATGTTTTAAAAAGTCAATAATGATGGCGATAAATTAAGATGAAGACCCAAACCTCATTCTTTAATCCCTTTGGGCCTTAGTGTCTTCAACGACTGAAAAACAAAAATGTCTGTCTCATGATTTCATGGAGATTCTTTCTAAATGATGACATGCTAGAACCATATAAAGGATTATAAAGGCTAGGATCATTATTTAAATAAAATATCGACTTTAAAGATCAAAAATTGTGGGTATATATGTACGCTTTTTAAGTGGTTATTACATGAATTCGAAATTTGGAATTAAGTATGGAAGTAGAAATTTCTTTGAATGCATGTGTGTTCGCGGGTATATGGCATAAGACAGATGTGTATATATTTACAAGGAGCTTTAATTTATATATTTTTAATAGACAGTTTTAACAAATTGGACTAAATGTCTCTTAAATCTGTACTTTCATTACAGAAAAAGATAAAATTATGTGAAAGAATATGACCCAGTTTTTCAAATTAACATTCATGAGGTTTGGTGACTAAGTCTTAGCAGAACATATTGAAAATGTAGCTCTGATTGTTTACAACCTTTTCTACTACTATGTTTTTTAATATCAGCATTTAGAAAGCCCCCAAGGATGCATTTATCTGCATTAAGAGCACCTAAAATCACACGGTTAGGTGACTGTCTTTTTTTATTCTAAAGATTTATTGTCACAAAAGCAAGGCTATGTTTTCTGCTGATCTAAATGATAAAATTAATGCATGCTCATTTTTTAAAAGTTGAAAACACTGAAGGATAAAAGGAAGACAAAAATTCACACATTGTCCCACTGATCCAAACAATATCACAATTAATATTTTGGTGAATTTTAAATCCATTTATGTTTAACCTATTGAAATTAAAATTTACATCAGTTTTGCATACAGGCTTTTAAAATGTAATATTATGCCATAATCCTTTTTCAATATAATCATACAGGATGTATAAACATCATTGCAGCATTCAGAGCTGAATCAAGGAAGAAGAACCATATATACATATGCACACACATATATCTGGTTCTTTATATGATCTATAAATATATTTATGTATTATATAATATACTATATTATATATAAACCATATATTTACATTATATATAAACCATATATAATATAGTTCAACCATATTATATGTATCTTATATATTGAGAAGCCAGTTACAACGATGTGATCTTATGCAATTGAGAAAGCAGGATAAACAGTCTATATGAAGCTACTGCTCTGTGTCTGATGCAAGAGGCTGAAGTCATCTGGGTGAGTAGTTGAGAAGGAAGGATAGTAGTAAAGTACAGATGGGGTAAGGGTAAGCTGGAATCTAATCTACAAGGATAAGCTGGGACCTATGAGGCAGGACTGGATCACACACTGGTTTCTGATGGCCTCCAAGCCTCCAACTTTGATAACAGGGATGACCAGGACAGAGAAGTTGACAGCCACCTCAAGCAAAACACATTCCAGGCCCAGGAGGTGAAGCAGCTGATGAAAGGGAACTACCAGGCACTGTAGGAGCTATGGCCTGGCTGCTGATCCAGGCCAACACAGGAAGCCAGCAGATCAAGGAGGAGAATCAGGAGCTATGACACTTGCAGAACTCTGCTCTGTCCTTCCTCTTGAAGAAAGAATATGCCTTCTGTGACTTCACTTTACCTTCCAAATCTCAATCTCATACAAAATGTCTTTTTCTGGCACTCTAACTTAAAACTGTGCGGGGTAGGGAATTCTGGGAAATACAAATCCTGCCTAAGTGGACACAATTCACAAAGTTCATCTTTATTTTAAGGCCTATGAACTATTTCATGAAGTACACATACCATACTCAGCATCACTGTACCCAGCTATTGAATATATGGAAACACTAAGATGTCTAATAGTGTTTATATATACTCTATTATTTTGCACGTTGTCTCTGAGGATCGTGGTGCTTGGCATTTGTTAATTGAGAAAATTGACTGATTCTTCTGCTTTTAAACCTTCTTAACTCTCCCTTTCTTCAGGTCTCAGCTTAAGTGTGAAAGTTGAGGAGAAGTCTCTCCTGATTCTGTAAAGTTGGTTTGTGATCCTCCATGGTGTTCCCAAAGCATTATGTATGCAGCATCCTTATTTTTCAGTGTAGTTTCCTAAGTACCCGTCTGTGCCTTTTACTACCCTCTAAATCACTTGATGGCAAAGTATCTTGCTTATTGTTAAATCTCCAGTTCTTAGGAATGTTCTTGGCACATAGTAATTTAGCAATTAATGCTTACAAATTAATGAAATTATACCATTAGTCAACCAAGAAGGTGCACTATTTTCATTTTTATTACTTTCCCTATTTGAAAAATATGCTCTGATTTTAGTTACCTGAATTTTCCTCAGAAAAATTGAATGAAAACTGCTTTCCCTTGGACTCATAGGGTATTTTTTCATTACCAGTGCATAAAAATTACTTGAAATGTTTTCCACTAGAGTCGCTCGAGGGGTTAATATCCTCTGAAATCAAAGACATTTCATTATGATATAACAATGTTTTGAAATTTTCTGTTTTGGATTGACTATTAAAGTTAACAAGCAATTGTTGTATACTATGCTTCTGCTAAGACTCCAGATAACTTTAGATAATTCATTGCTATTTTTTGGTGAATATTAATATGAAAATATTAATATTGATATTTATGTCATTGTTCCTGATTCACCTGTTACTCAAGATGCTTTTACAAAGAATAGTTCCAACCTAAAGGAGGAAAGGGAAGGCATGAATAAAGAATAGACAGAGGAAAATTTGATGTTGTCTGATTATTTTGCTTTATGTTTCTACTATTTATTTTTGTAGTATTATTTATATTTAAAATGTTCATTATTGTGCTATTCTACACATACCAATTGTTGAATCCATAGGTATGTGAGTGGGTTGGTAGTGATGGGAAGATAGCAGGCTCTTTTCCAAAATTTGTGATATGGCTATGTGTATTGAATTGCTTTCTCATGATAGCTTCTTTCTGTATATTTTTAGTTTTATTTTCCACCAAAACCAGTAAGTTCTAAAATAGTTAAATATTAAATAGATTTCACATATATTTTTATACTTTCATGTTACCAATAACTCATTCTTTTCATTATCCCAAATATTTGTTCCATTTTAAGTTTCTTTTCTGTGATATGGTTGGTCTTGGTGAAGTCATCTTTTTAAAAAGTGAGATAATCTGGTTTGAGGTGGTATTTGAAATAAAAAGCAAAAAGTGAGATCGTTGGGCTTAAATTTTAAGTTTTCTTTCTTTGTTTTGCAAGCAATCAGAATTGAATCTCTCAAAACAAAGTAGAATACTCAAGTATCCTGAAGAAATTTTGATGCATCAATTACAAACAAAAGCATTTTCAATAATCTAGTTAGTAAAAGATAATCACTTCCCTTTGTCACTGGATAATTTTAGATTTGGTGGCCTGTAAAATTTTGAGATAAATAGCTATAACTCCATGTGTTTTCTTCTTTTAGAGTTGTTGTTGCCATTGAGATGCACTGTGTTCTCTATCTCTGACAGTTAGATTCCAATATAACTTATCTCTGTCAAGCCAGCTTCCCTGAGATGGCAGCCAGGAAATCGCTATGCACCACTGATGATGAGGTGAGATGCAGCAGAAAGTATGGGTTGCAGCTGAAGATATCTATGGCATTGCAGCACATTCTTCCTCAAACTTTGGATTTTTGTCACTTAAGAAACAATTTGCAGTCAATGCCTGAATAAACAACCCAGCTTACTCAATTATTGAATAGTACATGGAAATTTCTAATTGTATTCTTTCATACTGTATTATTCTGCTGATTGGAATTAAGAGAAATGTAATATGAAAGAATATTGCTTCTTGGATTTCAGAGTTTCAAAACCTTGCCTTTGTCCCCTTGGTGTTTCTTTGATGTATCTGTGCTTGAAGTTATTTCTTTAATTTGTTTCCGTTGGTTTAAGAAAGATTATAATTCAATGAACTATTTTTTTTCTTCTCGCGTGGCTTTGCATTTCTTTCTTTACAGAGTTAGGGGAAGCTTACCTAATTAAGTTATTTCATTTCATTGTGCAGATCACCTTTTACCTGTCTGGTACCTGAGATGAGTGGTAGTTATCAAAAGCAAAATGACTGATCTGCAGGGGTAAAGAGTAGGGACGATGGGATTATGATGGCTGATGACTGCTGCTATTCAGAGTCAGGCACTTTCATCTCTGGATCCATATCTTATTTATTTTTTCACCCGCAACACATAGAGCAATGCCAAAGAACACAGAAGATAATCAATAACTTTTCAAATGAAAGAAAGAGCAGTAGTGCCTGAAAGAGAAATAGGCATTATATTAGAAGCAAGCCTGCAGCTGATATTTCTGAGAATATGAGTCAAATGTCTTATTTCTGAATGTTGGTACCCTATATGAGCTGGGAGACAGGAGACAGATGATATTTACTACACTCCATGTCACCCCTCCTGCCAGGCAAAGTTGGAAACAGCAGGGACACTATGAACTCCCTGGTACTTCCTGATGTGTCTCAATGGTGCTATAGCTCATCTTGTTTTTTCTTCCTCCTCTTACAAAAAGCATAGTGTAAATATCCTCGAGGTCTCATTAAGCATCTTTTAACTTTGGTGATTCTTCTCAGAATTAACGGTATAAGATCAGGGCCACATATCATTTTTTTCTTTAAATGCTGCTCATCTGCACACTGGAGGCAAGAAGGGACCATAGCTGGGTGGTGGAGACAAGGAGAAAAGGGTGAATTGGACATGAACTCACACATGAACCTACTAAGCTCTTGCTCCATCTCTTAATCAATTCATGATATGGCAGGAGAAAAGACAGATACTACCATTTAGATATGTGATAAATTTAAACCAAATGCAAGTGCTATGGTTTTCAATAGTAAAATTTATTTCCAAAGACACACTGAACGTAAAGTTTTATTTAAATTCTAAATCATTCCAAAAAGGAGTTGAATTTGGAGTGCCTATGTATATATAATACAACAATATAAATATATCATGTGTGGTAAACTAAAAGAAAATTGACAATGAAGTTTAAAAAATAAGGTGCAATCTAGAGTAAGGACAGTCCCCATGTAAAGAATAGGAACATACAATAAGGTTTTCTTTTTCTTTTTTATTTTATTTTATTTTATTTTATTATTATTATACTTTAAGTTTTAGGGTACATGTGCACAATGTGCAGGTTAGTTACATATGTATACATGTGCCATGCTGGTGTGCTGCACCCATTAACTCGTCATTTAGCATTAGGTATATCTCCTAATGCTATCCCTCCCCACTCCCCCCACCCCACAACAGTCCCCAGAGTGTGATGTTCCCCTTCCTGTGTCCATGTGTTCTCAATGTTCAATTCTCACCTATGAGTGAGAACATGCGGTATTTGGTTTTTTGTCCTTGCGATAGTTTACTGAGATGATGATTTCCAATTTCATCCATGTCCCTACAAAGGACATGAACTCATCATTTTTTATGGCTGCACAGTATTCCATGGTGTATATGTGCCACATTTTCTTAATCCAGTCTATCATTGTTGGACATTTGGGTTGGTTCCAAGTCTTTGCTATTGTGAATAGTGCCGCAATAAACATACGTGTGCATGTGTCTTTATAGAAGCATGATTTATAGTCCTTTGGGTATATACCCAGTAATGAGATGGCTGGATCAAATGGTATTTCTAGTTCTAGATCCCTGAGGAATCGCCACACTGACTTCCACAATGGTTGAACTAGTTTACAGTCCCACCAACAGTGTAAAAGTGTTCCTATTTCTCCACATCCTCTCCAGCACCTGTTGTTTCCTGACTTTTTAATGATTGCCATTCTAACTGGTGTGAGATGGTATCTCATTGTGATTTTGATTTGCATTTCTCTGATGGCCAGTGATGGTGAGCATTTTTTCATGTGTTTTTTGGCTGCATAAATATCTTCTTTTGAGAAGTGTCTGTTCATGTCCTTCACCCACTTTTTGATGGGGTTGTTTGTTTTTTTCTTGTAAATTTGAGTTCATTGTAGATTCTGGATAAAATTTTCACAACCTACTCATCTCACAATAAGGTTGTCTACAGAATTGTTAAAGTTGACCAATAAAGTAGTCAGGGTTGTGCAGAGAAACAGAACCAACTATAAATATATGAAGAAGTTCATTGACTCATGTAATTACGAAAGCTAGAAATTCCATAATCAGCAGTCTGCAAGATGGAGGCCCAGGAAACCTCATGGTGTTATTTAAAGACTTGAGAGCCAGAGAGGTGATGGTACAGATTTCAGTCCAAGTTTGGAGGCCTGAGAACCAGGAGCACCAAGAACAAGAGAAGGTTGACATCCCAGCTCAAGCAGTCATCAGAGAGTCATCAAATCCTCATTTTCTCCACCATTTTGTTCTATTCAGGCCTTCAATAGACTGAAAAATACCCACCTATATTGGGAAAGGCAATCCACTTACCCTGTCTACCAATGCAAATGTTCATCTCTTCTGGCAAAACCCTCAGAGACATACCCAGAAAGAATATTTAACCAGATACATGGGCATCATATGATCTAGTCAAGTTGATGCATAAAATTAACTATTATTATCTCTCATCTTCTTAGTGGTCAAGACTACGTAAGATGAATGTAATGGATTACTGAGGAGACATATTAGTCTTCTGGCATTGAAATTTGTAAAACATTTCTCCTGTGACTTCTTATAAAGGAGAAATAGTATGATGCCCTCAGCATTTCCAAAATAAATATAATAGTAAGTTTCAAAAAACTGCACCTTCATGAAGGCCAATGTCATGAGGCCAGAGTTAGCTCAGTTGAGGCGATTCCATGAGACACTGAAGAAAACTTATCCCCATATATACTTTTCAATATTTAGATTGATGCAATAATAAATTTAGTCTATAGATCAGTGCTTTTCAGTATTTAGTGTGGTATTCCGTTAGGGTAGATAATTGATCAATAATATTTAAAAATTCAAAAAAAGTCCTACACTTACATAGTCAATTGGTATTTAATAAAAATACTATTGTGGAACTATTTCAACCACTGGATACTCATGGAGATAAAATGAACGTCAACCACTATCTCACATCATATACAAAAATTAAATTGTGATGGATCATAGACTTAAACACAAAAGCTATAACAATAATGTTTCTATCAGAAATACAATAATATATATTCACAACTTAGGGATAGACCTAGCTTTTATGCTGTTCTTTTTTCTTTTGACATTCAGCGTACATACTGGAGATGTTTTATGTTTTATCTAGGCAATCAGCATAAAAAAATAAATTCAGCAACCCAAAACTTTTGTTCATTATAAACAACACCATTATAAAATGCATAAACAGACCACAGGCTGGAAGACTATATTTGCCAAACACATAAGACTGCAGCTTTCTATTTGACTTTCAGCTTTTTAGTTGCACAGACTGAGGAAAGCCCTCACTCAAGTGAAAAGCTAATAAATGTGTGTCAGTCAGCGCAATTTTCCTCTTTCAAGGGTGACTCCCTTCAAGTTTCTGCCTGCTTTAGGCCCTGGTCCAGTGGATTCAAATACTTCTTTTAAATTTAGGGTACAGAAGCTTATAATTGTTATTTGTTAGAGGGCTAATCCAACCAAGCTACTCCACAATTTCTTAAGGTGATTCTTATAAACTCTAAAGTTTAAGAAGCACTGCTGATTTTTTTTTTTTTTGGAGCGGGGGGCTGGGGGGTGCTGATATGTAAAGTCAGTAATTCCTTTCAGCCAATAATATTTCAAGATCTTATTTAGTAAATGAATGCATAAGGTGGTCAAAAGCAGTATGGAAAAAGAAACTAATTCTTCATCTTTGAAGGAGATGAATGTTCAAAGATCAAACATTATTTCTTTAAAATATAATTAACTTGGTATGCAGTAAAAAAAAAAGGGACTTAACAAATGTCCATGATTGTAATGTCCATGCCAGAATCCAAAACTGACCTCTGAATCCTTTATATAATCCCAGGGCTCCCTATGTGGAGAATAATTACAGAATTTGGCATAAGAAGAGTAAAATATGAGCTCACCTCCACTTCTTAATAGCTCAGTTGTCTCAGGTGAGTTTTGTGGTCTCTCTGACCTGAAGTAGACGTCTTAATTTTATTAGCCTGAGAAGATACTGTGAATAGCAAATGAAGTAATAGTTTTTGGAGCACTTTGTAATTAAACAGTGATATAAAATACTATTTATTACTACTATTTTCATGGTTGTACCTGGAAATCATTCATTTGCAGTCTGTTAATTTTTTTAAAGAACTTACTTAAAAAAATGAAAGCATATGCAAAGCTAATGATACAAGTCAAAGGAACCCTGGTAGCTCATCACCCAACTTCAACAACCATTAACTTTCAACCTTTTTGCTTCATCTATTATCACCTCACTTTTTTTTCTTGACATAATTTAAAGCAAATATAAGACCTTATATTATTTCATTTGCAGATACTTCCATATGTTGCTTTACTGGTTAAGAATTCTTTTTATCTCTATTTGTTAGTAATTACTTAAAACACAGCCATGGTACCACTACCCAACACAACAAAATTAATAGTAGTGTTTAAATATTACATAATACTCATTCCGTTTTCATTTTTTCTCAATTGTCTCACAAAAGTATTTTTAAAGTTTGATTATTTGAATTAGGATTAATACAAGTTCTACCCACTAGATTTGGTTTATATGATTCATAGTTTCATTTAAAGTATAAAAATTATCCCTCCTTTCTTTTTCATGCTATTTAGTTTTTATAGCAACCAGGTAATTTGTCCTGTAGTATTTCTTTTATTCTGGATTTCACCACTAATAAATAATGGATCTAAACAACTATCATCAATGGCTGATAACACTGTTAGGTGAACAACTGGTAGAAAACTTCATACTAGATATAACATATAGATATCATCTGAACCCAACAGTTATTGTAAACATCATTGAAGTAGGGCAGCAAGACATTACATTCCTTCTGCTAAATACATACTTGTAAAAAAAAGTATTATTATAATACTTGGGAGGCTCCTTGAAATGTTACTTTCTTTAAAATCAAACAAGAACTGTGAGAAGATAATTTAAATTCACTTTATAGATTCAATAAAAATGTATCTACAAACAAGAATGTTGTAGTCACTAAGGAATCAAGCCAAGGCCAAAGCAGTACAGCAAAATAAGTACCAAGAGGGAAGTTTATAGCAATGAATACTTGTGCCAAAAATGTAGAAGGACTTCAGATAAACAATGATGCACTCAAGGAGCTAGTAAATCAAACACAAAATTAGTAGGAGGAAAGAAATAATAAAAATCGGAACAGAAATAAAATTGAAACCAAAAAAATACAGAAGATTGAAAAAATGAAAAATCGTTTTTTTGAAAAGATAAAAAGAATCAACAAACCTTTGGCTAGACTGAGAAAAGAGAGACGATCCAAATATATGACATCACAAATAAAAAGACATAACAACGGAGACCACAGAAATACAAAGACTCATCAGAGACTATTATAAACAACAATATGCCAACAGCTGGAAAAGCTATAAGAAATGGATAAAATCTTGGACACATATAACCCATCAAGATTGAACCATGAAGAAATATAAAACCTCAGTAAACCAATAACAAGTAATGAGTTCAAAGTTGTAATAAAACGTCTCCCATCAATGGAAAGGCTGGGACTGGATGGCTTCACTGCTGAATTCTATAAAGCATTTAACAAAGAACTAACACCAATTCTACACAAAATGTTCAAAGATATGAAGAGGAGGGAACATTTCTAAGCTTCTTCTACAAGACCAGCAATACCTTGATACCAAAATCAGACAAGTACAGAAAGAAAAAAGGAAAACTGCATGTCAATATCACTGATGAACATAGATTTAAAAATTCTCAACAAAAATACTAGCAAAATGAATTCAACAACATATTAAAAAGATTATTCACCATCATCAGGAGGGATTCATCATGGGGGGTGCAAGGATGGCTCAACATTCACAAGTCAATAAATTTGATACATCACATGAACAGAACCAAAACAAAAATATATATGATTATTGCAATTGATGCAGAAAAAGCATTCAATAAAATTCCACATCCCTGAACAATAAGAATACATGGACATAGGGAGGGGAACAACACACATCGGGGTTTAATAGGGAGCAGGGAGTGAGGGGAGGGAACTTAGAGGATGGGTTGATAGGTGCAGCAAACCACATGGCACACGTATACTTATGTAACAAACCTGCATGTTCTGTACATATATCCTAGAAATTAAAGTAAAATAAAATAAATAAGGTTCAACATCCTTTTGTGATAAAAACCTTTATCGAAATAGGTATAGAAGGAACATACCTCAATATAATAAAAGTCATATATGAGAAAACCACAGCTAACATTGTACTGACTGGGAAAAAAATTGAAGGCGTTTTCTCTTAGATCTGGAACAAGACAAGCATGCCCATTTTCCACCACTTCTGCTCAATGTAGTACTGGGAGTCCTAGCCAGAGCAATTAGGCAACAGAAATAAATGAAGGGCACCCAAATTGGAAAGGAAGAAATCAAATTAGCCTAATGGCAGAGGACATGATCTTATAAAAACCTGAAGACTCCACACAAAAACTGTTAGGACCAGATAAACAAATTCAGCAAAGTCTCAGGATACAAAAATCAACATACAAAACTTTGTAGCATTTCTATTTGCCAACAGGAATCATCTGCAAAAGAAACCAAGTAAGCAATCCCATTTAAAGAATATGAAATAGCTAGGAATCTATTTTACCAAGGAAGTGAAAGATTTGTATGAGGAAAACTATAAAACACTGATAAAAGAAGTTGAAGATGACACAAACAAATAGAAAGTATTCCATGCCCATGGTTGAAAGAATTAATATTGTGAAAATGACAATACTACCCAAAGCAATCTACAGATTCTATGGAACCCTTATCTAAATACCAATGACATTCTTCACAGAAATAGGAAAAACAATCCTAAAATTTATATGGAACCAAAAAGACCCCAAATAGTCAAAGAAATCTGGAGGAAAAAGAACAAAGCTGAAGATACCATATCAACATGGTACTAGCATAAAAAAAATATAGATCAATGAAAAAGAATAGAGAACTCAGATATAAATACATACATGTACAGCCAACTCATCTTTGACAAAGGTTCCAAGAACACATAATGGAAAAAGGGAGTCTCTTCAATAAATGGTGCTGGGAAAACTAGATTATGCAGAAGAATGTCACAAAATCCCTATCTCTTACTATACACAAAAATCAAATCAAAATGGATTAAAGCCTTAAATCTAAGAGATTAAAATATGAACCTACTAGAAAAAAAACACTGGAGAAATGCTCCAGGACACTGGTCTAGACAAAGATTTTATGTGTGTAAGACCTCAAAAGCACAGGCAACCAAATTAAAAATGAACAAGTGGGATAACACCAAGCCTAAAAGCTTCCCGTGTTCTGCTGTTTTCGCAGCAAATAAAACAATCAACTAAGTGAAGAGACAACCCACATAATGGGAGAAAATATTTTCAAACTACCCATCTGACAAAGAATTAATAGCCAGACTATATAAGGAGCTCAAACAACTTGACAGCAAAAAAAAAAAAAAAAAAAAAAAAAAAAAAATTAATGGACAAAATAATACATTTCTCAAAAGAAGACATACAAATGGCAAACAAGTATATGAAAAAATGTTGAGCATCATTAATCATCAGAGAATTGCAAATCAAAGCTACAATGAGATATCATCTCTCCCCAGTTAAATTGGCTTTTATAAAAAGATAGGCAATAACAGATGCTGGCCAGGATGTGGAAAAGGGGGAACCCTTGTGCACTGTTGGTGGGAATGTAAGTTAGTACAGCCACTATGGAGAACCATAGGAAGGTTCCTCAAAAAAACTAAAAATAGAACTACCATATGATCCAACAACTCCACCACTGGATGTATATCCAAAAGAAAGGAAATCAATATATTGAAAAGACATTTGTCTCCCATGTTTATTGCAGCACTATTCACAATAGCCACAACATGGAATCAACCTAACTGCCCATCAACACATGAATAGATTTGAAAATGTAATATCTATATCTACATCTATCTATCATTTATCTATTTATCTATCTAATCTATCTATATACCATATTTTATGGCTGTGCTATTCCACAATGGAATATCGTTCAGCTATTAAAAAAGAATAAAATCCTGTCATTTACAGCAACATGGATGGAACTGGAAGTCATTATATTGAGTGAAATAAGCCAAGCACAGGAAGACAAATATCACATATGCTTACAAAGAGGCTCTCAGGAAGATAAAGAGTAGATTGGGGATTGCTAGAGATTGGGAAGAATAGGAAGGAAGCGGTACTGAAAAGAAATGAATAATGTGTACAAATATATGGTTTGATGGAAGAAATAAAACTTAAAGTTAGATCACTAGAACGACTGTAGTTTACAATAATCTATTGTATATTTCAAAATAGCTAGAAGAGGAGAACTGGAGTGGTTCTAGCATAATAAAGAAGACACAAACATTTAAGGGGATGGATATCCCATGTACACTGATTTGATCTTTACAAATCATATGAATATATTAATTTACCCCATGTGCCCTGAAATTATGTACATCAATTATGCATCTATTTTTAAAAATTTTAAGAGAATAGAATTTAAAGAGAATATATGTTGACTAAATTAATGAACTAATGCACAATTAGATACTGTTTTAGCCAGATCATTACTGTAACCTTAGCTTTTTTCCTTCCAAACTATTTTACATTCAGTAAGATTAATTCTCCTAGAGAACAGCTCTGTTCATGTTGATTATTTAAGAAAAAATAATTATAAAAACCAAATTTGATCAAAATATCTGGCCTAATATTTAAAGTTATTCACAATTTTATCCAACTATCTTAAATTTTACTTATTCTCATTGGGAACACTATTATGACTGAACTACATTCCTACAACCATGACTCATTTTCTTTACCCTGCCCTGCCTGTTTTATTTTCCTGTAATTAGTAGCCTCTACTCCTCATCTTTGCCTAGGGAAATTTTGCCTATATTCAAGGCCAAATTTCTAGATGCTTGTTTTAATGGCATTTGTCCAATTAATTCGGAGACAAGTGATTATTTTTACCTCTGAAATTATCCTTAATTTTTACATTTAAAATGCATTTATTATATTCTTCCCTTTACTTTATTGACTTCTCTTCTCTGGATTATAGTCTATGTGAAGTTAGGAATTTACCTGATTCATTTTAATATAAATTAATTAAATAATAGTTGAATGAACAAAAGATAATGAGGATAAAACATTTGTAGCTGGTTGGTCAGCAATATTATACTATAGTATTATTGGGAAGGTTTTCTACCAAGTGCCTTAAAATACACTATGTCACATCCTCTTGGAAAATCTCTAAGATTCACTTCCCTTCTTTCCATTTATTTCTCACAATTTCTCTGCCTAACTTTCTCTTTTCCCTAGGTTTTATTTTTCTCCCCAACACACACTTCCAACTTGAACTTGTCTTATGCAAGCTCCCCTTTGGGCTAGGGAAGCCAATGACCCCTATACTCTGCCTGAATTTTAAAAAGTTTAAAAGTAAGTAAATCAGAAAACATCCTTTTCTTTCAAGCAGTAACAGTCTAGTCAGAAGTATGTTTTTATTGTGGTAAAACACACATAACATGGGATCTACTTACATACATGTACTGCAGATCTCTCCCCATTTCTGCCTCTCCCCAGCCCTGGCAACCACCATTATACTTTCTGCTTCTACACACTTGACTACTTTAGATACCTCACGTAAGCAGAATAATGCAATGTTATGTCCTTCTGGCTTACTTCACTTAGCATAATGTTCTCAAGTTTCATCCAGGTTGTAGCATATGACAAGATTATTTTTTAAGATTGAATAACATGTCATTGTATGAGTATACCATATTTTATTCACTTATTCATCTGTTAATGGACGTTTATGTTGTTGCCACCTTTTGGTTGTCATAAATAATGCTGCAGTGAACATGGGTATGCAAATATCTCTTTGAGATCCTGTTTTCAATTCTGTTTTTAAAACCACCTTAATGGATCTTGTAAGGGTGTTTCTTGTGAGAAAACAATGGCTCTACATAGGATAATTTTAAAAAATACTGTGTATTCTCAACCCTGACCATTAAAAAATAGAAGACTTGTTAATAATTGACTGCTTTTTTCTTTTGAGTCCTTAGACTTATTAACAATTCAGTACCTAATTTTGCAGCATTAAGAAATCAGGAAAGTAACATTTCTTGGGAGACCTTGAAGGACACTGGAGATTGGCAAATAAAATGTGTAGGTCAGATGTACATTTGCTTGTGACCAGAAAATTTTATATTTAACACATCTGTATTAATAAATGAAAGTTTTAGTGAAATTCACAGCACATCAGGGAAAAAATTTAGAAAACCAGAAATAATTTAATTTCTTTAGTTATTTAAGAAGAACATATCTATATACTTGAGAGTCAAGCTAATAAAAGGCTTTGCCAAATTGTAAAAAATAAATGGAGGTGGAATATAGTTTATTTGTAATTTATCTGATAAATTAATCATTTAACAAACATTTCTTGGATAGCCACTGCTTAAAAAATATTGTAAAAGCCATTTGTTGAATAATTCTCTGACTCATATACAAATAACTATAATAAAATTCTTTATGGAGTAAGCACCATGGGTAAGAAATAATATGTTACAGAAATTCAAAGGAAAAAGTGAATTCCAATAGAATGAATAGGCTATAAACTTTCAAAGCTCCAGGCATAGTTGAATGAAATAATTAAAATGTAATTATTTGACAAGGTAGTTTAAGCTGTATCCTGACTTGCAGAGGAAGAAAGAGGAGGTACTACAGGTAGAGTAAGTAGTATACTTTAAGCTACATTAGAGAAAACCATAAGATATAGTATAGAAACAATTAATTCAGATTAAATACAAATTATACATGATTAGGATGGAAAGTAGATTGAAGTCACTTTGTAGAAGTCCTTTACCCATTACTCACTAGGATATGGGTGGGGGGGTGAGCCTAGGGAGGTTTTTGAGCAGTAGAGTAACAGGACAAAATATTGTTTTTAAAAATCGATCTTAAAGAAATATATAGCATAGTCTGTAATCCCAGTACTTTGGGACGCCAAGGCAAGTGGATCATTTGATGTCAGGAGTTCGACACCAGCCTGACCAACATAGTAAAGTCCTGTCTCTACTAAAAGTACAAAAAATTAGCCAGGTGTGGTGGCACACGGCCTGTAATCTCAGCTACAGCTACTTGAGAGGCTGAGGCAGGAGCGTCGCTTGAAACTGGGAGGCGGAGGTTGCAGTCAGCCTGGAGATCATGGCACTGCACTCCAGCCTGGGTGACAGAGATTCCGTCTCAAAAGAAAAAAAAAAGAAATATATAGGATAGACTGAAAGTAACTCATTAGATAATTGCTAAATCTGTAACAAGAGATAATAAGGGCCTAAACTAAAGTGGTGGCAATGTGACGAGAAATGAGGATATGTATGAAAATATCTAATAGTGGTAGAATTGTTAAGACTTAGTAACCAATAGGAAATTGTGATGGAGACAAGAAGAAAAAAAAATTTAAGAGACTTTAATTTTTCACATCTAATTTAGGTAGAGAATTTTGCCATTATCAGAAACATTAAAATCAGAAAGAGAGGGTAGATTGAAGAGAAGAGGAAAGATGTCAGATTTATAATACTAACAAACAGCACAGAAGTACACAGCATAGTTAGAAAAACAAATAGAATGCTAGGAAGGTGTTAAAGATTCAGATTTGAAAATCATGTTTAAAGAATTAATAGTCATATGGACTACCATATTATCCAGCAATCCCACTGCTGGGTATATATGCAAAAGAAAGGAAATGAGTATATTGAAGAGATATTTGCACTGTCATGTTTCCTGCAGCACTATTCACATTAGCCAAGATATGAAATCAGCCTGTGTCCATCAACAGATGGATGGATAAAGGAAGTGTGGTACGTATACACAATGGAATATTATTCAGCTGTAAAAAATGAAAATGTTATTTTTAACAACATGGATAAAACTTCAGGACATTATGTTAAATGAAATAAGCCAGGAACAGAACAACAAATGTAGCATATTCTCACTCATATAGAGAAGCTTAAAAAAATGGATTTCATAGAGGTAGTGAATAAAATGGTTGTTACCAGAGGCCAGGAAAGCCATAATGGAGGAGGAGTGGATAAAGAAGGGTTGGTTAATAAATACGAAATACAGTTAGACAGAAGGAATAAGATCCAGTTTCCAGTAGCACAATAGAGCAACTATAGTTAACCATAATTTATTGTATATTCCAAAGTAACTAGAAGAGTAGATTTGGAGTGTTCCCAACATGAAGTAACGATAAATGTTTGAGGCGATAGATATCCCAACTACCCATATTTTATCATTACATATTGTGTGCTTGTATCAAAATATCACATTACCTTACAATTATATGTAGCTATTATGTACCCATAAAATTTTTTTCAAAGAAGTAATAGTCAATTCTTTAGAATGTAATGAAATACTAAAGGAAAGGAGAGACTCTGGTGAAAAAGGAACAAATAAATGCTTGAGAGTGTTTTTGTTTAGGGAGAAAATGGAGCCAGCCCTATATAGAAGAGGAGGAGTTACAGATGAGAGAAGATTCAGATTGTTTGTGTCATAAAACCCAGTGTGAACATGGTTACAAGACAGTAAAAAAAAAAAAAAACAGGAGAAATAAGAACAGAATTTACATTATAAGCATCAAAAGAATGATTTGGTAGTGAATAGAGCAAGTGAGAAAATTGTCACTGAAGTAAATGGGAACATAAGTTATGTAATAGTGTTATGAAAGTTTGCAAAGGTAGAGTTTTAGAACAGGCTAGACATAGCACTGTGTCAATAAATCTGAGGAAGTAGATAAGGAGGGACTATCTGTTTTAAAAAGAAAAAATGTAAATGGTTATATCAGGACAGAGAAAAACATAGGAAATTTATTATAAAAAGGGGGTCAAGGGAGTATCCTTGAAAGGAATTACTCTGATACAAGATAAAAATAGATGGAGAGAAGTTGAGTGAGTTAATTGTGCAGGTTCTTGACCTTCACAGTAAGGAGAAAGTTATATGGTGTGCAGTGATGTTGGGAGGCTAAGACAATTGAAGAGGTTCTGTGTAGCCACACTGAAGGTGTCTGTAAGAGCTCAGGTGATTTGAGTGAAAGAATGTCTGGGCACAGGGGAAGTTAAGTGGCAAGAAAGTGTACCCCAGATAGACATAATCTTGCAATAGTATTTGATATACTTGGCTGGCAAAGAAATGGCTTCCATTAAGTTTAAACGAATTTTGCAGAAGATACTGGAACCACGTTGAGGAACATGCTAAGTTATTAAACAGCTCAGTAGTTTGCCATGAAAAGACATTTTGCTTTTGTTCTTTGTTGTACATATTTCCTTTGGAGAGTTTGTTATAAACCAATATATTGCTTAAGAATGAGAAAAATTAGGAGCATCACTGTTACTCTAAGAAGTTGTTACTGTAAACAAACCTGTGAAACTTTGCTCAATCCAATATTTTTCAGATTTTTTTGACAGGAAAATTAGAAACATGTTGATTTTTGTTATGGCACTTGAGTGCTTACATATGATTTCAAACCTAAGGGTGTTTTTTTCTTTAAGAGTATTTGTATCTTGGGTTCATGAAGATAATGCATTTTCAATATAGATAACATTCTGCTAATTCATTTAACTATTTTTTTACAAGTACTTCCGGAAGACCTGAAATGCTGCCTTAAAATAGAAAGGATTGTTGAGCTGAAGACTAGAAGCAGCAGATGCAAGAAAGTTCTCTGCTTTACCTCTATTTGCCTAAAAACAGGATATCGATTTATAAAGACAAAATGTGCCCCAGCCCCACTTCTATCAGGGAGAAAAACAGTTAACCAGTGAGGACGACTTAGGACCTTTACTGGCCTGGAGATGGTACCAGAGGAGTTTATATTAACAAACTTGACTAACTAGCCTTTATCTGTCATTATTTGTCTTTCCCCAAGATGCTATCCTATAGAAGCTCAAAGTTATTTTCCTTTGTATTGTCACTTCTCTAAAAATTTACTGTTCTTTGTTGAAGATGCTGTATAAGCTGGATTTCCAAGCTGCCTCTTTCAGAATTATTCATTCCCTGGTGCCTCACATGTATATATGTAATATATGTATTAATAAATCTTGTTTGTTTTTCTCTTATTATTCTGTTTTTTGTTAGGGGGCTGTTCCATCTAAGAACATATGGGGGTTATTCTTCCCCTACACTCTTATTCTTCCATATTTGCATATATCAAAATCTTTGTTCATTGTTGTGGAATTGATTTTTTTCTTTCATGTATATCTTCCAAGTTTATTAACAAACAATAACAAAGCTTTTCTTTCAGCTGATACTTCTGTCCTTAAGAAATCTAAGACAAAAGTTAAAGTTAGATAAAGGAAGATTTGCTGTCATAGTAAGTGTGGCAGCATGATGGGGAAATCAGAGTTTCTTCCTAAGTAAAAGTATGGATGAGCCCCTAAAATCCCAAAGAAAAAGCTGCAGGGCAGCTGGGAGGAACACTGGGAGGGCAGGGTAATTGCCAACAATAAAGCAGGTGAATGTTTTTATGCTAACCAAAAATAGTGCTTCCCAAACTTTTCCACACCTTAGAAACATCTCGGGAGCTTTTTAAATATCCCAATGCCCGGTCTCATTCAATACCAATTATATGAGAACATCTGGGGTAGAAGGCTGGTATTAGTATCTTTTTAAAGTATACTAGGTGACTCCAAAGTGCAGCATAATTTGGGAACTGCTATTCTGTAATAAGATTCTTTAAAAATACTGACTGTATTATTTTGACTACACTCCATATATTAATAGTTTATATTTACACTGGCTCTTTAATTTTCCTTATCCAGGCTAAGGAAAACTTTTGAGGCTGAAGATTATGATCAGGCACATTGCAGTGAGGTGGCTTCAATGAACCCTGACTGTTGCTTTTGTTTTTCCTTCCTTATTTGAATAGCCTTAAGCTACTTATTTGAACTGATTGTCCTAAACGCGAATGTTTTTGCATGATTTCCTCCCTGCTCAAATTGTCTGATTTGGTTCTACCTCTTGTAATCCTTGCAAAAGTGACTAAAGTCCAGGGACATGCTTGTGGAGTGACTTCCTCCACTTGGTGTCATTCAATTAGGTAAAGATTACCAACAGCAACTGCTTCTATCCTTTGCAATTTACTCACAGTAGCTACCTCATATGCTTCATTTACATGAAGTTATTTTGTTTACCAACCTCTGGCGTAGGTCCCCAAGTCTTAATGCACACTTTAAGTGTCCTAAATAGACAAAACAACTGTTTCCTTGAGGTGGCATTAGATAACGTAATGGTAAAGCTCTTCAAGAGTGTTTCTTAAAGTTCCTGCTCATTTGCACTTCCAAGTTTTTATTAGATTTCAAAGCATCATGCATTTACATATATCAATTTCTAAGTACTATGAAGTAGTTTATTAAATTGAATTTCTCTGATGTTTCCTGTCTCAGTTATATGCCAATTTCAAAACAAAATATTAACTCAAAATTTGATAATTTGATATTATCCAAATATTCATCCTTACCTGTATATTAATAATGTCCATTAAATTTATATATATATAGTCTATTGAATAGCAACATTCTAAAGATATTCCCATCTTAGTTATAATTAGTTCATCAAAAAGGTTGTATTAGAATTATTTTTTGGCTATCATTCACATACCTGATTATTTACAGGAAGGATTTGAATGACAAATACAGCAATATCCAGAGACATACAGTGAGGAAGGTGTGATGTAGATAGAAGAAAGAAGAGAGCCATACTAAAAAACACTGGCCTTGAAAAGCAAAGAGCAATTAACAGGGGAAGAGAATTATTCAATTTTCAGAACTTAAAAAAAAATACACAAAATCCTCTGAATTTTGTGGTAGTCAAATTAAAAGAGAAGTGACATAAAATCATAATAATCTCATTAGATATTAAAAGGAAGCATGCCAACTCACTACAAAGGCCAACATTTTTGCTGATTCTGATGTCTACATGATGTGCTGAGTCTGATGTCTAAGAGAGATGTCATCATATAAAGTATGTTTAATCGTATTATTACATATGTAGAAAATCATTCATACAACCATGTTTATATAGCCATTCCTTATACTGACCATTAATGTAAATCAGTAATAAAAGATTAAATCACAATTGTTCCATGGCAGTTAGAATGCACTGTAAAGCAACTCGTATAGCTGTCTAGTATTTTTACATTATGTCCAGATAAAACTCAGAGAACTCCGTTCTAAAGAGAAACATTTTACCATGTCTCATAGGCTATTTTTTATAGTAAATGATTTCAGACTAATTCTCTCATCTTTTTTACAACGTAGAGTTTGTGTGTTTGTTTGTTTTCTTTTGCTACAAAATAACCATGACCATATTTGTAGTTAGTAGAGAAGTCACACACATAAATGAATCTTGTATATAGTACAGTGGCCATATTTATTCACCAAGATAAGATTGATATAATATGTAACAATAAAAATAACAGTTGGGTTAATGCACACTTCTTTATTGTTGCAGTTAGCAAATAATGCAATGAGCAGCTAAAGGAGGAAGAGAATTATTCAATTTTCAGAATCTGAAAAAGAAATACATTTAGTCAAATGCGGTTTTGTATGGACTCATGTCTTAAAGGTACAACCAAGTCTTCTCTTCCCTGGGCTGACTTATAATTTGTTTATTTATTAGAGTTTATAATTGAGGGTAATCATGGTATTTATCACTCAAACTGACACTTTGTGGACTGAAAAGGGTCTTCTATTAATTATGAGGCCAGGAAAATAGATATAACTTGGGACTGTCCTGGAAAAAAGGAATGCAGATTGTGAACACAGAAAAATTAATTTGCTTTCAATTGATCAGCTATTTAAAGAAAGCTTTTTGGTGTCTACGGCTTCTTTCTGAAGTGTTTAATTTACAGATGGTTCAATTAGAGCTCTGTTGCAAAATTTTGGACCTAAGAGAATGTTCACACTCTCAGCTTTATATGCCAGGATGCCCTTTCCTGGATTATTTTCATCCTTCAGTTCACAGCGGAATTATCATCTTCTTACATAAGCTTCTTCTGCTCTATTTAAAGTAATCCTACAATTTGAGCTCCAAAATAAATAAGGAGAGCACTCCTCTTTCCAAGAATGTAAACAAATAAATGTAGAAGGGGTGGTATAGTTAGAAAAGTACCATTCTAAAATCATTGTACTAATAATTAATTTAGGTAATAATCATCAGTGGAAGCCAAAACCATTTGATGAGAGTTGGTTAGCAGTAAAATATTTACATAGTCTCACAGATTGTCTGCACAGAACAGTTAATAATTACACAGGAAAAAAATTACTGCAGTTAAACAAAATCTGGGCAGTATCCATTTAACCAAGTGATCAAAGTTAATATCATCGAAAAATGAGAAAAACTATTATATGATTCATGATTTGACACACTGAGGACACAGTATTACTTATGTAATATTTATTTTAAAATACCTAATTCAAATCTAACCATTACAAAACAAACCCAGGTTGAAGACAATCTCTTCAAAAATGTCAATGGCACAAAAGACAACGAAAGTCTAAGGAATAGTTCAAGATTAAAGGATACTAAAGACACTGTACAACTAAATTCAATGCATGATCCTAAAGAAAAAAAATTCTATAAAGGACATTATTGAAACAGTTATCATATGAACTCTTTGCTAGATCATAATATTATATCAAAGGTAAAATTCCTGAAATTTGAAATTATAGTGTGATTAAGAGAACGCCTTTTTTTCTTAGGGGATACATGCTGAAGTATGTAATGATGAAGGATTATGATCTCTTACTTTCAATGGTTTAAAAACCTACTCTCAGTGTTTCATAAACACGAATAAAAATAATACATTAGTCTGCTCAGGCGGCCATAACAAATACCATAGGCTAGGTGGCTGAAGAAATAGAAATTTAGATCTGGAGGCTAGAAATCTGAGGGCAGGATGCTAGCATAGTCAGGCTCTGGTGAAGGCTTTCTTCTTGGAGTGCAGAGAGCCACATGCTCACTATGTCCTCATATGGTAGAGGCAGAGCTTTGGTGTTTCTCTTTTTAATAAAGATACTAATATCACCATGAAAGCCCCACCTGCATGACTTTATCAAAATCTAATTACCTTCTAGAGGCCCCATGTCTAAATACCATCACATTGGGGGTTATGAGGAGGGGCACAATTAAATTAGTATCAAATAACTATCATAGTATTTAAGTTTAATATATGTTTAAAGATATTTAAACATATATGTGTATATTTTATATATATATACACACACAGAGAGAGAACAGGAGAGGAGAAGAGTGGGGAGAACAGGAAAAGAGAGGGAAGAGAAGGAGAGAGGAGAGGAGAGGAGAGGACTCAGTAGGAGTCCTCTTGCTACTGAGAAGAGGAGTAGAAGCGACAACAATGTGACTGATATGGTTTGGCTATGTCCTCACCCAAATCTCATCTTGAATTGTAGCTCCCATAATCTTCAAGTGTCATGAGAGGGACTCGGTGGGAGGAAATTGAATTATGAGGGCATGATTTTCCCATTTTGTTCTTGTGAGAGTGAGTAAGTCTCACAGGATATGATGGTTTTATAAAGGGTGGTTCCCCTGCATATGCTCTCTTTTCTGCCACCATGTAAGATGTGCCTTTGCTCCCCCTTCATCTTCTGCCATGATTGTGAGGCCTCCCCAGCCATGTGGAACTGTGAGTCCATTAAACCTCTTTTTCTTTATAAACTACCCAGTCTCAAGTATTTCTTCACAGAGTATGAAAATGAATGAATACAGTAAATTGATACGCAGAGAGTGGGGTGCTGCTGTAAAGACATGCAAAAATGTGGAAGTGACTTTGTAACTGGGTAACAATTAGAGACTGAAACAGTTTGGGTGGGTGCTCAGAAGAAGATAAGAAAATGTGGGAAAGTTTGGAACTTCCTAGAGACTTGTTGAATGGCTTTGACCCACATGCTGATAGTGATATGAACAACAAAGTCCAGGCTGAAGTGGTCTCCATGTAAGACCTTGCCACCATGTAAGACGTGCCTTTGCTCCTCCTTCACCTTCTGCCATGATTGTGATTCCTCCCCTGCCATGTAGAATTGTAAACCCACTAAGCCTATTTTTCTTTATAAATTACCCAGTCTCAGGTATTTCTTCATAGTGGTATGAAAATGGACTAATACAGTGACAAAATATTAACAATGTGGAAATATAGGTGAATGGTATATGAGTATTTATTGTAATGTTCTTGCAACTTTCCTGAATGGCTAATTTTTTAAAATGAAGTTTAATAAAACATTGACTAGATGCCTTTCATCTTATTATTGTCTCTCACAGTGCACTGTTCTTTTCCTGGAACATATAATACAATTTACAGTTTATTTACTTATTTGTCCATGTAATGTCCAATTCCTTTACCAGACCTAACACTGAGACTTGGGATTCGATCTATTTGGCTTATTGTTCTATCCACATCATTTTACAGGCATATTAGTGCTCTTTCACTACTTGTTGAATGAAGGAATGAGCTGTTTCTGAACTTCCCAAGTAAAAAAACTGAAGGAAGATGTAGATTTGTATGTACACTTAGCAGTATGGACCTTGCAGAAAACAGCCGTGGATCACCTCTGCCTTCTGACTGAAGAGATCTGGCACCTGCAAGTATCTGGCAATATAGTTGCATTAACACAATTTGCTTTTGAACACTTACAGTCCAGCACCAAATGCATTTGCCTTCTGTAAATGGAACACCTGTGGTGAACACTTCTCTCTTAAGAGAAGTGACTTGTGTGAAGGCGCTCCTCATTCATCACAGGTGTTCCATTTACAGAAAATGCCTTTCTCATCTTCTCTCACTACCCAGATAGTACTCATGCACTGAGCAACAGCAGAAGAGCCCTCCAGCACTTCCTTGAAGTCTTTCTCACCATTTGGTACTGTGATCACCCTCTTTGCTCTGATTTCTTTTGTAATTGCTGAATGATTTATTTGGGTTTTATTTATGTACTAATTTATATTCTTATAAATGGTCCTTGTATTATTATAAGTTATCTTATAAACAATAAATTATTTAGTATTATACAGAATAAATTATATTGCATTGTAATTAATCTTATGTAAGTTATAAATGATCTTTAATTATTGTTTATGTTTATCCTATCTCCTTAACTGTACTTTAAATTCCTTGAATGCAGGGAAAACTTACATGCCATTTTATATTTCCAGTAACACCGTCTTAGTCTTTTTGTGCTGTTTTAGCAGACTAGTTCCAGCTATGCCCATCTGCGACTGGGTAATTTATAATAAACGGAAATTTTATTCTCACAGTTCTGGATGTTGGGAAGCAGAAGAACAAGGTGCCAGCAGATCCAGTGTCTGTGAGAGCTGCTGTCAGCTTCCAGATGGTGCCTTATTGCTACATCCTTTAAGGTGTTGAACCCTGTGTCTTCACATGGCCAAAAGAAGAGAAGGGTAAAAAGAGCCTTGCTAGTTCCCTCTAGCCCTTTTATAAGGTACTAATCTCATCTATGAAGCCTCCACCTAATTACCTCTGAAAGGCCCCACTGTTAATAACATTGTGTTGGGGATTAACTTTCAATATAAATTTCGTAAGGAACACAAATATTCGAAGCATAGCAAGCACCTAACCAATTGTGGTACACATAGGAGGCTCTTGCTTTTGTGTAATAAAATTTGTCTGTAGCTGTATCTACATACCTGAAATCATAAGGCTGGGGCATATTTTGTTGTAATTCTATAGACATTATTATGTGTCTTTTTTATTCCTTCTTTTGTAGTAAATGTAAAACTGGAAAATATGTTTAGAATTTGTATTTGCTAATGACAAAGGAAAGATTTGGGTCCAAAATCTGGTAACGATAATGACAAGGAGAGTCTTATGGTATTTAGTCTTAATGGTATTTACAAATTGATAAAAAGAGATTCAACTTTATCGGACAAGAAAGTCTCCACTAATCTATTTTTCTATGTTGGGGCATAAACTACAGTATTGCTATAATTATCTTTCTATCCTCTTTCATTAATTTCCTATATTAATGATGCACTTTAGTATATTTTTTTTAGCTTTTTGGTAAATTCTCTGTTGAGATATGAAATGAGGCCACCAATGTTGGAAAGATCACTTAGTTTATGAATTCAAAAACTGTGAATTGGTGATACTACCTTATAATGCTCTTCCAGATGATTTATACCCCTTTTAATTTGCCTCATAATGCCAGAGGCAGTTTTAGATTTTCAGGATTAAAATTAATATCAGGGATTATCTATCTATCTATCTATCTATCTATCTATCTATCTATCTATCATCTATCTAAAATATATATCTTTTATATACAGTTTTAGCTTATATATATAGCTGGATATAAAACTATAAAAGCTCTATATATTATATATAATATTATAAACAGGATAGAAAGATATATATATCTATAGCTATATATATAATCTGTATAGTTTTATACACAGTTTTAGCTTTTAAGGATTAAAATTAATATCAGGGATTTTATATATATATAAAATAATCCATTATATATACATATGTTTCTCTATATATAGACATAATAATCCATCTCTGTATATGTATGTGTGTGTGTGTGTGTGTGTGTGTGTGTGTGTGTGTGTGTATGGGGGTATGTTCTGAAATATATGTTAGAGATAATTTTATTGCTTCTAACACAGAGACCATGGAATCCTAGGAAACTATAAAATTAGTGCATAGTGTCCACAAATACTTCTCTGCTTGGCACATTGCCTAAGAAACAAATATTAATATCTTTTTCATATGTAGTTTTTCAATGGTACAGAAATCATATTATGATGAATAAAATTCATTTCTTAAAACATTACATAATTCATAGCACCATTTTGCTATGTACTTCTGAAGGAATTATAGCAAACTCTTGATATTTGTTACAATGTTTGTTGTTTAGTATTCTAATGTTTAAATATGTTTTTAAAATGTTATAAGAATTTTTAAAAATAGATTCTAATGCTTGAAAACATGGGCACATTCATGACTTTTAACACTAGCGATTCTTAAAGTGTGACCAAGCTCCCTGAAATCCCTGAGAAATTTTAGTGAGTTGTATGAAGTCAAAACTATTTTTATAGTAATACTAAGACATTATTCACCTTTCTCTCTCTTCTCTCACGCAATTCCAGAGACTCCAAAGAATAAGATATTGCAGCAGATTGAATACAAAAGCAGATATAAGGATACAGCTGTCTTTTATAAAGACAGATATTAAAGGAATTTGTAAAAACATAAAACAGTGCCATTCTTGCACTAGTATTTTGTCTTAGAAAATTATCTTTATAAACATATCGTTTTATTAACATATTTTGGTTTATTACTATTTTAAATTAATAATGTTTTTAAATTTTCTCAGTTATAATTTCTAATATGGCAAATATAGGTGTATAGGTAATACATAAAAACAAAGTTCTTTGGGCTTCTCAGTAATTTTAAAAATATGAAGGGGCTCTAAGACCAAAACACTCCAGGGTTGCTGTTTCAGCTGATGAAATATATTCTCTATCACACTTCTAGAATGAGTACTTGTTTGGTAATTCCTGCTCCAAGAACTTAATTTTCAATGTTTCAATATAAAAAACTCTATAGTGTTGGTTTTTATAACTCATTGTCCTGTGTAATAATTTATTTGGTAACCTGAGAAAGTAAAAGCTTAATAAGCAGTGTTCTCCCTTTCCTTTTCCAAAAAGGCAACTCAAGAAGCAATCAAAATTAGACTTTTAGCTATCAATTTTAAAATTTCTTCCATTCCACTAAATATAACTGCCTACAAGAAGAAAGTATTATATAGCTAGTTATTTGCTTTACTCCAAATTTATAGAGATTTGAACATAGCTCTCTGGCTAACAATAGCTTAATACTACATTTCATGGTCACACAACTTATTATTCATTGGAAGTTCTCTTGACATCAATTTCCACTTACTCTCATGTTCATTAATTCTGTGTATTACTTCAGTTCAACCTAATGGCTAAGAATAGACTAGGTCAAATGGGTTAAGTTTGCCATTTCTGTGTGTGCGATGATGCTCAATAGCCACAATGACTGCAACTTTGGGCAAGAGAATAAACATGCTGCTGTCCAGGTAAAGGCAAGAGAAATGAGTTTCACCTTTCAGAAATGTCACTGTCATTAGTTTTCTGAACAAATAAATTATATATCCTTGCTTAATATTTCATTTTACCTTATTATATCTCTAGTGCTGCTCATTACAGAGCATGAATAAGAAGCACAGGATGAAGTGCAGATCTGATACACGTTAGGTTCAAGCATGAATGCTGATGAAGATAGCCACATGCTAATTACATGTGTGGGAAAGCGATTCTGTAAAATGACATGTTAAAACCATTGCAGTAGCTAAGATTAACAATAGAGACATTACAAAGAAAAATACAAGGGAGTCACGGGCAGACTCTGGAACACAGTTTTATTTAAGACATGGCAAGTAGTGGAATAATTATGTGCTTATTACTTGACAGTGAATTCCTTGTGGACAGGGAGTTGCACAGTTTCTAGCATGTCTTCAATACTGAATGAATAAATGAAGGAAATAAGCCATTAGATAAAAGCAGAATAAGGAAAGTAAAGTTATACAGCAGTTAAGAGAATACTTTTTATAAAAACTGAGGGTGAGAAGCAAGTAAGATTAATCAATATTATTCATTGGTGCTGAGAAGTTATGCCAAATGAGCACTACTAAAAATATTTTTGGATATGGCTCTAAAGAGTCTGTGGCTGGAGCAAAATGTTTTCAATAGAGTGGTGTGGAGTTTGAAGACAACTGAGAGTAGTAAGTGGCAAGCTGACTATAAGGAAAATGTATGTGATTATACGGTGAATAAACATTCTTTTAAGAATTTTGGTGGAACAAAGTAGAGAAAAGCAACAGCAACTTATGTATGTATGTAGCAGGTACATGTAATTCTTAGATGCTTTTCTTTCAAATTTTTAGAATGAAAGAACAACCTTTTCAGTTACAATTAAAAATTAGGAATACCGAAAAAAAGAGAATGGAATGGCATAATGTATTTCAAAGTATTTTCTTTTTCTTTTCATTTATTTATTTACTTATTTTGAGACAGGGTCTCGTTGTGTCACTTAGGCTGCAGTGCAATGGCATAATCACAGCTCACTGCAGCCTAGACCTCCCCAGCTCGAGTGATGCTCCCATTGGTCACACGTAGCTGGAGCTTTAGGCACAGACCATCACATGGGTTAATTTCATTTATTTTTTGTAGAGACAAGGTTTCACTATATTGCCCAGGGTGGTCTCGAACTCCTGGGCTCCAGTGATCCTCCCACACTGGCCTCTCAGAGTGCTGAGATTAGAGGCGTGAACCACTGCAATCAGCCAAAGTATTTTCAAACCTTTGCAATCACAATCAGATGAAGCTCAAATTTTAAAACGTGCGTATAATTATTTCAGGTGTTTTGTACACTTCTGTAATTACTAAGATATGTTTTCTCAGTTTTCTGGTCTGTGACTCAACTAATGCTAAATTATGGCAATTTGGGGAGTAATCAGATTCATCCTCAACCACACAGACCTAATCTGGGTCATCACTGTACCTTTGTGAAGTTTATTGCTATTGTTACAATTTATAAGGAAGGAAACAGAAACTAGCTCTCTTTTTCTTTTTCCTTTTTTATTTTTGTTCTATCTCTTTAGAGTCTTCAAAGAGTTTGAATAGAGGAAGAAAAAACAAAGTAGGATATTTCTTTCATCTGTATTCTTAGATGTAATTTTTTTTTTTTTCAATTTCAGAAGTTTTAGAAGGAGGAGATGGGCAAGGAGAAAAACATCAGGAAAGAGAGAGAGAAAGAGTCACACACATAATTTCACACACTGCTGTGGCTCACTGGCACCATGGAGTATTCAGGGTGTCAATTAATATGAATATTATTTGGTGTATTAGATACCAAGTAGAGTTAATTGCAAAAGGTCTTAATTGATCACAATGTACTATTTATTCTCTCTCAAATTGCACAGAAAATGCATGTATTCTCTTCCCCTGACTTTTGGAATGCTTTGATGTCACTAAGGATAACTTCAGTTTTACAAGGAAGACTCTTGACTCATAAATTATTCATTCTTTATATAATCGCCTGGGAACATTTCTTTATTGTCTTAACCATTCATTGCTTAGCACACAGTTTTAAGCAGAGGAATAAAGTCATATTTGTAAAATAGGTAAACTTTAATTTCTTGGGGGAGCCATAAAATAATATGGTGGATAATTAGCTGAAATATTCAGCTTTAAAAATACGTTCTGCTCTACAGTATATATTTTGATCTGCTAATTTGCAAAACAATTTTGGTAGTTAGATATAAAATTTATATTTATCCCCATTACATTTATTCTGTTCATTTAATTCAGTTCATAAACATTTTATTTGCTTTTCCGTAACTTGATTCTCTAATGTAACATGTGAGTCGTTTGAGTCGGATTTGGTACGTCACACTGAGATATTGACGAAAGTGACAAAAGAGTCTAGCGTAGGCTACAGAATATTTGAACAGTTGGGAAGGACCCACTAAACAGGAGTCTTAGCTCATGGCCATTCTGCCATTTATGAACTTAAATAACTGTACTATCAACTGCTTACTTCTGCAGTTTGTTCTTAAACCCACCAGAGGAGATGTTCACAAATAAAATATTAATAACTATATTAATTTTCTCTGCAGTAAGCTGTCAGACATAGCAGCAGCAGCGGTTAAGAGGAGGGATTGGCTCCAACTTTGAAACTAGTTAGCAGTGTAGCCTGGCACGAATAGATGTTGGCATCGCTGGTCACAGCAGACAAATTATAGGATGTGAAAGTATATAAATGACATGGAAAATAAGGCTTAAAAAGTCTACTAAAGTCCCTGCTAATTGTTCATTCCTAGAAAGTGACAAATTAGAAAATTACCCAATATGACTCTGTCCTTAATGGTGCATCTCTATCTGTGGGTGATGCAGTCTTTCATTTAAAAAATGAGAGAAAGAGAATAAAAGCTTCTACCTCTCTCTCCATAGCCTTGTTCTTTTAATTTAATTTTTGATTGTCCAAAAGAGTGCATGTATTTATCAGGTATAACATGGCGTTTTGAAATATGGTGAAATACAATGGAATGGCTAAATTTACATAACTGACACATGGATGACCTCACAAACATCATTTTTTTGTAGTGAAAACATGTAAAATCTACTCTTTTAGCAATTTTCAAGGACAGAACACAGGCATACCTTGGAGATATTGCAAGTTAGTTCCAGATCACAGCATTATAATGAAATCACATACTTTTTAAAATTTCTCAAAGCATATAAAAACTATGTTTACACTACACTGTCATCTATTAAGTGTGCAATAGCATTATGTCTAAAAAATGCACCTACCTTAATTAAAAAATACTTTATTTTAAAAAAACGCTAATGGTCATCTAAGCCTTCAGTGAAACATAATCTTTTCCGCTGATGAAGGGTCTTGCCTCTATGTCGATGGCTGCTGACTGATCAGGGTGGTGGCTGCTGAAGGCTGAGATGGCTGTAGCCATTTTTAAAAATAAAACAATGGAGTTTGCCACATCGATTGACTCTTCCTTTCACAAAAGATTTCTCTGTAGCTAGCAATGCTGTTTGATAGCATTCTACCCACAGTAGATGCTCTTTCAAAATTAGAAGTAATCCTCTCAAACCCTGCCTTTTATTTATCAACTAAGTTTATGATATATTCTAAATCCTTTGTTGTCATTTTAATAACATTCACAGCATCTTCACCGGGAGTACATTCTATCTCAAGAAACTATTTTCTTTGCTCATCTGTAAGAAGCAGCTACTCATCCTTTTGGGTTTGATCATGAAATTGAAGCCATTTATTCATATCTTCAGGCTTCACTTTTAATTCTAGTTTTTTTGCTGTTTTCATCACATCTGCAGTTACTTCCTCCACTAAAGTTTTGAAGTCCTCCAAAAATTATCCATGAGGGTTGCAATCTACTTCTTTCAAACTCCTGTTAATATTGACATTTTGACTTTCCCCCAAGAATCATGATTAATTTTAATGGCATCTAGACTGGTGATGCCATATACTTTCCAGAAGGTTGTCAATTTACCTTGCTCACATCAATCAGAGGAATCAGTATCTATAGTAACAATAGCCTTACAAAATGTATTTCTTAAATAATAAGGCTTGAGTGTCAAAATTACTACTTAATACATGGGCTGCAGACTGGATGTTATGTTAGCAAGCATGAAAACAACATTAATCTCTTTGCACATCTCTATCAAAGCCCTTGGGTGACTAGGCACATCATCAACGACCAGTAATATTTTGAAAGGAATCTTCTGAGAAGTAGGTCTCATCAGTGGGCTTAAAATATACAATAAGCCATGCTGTAAACAAATGTGCTGTCATCCAGGCTTTGTTGTTCCATTTATAGAGCCCAGAGTTGATTCTGCATAATTCTGAAGGGACCTGGGATTTTCAGGATGGCAAATGAGAATTGGCTTCGGCTTAAAGTCACCAGCTGCATTAGCCCCTTACAAGAGAGTCAGCCTGTCCTTGGAAGCTTTGAAGCCAGTCATTGGCTTCTCTCTAGCGAGAAAAGTCCTAGATGGCATCTTCTTCCAATAGAAGGCTATATGGTCTACATTGAAAATCTGTTGTTTAGTGTAGCTACCTTCATCAATGATCTTAGTTAGAGCTTCTGAATAACTTGCTGCAGCTTCTACGTAACACTTAACTGCTTCACCTTGCACTTTCATGTTATGAAGATGGCCTCTTTCCTTAAACTCATGAACCAACATCTGCTAGCTTTGAGCTTTTCTTCTGCAGCTTCCTCCCTTTCTCAGCCTTCATAGCCTAATCTCATCTGGATTAGATTTTGGCTTAAGGGAATGTTGTGGCTGGTTTGATCTTCTATCCAGACCACAAAGCTTTCTTCATATCGCCAATAAGGCTATTTTGCTTAATCATTCATGTGTCCCCTGAAGTAGTGCTTTTAATTTCCTTCAAGAACTTTTCCTTTGCATTCACAACTGGTATTAATTAGGAAATACTTTATTGCTAAAAAATGCTAATGGTCATCTAAGCCTTCAGTGAATCATAATTTTTTCTGCTAATGAAGGGTCTTGCCTCTATGTTGATGGCATACCTCAGCTTTCACCGTGCCTCACTAAGCTTAATCATTTCTAGCTTTTGATTTAAGGTGAGAGGTATGCAACTCTTTCTTTCACTTGAACACTTAGAGGCCATTGTAGGGTTATTAATTGGGCTAACTTCAATATCATTGTGTCTTAAGGAATAGATTAGCCCAAAAAAATTAGGGAGAGAGATGGAGGAATGCCCAGCTCGTGGATCCATCAGAATGCACACATTTATCAAGTTCACTGTCTTATATGGGCATGGTTCCTGGCACCCCAAATAAATTACAATAATAACATCAAAAATGACTGATCCCATAACATATAATAATAAGGAATCAGTTGAAATAGTTCAAGAATTACCAAAATGTGACACGGAGATACCAACGCTGTTGGAAAACGGTGCCAATAGTTTGCTTGATGCTGGTTGCCACATATGTTTAATTTGTAAAATAATACAATACCTGCAAAACACAAGAAACCAAAGGGTGATAAATGGAGGCATGCTTGTATTTTAATTGACAAAAAAATTATATATACTTATCATGTACAACTTGATGTTTTGAAATACATATACATTGTGGAATGGCTAAATTGAGTTAATTAACATATTCATTAGCTTACATACTTATATTTTTGTGGTGAGAACACTTAAAATCTACTCTCTTAGTGATTTTCAAGAATAAAATACATTGTTATCAAGTATAGTCATTATATTGTACAATAAATCTTTTGAATTTATTTTTCTTATTTAACCGAAGTGTTGTATCCTTTGACTAACATCTTCCCGACCACGTCCTTGTTTTTTTATTTTATTTTATTTTTTATTTTTTCAGGTTTCACCTTTTACTCAGCATTCAGAATGCATGTATACTGGGTAATCTTATGGTGAATTTTCAGGATGGTAAATGAGCATTGGCTCTGACTTAAAATCACGAGTTGCATTAGCCCCTTACAAGACAGTCAGCCTCTACCCAAAGCCAATAATAAGAATTTATTTCTATGAGGTTTCTGGCTCTGGTTTTACTCTCAGATGATCCTTTCAGTTCTCCCTCTTCACCACACACTGTGGGGTCAGTGTTAGCCCATGGCCACCCCCACCATTACCCCTGGAAACAGAGCTTGCTTTAGGTCTTCCAGGACTCTGTTTATCTGGAAGGAGAGTTTGGGCAAGTATACTCAGGGAAGAGAGAGCAGGATGAGGAGAAGATTTAAAACCCCCTCAATAGCGACTGGATACACTAGAGAATGTGGAGGGATTCACAGTAACTCTCTAACAAATATAACATGAAAATATTAGAAATTTAGAAAAACTCTTTAGATTTGTATGTTCCAGTAGAGATATGATAGGTTTCCACTCTTTGTTTTCTAATTTTATGAAGATGTTTTGGAAGAATATGAAAGCACCATGTCAACCATGGTTGACATTTAGTACTTTTTTAAAATTTATTTTTATTTCAATAGGTTTTTAGGGAACAGGTGGTATTTGATTACATGAATAAGTTCTTTAGTGGTGACTTCTGAGATTCTGGTGCACCTATCACTCAAGTAGTGTACATTGTACCCAATGTGTATTCTTTTCTCCCTCACCACCCTTCCACCCTTTCCCCCGAGTGCCCAAAGTCCATTGTATCATTCTTATGCCTTTGCATCCTCATAGCTTAGCGCCCACTTATGAATGAGAACCTATGATGTTTCATTTTCCATTCCTGAGTTACTTTACTTAGAATAATAGTCTCCAATTTCATCCAAGTTGCTGTGAATTCCATTATTTTATTCCTTTTTATGGCTGAGTAGTATTCCATTATATATAAACACACATGTATATACACATATATATACACACCACATTTTCTTTATCCATTCATTGACTGATGGGCATTTTGTAGATCAACTAGTAGTGGGATTGACGCATCAAATGGTAGCTCTACTTTTAGTTCTTTAAGAAATCTCCACACTGTTTTCCATAGTGGTTGTACTAGTTCACATTTTCACCAGCAGTATTAAAAATGTTCCCTTTTCACCACATCCACACCAACATCTATTTTTTTTATTATGGCCATTCTTTCAGGAGTAAGGTGGTATCACATTGTGGTTTTTATTTGCGTTTCCCTGATCATTAGTAATGTTGAGTATTTTTCTAGATGCTTGGTGGCCATTTGTATATCTTGTTTTGAGAATTGTCTGTTCATGTCTTTAGCCCACTTTTTGATGGGATTGTTTGTTTTTTCTTACTGATTTGTTTGAATTCGTTGTAGATTCTGAATACTAGTCCTTTGTTTGATGTATAGATTGTGAAGACTTTCTCCAACTCTGTGTGTTGTATATTAATTCTGCTATTTCTTTTGCTGTGCAGAAGCTTTTTAGTTTAATTAAATCCCATCTATTTATCTTTCTTTGTGTTGCATTTGCTGTTGGGTTCTTTGTCATGAAGTCTTTGCCTAAGCCAATGCCTAGAAGGGTTTTTTTATGTTATCTTCTAGAATTTTTATGGTTTTAGGTCTTAGATTTAAGTCTTTGACGCATCTTGAGTTGATTTTTGTGTAAGGAGAGAGATCAGAATCTGGTTTCATTCCTCTACACATGACATGCCAATTAGCCCAGCAATATTTGTTGAATAGGGTGTCTTTTTCCCCACTTTATGTTTTTGTTTGCTTTGTTGAAGATCAGTTGTCTGTTAGTATTTGGGTTTATTTCTGGATTCTCTATTCTGTTGCATTGGTCTATATGTCTATTTTTGTACCAGTACCATGTTGTTTTGTACCAGTACCATGTGTAGTTTGAAGTCGGGTAATGTGATGCCTGCAGATTTGTTCTTTTTGCTTGATCTTGCTTTGGCTCTTTTTGGGTTTCATATGATTTTTAGGATTGTTTTTTCCAGTTCTGTGAAGAATAATGGTGGTATTTTAATGGGAATTACATTGAATTTGTAAATTGCTTTTGGCAATATGGTCATTTTCACAATATTGATTCTACTCATCCATGGGCATGGAATGTATTTCCATTTGTTTGTGTCATCAATGATTTCTTTCAGCAGTGTTTTGTAGTTTTCCTTTTAGAGATCTTTCACTTCCTTGGTTAGGTATATTCCTACGTATTTTATTATTATTATTTTGCAGCTATTGTAAAAGGGGTTGTGTTCTTGATTTGATTCTCAGCTTAGTTGCTGTTGGTGTATAGCAGAGCTACTGATTTGTGTACATTAATTTTGTATTCTGAAAGTTTTCTGAATTCATTTACCAGTTCTAGGAGCTTTTTGGAGGCTTCTTTAGGTTTTCTAGGTAGACAATCACGTCATCAGCAAACAGCGACAGTTTGACTTTCTCTTTACTGATTTGGATGCTCTTTATCTCCTTCCCTTGTCTGATTGCTCTGCCTAGAACTTCCAGTACTGTGTTGAATAAAAGTGGTGAAAGTGGGTGTCCTTGTCTTGTTCCAGTTCTGAGGGGGAATGCTTTTAACTTTTCCCTGTTCAGTATAATGTTGGCTGTGGGTTTTTCATAGATGGCTTTTATTACTTAAAGTTTGTCTCTTCTATGCCGATTTTTCTGGGGTTTTAATCATGAAGGGATGCTGAATTTTGTCAAATGCTTTTTCTGTGATTATTGAGATGATCATGTAATTTTTGTTTTTAATTCTGTTTATGTGGTATATCACATTTATTGACTTGTAAATGTTAAACCATCCCTGCATCCCTGGTATGAAACCCACTTAATCATGGTGCATTATCTTTTTTATATGCTGTTGGATTGGTTAGCTAGTATTTTGTTGAGGATTTTTGGATCTATATTCATCCGGGATATTGGCCTGCAGTTTTCACTTTTTGTTATCTCCTTCCCTGGTTTTGGTACTATGGTGATACTGGCTTCATATAATGATTTAGGGAGGATTTTGTCTTTCTCTATCATGTAGAATAGTGCCAACAGAATTGGTACCAATTCTCTGAATGCCTGACAGAATTCAGCTGTGAATCCATCTGGTCCTGGATTTTTTTGGTTGGCAATTTTTTAATTACCATTTAAATCTCATTGCTTGTTATTGGTCTGTTCAGAGATTCTCTATCTTCCTGGTTTAATCTAGGAGAGTTGTATATTTCCAGGAACTGTTGCATCTCCTCTAGGTTTTCTAGTTTATGTGTGTAAAGGTGTTCATGGTAGCCTTGCATAATTTTTTGTATTTCTGTTGTATCAGTTGTAATATCTCCCATTTTGTTTCTAATTGAGCTTATTTGGATCGTCTTTCTTCTTTTCCTGGTTAATCTCACTAATGGTTTATCAACTTTATTTATCTCTTCAAAGAACCAGCTTTTTGTTTCATTTACCTTTTGTATTTTTTTGTTGTTATTGTTTCAGTTTCATTTAGTTCTGTTCTTGTCTTGATTATTTCTGTTCTTCTGCTGGGTTTGGGTTTGGATTGTTCTTTTTCCTCCAGCTCTGTGAGGTGTGAGCTTAGATTGTTTATTTGTGCTCTTTCAGACTTTTTGATATAGGCATTTAATGCTATGAACTTTCCTCTTAGAAATGCTTTTGCAGTATCCCAGAGGTTTTGATAGATGTGTCACTATTATCATTTAGTTCAAATAATTTTTAAATTTCCATCTTGATTCATTGTTGGCTCAGTGATCATTCAGGAGCAGGTTATTTCATTTCCACGGTTTTGGGGGTTCCTTTTTGAGTTGATTTCCAATATTATTCCACTATGATCTGAGAGAGTACTTTATATAATTTCAATTTTCTTAAATTTACTGAGACTTGTTTTGTGGCCTATCACGTGGTCTATCTTGGAGAACGTTCAATGTGCTGATGAATAGAATGTATATTCTGCAGTTATTGGGTAGAATATCTGTAAATATCTGTTAAGTCCATTTGTCATAGGGTATAAGTTAAATTCATTGTTTCTTTGTTGACTTTCTGTCTTGATGATGTGTCTAGTGCTTTCAGTGGAGTATTAAAGTCCCCCACTATTATTTGTTGCCATCATTCTCATTTCTTAGGTCTCATAGTAATTGTTTTATGAATTTGTGAGCTCCAGTGTTAGGTGCTGATATGGCTTGGTTGTGTCCCCACCCAAATCTCATCTTGAATTGTAACTCCCATGGTTCCCACATGTCATGTGAGGAACTCAGTGGGAGATGATTGAATTGTGGGAGTGGGTCTTTCCTGTGCTGTTCTCATGATAGTGAATGAGTCTCATGAGATCTGATGGTTTTAAAAATGGGTGTTTCCCTGCACAAATTCTTCTTCTCTTGTCTGCTGCCGTGTTAGATATGGCTTTCACCTTCTGCTGTGATTGTGAGGTCAACCCAGCCATGTGGAACTGTGAGTCCATTAAACCTCTTTTTCTCACCAGTCTCAGGTATGTCTTTATCAGCAGTGTGAAAATGGACTAATACAGGCGCATATACATTTAGGAATGTGATATTTTCCTGTTGGACTAGTCCTTTTATTATTATATAATGACCCTCTTTGTCTTTTTTAACTGCTGGTGCTTTAAAGTTTATTTTGTCTGACATAAGAATAGCTATTTCTGCTCACGTTTGGTGTCTATTTGCAGGGAATACTTTTTTCCACACCTTTAACTTAAGTTCATGTGAGTCTTTATGTGTTAAGTGAGTATCCTAAAGAGCAGACACTTAGTTGGTGAATTCTTATCATTCTGCCATTCTGTAACTTTTAAGTGGAACATTTAGGCCATTCACATTCAATGTTAGTAATGAGATGTGAGGTAGTATTCTATTCATCATGCTGTTTGTTGCCTGAACACCTTATTTGTGTTTTTTTTCATTGTTATTGTTACATAGGTCCTGTGAGACTTACTTATGCTTTGAGGAGGTTCTATTTTGGTGTATTTCAGGGATTTGTTTTAAGATTTAGAGCTCCTTTTGGCAGTTCTTGTACTGTTGGCTTGGTAGTGGTGAATTCTCTTAACATTTATTTGTCTGGAAAAGACTGTGTCTTTCCTGCATTTATGAAGCTTAGTTTTGCTGGACATGAAATTCTTGGCTGATAATAATTGTTTCCTTTAAGAAGGCTAAAAATAGGACCCTAATCCCTTCTAGCTGCAGGGTTTATGCTGATGAATCTGCTGTTACTTTGATAGACTTTCCTTTATAGTTTACCTGATGCTTTTGCATCATAGCTTTTAAGATTATTTCATTCATCTAGACTTCAGATAACCTGATGACCATTTACCTAGGCAATGATCTTCCTGTGATGAATTTCCCAGGTGTTCTTTGAGCTTCTTGTATTTGAAGGTCTAGATCTCTAGCAAGGCTGGGAAAGTTTTCCTTAATTATTCCCTCAAATATGTTTTCCAAGCTTGTAGATTTCTCTTCTTCCTCAGAAACACCAATTATTCTTAGGTTTGGACATTTAACGTAGTCCTAAACTTCTTGGAGGCTTTGTTCATTTTTTAAAAAATTATTTTGTCTTTGTCTTTGACAGATTGGGTTAATTAGAAAGCCTTGTCTTCAAGCTCTGAAGTTTTTTCTTCTTATTATTTGATTCTATTGTTGAGACTTTCCAGTGCATTTTGCATTGGACATCTCTAAGTGTGTCGTTAATTTCCAGAAGTTGTGATTGTTTTTTATTTATGCTATCTGTTTCACTGAAGATTTTTTCTTTTTTATCCTAAATCATGTTTTTTTTATTTCTTTGAGTTGGAGTTCACTTTTCTCTGGTGTCTCCTTGATTAGCTTAATAATCAACCTTCTGAATTCTTTTTCTGGCAATTCAGAGGTTTCACCTTGGTTTGGCTCCATTGCTGGTGAACTGGTGTGATCTTTGGGGGTGTTAAAGAACCTTGTTTTGTCATGTTACCAGAATTATTTTTCTGGTTTCTTCTCATTTGGGTAGACTATGTCAGAGAAAAGATCTGGGACTCAATGGCTCCTGTTCAGATTCTTTTGTCCTACAGGTGCTCCCTTGATGTGGTGTTCTCCCCTTTCCCCTAGGAATGGGGCTTCCTGAGAGCCAAACTGCAGTGATTGTTTTTGCTCTTCTGGGTCTAGCCACTCAGTGAAGCTCCCTGGCTCTGTGCTTGTATTGGGGAGTGTCTGCAAGGAGTCCTATGATATGCTCTGTCTTCAGGTCTTTCAGCCATGGATACCAGCACCTGCTATGGTGGAGGCAGCAAGGGAGTGAAATGGACTCTGTGGGGATCCTTGGTTGTATTTTTGTTCAGTGTGCTGGTTTTGTATTAGTTGGCCTCCAACCAAGATGTGGTACTTTCAAGAGTGCATCAGCTGTGGTACTCTAGGAAGGTTTCAAACTTTTCCTAGGGTCATCCAGTTAAGTATTCATGTTTCTCAGGCAGTGGGCAGGGCCATAGAGCTCCCAAGAGATATGTCCTTTATCTTTGGTAACCAGGGCTGGTAGAGAAAAACCACGAGGTTGGGGCAGGGATAGGCTTGTCTGAGCTCAGATTCTCCTTTGGAGGGTCTTGCTATGGCTGCTATGGAGGATGGGGGTGTGGTTCCCAGGCCAATGGAGTTATATTCCCAGAGGGATTATGGCTGCCTCTGCTGAGTCATACAGGTCACCAGGGAATTGCGGGAAAGCTGCCAGTCACAGGCCTCATCCCACTCCCACACAGCCCACAATCCTAAAAGCCAGTCTCATTCCCACCATGCCCCACAAAGAGCACTGACTCTATTACCAGGCAGCCAGTGATCAGGGCTGAGAACTAGCCCCAGACCACCAGCCTCTCCACTGAGAAAGCAAACAGACTCACAGTTTTCAGCATCTCAGGGAGCCTGCAGCGGCAATCCAGTTCCTTCAAATGGCCTGTGGTTTATCTCAGCTTTCCTGGTATCATCCTGCAGAAGTTCTTAGAGCAAAAGTTCACCATGTAAGTCACTACACATTGTTTTGTCTGTCCAAGCCAGAGCTTCAAGCTAGTCCTGCCTCCTATCCACCACTAGAAATTTTGTTAAGGGAAAAATCTGAAGAATTATAAAATGAAAATCCATTTGGGGGAGTTTGGAAATTCTTCCCAGGCTGAGAAACAGTCTCAGATTTCAGACCTCAGCCTGTATATAGATTAGTTATTTCACAGGTAACCAAGTCACCGTTTTCTGAGTGGGCACCGTTTACTGGTGCCCAATAAGTAATACTGAATGTTAAGGTGTTTTGTTTTGTTTTGTTAACTATATATAACTGACCCTAAAGACTCTCAAGTCTTCTTTGTAGAATTGAGAGCTGCTCTGCTGTTACTCCAATAAAACTGCATAGTGAGTTGGCATTTGGAATGATTGGATTTAGGTTGTTGCTACAGTCCTGCAAACCCTGGACTTCTCAAACTAAAACATGTCAAATTATGAAACTGTAGTCACTTAACAATCTGAACTGGAATTTTATACTTCAACATGTTCATCATGAGAATTTTCAGATTTACAATTTGTAGACCTAATCATTGTAAATACCTATGCATTCAACAGCTCACCTCTGATGGATGCAGAGACCCTTAACTGAGCCAAAGGGACAATTTTTCCCCCTGCAATAGGTGGCTCTACTGTTGTGGGTGGGAAACATGTACAATAAATTATTTCTGCTAAAGAAAGGGTGTTGAAATCTAAAGCCCAATTTGATATCTTGATGCCTTCTAAATTTTGCAAGCCCATATTCAACTGTCATTGCAGTTGTTATTACCTTAGTATACAATATAAGTGATGACATGTAACCCTTTATGAATTAACAGTGTATGCAAATACTAGGAGCTTCAATTTTTTTCTCCTGAGTGTTTGTTATTCAAATAAAATAATCTTGAGGGCTTATAGGTATAAGTAGATATAGAAATAATCTATTTTTAACTATTTCTAACTAATTATTTTACAGATAAATAGAGTGAGGCCTATGGTTAAAAAGCAAATGAATAGGCCGGGCACGGTGGCTCACGCCTGTAATCCCAGCACTTTGGGAGGCTGAGGCGGGTGGATCACGAGGTCAGGAGATTGAGACCATCCTGGCTAACATGGTGAAACCCCATCTCTACTAAAAAACAAAAAATTAGCCAGGCATGGTGGCGAGTGCCTGTAGTCCCAGCTACTGGGGAGGCTGAGGCAGGAGAATGGCGTGAACCTGGGAGGTGGAGCTTGCAGTGAGCCGAGATCGTGCCACTGCACTCCAGCCTGGGCCACAGAGCAAGACTCCGTCTCAAAAAAAAAAAAAAAAAAAAAAAAGCAAATGAATAATAAAGGCAGAACTTACACTCTTGTTCTTGAACTTTTTACTGATGGTCTTTCTCCTATTATACACTGATTCCCTTTCTGGAAATAAAAGTACCTTTTAGCCTCAAGTTTTTCCAATATTATTAACTTAGGAATAAAAGGCTTTATTTAATCTCCAAAGTCTATGGCATTTTAGCAAAACATCCTAACAATATTTCAGCTTGACTACTTGAAAATATAATTCATTATTTTGAAGATGGTAAAGCATAGTTATTATAAATGATTCCTCATGAATATTTGTGACTTCAACAGCAATTTCTTGCATATATATACATATACACACACACCCCTACACACACACACACACACACACACACACCCCTACAAACACATCTTTCAGGAATGCCATCCCTTACATAAAGATGCATATAAATGTGGGTATGCATACACATACACACATATATCTACACACTCACAGACACACATCTTTCAGGATGGCCATGACTTATGTGAAGATGGAGTCCTAACATTTAATATTTTTTAAAACTATTAGGAATTGTGCTCATTGAGAGAAATCCAATACTTACAATGCTAAATCTTCAAGCTATTGAGGAAATAGCTGGAAAAATTGGAAAAGAGATTTGTTTCTTTCTGTTCCTTTTCAAGGGCAGAATGAAAACTGAGGTGTGAAGTTTACAGCTGTGTTTCGGTTCCATAATGAAAGGTCTTGGAATCACAGGTTGATGTAATTTTAATAGTGCATATCATTCCCATCACTTTGGGTACTTTGGGAGGTGTTTCCTACCGTCTGGGTCTGTTCGCATGTTCACGCAGCCTGCCATCTGAGAAGGAATTTTCCCTGGCGGCCATGACCTAATTTCAAGGTTCTGGCAGCTGAATGCAGGCGACTGACAGCCAAGGTTTTCCTACTTAGCATATTAATCACCTCCATTTTTAGCATGCAGCCATGATAAGAGGAAGCCAGTGATGGATTCACCAGCTTTTCTGAAAATCAGGCTGATAGAACACCCTATGCACCTCTGTAGACCTCAGACTTTCCACACATACGTTTTTTGCGGGCATATCTGAGTTTCCAGTTTCTGGCTCTTGTTCAGACTTGAACATATGCTATATACAGTGAAAAGTGGTTGGATTCTAGAAGGTGTCGAAGTTTACTAGCTCAGATAAAGATCGGCCTGTTGCTTTTTTGTTGATTACCTTTTCTTCCCCTTTAATTCCCTTTTATACTTGTTCCTGTAATCTAAGGAAGAACATTTCATTTTTCTATAGAAGGAGATGCTTATGCAGAGCCAAATGAACCATTGCCCTGTTCTATTTTCTGATGATATGCATTTTTAGTGACATAAGAAGAGAAAATCTTATTGATTTAGCATTCAATAAGAGTAAAATGATAAAATATTCAAATAAATATTTCAGTGTTTGAAAATGGTATAGAATCTATTGTTTGGAAAAATCTTTGGGCTTATCTGAAATAACTTTCTATTTTATTTCTTTAAAAACTTGACAAACGTTTACTTCTTTTGCATTACAGGTCATAGGAAATGAAACAGACTGCTGTTTTCATGAGGTAATATTGTTCCTCATCTCATTAGCTTTCTTTGTTTGGATGGCATGAATTTTGACCAAAACACGTTTTTTTTTCCCAAGTAGTTGTAAGCTGCTAACACTATCAAAAAGGAAATTTAATAATAAATATATTGGTATTTTTATTTATCACATTGAAGTTTTCATTTTTCTTTGAGATTTTAGCTAAACGTCAGTGATAAATATGATGAAAAAACAAATGATGGTTCAGAAAAATCATGTCATTTTATTTTCCTGTGTATGTCTTAGTTTCTTTTTTGACTGTGTGATTGTTTTTCTTAGAAGCATTTACAGAGGGAAATAAGGACACTCACCAAATAGGGCTAATTTGAAGAAGGACACAGCTGACTTAGTAGGAAGAAGGCAGAAGAATTATCTCCTGGTAATCAAGACTCTGAAAATAAGACTTAAGATAAAAGACTGGATACATGCAAGAACAGAGTTCTTAAAGATCACCAGCTGAAGATTGTGATTTTTCATTCTTCTATGCCCTAAGACAGCCATATTTTACCATTTGAAACATAAATAAAAATGACTTCCAGGCTTATTTGATTACAGACTGAATTGCTCTATCATAGGATGACAAGCAATGACAGATAGGTTCCCCATAAAGAAAAGTCTGTGAGACTCCATATTTCCTGTAAAAGATGATATGAGGAAACCGGGCAGATTTTTCTTTCATTCATACTCTTTTATATGGGGGCAATAGTACTGTCAATCTCTATTATATCATTAGGTTACCTGGAAGGTCTTATGTTTGGCAGTGGAATGTAAGTTTTAGGGTAATTTTTCTGAGTGGCAACCCAAGGCCAATGTAGTAAATTTTGAAAGATCAATTAAATTACAGAAAAGGCTTGCATAACATAAATGTGTTCTGCCCACTTGTCAACATGGGTAAAGATATTAATATTGTAACAAGTGCAATGACAGAATTTCATTTTCAGACTCCAGACTTCTTAACAGTAGCAGTGGCAAGGCATCAAACCAGTGAGTTTTGCTTCTTTAATAGTTTCTATAAAACTTGACAGCCTTTCTGTACATTGCAAATACTCTAAAACCACATTGACTTTATACATTAGCTAAACTGCCTAGGAACTTTTTCTAGATACAACTAATTCCTGAAGGTGAAGAAGACAGTGTGAGTATTGCAAGATCATGGATGCAGTTCTTCGAGGTAAAGGCTGTTTTACTCACATTTGTGATGTCCTGTTTGTCACATAAAAGAAAGTCAATAGATGCTTCACTGATTGAATGTATAAAGCTGTGAGCTATGAAATTTCTCTGAAGAAAAAGGTGAAAAGTCTGAATTCTTCTTGTGCACCTCAAGTGATAGTCATTGTTAAGTAAACCTAAGTGGCATGAAAGTGTAGGGTCAAGGATGATAAAAGGGACATTTTAAAATTATATTTAAACAGGAGGTGCCATGGCATAATATTTTCAGTTTAGAATCAAAAAAGAAAATGACTTTTTCTGCCAAAGACAAAAGTGTAAATCTGTTTCCTTCTCCACCATATGCCACAAATAAAAAAAAAAAAAAATCACAGATGTCAAAGAGAACACAGGCTGGAGGAAGCCATCCAGCTACAAGGACCAGTAAATAGTCAAAACCCATTCCTAGCTCAACAGTAAAGCAAAATCCAATATTTAATAAGCATAGCAGAGAGGAGGAGAGTTGTAAGATATGTACTTAAATTTTACCTGCATGCACATATGTCTTCAGACCTTCAGATTTGCTCTCACTCCTGGATCCAAAGTTCTGTTCTCTACATAATTTTTGTATTGTTCTAATTTTTCCTTTAGAACTTATGTCAAGCATCATGCATTCTTCCCTGATTTTTTTTTTTTTTGGAGCAATCTTCTCAACTCCTCCCAACAGCATATTACATATGCCTCTCTTTCTCCATTTGCTTTTACTCCAGTTAGAATTTGGGAGCCCAACAGGATTATATCTTGTTTGTAATAGCTGCTCTAGCTCCTAGCACACCATTTGACACATAAAGGTAATAAACAAATATTTATTAAGTAGTTGTTAATTAAATCCAAAACTTGGTAACAAAAACACATTATCAAATAAATGAACATCTCCCAGCAGGCAAAGAGGACCTAACAATCATTGAAAACATGACAAGTCTAGGAAAAGAAACCAGAAGAGAAGAAAAATGAAAATCTTCTGTATTCCCATATTTGATTTTTCCAATTCGTACAGCTGATAAACTATCCAGTCTAAAGGCAGTGTCATTGTTAGTGCATTAAAATACTGTAATCCCAACACTTTGGGAGGCCAAGGTGGGTGGATCACCTGAGGTCAGGAGTCCAAGACCAGCCTGGCCAACATAGCGAAACCCTGTCTCTACTAAAAATACAAAAATTAGCTGGGTGTGGTGGTGGGCACCTGTAATCCCAGCTACGTGGGAGACTGAGGCAGGAGAAACATTTGAACCCAGGAGGCAGAGCTTCCAGTGAGATGAGGTAGTGCCATTGCACTCCAGCCTGGGCGACAAGAGCAAAACTCCACCTCAAACAAACAAAAACATAAAATAAGGCTAACTGAGGACTTTATCTATCTTATTTAACATATAAAATATATTAATGTGAAGTTGTACATAATAACTTGTGATTTTTTAATACCGAAGCATCTGTATCAGTTTACTTTGTTCTACTTCTTTTTTCTTTATTAGTTTCACCAGTAGTGTATCACTGTTATGAGTCTTTTCAAATAATCAAAATTTACTTTGATTCTTTCTATTGTATGTTTATTAATAATTCATTAACTTTAGTTGTTATTTCCTTCCATTTTCTTTGAATTAAATTTGTTGCTATACTTTCAATTTTTGAGACAAATACATAGAACATTCCATTACACCCTTTCTTCTTTACTAATATATATATTTAAGTCTAGAAAAATTCCTCTGAGCACAGACTTAGCTGCATCCACAGGTTTTGATTCAGTTTTAAAATTTCCCATTTTTTATCCATGTATATTTAGATATACATTTTAAATTATAAACCATTGGCTATTTTCTAGCTAGTTATATTGAGTTTGAGCTTAATTCTAACATAGCCAGAGAACAAAACCTTTTTAGTTAACTCTTGGAAATCTGTTGATACTTGCTTTTTTCTTTCCAATTTTCTTAAGTGATTTCTTGAAAAGATTGTGTAATGTAGTCTTTGAGCATTTAAAGGTTTAATGTAGGTTAGATCAAAACTGATTTATATTCTTACTGATTTTTTTGTCTGCATATTCTATCAGTTACTGATAAAAAGCATGTTATCATTTTCCTTTATGATTATGGTTTTGTCTATTATTTTTTCTTAATGCTTTCAAATTTTAATATAATTAGAACTGTGTGATAATTTTCTGGCTGACTGATGACTTCATCATTATGAAAGGTTTTTATTGCTTTTCATAACAATTTTTGCTTTGAATTCTTCTTTGATGCAAGTATAGCTAGGCCAGCATTTTTTGTTGTTTGCTTGTGGTTAGTATTTGCACAGTATATCATTTTTTATCACTAAAGGTGTATACCTCATAAACAAAGCTGAGGGCTTTTATGGTGTTTGTCTTTGTAATGGGCTGAATTGTCTCTTAAAAAAATTCATGTTGAAGCCCTAACCCCCAGTACCTCAAAATGTGATTGTATTTGGAGAAGGGTCTTTAAAAAGGTAATTAAGTCAAAATGAGGTTATTAGGCTGGGCCTTAATCCAATATGACTTGTGCACCTATAATAAGAGAAAATCTGGGCACAGACAAAGGGAAGACCATGTGAAGACATAGAGAGAAGGTAACTGTCTACCGGCTGCAGAGAGAGGCCTTAGAAGTCTAAGTCTAAGCCTCTCTCCATAGCTTGTATCTTGATCTTGGACTTCTAGCCGCCAGAACTGTGAGAAATAAATTTGTATTGTACAAACCACCCAGTCTGTGGCGCTTTGTCATGGCAGCCTTAGCAGACTAACAAAGTCTTCTAATTGGATTATTTGTGTTTCACTCAGAATGTGTAGACTAAGATAATTACTAATCTATTGGTATGAATTTGCTATCTTATTTGTTTTCTATATTTCATAGACTTTTTCTATGTTTCTTTGAGTTAATAATATTTATTTTACTTTTCTCGTCTATTGGTTATTAATTACATATCGCTTTACTATTTGTTTACTGACCACTCAAAAAAGCGTGTCTTCTTGACTTAAAGTCTTCTTGAATTAAAGTCTAACATACTAATACTTTTATAACCTACCAGCAATGCTAGGACCTTAGAAGCTCTCTCACCTTTTATGATGTTACTGCCATACATTTTATTTCTCAATTTATTTAAACCCCTCTATTACTGTTGTTTTAAAAAGTCAGTATTCTTTTAGATTTGCTCACATATTTACACTCTCCTTTATTCTTTATTTTTTTCTGCTCCACTGTTATTTTTGGAAGCATTTTCATTTTCTGTATGAGCTTCTATTGCCTGAACTGCTGTAATAGTTTTCTAACTGAGCTGTCTCCTTATACCCTTTGCCCCATACTCCCCATAGCTTATTTTCAGCATAGGAGTCAGGATGATTTCCATAAAACCTAAAATCATGTCACTCCTCCGCCTATTTCACTCACAGTAAAAATTTAAGTTCTTCTTTGGCCTACAAGGCCCTTCATGTTTTAGAATCCTTTTGTGTCCCTGACCTTGTATGCTTTCTCCTTTTTATGCATTGGGCACAATCTGTTTTACATCTAACAGTCATGCTCCTACTTCAAGGCTGTTGCACTGCCTGGAATGCTTTCCCTTAGCGAATCTGCAAATCTCTCCCCTTCATCTTCTTCTTGTTCTGCTTATAACCATTTTAGGGAAATACATAGACTAAATGTATTACCTACTTTTTAGTAAAAAACAATCAAAAGCTGATATCAGAATATTCAGAGCACTATATGTTAGTGTTTTTTATGTTATGAACTGTTTTCAAAACTCCCAAGTTGTAGGTTCATTTATTTTCAATAAATCATTTATTCCTTTTCATCAAATTCCAAGATAAAGAATTCATAATTGTTATAACTTTGCCACATTTAGATACTTTCCTGAATACTATTTGAATTTTGGCGCTCGGTGGGCACAAAACAGGAAAGTAGTATTTCTTACTTAGTAAATATAGATAAAAGTTTATTTTTGCCAGGGTAAATTAGATGTTGTATTTATAGCCCTGGCACCAATTGCCTGTAATTAAGGTTAGGAACATTAACTGAGCAACTTCTATGAACCACACATTGCTTCAAGTATTTTTATTTAAATAATTCTATTTAATTATGTTAACAACTCTTTGATATGTTTATTCCTCTTTGAGGAATACTATTTCTGCTTTATAGATGAGAAATTCTGACTTAATAATTAACTATCTGTGCCTTCTGGCATGTCTACTTCTTATTTTTCTGTTCTGTACATGAAAGTTGGTTGTTAACCTCTCAGATTCTGAGTTTAGAGGATAGAAAATCAACCACTTGCCATAAAAGTAACTTCGGCCTGGTCGATTTATCTCCTCAGGCCAGGGTTTCCTCTTCTGCAAACAGTAAGGACTGTAATAACTGTAATTTTTATACAGCGATCTTTCTGATTCCACTGAACCAGAGCAGAGTAGAGGCAAAAGCATTCAGACTTTGCCTCTAATGTTTCATCAAATCTTACTTTTTTCTTTGCTAACTTTCTCTGGCTGCTATGATCCTTCCAATTTCCCCTAAAGGCCAGAGAAAAAAATTGGTGGAGAATGGGCAACAAATGATTGTATTTGGAGTTTCCATACACAGGAAATTCATTTTTTGATTCAGAAGTAATTATTCTATTGAATATCAGACTGCCATAACTTGAATAATTATAGCAAACAAATTCCAGCATTTTAACCATTTAAAAATAGTTTTTGCCCACCGCAATGTTTTATTTTAGCCTTTAAGCAATTCTATGAGGTAGAACTCATCATTATTGTCATATTATAGATGAGCAAACAGGTTCAGTAAAATATCTGTGCAAAACTTCACTGTTGCAAAACTCCAAATATAGCATTTTTCTTATACCACCTGGCTACTAATAAAAAAAATGAGAGACTGCTATTAATTTGTCTGATTGTAGTTGACATGGAAAGGAAGAAAATAAATAAGGTAATGCAGCAATTTTCTTTAGAGAATATAGAGAATTGAATGAGCTTTCCTAATCTTAACACAAAGCCTTCCCTTTATTTGATATGTATTTTAGGCCAGGGAAAGAAATAACTGATTCATTTTTGCTTCAGAAGTAGCATGAATTAAAAGATGGAAGTATTCTTTCTTGATAACTTTGTTACTGTTTTCCTTATCCAATTTTATGTTTGAAGTAAAAATCAGAACACTTTTCCTTTGCCACATCGATAAATGATGATTTGTTGATTTTGTTTTTAACCTGGAGAGTTTCTTTGTAGATGTACTATTTTATACATCTTTATAGATCATATTTCAGGGAAATGTTGTGGGTGTAATCCTTAAAATTAAACTCACATGTTTTTCAGCACATGTGCTTGTCTTGCTCAGTTTGGGTTGCTATAACAAACACCATAGATGGAGTGGCTTAAACAATGGACATTTACTTTTCACAGTTGTGGAGGGTGAGAAATCCAAGATCAAGGCTCTGATAGCTTTGGTCTGGTGAGGGTGCACTTCCTGATTTGTAGATGGACAACTCCTTGCTGTATCTTCACATGGATGAAGAGAGAGAGAGAGAGAGAAAGAGAGAGAGAGAGAAGCAACCTCTCTTGTGTTTCTCTTAAAAGGGCACCAAATTCATCATGAAACCTCTACCCTGGTGATCTAATTACCTTCTAAGGGCCCTGTCTCCAAACACCATCACACTAGGGATTAGGGTTTCAACATATGAATTTGGGGGAGACATAAACATTCAGTTAAAAAACACACATGTGAACAAAAATTAGAAAATAAGATATCATTTTTTCTTTTATCCAGGGAAAATAACCAATTATTCTCATGACTATCTTATTATATACAAATTAAATGTATAATTATAAAAATGGAATCCATCTGTATGTACTATTTTTAATCTTCTTTTTTTACCTAAACATATTTTACAATTCTTCCTAAGTAATCATATATATATTTTTGTACACTTTTTTTGTTATATTTGCATTTACCAGTAATTTTCCTCAATGATATTTTTCTGTTTTGCCATCTTGGGTGATTGGTATGGTGAATTTTGTTTTATTCTATTTTCTGCTTTTTTTTTACAGTGACCTGTTCTCGAGCCTAAGAATCTCTTGGGCCACCCAGCCCCACAGAGGCCAGTAGGAGGTCAACTCTCCACCTCCCTAAAAAAAAAAGTATGTGCACAGTAACTCCATGTGGCACTGCATTCCTTGCTAGAGGTTAGAGGGGTAGGTACTACTGAACTGTGACTTTGGGAAAAACACTTGGATTCATGGAAGCAAGTGGGGGTCCCAAGAGCCCACCCATACTTCTGAGACAGACCCTCTCCTGTGTTCTTCTGTCTTCAAGAAGGACAGGCAGCCCTCCCATCACTGGAAATCTGCAGTTAAAGTCACTGTCAGTGGAGATAACACTATAAAATAAGTGTGGGCTGGGTGTGGTGGCTCATGCCTGTAATCCCAACACTTTGCGAGGCTGAGGCTGAGGCTGGTGGATCACTTGAGGTCAGGAGTTTGAAACCAGCCTGGGCAACATGGTGTAACTCTGTCTCTACTAAAAATACAAAAATTAGCTGAGCATAGTGGCACACGCCTGTAATCCCAGCTACTTGGGAGGCTAAGGCAGGAGAATTACTTGAACCTGGGAGACAGAGGTTGCAGTGAGCTGAGATTGTGCCACTGCACTCCAACCTGGGCAACAGAGTGAGATTCCACCTCAAAAAAAAAAAAAAAAAAAAAAAGAGGTGTGCATGTGTGTGTGTGTGTGGACATAGATGCATGCATGCATGTACACTCCAAAGGTCCAGCTGCATATCTTCTCTGTGGCCGGATGGGGAGACAGATACTGGAGTCTCAATTTCTGCAGCAAATAACAATTGCCCCTGGACCACTGCTTCTTTTCTAGACGCTATTTATGTTGTCATTGTGTAACACTCTAACCCGTGTCCCCACCTGGAAACAGATGGTCTCTGTTCTGGGAGGTGACACCATGGCACCAGGGATACAACCATGGCCTAAAGAATCAGGGTACTGCCTGGTCAGTACAGCCCTGCCCTGCCCCGCCCTGCCCTGCCCACCCCGCCTCAAGTTTGTTTCACAATTAAAATATTGCCTTGTTTAAAAGAAATGTGCATAGTAACTCAGAAAAAATGCATAAAATATAAAGGAACAGCTTAATGTGTTATTTTAAAGTAATCTCATGTAAACACCAGGTGTAAACCTCACCCCGATGCATGTCTGCTTAACCTCTGGTCCTCCACAGAACATAAAGACATTAACTAAAGGTAACTTGATATGACAGCATAGAAAGGGTGGTTAAAGAAAGAGAGTATGAAAAGAAATCACAAAATTAGAAAAAAGAGGGTAAAAAAAGGAGGTCATAGGAGAGAGTTGTGTCATGCTAGATAAGAAAATAGTTAAAAACAAAGGAGAAAGTAATGCAAAGCTCCAGCATCCTCAAATAATCTCGGAAAATGAAGGCTGAGACTTGTCCAATGCGTTTGGAAATAAACAGGAAATCGATGACATTTTTTGCATAATAATTTGGTAGATAAAATGAAGGAAGGTCCTCAGACTTCAGTGAAGTGAATAGAAAGTGAAGAAATATACAGTTTTCTTTCAAAAAAAGATAAAAAGGTATTTCATGGTTATGGATTGGAAGAATTAATGTTATCAAAATGATCTCTATCAAAATACCAATTACATTCTTCACAAAAATGGAAAAAAAATCCTAAAATTTGTAGGAAACAACAAATGATTCTAGATAGCCAACACAGTCCTGAACAACAACAACAAAAAAACTGGTGGCATCACACTATCTGACTTCAAAATATACTACAAAGGTATAGTAACCAAAACAGCATGGTACTGGCATAAAAACAGGCACATAGAACAATGGAACAGAATACAGAACCCAGAAAGTGATCCATGGATTTACAGCCAACTTATTTTTTATAAAGGCACCAAAACACATCCTTCAATAAGTGGTGGGAAAACTGGATATTCATAAATGTAGAAGAATGAAACTACAGCATATCTTTCACCATATATGGGAGTCAAACTAAAATGGATTAAAGCCTTAAATGTAAAACCTTAAACTGTGAAACTACTAGAGAAAACATTAGGAAAGAACTTCAGGACATTGGCCTAGGCAAAAACTTTTTGGGCAAGACCTCAAAAGCAATGGTGACAAAAGCAAAAATAGACAAATGAGATTATATCAAGTTAAAAGCTTCTGCACAGCAAACAATCAATAAAGTGAAGAGACAATATATAGAATAGAAAAAATAATTGCAATCTATTCATACAAGGGATTAATATGGGCAAATGATCTGAATAGATTTTTCTCACAAGAAGACATGGCCAAGGGTATATGAAAAAATGCTCAACATCACTAATCGCGGAAATGCATATTAAAACCACAATGAGATATCTCATCCTAATTAAAATGGCTGTTATTACAAACACAGAAAATAACAAATGCTAGCAAGGATGTAGAGAAAGGGGATCCCTTGTACACAGTTGGCGGGTATGTAAATAAGTACATGATATGGTTTGGCTGTGTCCTCACCCAAACCTCATCTTGAATTGTAGTTTCTATAATCCCCAAGTGTTGTGGAAGGGACCCACTGGAAGGTAATTGAATCATGGGGGTGGTTACCCTCATGCTGTTCTCCTGATAGCGAGCAAATTCTCATGAGAGCTGATGGTTTTATGAGGGGATTCTCCCCTCCCCCTTTGCTCTGCACTTCTCTTTGCTACTGCCATGTGAAGAACGACATGTTTGCTTCCCTTTCTGCCATGATTGTAAGTTTCCTGAGACCTCCCTGGCCCTGCAGAACTGTGAGTCAATTAAACATCTTTCCTTTATAAATTACCCAGTCTCAGGTATTTCTTCATAGCAGTGTGAGAACGAACTAATACAGTGTGCCACTGTGGAAGACAGTATGGAGGTTCCTGAAAAAACTAAAAATAGAACTGCCATATGATTCAGCAATTCCACGATTAGATATATATACACAATATAAAAAATAAATATATTGAAGTGATATCAGCACTATGTTTATTGCAGCACTATTTACAAAAGCTAAGATATGGAGTCAACCTGTGTCCATCAAGGGATGAATAAATGAAGAAAATTTATTTATACTCAATGAAATAGTATTTTGTCATAAAAAAGAATGGCACCCTATCATTGTCAGCAGCATGAATGGAATGAGAGGACCTTATGTTAAGTGAAGTTAGCCAGGCACAAAAAAACAAACATTGCATGTTCTCACTCACTAAAAAATTGATCTCATGAAGGTAGTAAATAGAATGATAGTTGACAGAGGCTGGGAAGAGTTCTGAGGAGGAGGAAATGAAGAGGAGTTGGTTAATGGCTATAAAAATACAGTTTGATAGAAGGAATAATTTCTAGTGTCTGATAGCATAGCGTGGGGACTATGATTAACACTAATTTATGGTATATTTCAAAATAGCTAGAGGTTTGGAATGTTTCTACATAAGGAAATGATAAATTTTTGAGGTGATGATGGATATCCTAATTACCCTAATTTGATTATTATGCATTGTATGTATGTGTATGTGTAATAATCAAAATATCCCATGTACTTCATAAATATGTTCAACTATTACGTATTAATAAAAAAGAGAAGAAGTATATCAGAGAAAAAAAGAAACAGAAATCAATGTCCAGAAGGGGATTTTTTTTACAGTTTTTGAACAATTTTTATTTCAATAGCTTTTTGGGTACACGTGTTTTTTTTGGTTACATGGATCAATTATATAGTGGTGAATTGTGCTGCTATAATTATGAGATTTTTAGTGCACCCTTCACTCATGTAGTGTACATTATACCTAATGTGTAAAGTTTTTTTTTAATTTCTAGCTCCCCTCCCCCTTATGAGTCTCTAATGTTCATTGTGTGACACTGTGTACCTTTGCTTATTCATAGCTTATCTTCCACTTATAAATGAGAACGTAGGATATTTGGCTTTCCACGTCTATGTTACTTTACTTAGAATAATGGCCTCTAGCACCATCCAAATGGCTCTAGAAGACATTCTTTTGTTCCTTTTCAATGGCTAAGTAGTATTCTATGGTGGATATAAACACATTTTCTTTATTCATTCATTCGTCGATGGGCACTTAGGTTGGTTCCACATCTTTGCAATTGTCATCGTGCTGCTATAAATATAAGTGTGCAAATGTCTTTTTCATATAATAACATCTTATCCTTCGGGTAGATACCCAACAGTTAGATTGCTGGATCAAATGGTAGCTCTACTTTTAGCTGTTTAAGGAATCTCCATACTGTTTTCCATAGAGGGGATTTACTCACAGAAGTTTATTGTAGTTGTATTACTTGTTTTCTTATTTGTTAGAAGAGAGGTTAAGTATCTCTGTAGTCAGAGGGGAGGAGCAAACAAGTAGTAAAGTGTTGCAAGTGAGAACCGCAGCAGAGTGTTGAAGACAGGAAACATGCAATCAGGGCATAGAGAGGGAGATAAGTTATGAATAGAGGAAAATGGAGTGAAAGAGGAACCATAAGATATGCAGGATGGAGATCATTTGAAGTTAAGGGTGTTCTCTATCTGGCTCCTGTTTCCTCAGTGAAATAATTTGCAAGGACATTTACTAATGTTGATAAGGGCAGCCTCGGAGTTTTCGAATATTTTAGCGAGACAGGAGATGATATAATAGAAGTAAGATAAAATGAAACACAGGTGTTGAGAAACCAAAGGAAGTTGGAAAACACTCATTGGTATTTGCACCAATCTGAAGGTTGTGTGACCTTTTTCCTGCCGCACTTAAGCAGATCAGGGTAGGGAAATGTGGAGTTCTTTGCGGTAATATGGGGCAAATGGGCAAGGGAGATAGGGCATATTCTTACTTTACATGATCAATTATGGAGTCTAAACAGGGTAGGGAGGAAAGTAAGACAAGAGGTATACTGAGGAGAGGGAAGGACCAAGGGATTTGCGATTTGTGGTCAAAAATCAAAGTATCCTGAGTGAAGCACTGAAACACTGAAACCAGATGAGCTTGTGGTTAGAGTTTAGGAATTTTTTTTTTTTTGAGACGGAGTTTCACTCTTGTTGCCCAGGCTGGAGTACAATGGCGTGATCTCGGCTCACTGCAACCTCTACCTCCTGGGTTCAAACTATTCTCCTGCCTCAGCCTCCCAAGTAGCTGGGATTACAGGCACGCACCACCATACTCGGCTAGTAGAGACAGGGTTCCTCCATGTTGATCAGGCTGGTCTCGAACTCCCCACCTCAGGTGATCCGCCTGCCTCGGCCTCCCAAAGTGCTGTGATTACAGGCACGAGCCACCATAAGCTTTTACATACAGGAAGATAAAAGTATTGGTGTGTGTTTTAGTTCATTCAGGCTGCTATAAGTAAACATGATAAACTGGGTGCCTTATAAACAAGAGAAATTTATTTCTCACCGTTCTGGAGGCTAAGTCCAAGATCAAGGGACCAGCGAGACTGTCAGCTGCAGGCCAGATTTCTGGTTCAAAGGTAGAAACTTTCCGCTCTTTCCACTGTCTACTCACATAGTGGGAGGAGCTAGGGATTTTTCTGGGGCCTCTTCTATATGGCCACTAATCCCACTCATGAGAGTTCCACCCGATTGAGTTAATCTTCTCCCAGAGTCTCCACCTCCTAATACTATCACCTTGGAGGTTAGGATTTCAACATATGAATTTTAGGAGGACGTAAGTATTCAGTTCATTGCACTATTACTACATGAGAAAAAAATATGTTGACTTTTCTCTAGCATTGTTTAAAAACCTGTTTTAAAGAGGAATTAGGCTAAAATTGTGTTTAGAGATGAAGCACTGATTGATGCCTGTAGATTTATAGTACATTTGTCTGGACAGTAGTAAGTTCCTAAGCTATCAGAAATTTGGTAATAAGGTTGATGATATGCTGATTATTTGTAATCAGCATTACAAGTGATAATGCTGATTATTTGAAAGCCAAAGTTTCTTAGGGAATTCTTAGGGAATTCCTAAGCTTAAAGAAATTAATAAAATAAAAAATCAGCTGAGATTTTGTCTTGTTAATTTAGAAAACACTTTTTAAGCTGTCTTTCTAAAAATCTCTGGAGTTACCTCACAGGAATATGTGTGTTGCAACAATACATTTGTAGCATGCATAACACAGAAGGAAAAAGAGAAGGAAATTAGTTTTCGAAATTGCTAATTCAAGTTGAGCATAAAAATATCCAGTGACCTGGCACCATTCTGTCAATTTTCCTCTCACTTCCTGTGTTGGTAGAGATGTGTACACCCTAAATGGATGGGTGAAAGCTATTAGCAATCTGTCATAAAAAGAAATTGATTTTTTTTTAATTTTAAAAATGCATCTTACCCAGGAGCTCTTTGGTGCTTTACAGAGATGGAAAGACTCAATAATTTATTTATAGTAAGTTCAGAGCTAGGCAAGGGCAATCAAAAAATTTCTTGCACAGTACAGGGATGATTTACTAAGAGAAAACTAAGAGAATGCTGGAAGTAGTTATCACATGCAAATCCTCTCATTTGTTTAATATAAATATATATCTAACTTATCTGTGGCTGATTATCCATGTATTTAAGTCACTTTAGCAAAAATGTCAAACATAAAAAATGTAAAGTGTTATTGCAGATACTTTTTGTTATAAATTATAAAGGCAATAGACTGTACAACTAAGATCAAATACATATTATCAAATGGTGTCAAAATTTGGTGTGCCCTGGCATTTTAACTGTTTGATTTATTAAGAGTGTTTTTTACTCTTAGTAGTGTAATTTCTTAGAGATAGATACGTTCTTTGCATTTTAATTTTTGAACTTGAAGCCCATGTTAACAGCACATTGCCTGGGCTTCCTGCCTGTATGCTTGCCTTCTTTTTTTCATTATTCCTCTTTTTTATTCATTTCTTTCGAATAATTTAGTCTAAAAGCCTGATGATGAGGCCAAGGAAGGTAGATTTCCAAGTACGGTGGGTGGCTCTCCTGTCAGAGTTTAGAGCTCGAGCAAGGGAAGTGCCAGGGGTTGAAGCCCAAGTGAGGAAAGTGGTCATCTTGGGTTGTAGCCTAGTGAGGTCAAAAGATTGGTTACATAAGTGATATTGATAAAATTGGTACATGTGTTTAGAACAGTGGGAGTTAGGTTTCTCACTGACAGAGAAAAAGTTATAAATATGGAAAGATGAAAAAATACAATAAGCATTCTGTGCTATATTGGAGTTGAAAGCGTCAGAGGGAACATATAATTTTAATATGTATAGATAAGTGTAGAAAAGCATAGGTGTGTGTGTGTTTTCTAGCGTGGCTCACTAAAAGGGCCTGGTAGCATTGACATTTCAATCACAATGAGCACACGTAGTGCCAGATCTTGGCTTCTAAAGATCATTCTCCACTAAGAGAAATCAGAGCTTCTTGGAGAAATGGCTAACTTCAGGGTAGTGGGAGGAAAAATACAAAATGCCCAGAATCTGTTGTGTTGGGAAGTGAGACAGTGAACTAAGAATGATGGAGATATGTTAAAAGAACACAAAACCAGCTTGAAGGGGTCACCACTGGCCACATTGGGGAAAATTTGACCATTACAATAAATAACCGTAAATTTTTATAATCCATTGACTAGAACAGGAATCCATGAGTCTGTAGTGATGTAAATAATTCAATAGTTGAGAAGAAACAGCTCTTTTTTATAGTATGATGCCAACTAATAGATACAGAAGAAATTGTAAAAATTAAACTTTGCTGTTTTAATGTTAATCACTTTATTTTGATGGATGCCCTGGACTTAGATGGATGCATGTCCTCACTTATAGGAAAACTGCACAAAGGTAGCCAGAGTTAACTCGGCATAATGTTGGCAAATTACTCCGAAAGATGCAGAAAGAAAAAATTCATACTCTTCTTGCAAAATACTATCATTGTAAATTTGGAATTACTTCAAACAAAAAACTTTAAAAAAAACTATAATGATCACATTTTCTATGAACACAATATGGCTATTTCTGTGTATAAAAAATTATGTTGGAGAAGTAGAAAAGATTACTGCTTTTGCTTATTTTTTTCCAGGTATAAAGCATCATCAGTAGGTGTGGTTGGGCTTCATCCCCAAAATGTTATTTGAGGGATAAGCTCTGTAATTTTTAGGAAGGCTGAATTCAGTCAACCATAGGAAAGATTCATGTGATTCTAGTGTGGGAGTAGCATTTACAGACGTGTTTGGCTCCATGAAAGAAACCAAGATCCCCAGTCACTCAGATGTAGCTCCTCCTTGAACTTGTATCCTCAAATGAAGCAAGGGGGAGAAAGTGGCACCATAAAAGAACTGCTCCTCAAGAAAGGGAAGCGCAGAATCACTAGAGGCATCTGGGTGACAGAGCTAGTACCCATGGGGAAGCAGTATGGGCAATGGAGTGAGCTTGGCAAATTCACAGCGCAATACTGTAACTATTGAAACTGTAACATATAAGGGTTCTCATTCCTGGGTCTACCAGACAGTATTATACAAACCCTGGCCTAAGTGTAGGTCATTGATAAATTTGTGACATTCCTTGATTATGGAATGTTTTACAATTTTTCTTTTATATGTTTCATTTAAAATTTTATAACTTTTTAAATGGGGGTTTCCTCAAACTCTGATGATGATTTGTATTTTTGACATTTTCCCTGACTTTCACCTGAGCCTAGACCTGTTAATAATATTTGCATAACAATATAGGATGGCTTTAATCACTTTAATTAAACAATTATAATATCTTTAATAGGAAATGAATACATAAAATAGCCTTTTATTAAAATGAATTTCTGCTTTCCTACATATATTTTTTCATATGTCATTATGTGTTTTTCAAACATAATTTTTTATAACAGCATAGAATTCCATTTTTGGACATATCATAATAGAACTATACTTCATTACAGGATATTTACGTCATTTTCATTTTTTAAAATGTTCTTATAGATAGCATTGTGAACTTCATTTAAATAAATAATTAAATTCCTCTTGTGTATAGAAGTTCTGGCTCAAAAATATACACTCTTTAAGGGTCTTGGTATACATTTAAAAATTATTTTCCTGAAGGATTTTATCTATTTATAACTTCAGCTTTGATTTTTATATAACATATTTAAAATATCTTTGTGAATTTGATGTGCAAAAATAGTGTTTGTTGTAATTTGCAAATGTTTGATTCCTAGCCAGTTAAGTTTCTGCCTCCCACATCTTCATGGAGTATTTATATTTATTCTGTTGTGAATTGGTTTCCCTTGCCATTTTTATCTAATTAGCTATATTCAACTAAGAGTTAATTTGACTTTTAAGGTTTCATTTAAAAATGAAATTCATTCATTTGAGGTTTATTTTATGGTCAGGGACAAGGTGATACATAGTATACTTTTTTTTCTTTTTCAAAATAGTCAAGTTCCAATATTGCTGTTGCGCCATTTCTCCCTTCCCCCATAGCTGGCTGTGCTTTGTCAGCACATGCTGAGATCTATTCTGTCTACTGGGGTCTGTGTTTTCAGTTTTCTTTTCTGACTCACTGGCTTTCCCTTTGGTTCCTGATGGTCCATTAGCAGGACACTCTTTTCCTTACCATTCACTGATAGGAATTTTTTTTTACAATAACTTTTTTCTTCACTATTCCCACCTATGAATTTTCCCAGTAGAAAGCTTTATAACTATGTTGTTTCATCTTTCAAAAACACATTGAGATTTTTATTAACCTTAAAATTCAATATGGAAACAATTAGCATACTTCTGTTATTCAGTCTTCCCGTTAAAAATCAAATTTACTCTTTCATAATAACTTTTTGTGGTTTTCTTTATGTGATCTTAAGTATTTCTTGTTATTCTATTTTCTAGCTACTTTATGAACTTTGTTTCTAGTGTGCATGGAATCTTTTTCTTTTCATATTTGAATATTTATGAATTCTCCATATTGAAGTTGTTGATTTTACAGCATCTGTATCCTGTTTTTTACTATTCTTCCCGGTGGAAGGTGCTTTTCTTTTTGTTGTCTTTATTTTTGGTAAGTTTTCTTAAATATTACAGTAAGTATATAAATTAGTTTATTTGTACTATATAAACATAACATATAATATAAAAATATAAATGTATCATGAATATTAGGAGACATTGTTTGATAGTGAGTAATATTGTGCTCTTCTCTTATAATTTTACCTTCTTTCTCACTCTCGGATTATTGCATTGGCAAGAATTTTCTGAACAATTTTGCATTCAAATAGGCCCAGTCTCAAGAAGATGTACGCCAGATTTGAGCTAGGCACGCCAATGTTATTTTTCCCAGATTCACCAGAGAAACTCCTCATCCTTTCCTTAGGTGGAGTGAATGAAAGAGAATCCAAATATTATATTAACTGAATTATCTTCAAATGAGAGAAAATATCAAGAGTGGGTAACAGGCTTTTTCTCAAATATTATAATAATTTTTGATATTATTCTCTTTTCTAATCTATTCATGTTATAGTTATAATATAAAATATTAAAGTGTTCTTTCTTTATTTTGATGGATTTTATTTAATTGTGGTTTATTATTTTAAATCATATGTAAGTATGCTTAATATTTTATATTATTTGTGCATATGTAATTTTTGTATAGCTTTGATATTTTAATTTATAACAACATACTGAAAAAATATTTCTTTCTACTTTTTATGTTCCATTTTTTTATGTTCCAGTTCACCTTTCATATCAATAAACTTGTCTCTTAAAAATGTTAAAGGCTTTGCTTATGTATCCAACTGGGCTTAGTTTTTTTTAGTGAATTTATTGATAACTTTTAACATACTTACATTGTTCTCCATCTATTCAAATTTTAAACTCTTGAACCAGAAAATCAACAATTTAATATTTTCAAAATGAATAGTTTAAAACATGAAAACACTTTATCTGGGTCTCATATTCTCTAAATCTTGTTCTATCCATTGTTTAATTCCTAATTTTGCTCCTTTTTTCTTTGTTAAATTTGATAAATTGCTACTTTATTTTTCAAAGACACTTCTTGTATATACTCATTATTAGTCATTATATGTTTTTAATTAGTTTCTATCTTTATCTTTACTTGATTTACTTATTGTTTTCCTAAGAGATTTTCATTGTTATTGTTGTGCTTCTGGGGTTGAAAGCTTAACTCATTTATTAAATTTACATTGAAGAAAGAAAGTTTTTGACCATGAATTTGACCTAACTATAATTTGGCTACTTATTATACCTTTTGATATTTCATATTCTGTTATTATTTCCTACATAGACTATAATTACAGTTCTAATGTAATTCACCACATTTTTATTTAGCATTTCTTTTCAAACTTTGAAATATTTGTCACCTTTTATGGTTTTCAAAATATCTTTAAATTAATTCTAGTTGCATTGGATTGCTTGAAAGAATCTGGCTGCTATAATGTCACCATTTTGGATTCATCTGGAATTTTTATGCAAAGTAATGTATGAATAATTTTTATAATATTTTGTTAATTCTTACAAAATATTATTTTTTATTGCTTACCATGGCTTAATATAGCTATTACTACTCCTGCTTAATGATAATATACATCTTTATGACTTTATATTTTGGTCTTTTTTGTTAAAGTCTGTTAGAGCTCTAATAAGTTTGTTTAAAAAATACAATATTTTAAACTTATATATTTCTAGCAGTTTTCCTATGTATTTTATGGTAGTATTCAACACACAAGCAATGTATGGCCTATCTTATATTCATAACTTATTTGGTTTATTTTGAAATAGTCTTGAATACAAAAGTTGCAAGTACAACTTGCAAATAATAAATTAAATAAGTTATGAAATAATCAAAATTTGGTTTATTTTGAAACAATCTTGAACACAGAAGTTGCAAGTACAGTACAAATAACTTTTTTCTTCCTGAATCATTTGAGAGTATTTTGTTGATACGATGCCTCATCACTCCCGTATTCTTTAGTGTGTATTTCCTCCCAAAAGGCCATTTGCCCACTATAGCCACAATAAAACCTTCAGAATCATGGAATTAACATTGCTGTATTACTATCACCTAATGTTCAGAACCCATTAAAATTTTATCAGATGTTAAAATAATGTTTTTTAAATAACAAAAGATCAAACTCAGTTTCACATAACACATTTTCTTTTTTATATTTTTAGTTTCTTTGAATATCAAAGAGTTCCTGTCTTTTCTTGACTTCAAGACATCAACATTCAACAAAATTATAGGCCAGTTATTTGGGGCTTTGTCTGATGTTTTCACATAATTATATTCAGGTTTTGTATCTTTGGCAGGAGAATCACAGAAAAGTGCAGTTTTGCTCTTGCTGCGTTCTGTTAGGTGACACATGAATTCAATTTGTTCTATTATCAGTGATTATCTTTGATAATCTCTACATGAAGATGGAGGCAGAGATCAGAGTGATGAAGCTACTGGCAAAGGAATGCCAAGGATTACCGGCAACAACGGAAGCCAGAGAGAGGCAGGGAACGTATTCTCCCTCTGGAACAGAGGTTCCAGAAGGCACTGACCCATTGACAATTTAATTTCAGACTTGTAGCCTCCTGAACTGTAAGAGAAAAAATTTCTGTTGTTTTAAGCCCCCAGATTTGTCATTTTTTGCTATGACAGCCCTAGGAAATAAATACAGAAGGCAAAGAGGTTAGGAAAAGGGCAAAGAGGTTAGGAAAAGGGCAAAGAGGAAGCTGATGTAATTATTGTAACTACCAAATATTTCTGTTGTTTCCATTGTTATTTTTTAAACAGCTTAATTGAAGTATAATTTGCATACAACAAGATTCACTCATTTTCAGTGTGCAGTTCAACGAGTTTTGCAAATGTGTGCAGTCACGTAACCACAACCACAGTCAAATGATACAGCACCATATTGTCCCATGTGCATATTGAAAGTTAATTAAAACTAGTTAAAATTAAAAATTCATTTTCTTATTTTAACTAGTTACATTTCAAATGCTCAATAGCCATTATATGTGACTAGTAGCTCCCAGATAGGACAGAGAAGATTATGGAATATGTCCATCAAAATGTTCTATTGGACAGTGCTGAAACAGAATATTTTCATCAACCCTCGAATGTTCTACTGTTCCGTTTTGCAGTCAATTCCCTACCCTCACCCCTAGCCTCAGGTAATCACTGATCTTCATTCTGTCACTATATTTTGGCCTTTTCTGGAATTACACACAAACAGACTCATACCTCAGGTACTCCTTTATGTCTGGCTTCTTTTGATAAGCATGATATCATGGAGATTCTCCATGTTGTTCTGTATTTAGTAGTCTGTTTCTGTTTTTTGTTGGGTAGTATTCCACTGAATGGATATGTCACAATTTATCTATTCATTAGATTTAAAATATCTGTGCTATTTCCAGGTTTGACTTTTAAGAATAATGCTGATACAAATATTTGCTTGTCAGTTTCCGAGTGGTATATGTTGCATTCATTTTAGATTGCTTTATAACAAATTACCACAAATGTATAAGTTGTAAAAAGCACTCACTTATTATTTCACAAATTCTCTAGGTCAGGAATCCTGGCATGACTTAGCTGGGGGTCCCATGCTACGCTATAATCAAGGTGATGGCCAAAACTGGGTACTCATTACTATGCCCAACTTGGGAAGAATCTGTTTCCAAGCTTACTCAAGGAGTAGCAGTATTTCTTTGCAGTTTTGAAACTGAGGGCCCTGACTTCTTGCTGTTCAATAACAAAAGGCTGCCTTTAGATCCTAAGGAGCTGAACCTGAAGTTCCTTGCTGCATAATATGCTTCTCCAAAATGGCCATTTACTTCATCATGCCAGCAAGGAGAGCCTCTAGCATGAGTAGGGTAGAAATAGGGTGGAGTCTTAGATAATGTTACACAATCACAAGTGATTGACATCCTGTCACCTTTGCCATGTCCCATTGGTTAGAAGCCAGTCATGGGCTCTGCCTTCACTTAAGGAAAGAGTTCTATAAATACGTGAATTCCAGGGGTGAAGTTCATGGAGCAGACATTGTGGATTCTGTCTGCCTCATGTGTTTTCATTTTTCTTGATACCTATAAGTGCAATTACTGGGTCACATGGCAGGTATATGTATAATTTTATAAGAAAGTGCCAAATTGTTTTCCAAGACGGCCATATTATTTTGCATTCTTGTGAACAAGGTTCTATTGCTTTTAATTCATATGTGTTTTTATTTTTTTTTAATTTTTGTTGTTTGAGATGGAATCTGGCTCTTTCAGTCAGGCTGGAGTCCAGTGATGCGATCTCGGCTCACTGCAACCTCCACCTCCTGAGTTCAAGCCATTCTCCTGCCTCAGTCTCCCAAGTAAGTGGGATTATAGACGCGTGCCACCATGCCCAGCTAATTTTTGTATTTTTAGTAGTGACGGGGTTTCGCCATATTGGCCAGGCTGGGTTTGAACTCCTGACCTCAAGTGATCCGCCTGCTTTGGCGCCCCAAATTGCTGGGATTACAGGCATGAGCCACCGCATCTGGCCCTATATGTGTTTTTTAAAGCAATAAATACATTTTGCTAACCCAGAGAATCTTTCTCTTGTCTTAAAAGAGTAATTTACTCTGTTTGAGTCCTTATATTTTTCACAAATAAAAAAATGAAAATCAATTTGGGTAGAGACGTGGAGGCAAAGCCATGTAGGGCTAAGTTCATGAGAGAACACAGGAGACAGAAATGTTAGTAGCAGGAACAGACAACACTCTCTGAGGATTTTGTATAAGAAAGCAGAAAAATGGTGCTGTGGCAGGGGTCACATTTTGTTATGTTCAGTAGACGGGAGATTTTATAACATGTTTGTCCACTGATATGAATAATCCAATAAAGAGAAGATGATGAGGGGCAGATGATCGTGCAGGAGGAAGAGCTCATGCATTGCCACAGGAAGAAATGCAATGTATATCCCTTCAAATGCAGATAGCTTAGCAGAGTTTTGTGGTGGAAAGATGTGTTCACACAGCTAGTGTGTGGCCGAGCCAGGATGCAAATGCAGGCCCTCTAGCTCCTGAGTCCATGCTCCAAACTACTTCACTGTTTTGCCAACTATACATTTCCACAGCTATGCATCTCTTAACTTAAATTGTTAAATAACAGAAACACTGCAATATAACAAATTAATTCTGCCAAAGGCTTTGTTTCCTTTAATAGGAAAAACAGACTTTAAGAACAATAGACTCAATTATTTTACTTTTCAACCTTTTGGGTGAATTCAATTTTATGAACTGTGAAGGTTTTTTTATGTTTTTAAAAAAGCCTCTTGACAATCCTTCCCCTACAAACTTCTACCCTATTCGTCCTCCTCCATCAAAGACATATTTTTTGCAATTGTATTTAACAGTCATGGCCTCACTTTTCATTCACTCATCAGTTCACTGCATTATGGATTTATGGGCTTAGAATCCGCTTCTCCTCTTATACTCATCTCTAAAACATTACTGAGATTTTTAAAAGGTCAGCCCTCTCGGGTTCATCCTTGTTTCACCTCTCTTCAGCTCTTGACTTTGTTGAAAATATGTTCTTTCTGAAGATATCTTTTATCTTAGATTATATCACACAACTTACTCTTGCTTCTGTTTCCACTTTCTTCTTGATAAATTAAAGATTTGTACGTCACGGGCTTTTTGTACTTAGCCCTAGAGATTTAAATGTGACATACACACCAAAACTTCTAACTCCACAACTCCAATGTCAGCATTTCCTCTGGTATAGTCACATAGATCAAACTGCCTAATCTTTTAGCTGGTTTTCATAAGACCTCAAAGTTTGCATGTGAAAATCTAAATCACTATCTCCCATCTTCAACAACAAAAGGTATATAGCCACAGCCTGTACCCAGACCCTTATGACCTCTGGCATTTGTGCAATAATATCCTGTATTCACTGCTTTAACACTTTTCCTATAAAAACAAAAAATGCAAATTTACTACATTGAAAATTTCATTGACAAATTGAGTGATATAACATTGAGTGACATTAAAGTTATTGTGAAAATGTGGTAGGATTTTTACTAATTATGGCTGATTGGATAGAAATGAAATATCCACTCAGTGGTCCATTCATATTTTTTGTCTAGAATAGAGAAAACCTGGCCATAGAAATGTACTTTTTATCATCTCTGGGCCACTGTCTGACTCTTAAATAAGAAAAAGAAAAAAGGACTGTTCGAAATAGAAAACTTGGCAGCCTTTCTTCTATTGCATGATGAAGGTTTCTGTGGGTAGTTAGAGGGCTGTTCATCATCTGTGCATCTCTCTCTCTTTCCAGAAAACGAGTGTGCGAGAAGTATGTTGTAATTGAAGTAGCATACTGCCTGACACCCAAGAGGTTGCTCTGTAAGTGGTGAGTTTTGAGGAAACAAGAGTTTCATGTATTGTATCTTTTGTGGTGTCAAAGCACTAGGAAACGTGTAGAAAATGATCTCAAGTAGTAAATGAAAGCTTTCCAGACATTAGGAATTAAAATAGAAACTATTTACATGTATGCTTTTATATATCTAAAAGAGGGATCCAGAAAGCACCACCTTGGCAGTAAGGAAAATCCAAAGACACAACAGAAAAAGAAAAAGAGCAAAGAAGAATGCTCCCAAACAAAGAAGTTAAAGTATCATCAAACATCAGAGAAAAAGCAATCCCCAGGAAATAATGATCTCAGGGTTCAAAAGAAAGCTTAGAAAAGTTGTTGATTGTTACCAATGAAAAACAATGAAGCTTTTTATTAAATAGTGGCAGAAATTCTCAAGGCTGAGAAAAATGGACAAGAGCATGAGAAATAAAGTTATGCAAGGTAAATAAAGAAGAATAACAATAAAGAAACAATAAATAAGAATGACAAGGAAAATAAAATCATAATGACAGAATTTAAAAATCTGTATCAGAGACATACAAATTAGAATTGACATGGAGAGTAACAGGATGAGATCTGAGGAGCTGTTCTAGAACGCAGAAGAAAAGTTCAAAAGATAAAATTTATGATCTGGCTGGACACAGTGGCTCACGCCTGTAATCCCAACACTTTGGGAGGCCTAGGCAGCGGATAACATGAGGCCAGGAGTTCAAGACCAGCCTGGCCAACATGGTGAAACCCCAACTCCACTGAAAATACAAAACTTACCCAGGCATGGTGGTGCACATCTGTAACCCCAGCTGCTCAGGAGTCTGAGGCATTAGAATCACTTGAACCCAGGAGATAGAGGTTGCAGTGAGCTAACATGTTGCCACTGCACTCCAGCCTTGGTGACAGAGTGAGACTCTCTCTCAAAAAAAAAAAAAAAAAAAGAAAGAGGGAAAACATAAGATATGAGAAAAACGGAAAATGAAAATACAACTTCAGCATTATAGATTGGTTTAAAGTAGACTTTTTGAGCAATAGGGAAAGAACAACAAAATATAATTCAAATACATTTTTCTGAAGTAAAAATATATCAAAAATATTGAGAACATTCGAGACAATCTCATCAAAAGCATCCTGGCACATCTCATATTAAACATTAAATTCTAAGGTTAAATAAAATCAGAATTATCCATCAAACACATCTTTTCCCCAAATACATATCTTAAGTCAGTGGAGATGCATGTAAATACATCTTAATGCTTGTATTTTTAAGTTTGTATCTTAAGAATTTTATATCTACTAAGTTGTCTTTTATGAGTAAAGAAAACAGACACCTTTGATATGTAGACTGTAAAGTATACCACCTACATGCTACTTTTAAAAGATTTTTTAAGACTTGCCTTCAAAATGTGATTCCAGTCACATAACACAAAAATATCTTAAAAAGTGGATACGTCAATTTAAAAAATATTTTGTACTGAGACTATTGCTGGAAAAGTTAACAGCAAAACCATCTAGCTAGCTAGCTAGATGGATAATAAACAAACAAAGAACAATAAGCAGACAGTAATAGGAAATTCTGAAAACTATAAAGCATGAACAAAACGACAGAAGAGACGTTAGATATAATTTTTGTGGCTCTTTTACTCTACCTCCTTACCGCCCTTAAAAGGTCTGTATAAGAAACCCAGAGAGCTTGTGGTGCTTCTGTCAATACACTCTATTTTTTTCCCAATACTACCAGACCCCCATTGCTAACTTGCTGAAAGATCAACCCTGTAAGCTTATAATTTGTATTTATATCCACATTCCCTATAGAAACTACCAGGACTAACAATAATCATACCTTAGATTCCTATTCTCCTTAGCCACCACATGCAACACAAGCTTTCCGGGTTATCCCTGTGTTAGAAAAGTCATAACTGTGAGGGCAAAATGTTGACCTCATAAGCTCCAAGAAGGTTCAATCCTTCCATTGTCATTGTATTTAGTGACTCTTGACCTTATTAGGCCCAATGTCCTGCTCATATAACAAATATTTTGTAGTGCTTTACTCTCCTAAAATAAAACTTATGGACAATATAATGAACATGCATGAATAATTTTTAAAATTGTACAAGAATAATAAAATAGAAAAATATAGAAGCAATTATTTATTACAAAATGATATATGTGTGTATGTTAGTGTTCAGGCATGACAACACAAGAAGAGACAACAAAGCAGTTAGACTCTTATGATATACAAAATTAACAGAATGTGATGGCTACGAAGACAGAGTGAGAGAGTAAACATTTCATTAGTGACTCAAATATAGATTGGTGGTGTGGTTCGTAATGTGGTTTTCCAACACATTGAATAACACCTAATAAAGTTTCAAACAAAATACCAAAAATCTTCCTTCAAGTTGGAAAGAGTTCCTGTTCTTAGAAAATTTACTATTAATTAAAGTCATGTAGAAAATCTTTGCGTTATATGTTAAACAAAGATATATTGTAAGTGGCCAAAATTCTGAGCAGGTTTTACATATATGTTAAAGCTCAGTGGGATATTTTAAGGTTGTGTATAGGTGCTGGTGTGTGATAATCTTTTTATATCTATTTATTTATTTTAAATACTATGATGTGCTATTCATTATTTAGCACCTTTGGCATTCTCCCATTAATTAAGTGTTGCTTCCCTAATCATTGTGACAACCAAAAAACATAAATTTCCACAATACCCCCTAGGAACAAAGTACTACTTTTGCTGAGAAACTTTCATTTAGAATTAGCCTGAGAAGTGTATTAAAACCAGGAAGGGGGGTGGAGGTGGAGCCAAATGGTTAAATAGAAGCTTTCACTGATCGTCTGCCTCTCAAAAACACCAAATTGAGCAACCACACACAAAAACATTTTCACAAGAACAAAACACTGGGTGAGTGATCACAGTACTTGGTTTTCACTGCACATCACTGAAAGCTGCACTGAAGCGGGTAGGAAACACAGTCATGAACTGCTGACACCATACCTCCCCACCCCCAGCAGAGGCTGTGTGGCCTGGAGAGATAATCTGTGCACTTTGGGGAGTGAGACCACAGTGATCATGGGACCTTGCATTGGGACTTAGTGTTGCTTCTCTGTCATAACAGCAAGATACACTGGGCAGAACTCAGATGGTAGCCAGAAGGGAGCATTCAGACCATCCCTAGCCAGATGGGAATTGCCCATCCCAGCAGTCAGAACCTAAGTTCCAGGAAGCCTCAGCACCACAGGTCAAACAGCTCTGGAGTTCTAAATAAGCTTAAAAGGCAGTATAAGCCACAAAGACTGCAATTCCTGGGCAAATCCTGGTGCTGTGCTGAGCTCAGAGCCAATGGACTTGGAGGAACACACGACCTAATGAGACACCAGCTGCGACAGCCACTCCTTCCCCAGCCACAGGCAGCACAGCCATGGCACTGAGAGACACTTCTCTCCACCTGGGAAGAGGAGAGAGGAGGGTAAAGAGGACTTTGTCTTGCAACTGGGATACCAGCTCAGCCATAGTAGAATAGGGTACTAGACAGAGTCCAGAGGTCCAACTCCTTTACAACATTTCTAGATACACCATGGGCCAGAAGGGCACCCACTGTCTTGAAAGGATGGACCTAATTTCGGCAGGATTCATTATCTGCTGACTAATGAACCCTTGGGTCCTTAATAATCAGTGTGGGTACCTAGGCAGTTCTTGCTGTGGGTCTTGGGTGAGACTCATAAACATACTGGCTTCAAGTGTGATGAAGCATATTCCCAACTGTGGTGGCTTCCACCCAACTGTGGTGGCTGTAAGATGGACTCCTTTTGCTTGAGAAAAGGAGAAGGAAGCATAAAGATGACTTTATCTTGCAGCTTAGGTACCAGTTCAGACACAGTGGAGTAGAGCACAAAGTAGGCTCTTGGGGTCACAAATTCAAGGCCATCGTTCTTAGATGTCATTGCTGGACCTGCCCTGGGCCAGAGTGAAGTCCATTTCCCTGAAGTAACAGTCCCAAGCCTGGCAGCATTCACCAGAAGCTAACTAAAGAGCCCTTGGACCTTGAATAAGCATCAGCAGCATCCAGGCAGTATTTGCCATGGGCCTGAGGTAGTGGTGCTTATAAGGGAAGACGCCTCTGCTTGTGGAAAGTGGAGGAAGGGAACCGGGGGAAAGCACTTTATCTTGTCACTTGAGTGCCAGCTAGGCCACAGTAGAATAGAGCACAAAGTAGATTCCTAAGTTTTCTTCCTCCAAGCTCTGGCTCCTGGACTGCATCTCTGGATGAACCTGGGATTGAAGGGAACTTGAAGCCTGCAGGGAAGGACACAAGGCTGGCTGGCTTCACCACCTGCTGATTGTAGAGCCCCAGAGCCTTGAGTGAACATAGAGGGTAGCCAGGTAGTGGTTACAACAGGGCATGGGGGACATCCAGTGCTGTGCTGGCTTCAGGTTTGACACAGTGTAGTCATAGTGGTAGTGGCCACAAGGGAGCTTGTGTCACCCCTTCCCCACCTTCAGGCAGCTCAACACAGGGACAGAGACTCCATTTGGGGGTGAAAGTAAGGGAAGAGAACAAGAGTCTCTGACTGGTAATCCAGATAGTTCTTCCATATCTTATCTAAGACCACCATGGGCAATACTTCTATGAGTCTGCAAGAGCCACAGTGTAACTGGACTTGGGGTGTCCACTAGTGTGGATATGGCTGCAGTGACCAAAAACTTAGATCACAACACTCAAGTCCTTCAAATACCGGGAAATTCTTCCTGATAAAGATGTGTACAAACAAGCCCAGTGTGCAAAGACTACAATAAATACTTAACTTCTCAATGCCCAGCCACCAATGAACATTTGCAAACATCAAGACCATCCAGGAAAACAAGACCTGACCAAAAAAACTGAATAAAACACCAGTGACTAGTCCAGGAGAGACAGAGATATGTGACTGTTCAGACAAAAAATTCAAAATAGCTATTTTGAGGAAACTTATTCAAATTCAAGATAACACAGTTAGAAAGAAATCAGAATCCTATTGGAAAAGTTTAACAAGAGATTGAAATAATTGAAAAAAATCAAACAGAAATTATGGAGTTGAAAAGTGCAACTGACTTAATAAAGAATAATACATCAGAGTCTCAACATCAGAACTGATGAAGCAGAGGAAAGAATCAGTGAGCCTGAAGACAGGATATTTGAAAATATATAGTCAGAGGAGACAAAATAAAAAAATAATAAAGGATGCCTATAAGATATAGAAAACAGCCTCAAAAGGACAAATCTAAAAGGTATTTGCCTTAAAGAGGAGATAGAGAGACAGATGGGAGAGAAAGTTTATTCAAAGAGATAATAACAGAGAAATGTACAAACCTAAAGAAGGATATTAATATTTAAGTACAAGA